>NC_000018.10:40911206-42122947 GCF_000001405.40 Homo sapiens
AAGTCTATTACTCACTTTCTCGTCATCAGTTTCAATGTCCACAATAGTAAGAAACACATGCATTTCATAAATTTATAGTAAGGCATGACATGTAGAGTGAGTGTTTATTATAAATATTTTGAATGAATGAATAAAAGTTCCTAATTCCTGATCCAAATGTTTATTTTGTAACTCCGCTAAACTCTCAGCTAAGGAGTTAACATGTTGCACCCATCAGTTCTTTCCACTATCCATCCCTGTTTATGAAAACGCTCAAGACCTTCACATGGTGCTGTATTATAATGATCACCAGCCAGGCCTCTTCCCCTTCCATTGTGGCATGGGTCCCTCAGTGTCCCATCTTTTATCACTTGATTCTGGTTCTGTCTTAGATCAGCTAGTGTCAAATACATATTAGCCAATGTCAGTGCAACTGTGCTGACGTCTGATAGCCAATATTTTGTCTGATGCCATCAGTAAGAGTAAAATATCCAGCTGAACTAGGTAGCCTGTTTCCTTCTCCCCATGCCCACCACAGGACTGAGTACTTCGGAGACTAAAGTAGATTCTGAACCACACCACTGAGATTCTAGCTCCTTATTTTGCCTGCTGAAGGAGATCAAAAAGGTCACACTCTCTCTGTCTAAATCAGTTCCCTTTCCTACCTAGAAATTAAGAATAATAATGTCTATATAGTAGTTCTTGGTTATCCATGGTTTCATTTTGCCCAGTTTCAGTCACCCACAGTCAACAGCAATCCAAAAATATTAAATGGAAAATTTCAGAAATAAACAATTCATAAGTTTTAAATTGTGTACCACTCTGAGTAGCATGATGAAATCTTGTGTCATCTCACTCTAAGGGTGAATCATCCCTTTTTCCAGCATATCCACACTGCCTATACTACCCACGTGTTAATAACTTAGTAGCCATCTGCGTTGTTGCATTGACAGAACACAAGGGAGAATATACTACAATAAGACATTTTGTGTGTGTGAGAGAAGAGACTATATTCACAAAATTTATTAAAGTATATTGTTATCATTGTTCTATTTTATTATTTTTGCTAATCTCTTATTGTACCTAATTTATAAATTAAATTTTATCACAAGTATGTGTGTACAGGAAAAAACATGATATATATAGTGGTATATACAGGGCTCAGTACTATTCAAGATTTCAGGCATCAATTGGAGGTTTTGGGATGTATCCCCCAGGGATAAGGAGGAAATATTGTACCTATAATCAGAAGGCTAGTTAAAAAATATTAATGCTTGTGAAATGTATGTGCAACATGATATACAAACCCAATGTTACTATTTGTTGTTAGAGTTTTTGCCTCCTAGTTCGTAAGTGAGAATGGCGTATGGTTTTATTTTTGTGGTATGTATGTGTGTATGTGTGTGTGCTTTAAGTTTTAAGCAATCTGACATAAACTGGAATCTTTGGGATCTTTTCTATGGCCTGAAATATTTGAATGAATTAAAATGTATCCTAGAAAATTAGAACTCATTCTAATATTGTCTGTTCTTGGTGGCATTAAGATGGCAAGTATTCAACGAAAGTTGTCTGTAGTTTTATTTTTTTAAATCTATTTAGATATTTTGCCTCTTCTGGAAGCAATTTATTTATATTTTATCTTTATTTATATTTTATATTTTTATTAAAAATCAACTCAATTTTTAAATTTATAAATGTAAATTCACATGTAATCTTTTGTAATTAAATGACTTCTTTATTTGAGGGTCAGAGAAAAATCCTATTTCTAATCACACATAATACATATATAAAATTAACATATTATATATTTCATAATCAAAGATCTATTTGTTAGTTTTTGGAGAACAAGCTTTATTAATCAAATATGTTTTTAATTTCATTGTCATATTTGTTAATCATCAATGGTGTTAATTTTCTTCTATTTTCTCCTGGTTAATATTGTTATTATATATATAGTGGCTTAGTTGATGACAGCATAATTTATTTTCAACTTTTTTTACTTAGTAATACAAGTTACAAGGTTACACATTTTCTTTTGATTAAATCTTTAGCTACATCTCTAAATCTTGATCTAAAATGCAAGGGTTATTTTGAAGAAAGAATTGGTTAAGTCACATGGTGATTACTATCTGGTTCATGTCTATCTGTGCAACATTGTTGTCAGAGAATTTAGACTGTCTGCTCTCTACTTTCAAGAAGGTATTGAGGTTTCCAGTTTCACTAAGGATACAAGAGCTTTTAAATCTTTCATATGCACAAAATTATGTGTGGTCTTGATTTGTTGACTACAAAATAGTTATATCTGATAGACTGAGTGTATTATTTCTGCAATTGAACTTCCATATACCCATATTTAGGTTCTGTCTCTTTGGTCTTTTAATTAGCATAAAAGTGCATTAAACTTTTCTTTATGACTGTGGTTCTATCATTTTTCTTTATATCTAAGATAGCTTGCCATCTATGTTTTACTGATATTTTCTTTGGGCTATATTATTTTGTATACCTAAATGATAATAATAATAATAATAAATATCATGATTATTACAACCTATACTCATTAATTCCATTCTTAGACTTCTATTGTCTTTACTGTAAGAAATTTCCCAGTTTCTTGTTCCCCCATTACAAGTACTTCATTCAGTTCAACTTAATGCTGACATTTATTCTCTCAGCTATCCACCCATTTAACTATCACATCACTCAATATTTTTCACTTTCATCCGAAACAATGCCCCAAATGAGGACACTTATCTCCTGTTCTCATGTACTCTACTTCTGATCAGGTATAATTGTAAATATCCAATACACCGCTTCTGTCTTCATCTTTTCTATCCAATCCAAGTTTGATCTTCACCTCCTTCTCAGTTCTTTCAGTTATGACCTTTTGTCCCCATTCCTCATATTAAATATTCCAAACCCTCTGTAATCTTCCCACTCTTAAACCCCATTCTTGTCACCTATACTGTTAGCGGATGCCACAACTTCTAAACTAGCTGAGGATATTTATACTATCTAAAATGAACTGTCTTTATTTCTATCTTGTCCACTTAAAATCTCAGCATATTGGTTACCTTTGTCCCTTTTCATTTCTGCTACTTCTGAGAAAAAAAAAAACTTTGTATTCTTAACTCTTTGCCCATTTCTTCTCAGTTAAAACCTTCCCCACCTTTTCACTTTTTGACAATCTCTCCAACTCTTCTGGATCTTCACATCAGTATGCTCAAGATTTTGTGATCCTATTATTTAATTTATACTACTGTTTTGTATTCTGTTGTTTCATTGTACTATGTATATTTTATTACTTAATTGGAAACTATTTCTGATGTTCTTATCACTAGAATGGCAGTATCAGCTCAATGTTTCTTCTAAGCTTCCCACTTAATCAAATTACCCAAAGTTACCTCTCCTTAAATAGGTACTGGCTCATATCCATTCTTTCTGCCTGGGCCTTCCTATTGTCTTTATTCCATTAAAATCTTTCCCAGCTGAAGTTAAAGTTGTTAAGAAGAGTATTAACTAGAAGTAGGAAAAGTAGAAATCCAAATGTTAAATTCTTAATGCAATGTGTGATCATGTCCAATAAACTTTATTTTCTTGTGAAACAGGAATATCAATAACCACAGTGTCGCATTGTCTTAGAGAAAGATTTTAATAAAATGCTGTAGGAATGTATTATCATTTTCTGACATTATTATTTTCTACTTTTGTGGTTACATGTCCATTTCTTTAAAATATTATATACATATGTGTGTGTGCATGTGTGTGTGTGTGTGTGTGTGTGTATCTCCACTTTCTCAATAAAGCATAGGGAACAATGCCACTGCTTGTGAGTCCTTTGGCAGTAATCTTTCCGTCGGACTTATGTGAATGGCATGTCATTATGTTAAGTTTTCTTTCCTAATAGACTTCCTTCTGTGCCCTTCATACCAACCCAGATTTCTTCATACATTTATCAAACTATTTTAGAGTTATTTCTTCACACACCGCAATTGGGAGATTCCTGAAACCAAAACTAAGTACATTCAAATTTGTATTCTTAGGAAATAGAGTAGCAAAGTTAAGTGTCAATAAATATCTGTTGAATGAACCTTGGCAAGTCTATAGCCACTCTTTTTCAGGTAAGGGAAGAAGACTGGAATGTTGTGAATCCCCAAATGTAGGATCCTCACTTGAAAAATGTAGCACATTCCCATCAACGGGGTGTTACCCCATCATCTCCTTGAGCTCCATTATCTCCTCGAATTCCATTATCTTCATTCACCTCGCTCTTCCACTGATCATCTGAGCTAAAATAAAGTAGGATTTTTTAAAAAACACACTTTTTTTCAACTTACACCTAAAAAAGTGCAACTGCTTCTTTCTCTAAAAAGCAAAACAAGGAAAGAATCTCCTTGAAGCTCAATTTCTCCCATAGAGCTACAGAATGGCCACTGAAGTTGTGTATGAATGCATAAAACCCTGCCAGAGGGTATATAGAGTTTTTTATCTTTATTCCTTTTGTTGTGTTTTACAAATTGTTCAAGGCCCTGTGGGCCCAGTGTCTGAGAGAAGAGGGAGGACTTTTGAGTCCTTTCCAAATCCTCATTGTAGGGTAGTGGGATCCTACTAGGAGATTTCTTCAGCAAAATTTTCTTCATATTTGACCGACTGAGGGTGCACTATCCCTGAGCTCTGGCAATCCAGTTTATAAGGCTGCTTGTGGCAGTTGAGGTTCAAAAACAAAGCTGTGGGTAGAAAAAGATCCGAAAGTTTCAAAGGCAAAAGCAGCTTTCTGAAGTTTTCTAACATGTCTGTAGGAAGTAGAGAGGGAGTAACGCTGAGAATACCCTGCAAATTATACAAAGGAGACTTGAAAAGCTCCAGTATGTCAGTTTTCAAAAGTCCTCCTGAGGCCGAGAGACTGTGAAATTCTCATGTATGTTGATTTATGCAGTGATTTGCTTTGACCCCAGGGAAAGCTGCTTTATGGTTTGGACATCTATGCCTATCCACCTTCCCACCTATCTGTGAGAATCGCCGAACAAAATGTGCAAAGGGAAAATGAATGGAGCAAAAAATAAAGCAATCACAGAAATAATAAATACTCAATTCAAAAGTTAAACTTTATTTTTCTTTGTCCCTGTCTGAAAATTCCATGCACAGTGGGCCATATATTCTACCACAAACTTTATCCAAAGCTGATTTTGTTATACACTTGGATTGCTAAAAAACAAAACAAAAAAACAAAAAACACAAAAAAAATTGATACATTTTCAACAGAGATTGAGAAGGGCATTTTGGTTGAACAACCTCTTCCTATCTTTTGGCCTAGTCAAACTTAACCACTTTTTAAGACTTGCCTAATTCACCTGCTTTCTGGAACATTTTATGACCACACTAGTTCACAATTTGGCCATCTTCAAAGTCCCAATTTACCTATTATCTGAAACATGTTTAGATAATTAATCAAATGATAACTAGTTGACATTAATTGCATTTCATATCATTGTTATTTTACATTTTTGCCTGTGACTTCTGGTGATATTTACATTTTAAGACTTCTTGGGCACAAGATATAACATTTTGTACTAAAAAGTCTGGCCCCATTTTCTCGATTTCTGACTTTTGAGAGCTTTTAAACTTCACCACTCCCTTTTCTACTTCTACCCAAAATTGGGTAAGTTGATAAGAGAGTCTAGATCCTCCCTCCTTTGGTTCAGATAGGATTCAAATTATGCAACCACCGGCCCCCACAAGGAAATCTCCACTTCCATCCTACCCCTTAATCACAATAAAACTCCGAGCCTGTGTTATATTCTTGCTCACTCAAGCCATTTTCATACCAACATGGGAGGCCTTCTCTCCTTTCCCCAGGAAGCCTCATTATGTCAGTAGTAAACCTTTTCATGACCTCTTAGTGTATGTTTGAAGTTATCAATTTTGACATCTGAAACAAATTATGGGTTAACTCTATTCTCCCTATGTGGAGAGATTCCCATATCTTTCCTAGTACCTTGTCTTCAGGCTAATCATACAGAAAGTGCTTAATATTTACTTTTTAAATGCCTGTCTGAATGACTGTCATCTTCTTCAATTTTCTTTAGCAAACTGGAACTCAAATATTGGTAAGAGGGTATTAGTCAGTTATTCAGCCAGTTCCTCAGTTACTCAACTATTAAATGAGTCATAAAAATAGTCTTTGGTCTTCTCTTTGAAAAGCATCATATAATGAATAAGAAAAACTAAGAAAAAAGTAATAAAACTATAATACTGACTTCAGTATTATAATAGTATATATACTCACTATAATACTGACTTCAGTGTCCAAACCTTGGGGATGAGATAGAAAATATGTTTGCTGGTTGGGCATGGTGGCTCACACTTGTAATCCCAGCACTTTGGGAGGCCGAGGCAGGCAGATCACTTGAGGACAGGAGTTCAAGACCAGCCTGGCCAACATGGTGAAACCCCATCTCTACTAAAAATACAAAAAACAATTAGCCAGGTGTGGTGGTGAGCACCTGTAATCCCAGCTACTCAGGAGGCTGAGGCGGGAGAATCACTTGAACCCAGAAGGTGGAGGCTGCCATGAGCTGAGATCACGCCATTGCAATCCAGCCTAGACAACAAGAGTGAAACTCCATCTTAAAAAAAAAAAAAGAAGAAGAAAATACGTTTGCCATCTTGAGTCTCAATTTTGATGTGCAATAAAGTTGCGTCGGATCTAAGAGTAAGGAAATATGGGCTGGAGGTTGAGATTCTCACTTGCTAATGCAAAAATGTATGTCTATCAGGAGTCATGCTTTATATATTTTATCATTGAAAAAGGTATTTAGTAAGTATTTGCATATTTGCTTTTTTATAATCTCTTTCTAAAAGCAATTTGGAGATGTTTCTATTTTTTTAAAAATAATTGTTGAATATTCACCCACAAGCCCATGAGGTAGGTAAGGCAGCTGAATTCAGAATACATGGCTGCTGAGAACCGGAGAAGTCATGAATTGCCCAAGATCAAAAAGCAAACTTTCTGGTCTTTTGATACTTAGGCAATTTTATGGACCGAATGCTTATATCCCCCCAGAATGTTTATGTTGAAGCCCTAATCCCCAATTTGATGATACTTGGAAGGTGAGGACTTTGGGAGGTAATTAAATTAAGTAATGACAGTGAGATCCTTATGATAGGAATAAAGCCCTTATAACAAGAGGAAGAGACACATGATTTCTCACTGCATTCACCTACATGCACCAAGGGAAGACCATGTGAGCAAATAACATGAAGACGCCTGTCTGCAAATCAGGAGGAAGTCCTCATCAGACATTGAACCTGTCAGCACCTTGATTTTGGACTTCTCAGTTTCCAGAATTTTGAGAAATATGTGTTTGCTCTTTAAGCCACCAGTCTGCAATATTTTGTTCTAGAGGCCCCAGCTGACAAAGACAGGCAAGAATCTTCCCTTTATGGGACACTGCTTTCTCAGAAGCAATGTTTATATGAAAATTGAGTTATAAGATATTCATGAGTTGTCTGATATGTAAGTGCTTTGGAAAGGGTAAGTCATATATTTACTTATGTTCTGTTCACATGATATTCATGGAGTCCAGGTCCTGTTGGTGCCTACCCTCAGTGCCTAGCATGAATCTCAGTAGGTTACTGTTGAAGTGAATGAGGACGACATGCCTTGTGGAAAACAAAAACGACAGCAAAGATTCTAAACTAAAATTACCCTATACAATTATTCACTGTATTTATTTAAAGATACACTCCTTCTTTTAAACAAATTATATGTATGTATACATGTGTACGTGTGTTTCTTCAGGAAGCTACAGAATTAAGATAGGGGAGATGGGGAGAGGAAGAAGAATAGAAAGAGAGAGAAAATTTGTAGTGTTTTTGTTTTGCCTAACATTTATATGGACTTCTCCTAGTTATCTTTGTGAGAGAGATTCACAGTAGTAACTGATGTAAACCTGAACCAAACATAAAACAAAAATCAAACAACAAAAAACCATGCAGGTAGTTTTTGTCCAGGTCATTTAATAACTTTTCATAAATAGCATTCACAATGAGCAATGGAAGTTTACATCCTACTTTTTCTTGGGATAGGAAATTTATATGATTGGGAAATTTGTTGACAGGGCTATCTAACCATCTCAGATTAGATAAATCAACTTCAAATGATTGGCAGTGTTTTCTTATAATCTGCAAAACGAAACTCTGGCTAAACGAAATTCTGGCTAAACATTATTTTTAAATTTGCATCAACTCTTTGGGGGCACAAATAGATATCAACTCCCTCTTGACTCTTAGGCTGGGGTCCAACCACCTTGTCCCCTTTTGCACTGAGCTCATCTGGCCACTGCTTACTGCCCATGATTGGGAACCATTTTCTCTGCTCAACGCATGCACTGGACTGGTTCATTCTTCAGAGCAGTTGGTTAAGAATAATGATAATGATTTAGATTCCAGTGGGCAGTAAATATAAAATAATTAATCGTTAAGTAGCTTCATGAATGTAGGAGACTGCCTGCTAACCATGTGGGGAAGGAAAGGTGATTGAAGCATGCTAAAAAGTACAAGCAAAGAGAATTAGACTGGATAAAGTGAGGCAATAGGTTTTTTAATTCCTGGGACATAAACATTGGACCAAAAAACTTGAAAATGGATAAATGAGAAATTTGATTCTGTGACAGGAAAATTACATGTATGCAAATATGATACAGTTAACATACTTCAAAATGGTGCAAAAAGTGAAGTAGAAGGCTTCTTCTTGGATCAGTGTTTTGACAATAACAAACATAGATGCACCCAGAGATTGCTGAATCTACTAGCTATAATTATTAGATTATGAACTCTTCATTCAGAAATAAAACTATACATTTTTAAAACCATAATTATTCAGAGAAACCATGCATTTTGTTGCCCTGGCAAGAGAAAGGTTATTTTTGCAGGGCATAAAAGACCAAAGGATATGGCAAGCATGGCTGCTATAAAATGGAAACAATAAATAAACCAATTCCTTGACTCCAGTTTCCACGTTTAAAATGTTAAAACATAAAGTTAGAAATATGACATTTTTCTGTTTTCTATGCTTGGCTTTGCTTCCTAATGTGGCTCCAATATCCCTTAGGACACATGTGTGTTTCACGCATGTGGTATCTCCAGGGCCTTTCTCAGTGCCCTACATGAGGAAGCTGCTCAGTAAATGTCTGTAGGTGACAATGCTGGCAGATACAACTGTTTAGGATCAGGTTCACTAATATCTTCAGGACTACAAAGATTTTAGTCATCATTTATTTAAAAGATGTAGCAGCTTTAGCGAAAGCTCTTCTACAGCTTAAAGAACTCAGAATGTAACCCCCAGACCCAGTGATATCATGATAGTTTTTCAAAGAAGAGTTTTACAGCTGTCTTTGCTGTTTCAGAATCCAACAGTAAATCCTAAGAGGAATATCTCATTTTAAGGACCTTCTTCCAGACCTTACTTAGGACCCATCAACTGGGAACATTCAAGGGAATCCACATACAACACAGCCAGTTTCAAAATGCAGTGCTTTTGAGAAACACAGATTACTGGGCCCACCTCCAGAGATCTCAAGAGATCTTTCTTTTTGACAAGTGCCAAGGTAAGTCTGATGCGAGTAATTCATGTTGAAACAAATACGAATGCAGACTCTTTATAAGCCCCCTTGAATCATCTGTGCAATTAAAAAAAAAAGCTGCTGTCCCACCCCCAAAGACTTTGTTTTAATTGGTTTGGGGAGAACCTCCTACCATCTTTGTAAAAGCCCATGAGGTGATTCTAAAGTGCAGCTAAACTTGAGAATAATTTGAGTCCTCTTGAACGTGAGGCCCTCTGACAGCCAGAGCAACCTCCCAGGAAAAAAATTTCATTAACTAAAACCCAGCAGTATCTATCTCTGTGGAATCAACACCCTTAATCCAGTATGTGCTTAAATAATAAGAGACAACTTCACAGAGAGGTGTTATGTGTCCCCAGGAGAAACCAGCTTTCATTGACACAAATTAAGCCCTAGACAACTACCGTGACTGTTTTTCTTCATGCAACCACAGTTCTACCCTCTTCTGCCACCACTGAATGATCCTAGGCCTGCTAAGCACACCCCTGACCTCCCTGCACTCAGCTGGCTCTGTCCCCAGGGCGTTAACATGGCTCATCTCCTGAGGCATCATTGTGTTGCATAGCACCAAACGCTTTGCTTGTGGAGTGGACCCTTTCCCCTCCTACCCCAGCCCTCTGAAGCTTTTACTTTGGAATTCGGACTCCTGAGCAAGTCTCTAACAAGGCACTGAACACACTGAGTCTGAGGTCAGAGCCTGAGTCCACCAGTGGTGGGAGGGTTTGCCATGTTCTATGGCCCCGGCTCTTTGACCCTTCCCTTAAGTTGACTTGGTCTGCCATAAATCAAGTTGCTAATCCTTCATACCTGAACCACTGCTAAAGTAGCTACTCTTAATCCTTTGACTTCAGCTTTTCTTCCAACCTACTCCTTTCCCATTAGTCAAACTTACTAAAATACCACTATTTATTAAATCTATTGCTTTTTCAAAAAAGTTTGGGGCCCCACATGCCTGTATAATATAGCCATGCTTTTGCTGTGCAGCCTAATGTTTAACACTGGTTTCTTGGAGTCTTATTCTGCCCTCCAAACCTGAAAGAACAGTGTGTGATTCCAGCAAGCCCTCAATCTCACTGTCCCTCAGACACATGGAAGTCCCTCTTTCCTTGCTCACAAGCTTCCCCTCCTGAAAGCACATTCTCTCCCTTGTGCCTGGTAGAATGTTACTCACCTTTCAAGACCCTGTTCACAGTCCACTTGGCCTATAATACCTCTGATCTCATCAGTCCATAGTGGCTTTTTAAATCCTATAATGATTGTTTTCCTACCATTCACTGGACTTATAATACTGTGTTCTGTGCTCAGCTCTCTGGAGGTGGCCATATAATCTGCCTGACCTGCTTCTTTGTTTGCTTTTGTGTATACCCAGAAAGTAATTTCTAACTGACTAATTAGTAGACTGATTGATAAAGAAGCTAAATAAAGTTATGCAGAAATTTGTATGTAGTTAAAGCCAAAGGCAAGTGTTGTGGCTTTATGATAATATATTTTCATCTGTCGGTGTTCAAGGCCCGAATGGAGATCCTAACAAGGAAAAATTTTTTTTTTCTTTTTCTTAAACAAAGAGAGCTGACCTCACTCAATTACCTCTCTCTCTTCTCTCTGTGCCGACATGGGGCCCAAAGAGAGGTCTGAGTTCAAACACATGAAAAGTGCTTTGAAATGTCACTTGTTCACAACATCTGAGAAAATGCTGCCTTCTTTGCCCCCTACCAGTGTAATCAACTGTAATTTCAAATCAATATCTTGCCTCACCATGGATTGCTTTGTAAATCTGGTCTTCTTCTTGTTCTTTTTCTGCCTCATTACTTATCTTCGTCACCTACTGATATTAGTTGCTCCAGATACTAATGCAATTTTCCTGGCATGTGAAGTAGATTCAGCTCTTTGACAGTCAGATCTGAGTTTTCCAGCATGTTACAGAAAAGATTTATTTTCTGGCTATTTGTTCTAGACTTTCAAGTCCATTAAACTTAGTTAGAAAATGGAAACTCGTCTTCACATTGAGCTGGGGACGGTGCTCCAAATTAAAAGATTTCCACTGATCCCCACGGAGTCATTTCAGGGTGAAAGAGTGTTTAAGTCGACCATTTTAGAACATACTGGGGATAAGTTGAGAGAAGGATTGTCTTTCACCAAATTGATTTTCTGTTCTTGCATTATTTATTATTGTCTAAATTTATGTGGAAACATTGCCTCTCTTTTCTTGAGTGACTTCTCATCCATTTCTAAATTTTTATTGTGGCTGTGCACTAATTTGGCATTTTCTGAATGCTCTTTGTCTTTCCTGGGGCAAGCTCTTCCTTTTCCTACCTCTAGACTAGGGTTTGCTTGGTCTTGCCCCCTTCAGGAAGTGCCCTGGATTACTCAGTCTCCCACTCACCTTTCTCTTATCAGAACTTCTATAGCTATTATGAATCTTGTCTGAATTCCTGGGTTTAACATTGTATAACATTGTCTCTTCTCGTTCTCTCCTTATCTCATACATTATATCTAGTGTTCTCACCTGAACTGTGCTTTGTTTATCTATTCATTAGTCACAGCTCTATTAAACTGGTATCTGGTGACTCTATACATAGTCTTACAATTATTATAATAAATTAGGTTTATTATGCTTTACACGTGCAGCATGTCCCTCAAATAGATGGTAAGCTCACAGAAGGCAATAAATAAACAGTTTCTTCTTAATTATCTCCTGAATCCACGAATTTTTATCTCCCTTCACTGCTATAGCCTCATCCAGGGTACATGATCTCTCATAATGAGCATCCCAACAGCCTCCTAGAGGGTCTTCCTAAATCCATCTCCTATATTCCCCACCCTGCCTCTGGAGGAAAATTCAGAAACATAAATTTGATTTTATTCTCTCACTCTGTGGACATGTTCATGGGAAAACATGAATGAACTTTGAAAACTTTATGCTAAGTAAAATAAACCAGACACAAAAGGACAAATACTGAATAATTCCAAATATTGAATCATCCACTTATATGAAGTACCTAGAACAGGCAACTTCATAGAGACAGAAAATAGAAAAAAGTGCTATGGGCTGAATGTTTGTGTGCCCCCCCCCCCCACCTCACTAATTCCCCAAGGTAATGGTATTAGGAATTGGGGTCTTTGGGAGGTAATGAAGAAGGCATCCTCATGAATGACATTAGTGCCTTTATAAAAAAGGCCTGAGAGAGAAACCCTAATTCCCTCTGCCATCTAAAGACATAGCAGGAAGGTCTATGAGCCAGAAAGCAGGCCCTTACCAGACAGCAAATCTACCTTAATCTTCAACTTTCCATCTCAAAAACTGTGAGAATAAATTTCTGTTGTTTATAGCCTACCCAGTTTATGGTGTTTTGTTATAGCAGCTCAAACAAACTAAGGCAAGAGGTTACCAGAACTGAGAGAAGGAAGAAATGGAGAGATATTATTTAATAAATACAGAGTTTCTGTTTAAAATGATGAAAAAGTTCCAGGAATATATAGTGGTTATGGTTATATATTAATAATATTGTGAATGTGCTAAATACCACTGGTGTACATGTCCAAATAGTTAAGATAATCAATTGCATATTTAATAAATAAATTAAACCAATTGATTATAAGAAAAAAATTGCACACTCAGTGGCCTTCGTATACTGTTCTTACCATGGCCTCAAGCCCTGGTGGGTCTGGCCTCTACTTTTTTTTAATTTACCTGGGTACATAGTAGGGGTATATATTTTGGGGGTACATGAGATGTTTTGATGCAGGCCTGCAATGTGAAATAATGACTTCATAGAGAATGGGTTATCCATTCCCTTAAGCATTTATACTTCGTGTTTCAAACAACCCAATTATACTTTTAGTTATTTTAAAATGTACACTTAAGTTATTATGGAATATAGCCATGGGATGTATGTATTTTTACAGTTATCCTCAGTCAATACTTCAGTCTGTTCAATTTCTTTTAGTCTCCCAAACATCTTCTGCTCCCTCTCATCACAAAAGCTTCTCCTATGATGCTCTCTGTTTCTGGAACATTGCAAATAGCACTTTCCTGCACACCACCACCTGCGTCTCAGTAGCCAGCATAAATCCCAGCTTAATTGTTTCTACCTCAAATAAGCCTCTTCTGGGCACCCATTCCAGGTTACACCCCTCTGTGATCCATTCTTTCAGCACCAAGTAATTTTCATTCATAGCCCTGGTCAGAGTTGTAATGGTATTTTTATTGGTGTTATTCTGAGTCTTGGCTGTTTCTTCCCCCAGACAATAAGTGGCAAAGAATGGCAAAGACATCTTTAGTTTTGCATCCAGCTTAGTGCCTGCCATATGGCAGAGGCTCAGTAAATATATACTGAAAGGGGAAGCCAAAGATTGTATCTGGTGTTCTCTGTTATCTTCTTTCTGTGAAAGCCCTAGCTTTCATTAGTATGACAGCACGCAGATCATCTTTATTGGCTTTTACTTTCCAAAATGTAAAATGAGGAGGAGAGAACAATGAATTTCTCCTAAATCTAAAATGTAAGGTGTAGAACTGTTTGAAGCAGAGGCTGCTTCATGGAAATGGAATGGGCTGGTGATGGAAACCAAGAGTCAAAAGTACATTTCTTAATCTGGTTTCCTGCCATTTAGACAAAGACTAAGAGAAGGAGGGGCATTCTTGGCAACATGTCTGGAGCCAGAAGTCTGTGCACAGGACAAAATGCTCTCTATAGTCATAACTGTTGAGTGATAGCAATGACTACAGCAATGGCAAACACACACAGTGTATGCTACAGCATTGAAGTCTTTTGGTCATCAAAATAATGCTGTCAGATTGTTGCCACTAATAAGTGGTAGAATTTGGATTCAAATCCACCAGGCAAGATGTAGAGTCTGAAAGGGAGAAAGTGTGTGTGTGTGCATGTGTGTGTGTGTGTATGTGTGGTGTGTGTGTGTTTTATATCTATCTATATTCATTCAACAATATTCTAATATATATGGAAAGGAAACATAAAATTAGGCAAATATGGTTGTCAATTTTCTCTAACTTACCATGTAAAATTCATTGCATTCTTAAAAAATTAGTTATGGCCGGGTGCGGTGGCTCACGCCTGTAATCCCAGCACTTTGGGAGGCCGAGGTGGGCGGATCACGAGGTCAGGAGATCGAGACCATCCCGGCTAAAACGGTGAAACCCCGTCTCTACTAAAAATACAAAAAAAAATTAGCCGGGCGTAGTGGCGGGCGCCTGTAGTCCCAGCTACTTGGGAGGCTGAGGCAGGAGAATGGCGTGAACCCGGGAGGCGGAGCTTGCAGTGAGCCGAGATCCCGCCACTGCACTCCAGCCTGGGCGACAGAGCGAGACTCCGTCTCAAAAAAAAAAAAAAAAAAAAAATTAGTTATTATCTAACTCAAATATGAATTAATCCATTGTTCAAAAACTAAATATCTTAAAATGTAGTAAGCATCTAACATATGCCTGGTGTAAAAGACAAGGCATATACCTAGCCTTTATCTTCATTGAGCTTGCAAAATGGAGTTGGACAAATTGGATTCTCACACATTAAACAATTAAAAGATACTACAATATATTGTTACATATGACCGAATGCTACATGTGTTGCACTATGTAGGGAAGGTTTGAGAGTACACACTTATGGTCTTAGTTTTATAACTTCCTATGCAAAATCTCATGTTACCTTTGCAAAATTAATACTTTTCTCTATCTTTTTTTAAGTAACACCGTGCAAGTATTAACGTCAAAAACTTAATGTTTAAATCCTTAATGAAAAGCAACCAACAAACACAAAATATTGCCAATATCACACTATTTGCAGATAGAAAATGTCACTGCATCTACATTTTTCTATGCGTCTACATTTTGAATTTTGACATTCTTTCTTGTAATATCCCAGGCTCAAGAAGCGAGTGGCAAGACCTTTTCCACGTTTCTGAAATAAAGTCATCCACAATTAAAATGGTTTACTGGAAACAGATGGACTTCCCGCAGAGATTAACCCAATTATCTTTGGTTTAAGAGCCAGAAAAAGCCATAAGATCATTATCTTACAAGACAAGAATTTTATCGTGATGCCAATCTCATTACATGAGTGAATGGAGGTGTTTAGTGATAGTTCTCCTGCATAAATATTCTTAATAGATTTAGTTTTTCAAACTCTTGGCTGCTCATTATTTTCAAATGAAAGAGCTTGACAGATGAAGGGTGCTGTGCATTACAGAGGCTAGAGACTCTACTGCATGTAGTTTTCCCCACAAAGACAAAGGAGCTACTCTCAAACAGCGGGAAGACCTTCACTTTTACAAACACTCCTCAAAATGTTGAAACTTGTGTTACCTTCATTGCGGGACAAAACTGACAGTGTCCAGATATTTTACAAAAATAAATTGTATACAGAGACACAGTACACTAATAGTTAAATCCCGTGACTATTTTAAGCTTTAAGGTGCACACATTTTTTCAAAACTAAATTCTTCAAAGTAAATTTAGCATTTTTGCTTCCATTCTTTTGGGTGGTAAGGGATGAAGGGAGTGGTGGTGCCAGTTGTTTAAAAAAAAAGGTAGCCTCATAAAGAGTGCTCTTTATCTTTGTCTTCATTTATTCAATATGATGTTTATTTAATAAACATGTAGATTTACACGTCTGACAAATCATAAATGAGAGAGGAATCAAAGCCTGTGTTTCTTATTGAAGGGAGTGATTAATTAATTTAAATTGTGATAAAATGAGTTAGCCAAGTATTAAACAGAAACAACTCTGAAGTTAACGCTGATCCTCTAATGGGGAAAAAATGCACTGAATTTTTAGGAACTAGGGCATGAGTTCTTGTAGCGTTAGGCTGCTTATTCATTTCTATTGCAATAACACAACTGGCAGAACCTTAGTGTCCACATTTCTAAAAATGGTGCCATGATTCCATATCACATAGAGTTATTTTAAGTAACAATGAATATAATGCCTAAATGTTTTACAAACTCTAAAGCATTACTGTGAATTGTTGATGTTTGGAGTAATAGATAACTCACCTTCTTCCCTCACTCAGGACCAGCTAATTCATTTAATATGGTAGGCAAAGTGCCTAGAGCCCATGATATTTTCAGGGATCAGGAAAGTATTTTAATATAAATTTATATTAAAATCAGAATAATACTGACTATAACAACAATACTGAATGTATAATAATGAATTGAAACTGGATTATTACATTCATCCTTATGCTGATCGTCATAAAATATAATGTATATTGTCGGTTAATTTGTTGACTTTTTAAATTTTTTGTTTCTTTTGTTCTGTTTAAAGGAAGAAGAGGCCCACAAAGGCAAATGTGTTTCAGGTGCACAAAAGTCACAAGATAACCATTGCCTCAGTCTAAGTGAAAGTAATGTCCATATTTGAAAATCTCAGAATTCTAACCTTTATTTCAGCCTTGGATAAAGGAAGGGTCAGTTATGGGCATTCACATGTATACCTGAAGTGTGGTCAAACACACATCGACTTGCTCAAAAACCTAGGTGAGAACAGTTATCTCTGAGATGGCCCAGTGGTTGTTATATTTTAGTAAGAATGGACCGAAAGCATCATTCATTTGTTCATTCACTGTTGAGTCATGTAACTTTTCTTGAAACACTGAGCTTTCCAGGCCAAGGATTCTCTATTTGTTTTTTACTTGTTTCCTTGTTTGAAGTTCAAAATGAGGACCACACAGTGAAGAAGAGAGGTGGGTTCGATTGCTTTCTTCTCCCACATGTGTTCCACTGGAGCTTTGAAAATGAGTCTGAGATTTTCCATGATTTATCTGTCCACCCTCTACTTTCTGCTATCTGCTACTTATCTATCAATCACTCAATCTATCTACCTATAACATATTATTTTCTAATGATTTCATGCAGCATACTATGTATGTAAGAAAGGAAAGGAATATTGTATAATACAATTAATATAATTTTTAAAGATTCATATTCTTACAAAATAAAATTCCAAAAAGTTAACAGATAAATACGCATACATTTTTAAGGTTATATATGAAACACATGAAGTTGGGTAATTATGAGGAACATGAAAGAGGGCACAAGGAATGAAGGGTGAAAATAAAATAGAATATAATAAGATCAGGTCTTGCAACATAAATAAATGAACACGGGATAATAAGTTTCAGTTTCTACACTGGGTCTCAAGAATAATATATAGTTAGCTCAAAATAAGAAGATAGTATTGTGAGTTAGAATGGGCAAGGATTGCTTCAGAGAGAATGTAGAATTTGAATTATGTCTTGAAGGAGAACAATAATATGTAGACATAAAAGGAAGGAGAGGATATGATTTATGAAAGGGAAGGCCAGAGCAAAATCTGAGGGGTGGGTCAGTGTAGGGAAGGTTTGGGGGCAGTTAGTAAATGCATTGCCCTTCCAAGTATGAAAATGGAGCCCCAGGTATATTGTGGATAGGGAAAGTAGAATTGGAAAGGGCTTGTCATCATTGTGAAACCATAGCGTTTTTTCAAATAGAGCTTTTGTGGACAGACACATAGATAATGGGGATGTTAAAATGGGCCATGTCTCTTTTCTGAAGAAAAAGAAAAAAGAAAAAAATCTGCAATCTTTCCTCTCCTCTTGCTGTAACAATTCAGAGAAAAAAAGAAGTCTATCATTCAACTGATCCCAGGGAAAAAGACAGGCAAGGTCATGTCCCCTCACGCAGAGAGAGACAGGCGCAAGGAGACCTGGCCTGTGATCTGCTCCCCATTAGGGCAGTGTGGCTTCTCTTAATAGGGCCCTGATCATTTTTCAAGTAGCGAATCTGTCCAGCAGAAGGCGGTGAGCTATTGTTATCATTTATTCTGATCCATGGAACCCAGTTGATAAAAAGGTTAGAAATGCCACCTCCAGACATGCACTACATCAGATGTGCTTAAAACTGCAATTCAGACCGAGCTCCAGATCGTTTCTGCCTCTCCTGTCATCTCTTGTGCAGGAATAATAACGCACAATAACAGCAGCCCTCTTTGCTTCTAGATTAATATTAAAGGAATGAACATAATTTGCAATCTATTTATAAGCACACATATCTACCTCTAATAGCAATACCATAGGATATCTATGAAGATATGGGCTGATTAATGTGAATAAATACAGGATATTATAAGAGATGAAATAACAGTCTTGAAGGGGAAAGAAGAAATTGATTTTTATTTTAATTTCCTGGATTATGTCTTTTATTCTTATCCTTTCATATTCTTTTCATTAAAACAACACACACTGACCTTTTCTGTAGCACATTCATTAACTACACCGACATGTATTTCATTGTACACAATCATTTTCTAGATGTTATTTGATATATTCTAACTCATATATATATTAGCCTTCTCCCCCAAGTTCCCTAAATATAAGTACTTTTTCTGTATGTTACCTTTTTTATAATTCATAGGGAAAGAAATAAGCAAAGATTGAGGCTTACATAATAGATTTCTCTACAATATCACTTATTCATCTCGTAAGAATTTACTGCTAATCTACAATGTTGTGCAGGTCCATTTAGTGTGAATGTTATGCTAAATTCTGCAATAGCTTGTCATTCCTTGAAGAACATATACTCCAATAGCTGACATAGGACTAACAATGTAGAACAAAGCTATATCAGAGAGCAGGCAATACAATGAATGCTTATGAAAACACACATAACCAGCTGATTAACAAGAAAGCAACCAACGTAATCAAATTGCCCAAATAACTGTCGTTTTTCTGCTTGGTGTTGTTTCTCCACAAAATGTCAATAAACAAGAAGCTGACAAAAGAAAAGAAATGTAGAAATAAAAGAAAAAAGAAAATAGTGTTCTGGCATGAGCACACAGCTGGTCCAACTCAGACACTTTCTCTAGTTCTGCAGAGATGTGAATTGATTTTACAAGCACTAATCCTCAATCCCAATGGGATCTTCAATCAACTAAGATTCAGTTACCTTAGGCAGACTGCTCTACCAGTGGCCTCACAGTGGAATAAGATTCTTTAGGGATGAAAATACAAAGCCATAGTTGAAATCCAGTTTAAACGAACAAATAACAAAAACCCAGGATAAAACAAAGCGAAAAACCCAAACAATAGAAACCAGAAAGTAAAACACTGAAAATAATAAATAGCGTAGAAATTATGCTAGAAAAAAAGCTACCCACTCACATAAAAAGCTACCCACTCACATCTACAAGGACTGGATACATTATTGTCATCCCTCTCTACCTTAGGAGAATCCCATTTCTCAGGAGCTGGGTCCTGCAAACACACCCATAGGTAATTTTCTGGAACAGTAGCTTCTGTTTTTCTGGCTTCATGGTTTTGTTGTTGGTGGCTGTGGTGATGGCTTGTTGGTTTATTTCTTTGTTAATTTTGTTGTTCTTATTTTTTGCTTTTTATTTTATATCTGACTGTTAGAATTCTTTGTGGCTGGCTTGGGAACCTACCCACCTGGATATTTGAGGTTACACCATTTAGCATGGAAGAGATGTTGGAAAGTGAGGAGCTTTCAGAAATCAGTTGATATAGCCCATTAAGTTTTATCAGCTTCTACAGAAAGTCAGTCAGTTCCTCCCTTCTTCTGCCTTACCTCCACCTGTGTCCACTAGAATAACACAGGATTATTCCCAATGAGTGAAATATAAGATATGCTCACCTAAATATTTTCAAGTATTTTCAATGCAAACCAGGAACCTGTTACAATGAGCTTGTATTGAGTGGGTGGCCATGAAAATAAAAAAGAAAAAAAAATGGTACTTTCCACCAGGGTATGATGAAAAGATTCTATGTTATTTATCATTTTGTGGGAGCTTAAAGAGAAATACAAGAAGTAGCAGACCCAAAGTCTGGGGCTCAGGCCACCAGGAGAGAGACAACACCATTGGCAGAGAAAAAATACATGGAGATGACATGCTGAGAATATAAACTGGGCAGGACATGGTGGCTCACGAGTGTAATCCCAGCACTTTGGGGGGGCCAAGGTGGGTGGATCACGAGGTCAGAAGATTAATACCATCCTGGCCAACATGGCGAAACCCTATCTTTACTAAAAATACAAAAATTAACCAGGCATGGTGGCAGCCTCCTGTAGTCCCAGCTACTCAGGAAGCTGAGGCAGGAGAATCACTTGAACCCGGGAGGCAGAGGTTGCGGAGAGCGGAGATTGTGCCACTGCACTCCAGCCTGGTGACAGTACGAGACTCCGTCCACACCCCACTCCCCCCAAAAAAAGAATATAAACAATTTTGTTTTACTTCAATTGATGTTGACATAAAACTGGGATACACAACAATAAAACTGGGAGAGAAGTTCCCAGTTTTATAAGGTTTATAAAGAAAGTTAATTTTGATCAGAAATATGAAAGAAGGCACTTTGAATGTTATATAAAATTACATGAATGCTTATGTATAATATTATATCTTAGAGTTGAAAGTGAAGAAGGGTTATTAGGAATGAGAGCTACAGTATCTTTCATTATAAACTTTTCCTTCGTTGAATCCTTTACTGAATCAAAACTGGGGTAAAAAGTGGAGGAGACAAGACCCAGTCAGTAATATGTAAATATAATTTTCACCTTGTGTGTTAGTAATACAGGAGGGAGAATGGAGGAATGCTGTGTTAGTCTTATGAAACAAATCAAGGTTATACTGTTACGTTTCAGATATACTTTAAGATTCACATGACCAGTTGCTTCACTGTAAATGTCTTCCATAGAAAGGGAGACACATGGGCCTGGAGCCAAATGACAACACCAAAACTTAAATATTTCTTTTTTTTTTTTTTTTTTTTTTGAGACGGAGTCTCGCTCTGTCGCCCAGGTCGGACTGCGGACTGCAGTGGCGCAATCTCGGCTCACTGCAAGCTCCGCTTCCCGGGTTCACGCCATTCTCCTGCCTCAGCCTCCCGAGTAGCTGGGACTACAGGTGCCCGCCACCGCGCCCGGCTAATTTTTTGTATTTTTAGTAGAGACGGGGTTTCACCTTGTTAGCCAGGATGGTCTCGATCTCCTGACCTCATGATCCACCCGCCTCGGCCTCCCAAAGTGCTGGGATTACAGGCGTGAGCCACCGCGCCCGGCCCAAAACTTAAATATTTCTAAGTTAGAGTCTTGGCTCTTTCAATAATGCCCTCTACTTCCTTGGAAAATTTATGTAGATGGCTGGCCTCCAGTTGTGACAAGGTAACAAGAACAATAATACATACTTAGAAAACTCTCATGAGTGTTTGAAGAACTAATTAGCTAATATTTGCCAAGTACTTTGAGGATGGGAAGTGCTAAATAGTACTGCTATAATGGCATGCTTGTTGAAGGCTAATGAGCTCAAAGGGAAATGGCCCTACCAAATACAAGCTTTCTGGAAAAAGCACAGCATCCTTTCTCTTCTCCAAGTAGGAGTTGAAAATAACATAATCTCATAAAGCATGGTAGAAGTATGGTAGATGCTCCTATAATTCTAGCAATGATCCACCATCATCATCATCACCCTCACTCTTCAATCAATGCTTTGCTATTGCCGGAATTTAGTTAGAACTAGCTGTTAAATACCAGTAAGTATGCTAAAATAAAGGCAACATCTTTTTAAATGAGAAAAAATAAATATTTAATAAATTAACTTGTTATTTTATCTCAAAAACACTTAACGGATTTTTTTATATACACTTAGAACTCAGAGTTTTGACTAAGGGGGATAATTGACTTCCGTGTTGGTCTCCTGTAGATACAGCCTGTGGCTGTACTTCAGGCTGTATCTACAGGAGACCAACATGGAGGTCAATTACCCCATTAGTCAGCATTCTGGGCTCTTAGTGTATATATATATATATATATATATATATATATATATATATATATACACACATATATATATATATATATATATATATGGGGGGGAGAGAGAGAGAGTAATTCAAAATAAAATAAAAAACTGATATATTAAATATTTTTTACATATATATGTATATTTCTTATTTTCTCTGATTCTCCAACATTCTAAATTTTTCTGTGTCCTTCAGTACCTACCAACTTACTTTTTAAAACATTTTTCTCTCTGATGTTATACTTTCTTCTTTCTGGCTTTTTCTTTTTCTTCTCTTTTTCTTTCTATACTTTAATATATGTGTTGCCAAAAGATCCGCTTCCTCCACACTTTTTGGTCCTTCTGCCCTGACTCTATAAAAAGTATAATCCAGTCATATAAATTTAAAAATTACCTCTATGAGAAATATTGCAATGCTAAGCTCTCTCTGAAACTATATTTCTACATTTCTAATATTCTGCAAGAACTCTTATCTGGGGTGATCTACAGACTTTTCCAATTCATTACATTTAAAAGTGAATATATAATTTTACCTGAAAACTCTTTCTTCCTTGGTCATTCTATTTCCAAGTAATGATGCCACGCTCTTCCCAGGATCTCAGATTTAAACTCTCTTCTTTGAATATTTTTTAAAATATTTTTTTCCCTTTTCTTGTCCACAACATTGACTTTGTTTCCAATTCAATAGTTTCAGCCTTCATAAAATACCTCCCATCCAATGTCTGCTTTTCATTTTAACTGCCTAAGTAGGATTCATTACTTCTTTTTTACCTGTATCCTTTCAGTGGTTTCCTGACTGGTGTCTCTACTTCCAGTCACTGCTCAGTTATATGTATCTAATGCTTTGCTCCCATATTAATCTTCCTGATGGGGAACTTTAATAGTGTTGTTCCTTCTGCCTCAAAAATGTCAAAAGCTTCTTTTACCTTTGTTCTTACTTCACCCTCCATGTACTCTTAGCTCTAGCCCAACTAAACTCTTTTCTGTGTCCTGTAAATTCTCCAGGGCTGTGGCTACTCTGTGCCTTTCCCTCAGTGTTATGTTTGCTTAGGATTTTCTATGCTCTTTTCTCTGCTTGTCCAATTTTTGCCATTCTTCAGGGTCTTGCTCAAGGGTCCTTTCCCTTGAAAGTCTACCATATCTACTCATTGGAAAATAACGAATCTTTCTTCTAAAAAGCCTGCTGGGTGGTCTGGGCCAGTCTAATATAGCTACTGTAATAAACTCTCATTTTCTGGCTTTTTCCTTTACCTATTAGTATGAACTACATGTTAGTTTTCTCAATTGTAGCGGTACAATTTCAAATGTAAGTCTCGGTTCTGGATTTGATTATGAAGTACAGACTTTTAAGCTTGCTTAGATGTAGGTAATGAAGTCTACATCTATCTCTAACCAAATAGGGGGTCCTGTTGAGTAAACAATGAAAGCTCAAACCCCAGATAGTAATATACATTTATTTGGTTTTATGTTTCCTCTTCTGTGCATGTATCTTTCTCAGTAATCTTGCAGAGACTAGGAGTGATAGCAGCATTGGGCATGGTGCAAATGTGGAGGGGAAGACAGAAGAAAGAATGAGGAAAAGAAGTCAGGTTATTTGGTTCGAGGCAAGCCTCTTTCTTCCTTGTGGCTTTCAGCAATCATAATATCACCCTAAAGTAATTAATATTCTTAACATTCATCTAGAGGTTTTGTTGTTATTTCAAAACCACTTCAAATAATAAGCATGCTGTAATGGTAAAACCTATGGTTGGTATGGATTAAAAGCTCAAAAATAATTGCTAAATAAATAAATAAATAAATAAAATTTCTCACTTATTTTACTGTTGCTAGGGCAAAGACAAACAGGACCTGGAGAATCACAGTGATTACCATAAAATTAATCAGTGAGTTATCCAATAACAGCTACTATTTCCCATGAGGCTTTCTTGTTGAAATAAGTCAGTATAGCTTGACTTTTTTTCTAGAGCACTTTTTTCTTAGTTCCTCATTTGTCCCAACCACTAGGGGGCTCTTTGTCTTCTTCACTTGTCATGGGTGGCTTTCTACGTCAGGGACTTTGCAAGTTTCCAAGTAGTTTTGTGTCATATCCTGATCATTCTTACCATAGGCCAATTCATTCTTCCATGGGACATCAAGATGTATAACTTCATAAATTATATCACAGTGATTGGCTCTGGAGACAGGAATTGACATGTACCCTAGTAGACTTTTTATAAAGGCATATGCAAGATGGTGTGCAACATCAAATATGTCATGGGACAATTTCTCATAAAATTGAATTATGAGACTTGAGAATGGACAGCAGGTGGTAGGAGTTGAGGCTGCAAATCTTGAAGTAGTGTTAGAACCATATATCTTGATAGTCATGCAAAGTGTACATTTATACAAAAGAATAAAAGAGAAAAGAAAGAAAGCAACTATAGAAAAGGAAAGGGAGAACAAGAGTTAAATATACAAGGAAGAGAGACCTTATTATATATGGAAGAGAAAAATAGAGAGCAATCATTTACAACAGTTTTGTCAGTTTCTGAATAGTTTACTTACTCTAAGTTCTAGATCATGAAGGTGTGTTTAAAATTTGGTTCATTTTTCTCAAGATAACTTGAAAGAGGTCTTTGTTCCCTTGATTGTTTAATTGCAAGCTAGAAAAGCTAACCCACAAAGTCCAAGGAATTCTGAGGCACAAGTCAGGTGTGCCACCATAGAAAGCACCTGCTGTGGGTGCTAACATTCCTAACATTTTGCTTTTCAGAGCAGAGAAATTAACTCCTAAGTTTATATACATGTGTGTGAGTATGTGTGTGCATGTAGCCTCTCTATTCTGAAAAATTCATTGGCCTATTAAAGTTTCATAAAATTTCCTGTCTGAGATACCTAAGGCAATAATAGAACTGGGTCAGTGGGTAGGTGGTTACTTCCACCACTATTAGAAAGGCAGCCTACCACACAGGTGGCAAGATGAGTTTTGAAAGCAACTGAACATTCAGAATTTGTTCAATTTATCACAATTACAAAAAGACCTGGGCCAAATGATCATAGACTCACCCACAGAATTGGGTGGGAAAAATGAATGCTTCTGTCATGGTTTGGAAGATTACGCACTGATACTAAATATTTTTGGAGACATTATACCAACTCTCTCTCTCTGTCTTTTTTTTTTTTTAACAAATAAGAAAACCTAGGTCTTAAGAAGTAAAATGACTCCCCTAAGGCCACATGGCTAATTAGTGCCAAGTCAGAAATACAGAACTGAGAATTCTCTCCATTTTCAGCCTGTACTCTTCCCAAAAATCTTTACCTGGAGGAACCAAGTAAGGCTGATTGTGGTCACATGGATCCAGGCACTAACGACACTGAGCAATTTCTAATCAAGAAAGATGACTTGAGTAATGGTCACGCACATGGGTCTTCCTTTGCACACACTATTAATACTAACTACATTTCTCCATATCCATTCTCTGCATGGTAAATTACTGGTAATCCCGAATCCCAAATACAATACAATACCCTCTCCTCTCTGAAGTCTCCCTGGATTTCTAAGACAGACTCTATTTTTCATCCCTAGTGTTTCCAAGCCCTGCTTTACAACTGTATTACTGTGTTGTGTCACTGTGATTTATACCTGTATCAATTTTTCAAGTGGACTTTTAAATCCTTGAGATTAGAGACCATGCTATCATATGTATTCATTTCCGCAACTAAGCTCTGCCTAGTACAGAGCAATTGCCTACAGCATGTTTGCTAAATGAAAGCATTAAAATAAAAAAGGAGAATAATTAAAATAGATTTTTATCATTATTGTTCTACCACATTGTTTGCCTTTCACATCCATATACACACTTTAAGTCCCAGCCGATAATTGGATGTTATTGATGGGGAAATACAGGAGAGAAATGCTCAATTCGGGGGTATATTTCTCAGAAGTGGACTATGAGAAGTGTTAAGAGAATGGAGTGAGTCATCAAGAGATGTGGATCATGTCTTTAATAGCTTTGACAAGTCCTTTACCCTTTCTCTGTCTCCACTTCCTCAGTTCTCAAGTAGGAATAATACTCTGCCTCAAAGATAATGTAGTGAAGGAGAAATTAGTTATTGTACATGAAGCTATTTTAAAATATATAAAGGGCAATGCTCATTAACTTATTGTGAAGATGATGATGATGGCTCCAGAGGTGTTCCAGAAGATTAGGATGATGATAATGGTGCTTCAGAAGATTAGGAAAAAAAGCCTTAATCTGAACTTCCTATGCTCTCCTTTTTATTCAACACCAAAGTTTTATCAAATTGTTTTATTAAGTGTCATTGCCCAAGAACTTCTGAGTTTCTTTAATAATCAATAATCCAGGCCGGGCGCGGTGGCTCACGCCTGTAATCCCAGCACTTTGGGAGGCCGAGGCGGGCGGATCACGAGGTCAGGAGATCGAGACCATCCCGGCTAAAATGGTGAAACCCCGTCTCTACTAAAAATACAAAAAATTAGCCGGGCGTGGTGGCAGGCGCCTGTAGTCCCAGCTACTTGGGAGGCTGAGGCAGGAGAATGGCGTGAACCCGGGAGGCGGAGCTTGCAGTGAGCCGAGATCCCACCACTGCACTCCAGCCTGGGCGACAGAGCGAGACTCCGTCTCAAAAAAAAAAAAAAAAAAAAAAAAAAAAAAAAAAATCAATAATCCAAACTGCCATTTAATATTATTTCCTTTCAATCATTTTCTCTTGAGCATGCAGAGGTCACCATTTTCTACAGGAGACACTTGGGTAAGAACGTGAGATTTGAACAGAGCTGTGAATTCCCTCATTATTACTTACTAGCTCAGTAACTGTAGGTTTTAAAAACCTCATTAAACTTTAGTCACTTTATCTGTCAAATGGGAATAATAATCAAAGATGCCTTGTAAGGTTCTGTTTACAATAAAATGAAATATTGATGGTTTCACATAATACCTGGCACCAGAGTAAGTAATAAAAAGAGATAAATAAAAAGAAAAAAATGTTATTATCAGCTATCTAAAATATTATTAGATATCTAAAATATCTTTTGTCATCTGTCATCATGACGGAACTTTTAATCTTAGAATTTTTTTTGTAACTAAAATACTTGCATAGTGAGGAAAGCAAGAAGCCTGAAAACTGACATTCAGATATGAGCTCTGCCTCTTACTAATGTGTAAGCCAAATCATAAGCGAAATCATATCATGTGACATTGTTATAAAAGGAACTGTGTATACATGTTACACAATACATGGAACACAATGAAATGGCAATGTTGTGATATTTAGTAGAAATGGCAATGTAGTGATATTTCACTACATGAAATACACATGTAGTGAGACATGATTCTATCTCTAGTCTGCACTCTCTCTATATTATCTCTGATTCTCTGCAATAACCCATTTTACAGATAAGGGATCTGAAGGACTGAGAGGTTTCATGATTTGCCTGAAGTCTTCCAGCTGGCAAGTAGGGGAGCCACATTCATGCCTAGATCCTTCAACCCCAAAGTCCATGCAGGGAGGAAACCCTATGCTATATTTCCTTCTCAATAATTGATAGCTATCCTTTGAGGCTGAATCTCCTGTAATAGATAAATATTCACAGGAAGGCTAGCACCAGCCTAGTTCCTGCTCAGGAAAGCATCCTGGGGAGTCCCTTAGCAGTAAACCTAAGATGCATCTGAGGGGAGAACTACCCAAGTGCTCCACAATTAGGGAGAGTTGAAAAGGGAGGTACAAGGACCCAAAAGTGAACTGTGGATCTGTCCTAATTTCCCCTCACTATTTACCACTATTTGCCCCCATAAACTAGAAGGAAAGTGAGAGCCTCCCAAGTTGAGTAAAATAATTATTCTCAGAGAATTGACCTAAAGAGCCAGTGCCACGCCTGAGCAGCCTGGGAAGCCCTTGGCCTCAGCTGGACAATGGAGATGAGGCCACGGGGGCCTTGGGACCACACCTTGGCCACGGATCCCTATCTTCTCCATCCTTTCAGACACTGAAGAGCTATGGGAGCGGGAAAAAACACAAAGTTAGGATGGCGAGCACAGACCATTGAAGACAGAGCATTCTCTGTTTCTATTTATACCTTTTAGGCTCCCCCTTTCCTGTGATTGAAATGTGGGTCCTAAAAAAGCCGAGGGCAGGTAAGTGAGCAGTCTACACGAGAGCGGACTCGCCCGGGATGACCCGGAGCAGTCAGGGTCCAGCCACCGGCCACGGCCCCCTGCAGCCGGGGCCAGCCCTGCGCGGCTGCCGCAGCCTCCACCACCTCCTGGAAAGCAGCAGCCGGGCGAGAATGAAAGTGACTTCCACAATCGGCCGCCCACGGGATAAGCGCAAGCACTGGTCTCGATGATTAATATGGATTTTCAAAATACCAGTTCTTGAGGGAAAGCACATTATTAGTGGTAGAAGCAGCCGTAGGAATAATAAACTATTTAATTTGAATTTGCTTTAGGTTCGCAGTCCGTGCACTAACACCGTGCGTTCTTACTGATGCCTCTCGCCCAGGTTTTCACTTCTTTAGCTGTGACCTGCTATTCAGTCTATTAAATCTCCTTCCTAAATCCCCAAACTCATTCGAGGCCTCCGTCATTTTCTCCCTCCCCTTCAAACCTACCTTTTTAAAGCCCTTTTTTCCTCCATTTGTTCTCTAAACAAAACTGCAGCCGTTGCCACACGTCTTTTGCAGATGCTGCTAGCAACAAATTATTCCCCACGGGTTTTAGCTAGGATTTCACCCTGTTCCATTTGGCTCTCAGGACACATTTGTTGAACTCGAAAGCATTTTAACTGCCTTTCTCTCTCTCTTTCTTTCCTAGTGAAAACTCATAGCAGCAAACTCTTTCTCTCCCTAGAGCAACTGACAGGCCCCAGAAATAAAGGAACAGAGGGATTAAAAAAAAATCTGTGAAACAAAGCTTTGATACTTGACCCATTTAGTTACTATCTTTAACCGCAATTCTATATTTTTATTTCATTTCTGCTATTGTTTCATTTAAAGACCTGTATTTATATTCAGTTGGTAAATAATGCCAATAGGGCACTACTTGACCTCTCATAGTGACCCTGAAGTTAACTCCTGAATCTATAGTGACCCTGAAGTTAATCTCAACTTAATATTTTACTTATGTTTGGAAAATCTCAATAGCTCTTTTTTTTTTAACTTTTCCCATATACTCAGAACTGTAAATAAACAATTCTACAGAAAGTTTTGTTGTTTATGTTCTGTTTTCACTTTGTTTTGTCTTGCTGTTCTGCATGTTAAGCACAGAGCGAAAAGATAAAGCCACCACAGAAGAAAACTAGTTATTTGAATACGACAATGGCTGGAAATGGAGTAGGCGCTGCTCATGTTCACCTGTTTCTCATGGTTTTGTGTAAACTCATATTACATAGCGTTTATTTTCTGATGCAAGTGATTAACCCCCACGCTCCTGAAAATTTAGCATAGGCATACATTTTCACGTAATTGGGAGGAGGTTTAAAGCATGTATCCCATTTGTAGACATACTATGAATCCATGGGCCGTGGCTTAAGGACTCCAACACAGATATGATCCCTGCTGAGTAACAAATTCAGTATCTGAGTCAAACATGCTCAGGCACCTGGCTCTTTCTCTACAGAGTCAGAACATCCAGTCATATATATACACACATACACATACATATATATATACATACACATACATACACACAAATAAGGGAAATAACAGTGTGGTTGTAGCTCTAAAAATATTTAAGAAAATTAATTGCAACCGAATCCCTGGAGATTTCTGGAAGAGCTATTTTGCTGTCCTCAGTAGGATGCACTACAAAGTCCATAGAAAGAAGGCTAAGAATGAGAAATTGAGTGCTGCCTTTTAAAGTTCCTAGAAAAAAACGAGCCATGACTACTATGGCCACTGCTGGTGAATGTTTCTGTGGAGCCTAGCACAGAGTTCTGTCCCAGCAGGCACTCTGTAAGTGTTGATTAACTGACACAAACTAGGAGAGTAAAACGTGTCAATGGCCAAGATCCAACAGGCAAGTTAGTTACCCAGAGGGGGTGAGTTAGAGCTTCCAGTGGTGGAACAGAGCAGAAAGTTGCAGAGAGAGTCCCTAATTGCTTTAAGGGCTATTATCCCCCACCCTTTACAAAGGGTCACGTAGAAGCAAAAATAGGGTGAGAATTCATCCTGGACACTGGCACACTGACTTTTAAGTTTACCTCAACAACCTTGTTCTAAGATAAGAGTTTTTATTTTCCTAAAATAATTTGCAACTTGTTACATGTTAATTATTACTTACTGCAATGGCTTTCTGGCACCATGAAGTTATAAAAGGTCAAGCTGCATCAGTATAAGAACAACCATGACAAAAACGACTTTAAAACATGAAACGTGGTGCAGCCTCACTTATTGGAGCATTCAAAGAGAGCCTGAAAGCTTTATCAGAGATAAACTAGAAGGTCGTGGTAGGATGTGGAATTAAGCAGCATGTAAAATCTCCTGAAATCTAAAATTTCCGAATTCTTTAAACCCCAACTAGTCCAACAGAAAATATGAATGACATATGTTCTGATTCACCACTCCTTGTAGTCCTATAGTACAATGAAAATATGTGATCTGTAAAAGGTTCTTTCTAGCCCCCTCTTTCTACTTCATTTACCTCTTAAAAAAAATAGGTCACAATGGCTAACTCCTTAGGAAGTGGTCAAGAGGGGAAGAAATAAGAGAGATATTATGAGAAAAAGAAAAGATACCCAAAATATCTGAATTATGTGCTCAAAACTGAGTTAATAAATGCATGAATGAATGATCTTAGAAACTCTTGGAAACACAAAGTGCTCTGAGAGGACAGTCATTGGATACCAAGGGATGCAGATAGTATTACTGTGCTCAGAATCAGAAGCATATGAAAAAATACTTCTTCAATCAATTTTTAACTCAGGTAATTACTGAGCACATTATTGAATAACAGGAATTATATTAGGTCCTTAAGATATATAGATTATTAACATAGAGCCCAGCACCAAGATATCCACAGAATAATGGGGAAGTAACATATTAAAAAAATCCTGGCAATGTTAAGTTTTTTCATGGTATCCTAAGTGCTAACAGTGTACATGTTGCATAACACTTGATCAAAAATTTTGTTAAATGAATGAAGTGCTGTAATGGGTAACAAACACGTTTATGTAGAAATGGAAGTATTAAGCCTTTTGAGGTATCCAGGGGCGTTTCTTACAATGGAAGTACTGTTTGAACGGGTCCTAATAGCAATTTGAATATGATAAGAACCATGGAGGAAAAAAGAGAAGAAATTCTGAGCAAAGGAAACAACTACATCCAAAGGCATGGAAGTTTGAAAAAACATGCAAATTAAAATGACTGCAAAGATTTCATCAGGACAGGACCATCAGATGTATTAGGCGCAAGAACATTAGCTGAAGTTAGACAGAATTCGTGAGGTTATCTAAAGAAAACTCTTGAAGAGCATGAAAAGTGGATTTGAAGTTGAAATGCAGTGTTGAACGGTTAGTACACGTTTTCGAGCTGCACTGGTTACAATGAATAGAGATTAAATCTATCTAATGCAGTAAGATGGTAGACATTACAACTTTTCAGTTTCCTCCAAGCCATGTAGGTTACTCTGAAATTCCAATCAGCATAAGGATCTCACTTATAACAATATTATGGAAGTGTGCTCACATCCGTCGTATTGGATTTTGGCTCAGATCTTATTATTGTTGTAAAAGCAAGGCCGAAGCATGAAAGCCTTGTATTTGAAACAGTGCATGGGTTTTGTTACCAAAACACGAGGGGTTCAGTCTTGGTCCAACTGCCCACAACACAGAAAGCCAATCACTGAGACAATGAGTATTTCCAAGGAAGAAGGCTTCATTCAGGTCCTGCAGCAGAGGAGATGGGAGATCAGTCTCAAATTCAGTTCAACCCACTAAAATTAGGAATTTATGTAGCAGGGAAGAAATGTAACCATATGAGGGAAAACAGAAATTAGAGAGGGGTAAGGAGATACTCCTGAGGAATAAGGAGTCTGGCATCTCATTATCCTCATGTGGTAATCTGGTAAGTTTCATTTCCTTGATACTATCTGGGAGGCCTGATCTTTGGTTTCCTGGGGAAAAAAAAAAAAAAAAACTTGGATAAGACAAACGTAACTTTCTCACGTTTTAAGACTGGGAGGGTCAATTTCTATGTTTATTCAAAAGAAGCCGTAGATATCAGCTCTATGGGACAACTGGGCCAGTTTAAGTCTCTGTGGCCTGCGGAGTACATCGCAAACCTCTTGACATGGCTAGTCACAACCAAACTTTTATGTTTGATTCTCACTTACAGTCTTTATATATCTCATGTAGCTCCTTTCTCTAGTGATGGAAAAACAAAGTGTCAATGGCAAATAGGTTTCTCAAATTTAAATCCCTCTGTGAATCCCCTAAATTCTATAAAAATAAGTGGGTTTTTTTTTTGCTCTTCTCTATATAAAGTTACTTTTATCACAGCTGTTCTATTAAGCAATCTAGAGTCCTTTTACTATAAGCTGAACTACATCAGTGAGAATAGACAGGAAAATGTGTCCACTATCACCTGGACACTGAGCAGTTAACTCCTAAGTATGAGTAAAACAAGGTGAATATACAGAACCCAGATCCAGACATGTGGTGGAGTCATTTTAAAGAAGAAAATCCTGTCTTCTGGGCAAGGTATAGACACCCAGAACTCCCCAGAGCCCCAGGGTTTTTCTTTTGTTAGGAGAAAAGTATGTTTCTGGTTTAATCTCTCTAATTAAATAGCAACTCCTTCCCCAGCTCTGGAGGTGGTTACATCCAAAAGCAATAAAACCCAGGATTCCTTCACTTCAAGCATCCCCCTAGTTATCTGTCTTCTAGGTCACATATCACAGGAGAGAACCTTAGGGATGAATTTTTAAAAGGCAACGAGGCTTTTTCCTGTGAAGATGACAGATGTGTTATGTATTACATTGGACAATGACATAAGAATTTCCAGCATGAAAGACTCCTCCTATCCCATCGTACCCTCTTGAAATTATCAAAGATTTTAAGAATATTCATGTCCAATCTCTTAATGGTGCTGAGGCTGAAACACTTGTGAAGATACCCAGGAGATTTTTAACAAAGTGCTGCAAGTAAAGTTCTTACTGTCAAAAAAAGAAAAGAAAAGAAAAGAAAAGAAAAACTTGGTAAAGCTTGCATATCTTGGATGGCGTTCCTGAAATGAAGACAAAAGTTCAAGATTGATTGGCTCCCATATTCTTGAGAAACTGAAACTTTTCCTAAGTTCTCAGGCATTACTCCTGGACTTTTATGTCAGTTCTTAGCTTAAACATTGCTTCTCAGAGTATGTGCTGTTTTCCATGCCTCGTACTCAGATATCAGTCTATAAACTTCGTAAGGATGGAAGTATAGAAACTTTGTCTGTCTTCTCTGTCAGCATTCAGCCCTTGACATGACATATAATAAGTACTTAACAATTTGGCTTACAAATGAACTATCAAATTCATGGTTTCTACAACAAGACAGGTAGGTTTTCTAGTTAAATATAGCTGGTTGTAGCATGGAGGAAGATAGGAGACAAATCACATTTTTTCTTCAGTAAGGATGCCAACATGCCTTTTTCTTCCTTCTGTAGCAAGAAAATAAAATTATACTATCAGTAAGGAGGTTGAGGGGCTTTTGAATATAAGCTACTTAGTAAGCAAGATGCCTTCATTTCAAAATGATCGTATGATTTTCATAAAGCTTATCCTTGTGTTCTGTTTCACATTTTATTATTTTTTAAAAATTTGCAATAGTTTCTTTTAGCAAAAGGTTTTCTATAATCAAGTGTATTAGAAATATATTCAACTTCAAGATATCCAACTGGGGATCAGACGTGGATCATCACTGAGCAGAACCTGGCTCTACTCCACACATAAAAATTTCAAAGGGTTGGATGGTTTTCATGAAAGCCTGGCTGAATTTTTTTTTTTCTTGGACCTTAAATGTTCCCAGCTTCTTTGACTAACCATAATTCTGTGATTGGCTTTAATCAAGGTATTTTTTAAAAACACTTGAAAGGAGATACTCTGTGTTTGGAATTTCACTTCTATTCCTATATTTTAAGAAGTTTGAGAAATTGTATGTATTGTATTTGCTTAATTGTATGAATAAATCTTCTACTAAAAGCTAGACATTTGTCTGTTCTCATTAACCAATTTATGCCAGCGGTTGCAATTTTTTGAATTTTTGCATGAGTGAAAAATCAGACCTTGATGATGACCTTGAGCAGTAGGATATAAATAATTCCTACATACTGACATGCTTAGCATTCCAATAATGGAATGCCAGGCATAAGTGGGTTAATAACACTATACGGCTACAAAAAAATTTTACTTTTGTTTTGTTCCGTTTTCTTTTGTTTTGAGACAGAATCTTGCTCTGTCACCCAGGCTGGAGTGCAGTGGCGCGATCTTGGCTCACTGCAATCTGCAACCTCTGCCTCCTGGGTTCAAGCAATCCTTCTGCCTCAGCCTCCTGAGTAGCTGGGATAACAGGCATGCCCCACCACGCCTGGCTAATTTTTGTATTGTTAGTAGAGATGGGGTTTCTCCATGTTGGCCAGGCTGGTCTCAAACTTACTTTACTGTTTTGTTTTGCTTTGTTTTGTTTTTATCAAGTCAAGTGGTGCAATTATTAATTGCCAGTATATATTTAGAAAACAAAACTAAGACACAAACAAACAAAAAACAGATAAATTCTGCGATATTTTATGGCATTCCTCACAGATCAATATTCTGTACTCTTTGTATCTTTGTGAATAAATTTGATAATCAGAATTGTAAAGCTAGATACAATTTAGAGAAAAGAAGCTGAAGATCTGTAATTTTAGCAATGAGGAAACTGAGGACTGAAGGTGTTTTCTTTTTTTTCTTTTCTATTTTTTTTTTTTTTTTTTTTTTTGAGATGGAGTCTCTCTCTGTCGCCCAGGCTGGAGTGCAGTGGCGCGATCTTGGCTCACTGTAAGCTCCACCTCCTGGGTTCATGCCGTTCTCCTGCCTCAGCCTCCCGAGTAGCTAGGACTACAGGCCCTGCCACCACGCCTGGTTAATTTTTTTTTTTTTTTTTTTTTTTTAATTTTTAGTAGAGACGGGGTTTCACCGTGTTAGCCAGGATGGTCTGGAACTCCTGATCTCATGATCAGCCCACCTCGGCCTCCCAAAGTGCTGGGATTACAGGCGTGAGCCACCGCGCCCGGCTGGACTGAAGGTATTTTCCAGGTCCCAAAGTTACTTTCCAACTGAGCTTGTACTGGCACATGGGTAACATCCCACAATGTCTCACAGTTATGAGACTGCAGAAAGCTCCATGAGTCTTTGCCAGATGCCCTTGTTTAAAACACTTACCCTTGCACTGAGGCTCGTGTCTCCAATGTAGCCCTAACAGGGGCCTGTGTCCTCAGAACTTGGCCTCTTCTTATCCTCCTTCTACACCTCACCTTGCTTCATTTTACTCTGCATTCCTCTCATGCTGGCTTTCCAATATCGTTGGAGAAGCTGAATCACTTGGCTCTCAGAGAGCAAACATGCTCTTCTTAGAATCCACCCTCGATGCAGTCCTGAACTTCTTAACTCTTAATCATCACTTGAATTTTAGCAACATAATCCACTTCTCAATGAAGTTTTCTTCAATGGTGTTGTTCCCAAACATTTTCACCTTATGGTGTCAAAAAGCAACCTGCAGTAAAATGAGAACACTGCTCAGAAGAGAGGCAACTGTCTATGGGGCTCCATCTAACCTGGGACCATCCAGTCACCCTTGAGGTGAGGGTATCAAATGCTGAACACTCCTGTAACCCATTTATATCCCACAGCTCAGAGATGGAAAATATTGCTAGCCATTCACTCTCCTCCAGTAGGTCAAAACCTAATTATCCTGTCTTATGGCCTCATGTGCCTGTTAGCACTTTGTAGAGTCAGGATTTTGCCTTTAGGCTGTTCATCTCATGGAAGCAGGACCATTGTCAATTTCTGTTCCTTCTTATAGCTCTAGAAGCCATACACTCTTAGTATTTGTTGAATAAATTAATGAAAGCTCAAAATACCCAGAGTCCCACACTAGGACATGAGAGAAGTGGGATATAAACCACGGCTGCCTAGATTTAGAGACTATATTCTTATAACACACTATGTTTCCTTTCCAACACATTTTGTAAACATTGTTAGGGAAAAAACATTAAATATACATTCTCAATATGAATTTTTAAAATCCTGTTATTCTTTAGTTACCCTGGAATTTTGAGTAACTAGAAACTCCCATCTGTGAATATTCTTAGCTATCAATATTTTACTACACTTCTGCAAGTTAGTTTTGCTGCCTCCCGTGCCCCACGCAATGTGCTATGATATGCATCTACAAAAATATATGTCATGAATAACTCAGTGAGGCTGAGCTTTTGTCCATCTGTAATTGGACTTAATTAACAGCAGTGATCACAGAGCAACTATGGCTTGTACCCCTCCTAAAATCTGGAGACTGGGTTTATTGGAACCTACTCCCAGGCTTGTTCTTAGCCCTGGTATGAAAAATGGAAAGTTTACTTTTTTGCCCTTTCTCTTTTGTTTTCTTGACAATTTGTCTGTTGAGGATGTGTCTTCTCTAGGGCCTTGCCTAACCACACTACTCTCATCCATTCTATAACTACTCTTCTGCTGCCTCCATCCTCTTATGACCATGGGGCAGGGAGTGGGGGGACTTTATGTTAAGGTGTACATGACCCATTAACATAAAACATACATTCTTTTAAATATGCTTAATACAAAGATGTAAAATGTATTGAAATCCATTTTAGATTTTCACTCATTCAAAGTGGAGACCAGTTTAGGGATTCATTTTAGGGCTGGGGGCTGCCTCCCAAAGGCCCTTCGAATCAAATTGCACCCAGGGCTGGCCACCAGGGGCCACGTCAGTGCTGTGCATGTCCTAGAGACAATAAAAAAAATCTTGCAGTGCATTTCCCACACTCTTTCACAGAGCCCAGATCCATTATGTTTCTTCTCTGTCTATTGCTTACTTTCAAATTCCCTTTTACCCTTTAATTATGCTCCTTTTGGGAGAAGTTAAAAAACATTTCTGAAGAATAATGACAGAAAGGAAGGGGAGAAAGGTATTCCCTTTGAAGAGAACTTTCCCAATCTTTTTTTTTTGTCTTCCATAGGAATCCCAGCTGTATGCTTACTGTGTGTCTGTATACACACATTTGAGAGAAGGGCAGACAGATGAGGGGATGGCAGAAAAGGATGGTCCCTGGGACCGTGAAGTAACTTTAATAAAAGGCCATTGTGTTTAGGAATGAATGTATGTGTGTGAAAGAGAAAGAATAGAGACAGAAAAATTGTGAGAGGAGAGATGAAAAAGATTTTAAAAAACTGAAAGAAAAGAGGGGGAGGGAAAGGGAAAAAAGGAAAAGAGGGATGGAGGCACAGGAGAGGTAAAGAGACAGAGACAGAGGTTAGCGCTATCTCACCTGGGATGACCCTAATGGTAAATTTATAATAAGGAGATGAGGCTGCTGAATGATTTACTGCTAATCCCATAGCAAGAGCAGGAGGAGGTGAAGGAACAAAGGTTTACAGTCCCTTTGGAGATTTGTTTCATCTGCACATCAGCCCACAATTAATGGCCATTTAGCTGTTTTTCTCCTGCTGGACACTGGTGGATTGATTCAGTAAATAAAAGTGACAGAGCGATGTCCCACGGAGGCAGGTGGCGGAGTCTCTGCACCTGTTATTTGTGAATCTCGGCTTGCCAGGTCGTTGACCTTTAGAAGCTGGCAAAAATTAATAAGTGAAAGCACAAAGCTGCTTGCTTTTAAAAATGCAACCAGAGGACCCAGGCAGAGTTGGGCTGCCTTTTTAGGAAGTGGCCAGAAATCTCTGCATAGTTACCACCTCTCAATCCTCAGACCAGGAGCACCCACAGGAAGTAAGGCTGCTCCTCCAGTGTCTCTTAGCCAGTCTCACCATGTGGCCCAAGATGGCCCAGGGAAGTGGAAGTGTGGAGATCCTTGGGGAGCGGAAAACCGCAGCTCATGCTGCCAGATTGGGATTCGGCCTGTCCTGTTCTTCCGGAAGCAGTTTGGGGACAGTTGTGAGTAGGTGGTGAGTGGCCCAGCCAAACTGGGCTAGCGCATCTGAGCAGCTGTGCTTGGCATGGTGATCTGGTGAGCAAACAGCTGCAGTGGATAGCTGATCATTTGCAAATAGTTAATGACAGATTTGTCCTTTGTGTTCACTGCCATAGGAGGGGAATAAAATGAAAGAGAGGGAGAGTCAGGCCAGGGGATTTTATAGCTGCTGCTACTGCGATTGCTGTTGTTATTGTGGTTGTTTTGAAAGTGACAAGAAGGTCAAATGAAGTTAACAGGCTTTGCTTCTCTCCTAAGCAAACTGCCTCCCAATGGAATCCAGTTCATGGGTGTGGGCATATCACGGTGTTCAATGAACATACGGCTGATATGTCCTAAATCAAGATGCATTAACCTGGTATACAAAAACAAACAGACAAGCAACCATTTTCCTTTTCCTTCTTTCCTTCCTCATTTCTCTTTCTTTCCCTTTCTTTCTTTCTTTCTTTCTTTCTTTCTTTCTTTCTTTCTTTCTTTCTTTCTTTTCTTTCTTTCTTTCTTTCTTTCTTCTTTCTTTCTCTTTCTTTTCTTCTTCTTTCTCATTCTCTCTCTCTCCCCTGTTTTTTGTAACTTGGCTTTTTATTATTTATTTCTCAGTAAATTACAGTCATCTAGCAAACATAATTAGCCTTTGTTTGCCATGCAGATGAGGAAAAGCCTGGATTTGTTTAAATGAGTTACTGAGCATTAAACAGTGCACTCAATTCACCTGTGGGTGTTATCTGAGTGATTATAAAGGACACTTGCCCTATTATGTCCCTAAATAGAATTGCACCATTAGCAATGCATTCATCTGAGTTAAGGTATTTCAGGTTTAAAGAGTCTTCCTTTAAATGGCTAATTCCCCTGGGATGTAACTCACTTGTTTTATTGTAGTGCAACTAATCCATCAGCAAGGCCTAGAAACCCTGTCTCCAAAATATGTGCTGAATCTGGCCACTTCCATTTCTGCTGCTATCAAACTAGCCAAGCCATTATTGTGCCTCGTCTGCATTTTTGCATCATGCTCCTAACTTGTCTCACTTTTTCCTCATTACCCCTTTGCCATCCATCCTCCACCTGTAACCCAAGATATCCTTTAAATCAAATTATGCCACTGTTTTAAAATATCCAGCAGTTTTCCAAGTGCTTAGAATAAAATTCAAACTACTTACCATGCCCCGCAGCCTGGAACTTTAACTCTTACCACTCACTCACTCTCACCTACTCAATATTATCTAGCCCCTAGAAAGCATTCTTGCTTTTCCATTAACCTGAGAAGCTTGTTCTTACCTCAGCAACTTTGGCCTTGTTATTTCTTCTCTTTTGCATTATCGTTCGAAGATCTTCACATGGCTGACTCCTTCTCAATATTCAGGTACTAGCTAAAACGTCATCCATCAGGAAAGACGTTCCCTGACCTCCTTGTCTAAAGTAGACCTCTTTCTGCAGTTAATGTTGCAATGCTTTGATTTTCTGGTTATCTCCATCACTGAGAACAATATCCCATATAAAGTGAGGTTCTGCAAGTCTTACTTGAATAAAGAAATTAACAAAATTAGAAAACCTATTAATGTTGAACAAAACTGACAATGCAGGATGGAGGAAAAGAATTAATCCTCCCGATACAAAGTATACAGGGGAGAGGAAAATGGAGATAATCTAGATGGGATAGGGAATGTGTCAAAGGGAGACTGATCGTGCACTACAGTACAAGAAGGGAAAACTAGAAGTCCAGGTCCTTCAAGAGAAATGTGTGAGGTTTAAGAGTATATAAAAAGTGAGAAGCAGGCAGAAATGGCATGTGAGTGCGTTCTAAGCACCAACTTGTGTTTAACTGCAGTTTTGTTGTTTACAAAAACAATTTAAGGTATGCTTAACATGTGAGATCAAAGAATAAACTTTTTAAGTGTTGAATGGCTACTATGTACTTACTAAACTTAGATCGACAATCTCTAGATGATGAAAATTGTAAGATTTTTAAGCTATTTTCTAAGCTTCTTCAGTTCTCAGTTTCCTTAGTTTTCTTTTTTTTCTTTTGTATTTTTAGTAGAGACGGGTTTCACCGTGTTAGCCAGGATGGTCTCGATCTCCTGACCTTGTGATCCATCCGCCTTGACCTCCCAAAGTGCTGGGATTACAGGCGTGAGCCACTGCGCCCAGCTCCTTAGTTTTCTAATGGCCTTACCAGCCAATAATCTAAATGGGAACAGGCTCATAAAACCCATCTCAAGCCAAGAAGGATGGGAACCTTTTAAGGCCTACAAATAGCTCAACTGCATCATCTATCCTGAAGTGTCCTTAAAGGTAGTTGAGGGATTCTGGCTCCCTAGTTCAATGATGCTAAATGGTTTATGTAATTCCAGAGGAAATAAGAAATATCTCTGTGAGCTTTGTGGCGTTATATCTGGTAATTATCAAGGCTGACTCAAGAATATGTATAAGTGGAAAAGTAAACTTTCAAAATCCAAATTGGTTAAAGATTGAGTGTATAAGAAAACAGAGCAGGCAATTATTAATTGTTGTTATAGATTTTGTGTAATAAATTATTTAAACTTACCATCACCACGGACACATCAGCACATGTCCACATCCATACCTCCACATCCACACCTCCACATCCACACACTTAAAATCAAATCTTTAGCATCTTTCCATGGTTCCTGATATGGTTTGGATCTTTGTCCTCTCCAAGTTGCATGTTGGAATGTGATTTTCTTTGTTGGAGGTGGGGCCTAATGACTGGATCATGAAGGGGGGATCCCTCATGAATGGTTTAGCACCATTCTCTTGGTAATGAGTTCACACTCAGTCAGTTCATACAAGACCTGGTTGTTTAAAAGAGCTTGAGACCTCCCCATTCCCTCTGTCTTGCTCCTTCTCTTGTTATGTGACAATGGCTCCCATTTGCCTTCTGCCATAATTGTAAGCTTCATGAGGCCCTTACCAGAAACAGATGTCTGCACCTTGACTCCTGTACAGCTTGCAGAACTGTGAACAAATTAAACCTCTTTTATTTATAAATTATCCTGTCTCAGGTATTTCCTTATAGCAATGCAGAAATGGAATGACACAGAAAATTGGTACCAAGGATGGGGGGCATTGCTATAAAAATATGAAGATGTGGAGGTGGTTTTGGAACTGGGTTAGCAGGCAGAGGTTGGAAGAGTTTAGAGGGTTCAGAAGAAGAAAGGAAAATGAGTGACAGTTTTAAACTTCTTAGAGACTGGTTAAATGGCTGTGATCAAAATGCTGACAGAGATGTGGATAGTGAAGTTCAGGCTGATGTGCTCTCAGATGGAAATGAGGAATTTATTGGAAATGGGAGTAAAGGCCATGTGTATTACACCCTCAAAAATCTTGGCTGCATTGTGTTTATGCTTAGGGATCTATGGAAGTTTGAATTAAAGAATGATGACCTGGGGTAGCTGACAGAAGAAATTTCTAAGCAGGAAAGCATTCAAGAAGTGGCCTAGCTACTTCTAACTACCTGTGATCAGATGTGGGAAAAAAAGGAATGACTTAAAGTTGGAACTTATATTTAAAAGGGAAGTAAAGCATAAAAATTTGGAAAGCTCACAGACTACCCTTGTGGCATGCATTTTCAAGAGAGTAATATGAGTGTGCTACAGAGCAACCAGTTGCTGGAGAGATTAGCATGACTGAAATGGAGTCAAGTGCTCCATCCAAGTGTTCCTTTTCCCCATTCAAGTCAATAGGGAAAAGGCCTAGAAGGCATTTCAGAGATCTTCTAGGCAGTGTCTACCCATACAGGCCCAGAGGGCTAGGAAGAACAAATGATTTACAGGGCCATGCCCAGGGTCCCGCTATGTCGTGTAGCCTTAGGACACTGCTCCCCACATCCAGGATGCTCTGACTCCAGCCTTGGCTCAAAGGGCCGCAGGTACAGCTCCAGCTACCACTTAGAGAGTGCAAGCCACCATAAGCCTTGGCAGCTCCCCCATGGTGTTAAGTCTGCAAGCACACAGAACGCAAGAGTATAGGAGGCTTCGTAGTTTCCACCTAGATTTCAGAGGATATATGGGAAAGTCTGTGTGCCCAGGCAGAAGCCTGCCACAGAGGAGGAGCCCCTGGAGAGAGACTCTACTAGGGCAGTGCCAAGGGGAAATAAGGGGTTGAAGTCCCCACCAGGTCATTGCCTAGTGTAGCTGTGAGAAAGGGGCTGCTGCTTTCAAGACCCAAGTATGGTAGAACCAACAACAGGTTGTACCCTGAGCCTAGAAAAGCCATAGACATTCAAGTTCTACACATGAGATAAGCCACAGGGGCTGCACCCCACAAAGTCACAGGGGCAGAGCTGCCCAGGTTCTTGGCAATCCACCCCTTGCACGAGTGTGCCCTGGATGAGCAACATGGAGTCAGGGGAGATTATTTTGGAGTTTTAATATTTAATGAATTCCCTGCTGGGTTTCAGACTTGCTTAGGGCCTATCATCCCTTTATTTTGGTTATTTTTTCCCTTTTGGAAGGAGAATGTATACTCAATCCTTGTTCCATCATTGTATCTTGGAGTAACTAACTTGTTCTTGATCTTACATGCTCATATATGGAAGAAACTCATCTCCAGATGAGAATTTGGACTTGGGACTTGGAACTTTTGAATTAAAGCTAGAAGAAGTTGAGAATTTGGGAGACTATTCTGAAGGCATTATTATATTTTTGAAATGTGAGACAGGCATGTGATTTGAGGGCCATAGTCAGAATGATGTGGTTTGGATATCTGTCCCCTCCAAATCTCATGTTGAAATGTAATTCCCAATGTTGGAGGTGGGGCCTGTTGGGAAGATATTAGCTCATGGGAGTGGGTCCCTCATGAATGGCCTAGCACCATCCCTTTGGTAATAAGTGAGTTTATATTCAGTTATTTTATGCAAGATCTCGTTGTTTAAAGGAGACTGGGACATCAGTTTTATCTCTCTCTTGTTCCCTTTCTCGTCATATGGCACACTGGCTCCCATTTGCCTTCTACCATGATTATAAGTTTTCTGAGGCCCCTACCAGAAGCAGATGCTAGCATCCTGCTTCCTGCAAAGGCTATAGAACTGTGAGCCAATTAAACGATCTTTCTTTATAAATTACCCAGTCTCAGGTATTTTTTAGAATAACACAATAAAGGACTGACAAAGCTCCCCTGGGAATACTGAGAATGTGGAGGTTTTGCTTGAACTGGAACCACATTTAAAGCCTATATTGACTACAGGCCAACTGGGAGTTACTTTGAAGGTAGATGAGATATAGACACGTGAGCTGACAGAGAGAGATGAAACCCAGTGGTTTTTCAATAGTAAAGTGAATTCCAAAATATGAAGGTAAATACACATCCCCAAAGTGTCTGCCTGATAATGAACATTTCTAACAAATTTCCAAGTGATGTGGATGCTGTTTCTCTGGCCTCTACATTTGAGAATCTTTAGTCTTTTTGCATCTGTCTAATTTTAATTGAAGTAACTGAAGCCTAGAAATTTTGAATCACTCTGTAGCTAAAGGCTAGTTACAAAAAATTTGAATCACTCTCAAAGTTTCTAAAATTATACTAATATTTGTATCCAGTAAATATTTATTGACCAACTAGTACTGACAAAGGCATGTTCTTCTCACTACTCCCACCAACTTAGAATGTGGCCCAGTGACCATGGAAATTTTTGAAAAAGATATTGTGCTTTTGCTAAATGTCCTGTGTGCACACTTTCAAAGGATCTTTGCATGTCTTTTAGGTGAAGGAAAGATCTGGCACACAGTGTCTGACTCCAGTGGCCTGGCCTCCTGCCATGGAACTATATGCAGGTGGGCATGACTGGGCCCTTTCTGTTCTGTTTATAGTACATTTTTCTTTTTTGGATGCCTCCTTCTCAGCCAGCGATTTTGGCCACCAAAGGTGACTTCATTTAACTTTATTTCGAAAATATCTCCCCTTTTTTCTGTCACAGAAAACTTGGCCAGAAAGCAAAGTTAAGAACAGATAATATGACCCAGGCTAACAAGGTGTGATTATTTCCCTCACCATAGAAAACTGTGGAATGACTGGCCAAGCAACTGGGAAGTTTGGGGTGCTTGCATTGACCCCCATTGAAGAGGACAGTAAGGCAAAATTTTGGTTAGAATAGTTTATCCTGAACTGGAGATATTGCTTCTAATAAGACATCATTATGGAGTGTTCTATTAGCATGGCTCTGGACAACAGGTCAATTATTTCTGTCTCCAATTCTGAAACCAGGGGGAGATCAAAGGGTTGTGGAAGAGGTTAATGACCGAAATAAGTTTAACAAATAAAAGGAAAAAATGTTCTCTACATGCAGCATGGGGTCAACCCCTAAAGTCACTTTAAGAATAGGTCACAAAGTCAAATACTGCAGAGCTGTGTTGTAGAAGAGCTGAGCAAGTTTATAATGAATAATGGTGTTTACATAATATGATGGGTTTGGGCTGGAAGCTGAGGGCTACAGAGATCAACAGTAAGTACTGACCCTACCACCTTTGAAAGAGTTTTATTTTTTTTTGACCAGAGTGGGAAGCTCAGTGTCCAGACAGGCTTAATCCAGATCTGCATTAATCTGCTCTCATTATCCTGCTTCTTTCCTGATTAGCTGGAGGTCAAAAAATCTGGACTTGTACATGCTGACTGCCTGACCTGCTGAGGTGGATGGCAGATGCAGGGCAGCCTTCAGACCTGAGTAAGAGAAAGTCCATCTCAATGTCCTCCTGGGCTTTCAATTCAGTGACAAATTGCAGGGTAAAAATCTTCCGATTGGGGTGAGGTGGGATTCTTTTCAAAAGTCTTTCCAGAGCAAATGAGTTTGCATGAAAATCTGACACTAGTAATCACATACTTTGGCACAGAGAAATAGGTTGGAATAGAGTGTGTGTGTGTGTGTGTGTGTGTGTGTGTGTGTGTGTGTGTGTGTGTGTGTGTTGGGGGTGAAAGGTGAAGGATGGTCTGGAGGGGAATGTTTTCCCAGAAAAGAAGCACTTTTACAAGTGTCAACAGGATGACTAAAGTGATGCAACTTTTGTTTTTAAAAAGAAACGAAACTTTATGCATCTACAGGAGTGTTATTATTTTTTGAAAAAATGAACCTGAGATGATATACCTCTTCCAAAAATCCTACATCATCTCAAACATGGTTGGAATGACCCTTTGAATGTTGCCTTTAGAGCTAATAATGTATTCTTTTCATGTATTTCTTATTATAACAAAGTTTCAACATTTTTTAAAGGTAAAATTAAATAACAAAGTCTGTGCTTATCCTGTCTCTGTCTCTTAAGATTGGGATAACCTTAGGTAAGATATTTGCCTTCTCTGTGCCTCAGTTTCTCCATCTGTAAAGACACAATAGATTATATCTACCTCCTGGAGTCATTGGGAGAAATAAATAAATTAATACACTTAAAAAGTCCAAACAGTGCCTTTAATAGAGTAAGGGACTTTGTAAAATTTAGTTAATATTATAATTGAGACAATTATATTATAATTGAAAAAATAGAAATTACTAAATTGAACACTATTCTTTAGGATGCAAAACAATTAATGAGATGAATGTCATGAGACAAAAGCTGTTGGCATGTATGTGCTAGAATTATTCTCTACCACCTTCCCCATCATCTTTATTCAGAGCGTTTTCTCCTGTCAGGTTTATGCATTAATTCAAGAGGAGAAAAAATTATCTATCTTGGGGAAAGTATCTCCCCAACTTGTAAATTTCCCATGAAGCTCCCTCTTCAAAATCATTCAATAAACATCTTCATGTGGTGCCCACAATTCATGACACTTTTCCCTTCCCCATAAATAATTAAAATTTGCCAGAAAATGGAAGTAATGTTTGTGTGTTTGTTTTTAACTTTTCTTTAAAAGCCACTGCTAGCTTACCTGACCCAATATTTTAAAACTTATTTACCATGTAAAGCGGAGCCAGAGTCCCAGTACTCATTGTGTAGTGCAGTAAAAAGAATGCCCTCTAGCTGTAACAAAGTATTGCTAGGACAGAGGGCTAAATCACAAAGATTCAGCTATCCAGGCTACTAAGTACCTTTAGCAAATGAGAGCAATTTAAAGGCAATGTGAAATCTCCTGTGCAGTTGGCTATTTTATACATATGTGCATACACGGTTTAAAGAGAGAAGTGAAAATAAACAACTTAGATAAAATTTGGCTGGCTTTGTAGCATACTCTGACCTAATCTCCTGCAGTAATAACTTCAAATCCAACCTAATAGAATAGCATAAATAGCAGTGTTTTATCCCAATTAACTCAGCTTGGCACTAAATAAGCTTGGTTCTATTCTATAAAATTTAAAATACCTCCTCCTGACCACCTGCACACATTCCCATGGTTTGCATATATTTGATTTTAATGTTTTTGTTTTGTTTCATTTTGTTGTGTATTTTTGCTTTCTAATAGAGAGGGATGAGAAGTATTGAATGGGAAATTGCTCCAATATGCCCAAATCTCATTCCCTTTGCATAGCTCTGAGTATATTCAGTGGGAGAAACAGTTGCTGAGGTCTACAAAAATTGATTCACATTTTTGCCAAATCTTCATGTTTCCTTCTTAAAGACTAATACACACATGAAAATGTTGCAACCAAACCACCTACAAAATTAAAAAAAAATGATTAAGCACAAAATTTATGGGATACACGTTACTAAACTTAATAATCTATAGTATCCTTCATGAGAAATGAAGTCAGTATCCTAGAACCATCAAGGAGACAAGATATATAAATCAACACAGAAATAGATCACACTGATGACTTTTCCCTGTTTAAAGAAATGTCAAAGACAAACATATACATGGAATGTAATCAATGTGAATAATAAGAAATAACCATTGTGGGTACTGAACTTTCCATCAAATTTTTGTTTGAGCTTTCTGGTATATTTTGACATTTAATTCTAAAATTTTAAAAATATATGCAAACAGGAATGAATTGAGGTGCTCCTCTTTTTTTTGTGGTGAGTTGGTTGTGGTGGAGGGATTTAAAAGATGAAAGAATTGCACACACACAAAAAAGTACTAACATTTCCTAACAAGTTGGCAGATTTTCTAAAAATTATTTCTAAATAAGTAAAGATTGCACATGCTTAATAAAATATATTAATCCTTGTGAATCTTCTTCATTGAATTCATACTTAAGCTCCCACTAAGTGTTTGAAGGAAAATAACCAAAAAAATCTAGAATACTATAAAAATGGTGTCCTTCCAATGTTTTATTCGATTAACAAAGATTATTCACAGAGATTGATGAAATACCAAAGATGGTCCCAAAACACACCATTTCCATATCTTATGTTTATATTTACCTCTCTGAACTTCTGAGAGTTTACTATTGTTTCTGTGGGCTAGTTTATTATGGATCAGATCAACCTAGAGAAATTAGGAAAAGAAATAGAGAGCAGAAAACAGAATATTCTATTTTGCTTCTACTTTCCTTTCTGTCTATATGAATAAAGCAATGAAATGCAGTGTGAAAAAATGAACATAAGGAGGCTGCATGTGAGTCTTGACTCTGCATTAATTGGTTATTTAATTCTGAACGAATAATGTAACATCTCTGAGCCTTACTTTACTTGTGTTCAAAATGAGGGTTTGGAACCTAACATAATTACCTTTTCACATTTTAATTATGAAATATTTTAATAACATAGAAGAATATACCAAATGCTATTACAACCAAAGATCTATTAAACATAGTTAACAAATGCAAATATTTTGTGATATTTACTTTAGGTCTTTTCTTTAAACATGTGTGAGACATAATTTGCACATCATAATATTAATTAATTTTAAATTTCCAACTCAAATATTTTTAGAAAATTTACAGTTTTGTGTAACCATCACCAAAATCCAAGTTTAAAACATGTTTATCACCTGTAAAATATCTCTTGCATGCCTTTCATTGTCAAGTCCTGCCCCCAGATTCACCGTTTCTTAATATCACATGCAAAGAATCAAATAGGAGTGGCTTTTTGCATGTGGAGTTTTTCACTTAGCACAGAAGTGGACAAACTGTAGCCCACCGGCCAATTCCTGCTTCACTCTTACTTTTATGAACAAAATTGTATTGATTACAGCCACACCCATTAATTTACATAGCATCTATGACTATTTTTTTTCTACAAGGACAAAGTTGAGTAGCTGCAACAGAAATTTTATAGACTGCAAAGCTTACAGGAGTTACTACAGGGCCCTTTAAAGAAGTTTGCCAATCCTAGACTTGGCATGTTTTTGAGGTTCAAGATATTGTGGTATATTTCAGCTCTCCATACCTTTTTGTTGTTCAGTAGTGTCCTAGCCTATGCATTTATCTCATTTCCTTTATCCATTTCCCAGTTGTGAGATTATTTCCAGTTCTTGGCTATTTTGAATAATGCTATTATAAATTTGTGACTATCTCTTTGTGCAGAAATATGTTTTCATTTTCTTGGATAGATACCTATGGGTGGAATTGGTGGCTCTCTGATAAATCTGTGTAATTATTAAGAAACTCTCAAATTGTCTTTCAAAGTGACTAAACTATTTTACATTCCTACCAGGAGGGTATGAGGGTTACGACATTTCCACATCCTCACCAATACTTGTTGCCTCTCTTTTAAAGTATAGCTATTCTAGTTATTGTGAAATAGTATCTCATTTAGTTTAAATTTGTGTTTTTTTAATGACTAGTAATGTTGAACCTTGTTTCATGGTCTTATTGACCTTGTATCTACCTTCCTTTGTTAAATATCTCTTCAAATTCAAATTCTGGACACAGTCCTTTATTGAATTTGTGATATGTAAATATTTTTTTTCAGTCAAACTTGTCTTTCTATTATGTAATGATGTGTTTTGAAGTGCAGTTTTTAATTTTGATGGAGTTTAGTTTTATCTTTTTTCAATGGATTTTAGTTTGAGTGTTGTAGTTAAGAAATCTTTGCCTAACCCGATGTAATCAGAATTGTATTGTATGTATTTTTCTAAGATAACCTTGGATTGAATTCTATTATCCACTTTAATTCTGTGTGTGTGTATGATGCAAGTTAAGTGTTTATATTCATCTTTCTGCACATATATGTCCAATTGTCCTAGCAAAATTTGTTGAAAAGACTTACCTTTCTCCATTGATTTGTCTTGGTACCTATGCCAAAAATGAGTTAGCTAGAAGTATAAGGGTTAGTTTCTAGACTTTAGACTCAAATCTGCATATCAGTGCCACACTGTCTTGATTACTGAAGTTTCACAGTAAGTTTTAAAGTACAGAAGCCCATCAACTTTGTTTTTCTTTTTCAGTATGGTTTTAACTATTCTGGGTCTTTCATATTAACATGTAAATTTCAGAATTAGTTTATGAATTTCTGCAAGAACAAACAAAGAGCCTGCTGGGATATTTATAATGATTGTTTCAATCTATAGAATAATTTGGGAAGATGTGCCATCTTTATGGTAGATGATAGTAAGTCTTCCGATCCACAGACATGGAGTGTCTCTCCATCCATATAGACTTTAATTTCAACCAGCAAAGTTTTATAGATTTTGGACTACAAGTCTTGTGCTTCGTTTGTTAAATGTATTCTTAAATCTTTTATTCTGTTTGATTCTCTAGAGAGTGGAATTTTTTTCTTACTTCCACTTTTTAGTTATTCATTGATTGAATATATAAATACAGTGGATGTACTATGTATCATGCATCATTGCTGAAACTTTTAATGAGTTCTAATAGCTGATCTTTTTGTGTGTGTAAAGGCGGGTGGTTTGGTTACTTTTTGTGGATTGCCTAATTTTCAACATACAGGATGATGTCATCTTAGAATAAAGATAGATTCATTTCTTCCTTTTTGATATGAATGCCTTTTATTTATTTTTGTCTCCAGATGATTTTGGCTAGAAACTCTAGTATAATGTTGACTAGAAAAGGCAAAAGTGATTATCCTTGCCTCTTTCCTTGTATTATAGGAAAATCATTCAGTATTTCACCATTAATTGTGCTGTTAGCTATAGGTTTTTATTAGATGTTTTCAGATATTGAATCACCTTTGCATTGATAGGATAAATCCTTCTTGATTATACTGTATAATCCTTTTTATATGTTGCTGTATTCTTTATTTTTAATATTGTTTGAGGATTTTGAGTTCTATATTGAGAGATATTTGTCTCTCATTCTCTTTTCTAATAAAGTTTTTGTCGGACTTTGGTATCAGAATAATACTGACTTCATAGAACATGATAGGAAGTAATTTTTTCATATTTTATTTACTGGAAGAGCATGAGAAAGATTGTTATTATTTCATTTTTAAATATTTTGCAGAGTCCTTTACTGAAGTCATCTGGCCCCTAGGTGTTTATTTGTAAGAGGGTTTTTAATTACTATTTCAATTTCATTATTTGTTCAAATATATTTAGATTTTCAAATTCTTCTTGGTTCACCTTACATTAATTTATTCCTTTTTAGGAATTTGATCACTTCATCTGGGTTGCCTACTTTGTGTGCACTAAATTGTTCACAATATTTCCTTAAAATCCTTATAGGTTTGGTAGAGTTTGTAGTGATGTACCCTCTGCCGTTCCTAATTTGGGCGATTTTCTTTTCTTTTTTTTTTTTTTTTTTTTTTTTGGATGTTTTAGTTAAATGTGTAACAATGTTGTTGATCTTTTCAAAAAACTAATATGTAAAATAGCCCACTTTCCCACAGCCTTGCCAATAGAACATGTTTCTCAAACTTATAGAATTTGGCCTTTTTAATATGTGAAAGTTGTATATAAAAATGATTTAATATCCCTTTTTCTTAGTTTGAGCATTTGTTTCACATGTCTAAAAATTGAGGAGGAGGGACTCCTCCTTAACTACTCCATGAGACCAGCTTCATCACGATACCAAAACCTGGGAGAGACACACTCACAAAAAGAAAACTTCAGACCAATATCTTTGAAGAACATAGATGCAAAAATACATAACAAAATACTAGCAAACTGAATCCAGCAGCACAGCAAAAAATTAATCCACCACAATTAAATATGCTTTATCCCTGGGATGCAAGGTTGTTTCAACATTCATCACATAAACAGAACTAAAAACAAATACCAAATGATCATCTCAATAGATGTAGAAAAGTCTTTCAATACAATTCAAAATCTCCTCATGTTAAAAACCCTCAATAAGCTAAGCATTGAAAGAACATACTTCAAAATAATGAGTCATCTATGACAAACTCACAGCCAACAGGATACCAAGTGGGCAAAACCCGGAAGCATCCCACTTAAAAACCAAAACAAGATGAGGATGCCCTCTCTCACCACTCCTATTTAACATATTACTGGAAGTCCTGGCCAGAGCAATTGGGCAAGAGAAAGAAATGAAAGACATCCAAGCAGGAAGAGAGGAAGTCAGACTACCCCTGTTTGCAGGTGATGTGATTCTGTATCTGGAAAACCTTATAGTCTCTGCCCAAAAGTGCCCCGATCTGATAAACAAATTCAGCAAAGTTTCAGGATACACAATTAATGTACAAAAATTAGTAACATTATTTTACATCAACAACATCAAAGCTAAAAGCCAAATCAAGAACACAGTCCCATTCATGATAGCCACAAAAATAATAAAATACCTAGGAATACACCTAACCAAGGAGGTGAAAGGTCTCTACAACCAGAATTACAAAACACTGCTCAAAGGAATCAAAAATGACACAAACAAATGGAAAAACATTCCCTGCTCACAGATAAGAAGAATCAATATAATTAAAATGCCCATACTGCCTAAAGCAATTTATAGATTCAATGCTATTTCTATCAAACTACCAATGACATTCTTTACAGAATTAGAAAAAAAAACTATTTTAAAATGTATATGGGCCGGGCGCAGTGGCTCACGCCTGTAATCCCAGCACTTTGGGAGGCAGAGGCGGGCGGATCATGAGGTCAGGAGATCGAGACCATCCTGGCTAACACAGTGAAACCCCGCCTCTACTAAAAATACAAAAAATTAGCCGGGCGTGGTGGCGGGCGCCTGTAGTCCCAGCTACTTGGGAGGCTGAGGCAGGAGAATGGCGTGAACCCGGGAGGCGGAGCTTGCAGTGAGCCGAGATTGCGCCACTGCACTCCAGCCTGGGCGACAGAGCGAGACTCCATCTCAAAAATAAAATAAAATAAAATAAAATAAAATAAAATAAAATAAAATAAAATAAAATGTATATGGAACCAAAAAAAAAGCCCGGATAGCCAAGGCAATCCTAAGTGAAAAGAACGTAGTTGTAGGCATCATGTTACTCGACTTCAAACTATACTACAAGTCTGCCAAAACGAAAACAGCATGATACTAGTACAAAAACAGGCACATAGAACAATGGACCAAAATAGACAACACAGAAATAAGGTGACACTCCTACAACCATCTGATCATTGGCAAAAGTGACAAAAACAAGCAATGGGGAAAGGACTCCTTATTCCATAAATGGTGCTGGGGTAACTGGCTAGTAATATGTATAAAAATGAAACTGGACCCCTTCTTTACACCATATAAAATTCACCATAAATACAAAAATCAATTCAACATGGATTAAAAACTTAAATATGCATCCTAAAACTATAAATACACTGGAAAATAAACTAGGAAGTACCTCTCTGGACATAAGACCTGGCAAAGATTTCATGACAAAGATGCCAAAAGCAATTACAACAAAAACAAAAATTGACAAATATAGGACTTGATTAAACTAAAGAGCTTCTGCACAACAAAGTAAACTGTTGACAGAGAAAACACACAATCTACAGAATGTAAGAAAATATTTGCAAACTACACATGTGACAAAGATCTAATATCCAGAATCTATAAGGAACTTAAAATAATTTGCAAAAACAAAACAACCTCATCAAAAAGTGGGCAAAGAATATGAACACTTTGCAAAAGAAGGCATACATGTGGCAAAAAAAAAAAACATGAAAAACATACTGAACATCACTGGTCATTATAGACATGCAAATCAAAACCACAATGAGATACCATCTCACACCATTCAGAATGGCTATAATTAAAAACTCAAAAAATAACATGCTGCAAAGGTTTTGGGAAAAGACTTATACACTGCTAGGTGGAATATAAATTAGTTCAGCCATTGTGGAAAGCAATTTTGTGATTTCTGAAAGAACTTACAACTACCATTCAACCCAGCAATCCCATTACTGGGTAAATATCCAAGGGAATATAAATCATTCTATTAAAAAGACACTTGCACACATTCATCACAGCACTATTCACCATATCAAAGACATAGAAATCACCTAAAAGCCCATCAACAGTCGACTAGATAAAAAAAAAATTTTATACATATACACCATGGAATACTACACAGCCATAAAAGAGAACGAGATCATGTTCTTTGCAGTAACAGGGATGGAGCTGGAGGCCATCATCATTAGTAAACTAACACAGGAACAGAAAACCAAATACTGTATCTTCTCATTTATATGTGGAAGCTACACATCTGGTACATATGGTCACAGAGAAAGAAACAATGGACACCAAGGCCTACTTGAGGGTGGGGCTGGGAGGGGGGTAAGGATCAAAAAGCTACCTATCAGTTACTATACTTATTATCTGCGTGATGAAATAATCTGTACATTAAAGCCCCACAACATGCAACTTACTTATATAACAAACCTGCACATGTACCCCTGAACCTAAAATAAAAGTTTAAAAAAAGAATTTGGGTTCCATAGAATATTATATGTTTTACCTATCTTATACTAGATTATTGGACATATTTTTGCTTGATATTTAGAAGTTTTGGTATATAAGGATATAAGCTCTTTATTTGTGATGTAAGTTGAAAATATCTTCTGCTTCTTTTTTTTTTCTTGGACTTTGCATGTGGTGCTCTTGCTGTATAAAAGTTTTCCATTAAAAATATGTAGTCAAATCTTTCTCCTTTTATTAACCTCTTGTTTGAATCATGTTTTCTTCTGTCCCAGACAATAACGTAATTCTCTCACAACTTCTCTAATATTTCTATATTTTTTCTTTGTAAGTTTTTTTTTTTTTTTCCCCAGAGATGGTGTCTTGCTATTTGCCCAGGTTTTTCTCAAACTCCTAGCCTCAAGCAACCCTCTCATCTCAGCCTCCAAGCAGCAAGCCACTGTGCCTGGCTCCTATGATTTTATTTTTGCATTTAGACCCCTGATTTATTTGAAATTTATGTGACATATGGTGTAATATTTAGATACAGTTTTATATTGTTCCTAATAATAATTCAGTTGTCCAATAACTAAATCATCATGTGTTTTTGAGAAGTTGTCTTCTCAAAGAAAACTGCGCTATAAATCAAAATATTAAATGCACTCAAGTGTATGTTTTATGTCTGAACTTATTTCAATTCTTTAGCCTGCTTGCTGATTGATGCACAATTATTGCACTTTGTTTTCTCTTTTCAGAGTCTGTGTAATATCCTTTTTTTTCCTACTTGAACGTAGCATTTTGTTTATAAAAGGATTTCTGGTTATTCAGACTCATATATATATAGATATAGATAAATATATACATACAACCTTTACAATTCATTAACTGCAAAATAAAATATGACATTTTTAGAGAGATTAAGCTTAACTTATAAACTAACTAAAAAATTATTGACCTATTTTAGGTCATTATATACAAAGACAAGATTTCTTTCCATTTCCTTGAATATGGTTTTGTTTGTTTCAAGAATGTTTTAAAGTTTTTCTTTTTATAATTAATTAATTTTTTATTTCAATAGATTTTTGGGGAACAGGTGGTTTTTGGTTACATGAATAAGTTCTTTAGTGGTGATTTCTGAGATTATGGTGCACTCGTCACCCGAGCAGTGTACACTGTACCCAGTGTGTAGACTTTTATTTCCCATCCCCATCCCACTCTTTCCCCTGAGTTTGCAAAGTCCACTGTATCATTCTTATGCCTTTGCATCCTCATAGCTTAGCTCCCACTTATGAATGAGAACACACGATGTTTGGTTTTCCACTCCTGTGGTGCTTCATTTAGAATAATGGTCTCCAATTCCATCAAGTTTGCTGTGAATGCCATTATTTTGTTTCTTGTTATGCCTGAGTAGTATTCCATGGTGTGTGTGTGTGTGTGTGTGTGTGTCACAATTTATTTATCTCCTTGTTGATTAATGGGCCTTTGGGCCTGTTCCATATTGTTGCAATTGCGAATGGTGCTGCTATTAACATGCGTGTGCAAGTATCTTTTTCAAATAATGACTTCCTTTCCTCTTAGTAGATCAATCCCAGGAGTGGGATTAATGGATCAATTGTAGTTCTACTTTTAGTTCTTTAAGGAATCTCCACACAGTTTTCCATAGTGGTTGTACTAGTTTAGATTCCCACCAGTAGTGTATAAGTGTTCCATTTCACCACAACCACACCAACATCTATTATTTTTGATGTTTTTGACTTGATTGATTTTTGATTACTTCTTGCAGGAGTAAGGTGGTATGGCCTTGTGGTTTTGATTTGCATTTCCCTGATCATTAGTGATGTTGAGCATTTTTTTCATATGTTTCCTGGCCATTTGTATATCTTCTTTTAACAATTTTCTATTCATGTCCTTAGCCTACTTTTTGATCGGATCATTTGCTTTTTTCTTGCTGATTTGAGTTCCTTGCATTCTGAATATTAGTCCCTTGTCAGATGTACAGATTGTGAAGATTTTCTTCTACTCTGTGGGTTGTCTGTTTATTCTGCTGATTGTTTCTTTTTCTTTTCAGTTTAATTAAGTCCCATCTATTTATTTTTGTTTCATTGTGTTTGCTTTTGGGTTTTTGGTCATGAAGTCTTAAGCAGAACTAAATGAAATTGAAACAAAAAAAAAATTACAAAAGATAAACAAAACAAAAAGCTGGTTCTTTGAAAAGATAAATAAATTGATAGACCATTAGTAAGTTTAACCAAGAAAAGAAGAGAGAAGATCAAAAAAAGCTCCATTATAAATGAAATGGGAGATATTACAACTGATACAACAGAAATACAAAAGATCATTCAAGGCTACTATGAATACCTTCATGTGCATAAACTAGAAAACCTAGAGTAGATGGGAAATTTACTGGAAATATACACCCTCCTAGATTAAATCAGAAAGAAATAGAAACTCTGAACAGACCAACAACAAGCAGCAAGATTGAAATGTTAATAAATGGTGTAAAGAAATTGCCAACAAAAAAAATCAATGACCAGATGAAATCACAGCTGAATTCTATCAGACATTCAAAGAAGAATTGGTCCCAATCCTATTGACACTATTCTACAAGATAGAGACAGAGGGAATCCTCCTTAAATCATTCTATGAAGCCAGTATTCCCCTAGTACAAAAACTGGGAATGGACATAACACCCACACACACAAAAAAAACTACAGACAAATATCCCTGATGACTATAGATGCAAAATATAGCTAACAAAATACTAACTAACCGAATCTGACAGCATAACAAAAAGATAATCCACAACGATCAAGTGGGTTTCATACCAGGGATGGAGGGATGGTTTAATATATGCAAATCAATAAATGCAATACACCACATAAACAGAATTAAAAACAAAAATCCCATGATCATCTCAATAGAGGCAAAAGAAGCATTTGGCAAAATCCAGCATCCCTTTATGATTAAAACCCTCAGCAAATTAGGCATAGAAGGGACACACTTTAATGTAATGAAAGCCATCTCTGACAAACCCACAGCCAACATAATACTGAATGGGGAAAAGTTGAAAGTATTCCCCCTGAGATGAACTGGAACAAAACAAGGATGCCCATTCTCACCACTTCTATTCAACATAGTACTGGAAGTATTAGCCAGAACAATCAGATAATAGAAAGAAATAAAAGACATCTAAATCGGTAAAGAGGAAGTCAAACTGTCACTGTTTGCTGATGATATGATCACATACCTAGAAAACCCTAAAGAATCTCTTGAAAAGCTCCTAGAACTGATAAATGAATTCAACAAATTTCAGGATACAAAATTAATGTACACAAATCAGTAGTCCTGCTATACACCAGCAGCAACCAAACTGAGAATCAAGAATGAAACCCCTTTTATAATAGCTGCAGAAAATTAAAATACTCAGGAATATACCTAACAAGGAGGTAAAAACCTCCACAAGGAAAACTACAAAACACTGCTGAAAGACATCATAGATGACACAAACAAATGGAAACACATCCCATGCTCATGGATGGGTAGAATCAATATTGTGAAAATGACTATACTGCCACAAGCAATCTACAAATTCAATGCAATTTCCATCAAAATACCACTATCATTCTTCACAGAACAAAAAAAAAACTCCTAAAATTCATATGCAACCAAAAAAGAGCCCACATAGCCAAAGCAAGACTAAGCAAAATGAACAAATCTGGAGGCATCACATTAGCTCACTTTGCACTATACTATAAGGCCATAGTCACCTAAACAGCATAGTACTGGTATAAAAATAGGCATATAGACCAATGGAACAGAATAGAGAACCCAGAAATAAAGCCAATACTTACTGCCAAGTGATCTTTGAGAAAGCAAACAAAAACATGAAGTGGGGAAAGGATGCCCCTATTCAACAAATGGTGCTGGTACAATTGGCAAGCCACATGTAGAAGAATAAAACTGGATCCTCATCTGTCACCTTGTGTAAAAATTAACTCAAGATGGATCAAAGACTGAAATCTAAGATCTGAAATCATGAATATGCTAGAAAATAACATCACAAAAACCCTTCTGGATATTGGCTTAGGCAAAGACTTTATGGTAAAGATTTTCTAATATGTTTGTCATAGTTCTTAAGTTCTTTCTAAGTATTTTAGTGAATTATTTTATGCTGAATGTATATTAACTTTTGTCACATACTTTGTTAGAATTTATAAGGATGACTATTTTTTCTAAATAAATTTATTAATATAATAAAGTATTTTACAGGTTGCATATCCTTTATCTGGGACCAGAATATTTCAGATATTTTTTAAATTTTGAAATAGTCACATACATAATGAAATATCTTAAGGAAGGGAACCAAATCTAAACATGAAATTTTTTAAATATAAATCTTATACACATACTCTGAAGTTAGTTTTATACAATATTTGTAATAATTTTTTTCGGGAAACCGTTTGTTTACATTGAACCATCAGAAAACAGGGGTGCCGGGTGTGGAGTTTTTCACTTGTAATATCATGTTATCACTTAAATAGTTACAGGCTGAGCATAGTGGCTCATGCATGTAATCCAAGCAGTTTGAGAAACAGAGGGTGAGGGTGGCTTGAGGACAGACATTTGAGACCAGCCTGGGCAATATATCAAGATGACATCTACAAAACAAAACAAAACAGAACAACAACAACAAAAAATCAGCCAGGCATAAAGGCACATGCCTGTGGTCTGAGCTGGATGGGAGGATCACTTGAGCCTGGAAGTTGAGGCTCCAGTGAGCCATGATTATTCCACTGCACTCTAGCCTGGGTGAAAAAGCAAGACCCATCTCAAAAAAAAAAAAAAAAATTAAGATTTTGGAGCATTTTGGATTTTGAATTTTTTGGATTATGAATGCCCAACCTGTATAGGATTTCCTAATATTAAAAAAAAAAATCTGACATTCCTAAAATCAATCTCACTTTTTCAAAATTATTTTAATAAGGTATTACATTATTTTTGTTCATATTTTTACAACAATATTAATATTTGAATTTTGTCATTAGTTTTATATTATATTAATTCTTGATCATGTTTTTGTTTCCAAATATATTTGCTTTATATAAAAATTTGGACGTTTTTATGCTGTTCCCCCCTCTTTGGATTATCTGATATTTATCTACTTGAAAGAATTGCCTTGCGAATCTGTCTATAAAGCTTTTTTTTTCTTTTTTTTTTTTTTTTGAGTTGGAGTTCTCGGCTCACTGCAACCTCCTCCTTCCAAGTTCAAGCAATTCTCATGCCTCAGCCTCCCCAGTAGCTGGGATTACAGGCATGTGCCTATATTTCTGTATTTTAGTAGAGACTGGGTTTCACCATGTTTCCCAGTCTGGTCTCAAATTCCTGAGCTCAGGCAATCTGCCCGCCTTGGCCTCCCAGAGTGCTAGGATTAGAGGTGAGAGCCACCACGCCCAGCCAAACCTGTGTATTTTTCTACTAATGATTTCTGCTTTTATTTTTCTTAATATATTCCTCTCGTTTCCTTTTCATTTATCATTTTGTTCTATTTTGGATTTTTGGGTTAGATATTTAATTTATTTTTAATTCATTGATACAGATATTTAATTGTGGAAAATTTCCTCCAAGCACTGCTTTAACACTAGTCCATTGATTTAAGCATGTTTCTGTTATTATAATTTTCTTAAAAATCTGTTATTTAAAAATTTATTTATTTATATATAATACTTGTACATTTATATGAGGATACATATATGGAATTTTCCTACAAACATAGACTATGTAATGCTCAAGTCAGAAGGTTTGAAGTATTCATCATCTGAAATATTCATTATTTCCATGTATTGGAAACATTTCAAGTCCTCTCTTCCACTATCTGGAAATACATAAAATACTATTGTTAAAAACCGTCACCCTACAATGCAACCAAACTTTGAACTTACTCCTTCTGTTTAAACTGTGTTCTTACACATTACATAACCTCTCTTCATCCTGCTCTCACCCCCACACACCCTTCCAAGCCTCTGGTTTCTATCATTCTATCTATCTTTCTCTATGAGATCAACTTTTGTAGCTCCAAAGAAAGAGGAAGAACATCCAAAATTTGTTTTTCTGTACCTGGCTTATTTCACTTAATGTAAGGACCTTTAATTCTATCCATGTTACTATTAATGAAAGAATTTCATTCTTTTTTATGGCTAAGAAATATTTCATTGTGTATATATACCACATTTTCTTTAAATATTCATTTGGTGATGGACACTTAGGTTCTTTACTACTGTGAGTAGTGCTGCAATAAACTTGTTAGTGCCGGTATCCCTTTAATATACTGATTTTTTTTCCTTAGCATAAATACCCAGGAGTGATACTGCTGGATCATATAGTAGTTCTAATTTTTTGGTTTCTTAGAAATCACTACACCATTTCCATAATGAATAATTTGCATTTCCACCAACAGTGTATAAAAGTTCCTTTCTCTCTACACCTTCACCAGTATCTGTTTTTTTTTTCTTTTTACTAATAGCCATTTTAACTAGGGTAAGATGATATAGCATTGTCGTTTTGTTTTGCATTCCTCTGGTGATTAGCGATATTGAATATGTTTTCCATATATCTGTTGGGCATTTGTATGTCTTCTTTTGAAAAATCTATTTATATCCTTTGCAAACTTTTAAATGTACTTTTTACTATTTTTTCTTGAGTTGTTTGTGTTCCTTTTATATTCTGATTATCAATCCCTTGTCAGTTGAATAGTTGGCAAATATTGTCTCCCATTTGACAGGTTGTCTCTCCACTCTGTTGATTGTTCCCTTTGCTATGCAGAAGCTTTTTAGTTTAATATAGTCCCATTGGTATATTTTTAATTTTGTTGCCCATGCTTTTGAGGTCTTATCTATAAAATGTTTGCCTAGACAAATAGTCTGTAGTTTTTTCTATGTTTTTTTCTAGTAGTTTTAGTTCCAGAGCTTATGTTTAAGTGATTTAATGCATTTCACATTGATTTATGTATGTGGTGAATGGTAGGAATCTAGTTGAATTATTATATATATGGATATCTCATTTTCCCAGCAGCATTTATTGAAGAGGGTGTCCATTCTCTAATGTATCTTCTGGCCACCTTGTTGAAAATCAGTTGGCTGTAAATCTGTTGATTTATTTTGGGGTTCTCTAATCTGTTCTATTGGTTTATATCTGTTTTTATGTTAATATCATGGTATTTTGGTTACTATAGCTTTGTAATATATCATAAAGTCACTTTTGTTCTTTTTGCTCAGAACTGCTTTGGCAATTCAAGATTTTTTTCATTTTTTATGAATTTTAGAATTTTTTTTCTAATTCTGTGAAACATGATGTTGGCATTTTGATAGGGATTGCATTTTATCTGTATATTGCTTTGAGCAGTATAGGCATTTTAATGATATTAATTCTTCCAATCCGTGAGTATGGGATGTCTTTCCATTTGTTTGTGTGTTTTTCAGTTTCTTTCATCAGTGTTTTGTAATTTTCCTTGCAGAGGCCTTTCATCTTCTTATATTTATTCCTAGATTTTATTTTGTAGCAACTGTAAACAAGATTGCCTTCTTGGTTTCTTTTCCAGCTATTTCATTATTGATATGTAGATATGCAATTGATATTCATATTTTGATTTTGTATCCTGCAACTTTTCTGATGACTTTGTTGATCAAACTAAGAGTTTTTTGGTAGAGTCTTTAGGTTTTCCTAAATATAAGATTATGTCATCTGCGAGAGGAACAATTTAACTTTCTCTTTTCCAATTTGGATGTCTTTTCTTTCTCTTGCCTGATTGCTCTGGCCAGAACTTTCAATACTATGTTGAATAGGAATAATGAAAATGAGCATCCTTGTCTTGTTTCCTTTCTTAGAGGAAAGGCTTACAGCTTTTCCTCATTCAGTATGTTAGCTGTGAGTTTGTCATATATAGCTGTTATTATGTTGAAGTATGCTCTTTCTATAACTAGTTTGTTGAGAATTTTTATCATGAAAAAATGTTGGACTTCATTGACTGTTTTTTCGTTATCTATTGAGATTATCATATGTTTTTTGCCCTTTATTCTGTTGATGTGATGTTTCATGTTTGTTGATTTACAAATTTGAGCCATCCTTGCATTGCTGAAATAAATAACTTGACACAATGGTCATTCAGGAGCATGTTTTTAAAATGTCCATGTATTTTTGCATTTTGAAAGTTTGCTATATATTGATTTCTAGTTGTTTTTCATTGCAGTCTGGGAAGATACTTGATACAATTTTTATTATTTTAAATTTATTGAGTCTTCTTAGTGGTCTGACATGTGTTCTATTCTGGAGAATATTCCATGTGCTGATGAGAAGAATATGTTTTCTACAGCTGTTGGATAAAATGTTCTTTAAATATCTGTTAGTTTCATCTGGTCTAAAGTGTAGTTTGAGTCACACGTTTCTTTGTTTATTTTATGTTTAGATAATCTTTCTAATGCTGAGAGTGGGGTGTTGAAGTCCCCAGCTATTATTGTATTAGAGTTGCCCTCTCCATTTAGGTTAAATAATATTTGCTTTATATACCTCAGTGCTTCATTGTCGGGTGCATATATATTTATAGTTATATCCTCTTGCTGAATTAATCCCTTTATAACTATATAATGATTCTTTTTGTCTCTTTTTACTGTTTTGACTTAAATTCTGTGTTATCTGATATAAGTATAGCTACTCCTGGTAACTTTTAGTTTTCCTTTGTTTGGAATATCTTTTTTATCTCTTTAAATTTATATGTGTCTTTACAGGTGAGTTTCTTATAGGAAGCATATCATTAGGTAATGTTTTTGTTTATTTTTCTTTCAGCCAGACTATATCTTTTAGGTGTAAAATTTAAGCTGTTTACATTCATGATTATTACTGATAGGTGGACTTATTTCTATATTTTGTTAATTGTTTTCTGGTTGTTTTGTATTTTCTTTGTTCTTCTCTTTCTCTGTTGTTTTCATTGTGGCTTGGGGTTTTCTGAAGTAGTAACATTTGAGTTCCTTTTCCTCATGTGTGTTTGCTCTATCAGTGAATTTTATACTTTCATATGTTTTCCTAATGGCAGATATCTTTTTTTTACTTCCAAGTGTAGGACTCCCTTAAGCATTTCTGGTAGGGCTGGTCTAGTAGTGATGAATGCTGTCAGTTTTTGCTTACTGGGAAACACTTTATTTCTTCTTCATTGATAAAGGATAACTTTGCTGGATATAATATTTTTGGCTACCAGCCTTTTTCTGTTTTTTTCCCCAGCAATTTCAATGTATCATCCCTTCTCTTCTAGCCTGTAAGGTTTCTGCTCAGAAATCTGCTATTACTCTGATGGGGGTTCCCTTATATATGAATGGGTGTTTTTCTCCTGTGGTTTTTAGAATTCTCTCTTTGTCTTTTGACACTTAGACTGTGATGTGCCATTGAAAAAATCTTTTTGTATTATACCTATTTCTGAAATTCAAAGGTTCTTGTATCTGGATGTACATATCTCCTGCTAGACTTGGAAAGTTTTCAGCTATTAATTTGTTAAACTTGCATTTGTCTTTTCTTCATGTTCTGGAACACACAAATTGATATATTTAGTCACTTTTTGGTGTACCACATGTTATGTAGGTTTTGTTCAGTCTTTTTTTTTTTAACTTTCTTTTGACTGAGTTATTTCAAAAGACCTCTGTTCAATCTCTGAGTTATTTCTTCTGCCTGTTCTAGACTATTGTTTACACCCTTTAATAAATTTTTAAATTTCAATCATTTAATTCTTCACTTACAGAGTTTCTCTTTGGTCTTTCTTTTATATTATCTATCTTTCTAGTCAACTTCTCATTCATATTCTGAATTGTTTTTCTGGTTTCTTCGTATTTATCTGTGTTCTCTTATATATCACTGAGCTTCTTTAATATTTTAATTTTTCTAGCAGCTAATAAATTTTCTTTTTATTCAAATTTGTTGCTGAAGTATTATTGTGTGTTCCTTTACAGGTGTCATATTTTTTTCTTTTTTTTTTGGTATATTTCTTGTGTCCTTATGTTGATATCTGCACATCTACTGTAATAGTCACTTCCAGTTTTTTGGATTAGCTTGTGAAGGGTAAGAATTTTTCCTGAAGATATATCTATGATGATTTTTGGGTAGGAAACTATAAGTTTGATTGTGGCTATGTGCAGTACTGTAGTTTCTGTATGATTTCTTTAGCTGTAAACAGTGTCAAAAGTGTCTATAATTTCCATAGTATTGTAGGCTGCAGCTGTTTTTGGAGGCTGTGGTGAGGTGTTGCTTGGGATAGGGAAACCAGGAACCAGGTAGTCCAGTCCTTGGACCCCACTGATTGTAGCAGCAGGCAGAGCATACCTGGTTTGGGGTCCCCAGGCAGCACATGTGTGAACTGGTTTTAGCAAGTCCACAGGGGTTGATTCTTGGGCCTTGAGAGGGCTTGCTTGGTTTCCACCAGTGTCAGTGGCTGACCAGGTAGGTGAGCAGGTCCTTGGTTCTCAGAGTATTGTGTTTGGTATAGATGATGGCAATAGCAGTGGTGAGAAAACTCTTGTGCTGCAAGTAGCACACTGGTGTTAGTGTTAGCTGTGAGGGTCTGAGTGGGCCAATCCCCAGGCTCCTAGTTAGTGCTTGCATGTGAATGCCATCTGTGGAGATAGAAGCAGGTTATGTGGGCCTATCCTCAGGCCTCCAGGAAGAGTGCACAGTTACCAGTAGTGGTGGACAGAGTGGGACTATTCTGAGTTCCCTGGGTGGTTTGTGTGAGTACTGAGAGCGGGGGCCGTGCCAGGCCCGGTGGCCCAGTAGCCTGTCCTCAGGACTCCCAGTGGGTGTACTCTGGCACTGGCTGTGCTGAGCAGGGTAGCTTTATCACCAGGCCCCCTTGATAGAGTATTCAGGTGGCTGCAGCAATGGAGGTGATAAGTTGGGGGGTGGGAGGAGCCTGCCCTCAGGCTCATATGTGCAAGTACGCTATGAGTTTGCTGCTGGAAGGGAGTGGAATTGCTGACAATGGCTACAACCATAAGCAGGCAGTTACCAGGCTCTAGGGAGTGCGTGCTTTCACCCCTGGCAGTGGTAGCAGTGGTGGCAGCAGCAGTAGCAAGGCTACAAGCAAAGCTAGTCCTCTGCTACTGACTGGGACAGGATTGCTGCCAGTTGTGTATGCCTCAGTCCTTGGTGGCAACAGCAGCAGCTGTGGGGTATGGTAGCAGAGACTGTCTTCAGGGTATGTATGAGGCAGCCATGCTTCTGGGGAAGTCACAATTCCTATCTGTGGCAGCTATTCCAGGTAAGTGGTTCTAAGACTCTGTGGAGCATGCATTTTGCTTCCCTTCTTCCCAAAGGCAGCCTCACTGGCATACTGCACTGCCCATTCCCTGGGGTACAGGACAGTGTGTGTGCTAGAGTGCTGGGTACTCTGTCACTCTGATGGGTCCGACTGGCATTGTACTACTGCAGTGCTCTGTGTGAACATGGGGAAATATTGGTGTGAATCCATGCATGTGGAGATTCAGAGGCTATTGGGCCCCAGGGCAGGATGCAATCTGATGGGTGCTGGGCTGTCAAAGTGGCACTATGGTACAATTGCTTAGGACTTGAGAAATGTGTGAGACCAAGGGTAAGCTCTCTCTCTCTGGAGCAATGCCATTGCAATGTCTCTAGGCAGCTCCCCATACTATTCTCAGGTTCTGTGAGGACTGAGGAATTCTCCTAAAGCTAAAGTTGCAGGAGTCCACCATGGGTTCACTGTGAATTTCTCACATACCCTTTCCCTGCACTGGGGAAGCATCTAGGCTTCCACATATCCTGGCTCTTTTCCATGCCTCAAGTGTTTTCTCTCATTTCTCTGTTGAATTCCAGTTTACTAGCTTAAATGCTCTGTTTCAAGTGTTATTATATACTTGCTAATTTGGTTCTTTATTGTGGAGAAAGAGAGGCATCCAATCCCCCTAGTAAGCCATCTTAAAGCCCTTTATAACTATTTTGTTGTTATTTCTTTTTATTCCCAGGGTATTTAATGGAGATTTTATACTCTGGAGTCTTAGTAGAAGTTCATTTAAAATTTATTAATTATCCTTTTTTTTCTGGTTGCCATCTTATTGTTTCGATTTTTATTATTTTCTTATAGTCTAATATACAGCTAAATTATTTGTAAATATTTGTACATATATCAGAATAGAAGTTATTCCCGATTATTGGATATCCATTTTTGATACATATTTAAAACATATGAGAAGAATTAAGTTGAATGAAAAGTGATTTAATATGAGAAAATATATTGATATATAAAGGGAGAATTATTATAAAATGACTTCAAGAAATACAGAAAATTATTTGACAAAAATTCGAACACTTTCATGTGAAACAAGAAGTACCCATCAATATAACAGCATACAAATTCTTTACATAGAAAAAGATTTATTGTTTTCAACTCTTTTAAACCAACTTGTTTTATCACTTCCAAATTTGTTATTATTACTATGCATTTGTGCATTCAATAGTATATATTTAATATAGTACTTCTTTATTAGTATAAATTCTTTACCCATACTTTTGAGTATTGTTTAAGTACAGAATTTACAAGTGAGATTATCACCCAGGATTTGAAGAATTGATTTTAACGCAAATTATCTTATCACTGAATTGCTGCCCCTTTTTAAATACAGATTTTTCCTCATGTTACTTCCTGATAAATCATTGGTAAGTTGAAAATACTGTAAGTCAAAAATTCATTTGGTAAACCTAACCTTCTGAACATCATAGCTTAGCGTAGTTAACCTGAAACGTGCTCAGAACACTTATTAGTCTACAGTTGGGCAAAATAATCTAACATAAAGCCTATTTTATAATAAAGACTATTTTAGAATAAAGTGTTGAAAATCTGCTGTTGAATATCTCATTGATTATACTGAAAGTGAAAAATAGAATGGTTGTATGGGTACTAGAAGAACGATTTCTACTGAATGTTTAATGCTTTTCATATCATAAATTAAAAAAATTTTAAGTTGAACCATTGTTAATTGGGGGTGATGTGTAATCTGTTTTTCCTCGTGATATATGATACACTTTTAGTATTTCTTTTTTGGTTTGTCTTGGTTTTTGCCTTTGCAATTTTAATTCTGTAATGTCATCATGTTGCATGAGGCAGAAATCCTTGGTGTCTACCAAAATCTATTATTTCCTGCTTTTATGATAACAATACTGTAGCCAGGTAGAAATAGTTCATGTTTCCCAGCCTCCCTTGCAGTTAAGTGAGGCTGAGGAATATACTTCTCTAAATGGATCAGCTTTTAAAGTAGCCATGTCTTCCTCCTGACCTTTCCCATCCCCTGGCTAGTTATGGATGGCAGTAATCCATGGCAAAGGTGGAGATGCAGAATGGCAGGAGTAGGAGTCCATAAATTGTCACATAATCCCAGAGCACCTTCCCTGGATGGTTTTATGAGTTTGTTATTATATTTTAGGGTCTATTTATAGAACAATTTAATATACTATAACTAATAAAATGTATTTACAGAGAGATCGCTTTTGTTTATTCTACTCTGAACTCAGTGTAATCCTTAATCTAAAAAACCATGTTTTCCTTTAGTTTTTAGAAGTTCTATACCACTATATTTTTAAATACCTCTTTCTCATTCTCTCCAGTCTCCTGTTCTGTGAATTTTTCAAAAAATGTTTTAAACTTCCTTTTCTCCCCCAGGCCTTTTAACCACTTGCTTTAGTTTGAGACTCCTCAAAAGCAAAGTCTGAGAGAAAGCATTAATTGCAGCTAGCTTCTTAGGGAATAATCCCTGGGAAACACAAATAGTAGAGAGGAGAGCATGAAATTCAGAAGAGAAGTGCTAGGAACTGAATTGATTTTCCTGCAAATTCATGTTATGTTGAAGTTCTAACTTCTGGTATCTCAGAATGTGACTGCATTTGGAGATAGGGTCTTTAAAGTGATAATTAAGATAAAATGAGATTATATGGAGGAGCTCCAATATAACCTAACTGGTGTCCTTATAAGAAAAGGAGATTAAGACACAGATATATTAGGTTGGTGTAAAAGTACTTGCAGTTTTTGCCATTGAAACTAATGGGCTAACCTAATATTATTTGCTAGGACTGCCATAACACAATACCACAGGCTGGGTGGTTGGTTTCAACAACAGAAATTTATTTTCTCATAATTCAGGAGGCTAGTATTCCAACATCGAGGTGTTGGCAGGTTTGGTTTCTCCTGAGGCCTGTTTTTTCTGGCTTGCAGATGGCCTCCTATCACTGTGTCTGCACATGGCCTTTTCTCAGTGCACAAACATCCCTAATGTCTTTTTGTGTGCTCAAATTCCCTCTTCTTATAAGGATGTCAGTCAGATTGAATTAGAGCCCACTATAACAGCTTCATTTCAATTTACTCACATTTTTAAAGGCCACATGTTCAAATACAGTCACATTCTGAGGTACTGGGAGTTAGGGCTTCAGTATATGAGTTTTGGAGTACACAATTCAGCTCACGATAGACACATACAGAGGGAAGACCAAGTGAATATGCTGGAAGAAGACAGCTACATAGAAGCCAATGAGAAAGGCTTTAGAAGAAACCAACCCTGCTGACACTTTGATCTCAGATTTCTAGCCTCCAGAACTGTGAGATAATAAATTTATATTTTTTAAGTAATCAAATCTGTGGTTCTTTGTTATGGCAGCCCTAGTAGAGTAACACAGAATGGAAACTAATACAGGGTAAAATAATAAGTAGATTACTACTGTGGAAACAGAGGCTCAATACTACTAGGGACCTCTAGGGAGGCATTATTGAACATACTCAAAACGTGGCATTTATCCACAAATTCCCAACTAATAATATTTACTGAAGGCTACTGCCACGGGCATTATTCATTCTTTGACACTTGCAGTTTTTTGTGCATGGTTCAGACATACTCCAGTGGCCAGGGAATGCCTTCAGGCAAAAAGCCACAGGAGATTGAGATAAAAAAAAATCATCCACATACAAATGAATAGTGTTAGGGATGGCTATGTGAGTACAGAACTGAGGGTATTCTTCACCATTCTCCAAATGTTTCATTAGTTTATCTCTGTGTTGTATTTAAGAAAATATTTAACTATTGCCAAATCAGTCCTATAATTCTCATGATTCTGAAAATGATCAAATAGGGAGAAATGGTATCAGCTATAAATATTTTATTTTTGTGTGCAAAAGTATAGTCTACTCATTTGTTATGGATTATAGATAGCTTATAGATAGTCATGAATGACTTAAATGAAAAGAGGAGTTTATGAAATATCAAAAATAGAACATTAACAAAAACAACGGTCATCTCTCATCATTTCATTCAACCCATGTAATTAATTCCTGCCCTCCTAGATCTTGAGTTAGCAACATTATGAATTCATCTGCTTCTCAACCAAGTGCCTGGAAAACATGACTTAATCTGTTGGTATGATTTCAAACTTATTTAAGTGATGCCATTAGAAGCCTGCACCTACGAGTATCTGGCATACTTTGCTATGGTGCTCTGAGAGAGTTGTTATCACAAATGAAGCACTCTGGCCTGTAGCTGATTGCAAGAGCTTTCAGGAGAGAACGAGAATAAAACAATCAAACAAAAAGCTATCTGTAGATAAAAAATGATTTAAAATAACTGTAGCAAACTCATTATTGATTATTTTTGTAAGTGAATTCTCTGATGAGAGTTCATTACAAGGATCCAGGTTGAGTATTCCTTATCCAAAATGCTTGAGACCAGAAGTGTTTCAGATTTTGGATTTTTCAGATTTTAAAATATTTGCATATGCATAATGAGATATCTTGAAGAAGGGACCCAAATCTAATGACAACATGCATTTATCTTTTATACACACCTTATACACAATGCCTGAAGGTAATTTATATAATATTTTTAATAATTTAGTTCATGAAACCCTTTGTGTACACTGAACTATCAGAAAGCAAAGATGTCAAATGTGAGATTTTCTGCTTGTGGCAGCTTATCCACCCTCAAAAAGTTTCAGATTTTGGAGCATTTCCAATTTTGAATTTGTGAATGAGGATGCTCAACTTGTAATGCAATTGACAAGAAAAATCTGGTTGTTTTGTGGCATGCAAAATAATATAAGAAAGCTAATCCAAAAATTCTCTAGGCAAAATAACTGTTAATATATTGATTAACCCCATTTTCAAAATAGTAGATATTATATCTAAATTTTGTACATTAGATAATTTTTACACAGAAAAAATTAAAATGTAGCATAAAATCATCTTGATACATAATATGCTACAAATATACCATTCATACACTAAGACTATATCTAGAATATATCAAGAACATCAAGTATAGAGGTTCAGTAAGTAATGAGTAGTTTTTAAACATCTGTATATTAAATAAAAATAGGTAACTGCTGTGAATCCTCAATTGAAAATAACTGGCCTAGAAAATGCTAGATTTACATTAAAAAAGTAAAGATATGACTAACTTAACATTTTTAGAAATAACAACTTATGACTGATAACTATACCATTTTTATCTAATATCAGGAAAAACAGCAAGACTGATATATAGGATGATATCATGGTGTAATCCCAGCACTTTGGGAGACCGAGGCAGGCGAATCATGAGGTCAAGAGATGGAGACCATCCTGGCCAACACGGTGAAACCCCATCTCTACTAGAAATACAAAAATTAGCTGGGTTTGGTGGCACGCACCTATAGTCCCAGCTACTCGGGAGGCTGAAGCAGGAGAATCACATGAACCCGAGAGGCAGAGAATACGGTGAGCTGAGATCATGCCACACCACTGCACTCAAGCCTGGGTGACAGAGGAAGACTCTGTCAAAATAAAAAAAAAAAAAAAGATGAATAATGATTTAACGTGATTTTACAAACGTACATTTTTAATAATCTTAGGCATTTCATAGAAGTAACACTAGCTTATTTATTAAGCATACTTAATAAATAACACAAGTTTAGTTATTAAGTAACACTAGCTTATTTAATCAGTAGGTAAAATAAAAATCTACTTTTGTATTATACTGAACACTGAGAAATCAGAGAAGATACATCTGCAATTATTAAGCAAAACATATTAAGCTAATCTAGCCAAGGATTCACCTAAAGTATGTAAACTTGAATTTTTAAAACATTTCTGAATTACAAGAATAACTTTTTTTTTATTATTTCTTAGGAAGTTTGAAACTTCCAAGCCACATTAGTGCTTATTTATTTCTATACCTACTAGAATAGAACTTCTTTAAGAGATTATATAATCAAATTTGGAAATATATTTAGAGAAGAGAAAATATTATATACTCGTAAAATGAAGGCCTTTCTATGTTAGAGACACATAAACATAAAAATATACAGGAGAGGAAATTTATAACTTCAATTCTAAAATTTTAGTCCTTTGTCAAGCATAAACACAGAAATACAAACTTACCAATTCATATATATACTTCCACTTCCTGGTAGGCATGTAACTCTCAATTGATCTGATCTCAAGATAAACAAAGAGACAAACTAAAAAGATTAACAAACCATGTTCTCTGTCTTTCTGCCGACAGATACAAGATCTCTGTAAACCTTCAATCAATTTACATAAAAAGCCAAATGATTAGATAATAAAGCCAAAAGACGCTAGCACCAGAAATCAAGTAAAAAATCAGGACCCAAAATTAATTATTTATCACCCAACAAAAGAGTCAGTAGCATGAAAAGAGCTGAGTTCACTGTTGAGTTCTAGACCTTCAGGAGCACAAAAAAAGAGTTGCCAAGAGGCTTCATTTACTTGAGGTGAGTTCATTGTGTTATGAAGGCAGGGTCAGAGCCTACCTGAGTCATGGTATGAAGACTGCGAAGGACAAACTGCACCAGACAATTGAAGATATTATTTTTTTCAGGATGTTACAACAGAGTTATTATACACTTATAAGTGACTTCGCAAAGAAAATGAGGGTGGCCTTATGGGAGTCATGAGGAAAAATAGACATAGGTCTTTTTCTCTGAGTACACAACAACAAAGTAGTCCTTTCCAGTTAGCCATTTCTCAGAACACAGAGGACTGGAAACATCTCTCGACCATTGCTGTTTTCTAGTGATACAAGACTGAGATAAAATTAAACATTGTCAGTTTTTTAATGCCTTCATGTAATATTGAATTTTTGATTCTGTAACTTTATTGACACTGTTTATTCTTTGAAAGTCCTGTATGCCCTGACATATGAAAGCTTCCTGACAGAACTTTCTTACCTGTATCTTCTTGGGTTCAGTTTATCATAGAACAACTTTAATATCAATGTAATAACTTTAGTTCACTCACTGAAAACGGATAGTGTGAAATCAGACCAAAAGTAATGCAATGCATTTGTCCTGAGATTTTATTTTCACATCATTTATTTTTCCCTCCTCCTTCTCCACCTCCTTCTCCTCCTCCTTCTCCTTCTCCTACTCCTTCTACTCCTCCTCCTCCTCCTCCACCTTCTCCTCCTCCTCCTTCTCCACCTTCTCCTCCTCTTCCACCTCCTCCTCCACCTTCTCCTCCTCCTCCTCTGTCGTCTTCTTCTTATTCCTTTTCTTCTTCTTCTTCCTCCTCCTCCTCCTTCCTCTTCTTCCTCCTCCTCCTCCTTCTTGTTCTTTTCCTCCTCTTCCTCCTTCTTCTTCTCCTTCTCCTTTTCCCTCTTCCTCCTCCTCCCCCTGCCTTTCCTCCTCCCCCTCCTCCTCCTCCTCTTCCTCCTCCTCCTCCTTCTTCTTCTTCTTCTTCTTCTTCTTCTCCTTCTAATATAAAAAATAAAATTAAAGCTTGTGTGTACCCTTGTGTGTCCCTTTGGGTTGAGCTCTCTAATAGACATATTTTGCAGGAGGGATTACATAGGAAGAGACATACTAACAGTGCTCTCGGAATCAACACCTATGAAAGGAAAGAGAACTCAATATTGGACAGAGGGAAAATTCAAGCTATGCATTATCAACAGATGAGTTGCCTGCTCCTGTGAGAAGCCCTGGAGGTGGAATGACTATACATTTTTTTTTTTTCCTGAATCCTATGCTCAGACACTGAAGATGGGCCGGCCCAGTAAAGGGGTATACATTTGGTCAAAGTGGCTCTTTTTAGTTGAGGCCATCTCCTGAAAGAGCTTATAGGTGAGAGTTGTCTGCTGTAGCTGGGGAATAAATTTTTATTCCCAAGCAGAAATCTCAATACCCCCATGCAGTGTCCACAGAGTATTTTCCCAAAATGATGGGGAGAATTTGGAGCCCTAGGATTTATGCAAGGGGTTCAATTCTAATTTATTCACCCTACTCAGGCTCATACTCCAATTTTTTTTTTTTTTTTTGCACCTGGTCTGCATGTTAGAATACCAGTTTGTAGCTTTTAAACCCTACAGCTTATTATAAATGTTAGGGTTTTCCACTTCTCGTTAATGCTTTTGCCTTGATTGCTTGCTTCAATTTTAGCATTCTTACATTTATCTTCCTTTAGAGTTCAACTCTAAATTTGTATTTTATTCATAATTATTTCATAGCATTTTTCAGGTCATTTTATTACTGTGTGTTCCTTAGATTCTAACACCCTATGTTGTTGTACTGACTGCGTCATTGATTCTGTTTCTTGATGTGAATTGCATTTGTTCCCTGTGACTAATTTCCTGTAATTGCAGCCAGAGAGGGTTCTGTTTTCATCAGCTCAGTCCAAGGTGATCAGTATTTTCTTAACATAATGTTTACCTTGAATATATTATGATTTTAATTGTGAAATGCTATTCAATTTTTTAAGGATTCCCTCAGAAGTAATGTGCTCTGTAAAGTTTAGGAGACACAATATTTTATAGATTTTGCTAGTAAAACCAGAATTAGAAACTTGTACTTTTTGACATTGACACATGCCATTATTGCTATATAGGAAATCTCCATAACATCAACATCAATTTCAAGTAAAAAATAGGGCACTATTTATCTCAAAACCAAGTTAGCCCCAAGTCATGATCACATTATTGTCATTTACTCTTTGTAAATACTGTTACATGTGACACCTGTCTTTGCCAATAAAATCCATAATCCTGGAGAGCAGATAATGTATTTTCAATTTTCTTTGGCCTCACCCACGTTATTTGGGACAAAGCCCAAAAATATATGGGTATTTAGTCCTTATGGAGGCACAGAATGATGTAGAAATGAGAGAGGGAGAATGCCAGCATGAGTGGTTGCCAGGTTCATTGGCAAGCATCTTGGCAACGTCTTACCTGAAGAGGCAGCATGACGTGGTGGAAAGAGGTGGATTTTGAATCAGACGAACTTCGGTTTTCATCCCAGCTCTGCTGTGCACTAACTGTGTAACCTTGGGCAAGTACTTAAAGTTTCTCAATCTTGTTTTTTCTTTTTTTTCCACCTGAGAAATGTAGTTAATAATACCTAACTCACAGGTGTTTTGTGAGTATCAAATGAATATAAATCATCTTGCAACATCTTGACAAAATTAGTAATTGCAAAAAAAAAAAAACAAAAAGCCGATTTGCTCTGTTAAATTCATAGAAGGCACAGGAAAAAATCTCTCTTCCATTGGCCTTGGCAATAAATTTTTAAATGTGCCACCAAAAGCCCAAGCAATAAAGGCAAAAACGAACCAGTAAGACCACATCAAACTAACATGCTTCTGCACAGCAAAGGAACCAATCAACAAAAATCCACAAAATAAAAAGAAGAACTACGGACTGGGGAAAAAAACATTTGAAAACCATACCGATGATCAAGCGTTAATATCTAAAAATATAAGAAATTCACAAAACTCAATAGCAAAAGAAAATTAAAGAAAACTAACCTGATTAAGAAATGAGCAAGAACCTGAATAAACGTTATTCCAAAGAAGATATACAAATGGCCAAGAAGTAAATAAAAGAATGTGCCACATTACTAATCACCCAGGAGGTGTGAATCAAAACTATGAGATACCACCTCATGCCTGTTAGAATGGCAATTATCCCAAAGACAAGAGATAACAAACTGCAGGGTATAGAGAAAAGGAAACACTGTATGCTGTTGGTGGGAATGTAAATTAGTAGACATGTAAAACAATATAGAACTTCCTCAAAAAATTAAAAATAGAACTACCATATGGTCCAGGAATCCAACTTGTGGGTATATATCCAAAGGAAATGAAATCAATATTTTGTAGAGATATATGCAATTCCGTGTTCATTTCAGCATTATTCACAATAACCATGACAGAAAAACACAGCCTAAGAGTCTATCACTGGATGAATGCAAAAAGAAATTGTGATGTATGTGTTTATGTGCATATGTGTGTGTGTGTATTGTAAGTGTGTGTAATGAAATATTATCCAGCCTTAAAAAAGGAGATCCTGCCATTTGTGGCAAAAATGAATAAACCTGAAGTGCATTATGCCAAACGAATGAAGTCAGATACAGAAATAAAAACTACTTCATGATATCACTTATATGTGGAATTTAGAAAGAGCCAAACACACTGAGACAGAAAGTAGAACACTGGTTACCAAGGGCAGAGAAGGGGAAGAAATGAGGAAATGTAAATCAAAAGGTACAAAGTTGCAGTTATGTAAGATGAAGAAGTCTAGTGATCTAATGTACAGCATGAGGACCGTAGTTAATATTATTGTATACTAAAAATTTTCTAAGATAGGAGATTCTTGTGCATTTACCACACACACACCACACACACACACACACACACACAAGATAATTTTGGGGGGTGAAGGATATACTAATTTGCTTGACTATAATAATAATTTCATGATGTATATGTATATCAAATCATCATATTGTATACTTTAAATACATAGAGTAATTTAAAAACATAACAGGTTTTCCTTCCTTACAGCAATGTTGCTCCAAGTATGTTCCCAAGATCATCGTGCCTGAATAAACTTAAATGCCAATTAAAAGTTTAGATTTCTTGACCAACCCTCAACGTCCAGCTTTGTATCAAAATCTTTGGGAATTGTGTCTGGGGAATCTGCCACTCCCAGCAAAGTAAAACCCCAGGTGCATCAAAAATAGATGAGAGCTAGAAAAAAATATATATAATATGTATATATATATGGTTTAAAAAATAAAAATTGGACAGACTATATAATAATATATAATAATCTGCCACTCCCAGCAAAGTAAAACCTCAGGTGCATCAAAAATAGATGAGAGCTAGGAAAAAAAAAAAAAATATATATATATATATATATATATATATATATATGGTTTAAAAAATAAAAATTGGACAGAAAAATAGAGTGGGTGGAGTGATGGTGAGGACTAGGGATGTGCAGGCAGACAGCAGCAGAGGCCAACAGGCAGCCCATGACCAGTTATCATCACTGCAGGACCTTAGAGAAGAATTGAATAGCCGAGCCCCTGCTGTTGCTTGGCTCACTTGCTAAACAGCCCTGCCCAATACAGAAGCCTGATCTCCAACAATCTCAGGAACAAGTTGGGAATTAGTATGATTGGTGTTTAAATGGACTTTGAACAATTTTGTTCCATTGTATTATTTTGGGCTCTTTAAAGAAATTTATTTAGTGGAAAATTCTTTATGGATGAAAGACAGTGATAAATGACAGTAACTGCTGTAGAGAGAGAACTAAATTATTTTCTGCAATGTGAGGAAAGAAATTTTTGTTTTTATCCTTTGCAAATAGTATGAAATTATCCAGACCTTTCCATCTCTAAGTGGTGTTACTTTGTCTCTCTCGTATTTTTAATATCCAGGGCAATATTTACCATTATGGAATATCATCCCTGCTGGTCTCAGCTCTTCCACAATGACTACTTTCTAACTGCAGACTACAACATACCTAACCTTATGGCTTTCCAGGAGTTTTCTGTAGTTTGTAAACTAAAGGAGGTTACGACAATGCAATGCCCATACCAGGGGACTAAGTGAAGCTGAGCCCTAAACCCTACCTCAAGGACAAGGAAACATGATTCATTAACACCAATTAGGGGAGTAACAGGTTTCCCATTTCTAATATGTTAGTAGCTGGTTCATAGATACTGAAAAATTAAGTAGCAAAGGATCTGATAACTTATTCAAACAAGCTTTATTTAATATTTTTAAAAACTAACTGACACCCTTATCTGCACACCACCCCAGATAGGTGTAAATAAATACTCAAAATGAACAAAGTCCTGGAGCAAGGTGCTTAGGGGAAGGACCAGCCCTGTTTTTAGGGGCTCTGTCTTACCTGATTAATCAGTGGAGAGTTGGCCCTCACTGGTGATCCCAGGAACCCAATATGAGCACAAATCAGCCCACTGAAATGCAGAAGAGGCTACACACTTAGGAGGCTAATTTCTTCTGAACTGGTGAGCAGTGACAATAAAGGTGGTTTTGCCATGCTGAGAGGCAAATAATCTGTTGCCCACCCCATCCAATTCTCCAAATGTGTTTAAATCACTAATGAAAATGAGTCCAGAGGCTTCCACTGGGCCAACATTTTGCATATCAGGAAAACACCATACAATTCAACTTGAGCGGCAAATCTCTTCTCAGACACCACACAGGGCTGCTGGAATAGGAGTAGAAGCTTGCAGGTCAAGAGAGGCATGAATTCTTAATGCCCCAAGAGTCCAAGGACAGAATAGCAGGGACAGGACAGAATATCATATTCAATTATTTATCAAGTTCATTTATAAAAATAAACCCAATACCTAGACCAATTGGTGCATATGGGAGAGTAGCATGTATATCAATAAATAATACAGATGATTTGATTCGGCTCTCCACAGATTTTTTTCTCTCCTTATATTTTAAGGATAGAATGTGACATCTGGCAGCACACAGTATCTGGTACCATATATTTTTGTTTTATGAACAGTGCCCCAAGCCACAAATATACATGGAATATAAAGTTGCCACGCAAATGTGAAGAAACCTTCTTATTTAGTCCTCTAAATTTATTTTTAAATAAGAATAACAATAATAGCAGCTACAATTTCATGTGTGCCTAGATATTATATTTCAAATAAAGAGAAACTATACCAACTTCATTTGCCTATATGACACATCCAGTGATATGTAAATATGTATAAATCTAATAATAACTTTGTAAATTAATAGTTAATATTCCCAGTTTGCAGATGTTATTGTGATTCACAGAGATTAAGTATTTTCCCCAAAATCAGACAACAAATGAGTAAGTAGCATATCTGAGATGAGATCCCAATACTTTATATTATTTAGCCAGAACCTGTTTTATGGCATTATTAGCAGTTTTGGTCAAGAAAAGTCTCTCATATTTAGGAAGAGGACTAAAATATTATACCATCCTAACATTTAACTTGTGGGTAGTAATGATCACAGTGATTTATATTCTGATGATTTTTTGTAGTTGATAAAATACTTTTACATATAACATTTATTCAATCAAAAGTTATAGAGTACCTGTAGTATACAAACGACTATGTCATGTGCTAGATACACAGGTAAAAAAAGAGGTAATGCTTCCTTTGTGAAGATTACAGTGTGGTGAGGGAAGAAAGGCAGTAAGTCTGTATAATAAGAGCTTATAATAAGAGCTATGATAAAGTACTCAAGAAGTAAAGATAAGAGTCCTCTACCTTAGCATGGTGGTCAGGAAATTCTTTATAGTACTTTTAACTTCATTAGTTATTATTATTATTATTATTATTGAGGCTGAGTCTCACTCCGTCACCAGGCTGGAGTGCAGTGGTGTGACATCGGTTCACTGTAACCTCCACCTCCTGGGTTCAAGCAGCTCTCCTGCCTCAGCCTCCCGAGTAGCTGGGACTACATGCCTGCGAAACCACGCCAGGCTAATTTTTGTATTTTTAGTAGAGATGGGGTTTCACCGTGTTGGCCAGGATGGTCTCGATCTCCTGACCTCGTGACCCCCATGCCTCAGCCTCCCAAAGATTAGTTATGATTTTTTAATCACTTGTAGGCATTCGGAAAACAAAAGGAGAGATGGAGAGAGGCAAGATAGACATTTTGAGCATAACATATAAACACCTGTGCTACATTGGTATGAAATAGGATTCAGTCTTTACTCAATTGCAAGTGGTTGATTTGGATTTGAACAAATCATGCTTATACGGGCATTGGTGGAAAATGAAACTGCAGAGGCAACCAGAGGTCAGATTATTATTATATTTTATATCGTGATTAGTATAAGGGGTTTGAGCTTTATCTCAAGAAGGAGACTTTGATGGAATTTAAAGGGATCGGAAGACCTGGTTAGATATCTGCTTTAGGAAGACCATCATGTCATCAGTGTGAAGATAGAATGGGGGTAATAATGGGAGATTATTGTGATTGTAAAAAATTTCAGGCCGGGCGCGGTGGCTCCCGCCTGTAATCCCAGCACTTCGGGAGGCCGAGGCGGGTGGATCAAGAGGTCAGGAGATCAAAACCATCCAGGCTAACATGGTGAAACCCCGTCTCTACTAAAAACACAAAAAATTAGCCGAGCATGGTGGCAGGTGCCTGTAGTCCCAGCTACTCTGGAGACTGAGGCAGGAGAATGGCGTGAACCCGGGAGGTGAAGCTTGAAGTGAGCTAAGATCGTGCCACTGCACTCCAGCCTGGGTGACAGAGAGAGACTCCGTTTCAAAAAAAAAAAAAAAAATGCAATAAGATATTCAGATAGAAAGTTATAGTAATCCATATAAGAATGAAGCCCTTATCTGAGCGTGCAAAGGAATGCAGAGGAGTGTATGGGCAGGTGATAGTCTTAGGACATTGAGATCATACCTTCTTATGCCTGATCTCATGGTTTTAGAGGATTGAATGAAAAAGTAGATTCCATTATGAGGCCCTAGCTTCTGGCAAAGGTGACTGAATGAATGGTCACATACTATATTACTAAAAACATTGAGACAATGATTTTGTAAGGTAGGCAGGCCAGGTAGATATGTTACCACCATTTTGCCACATGAGGAAACTGAAATTCTGGAAAAAGATAGCTAAGGTAGTCCACTGTATTATGCTATTTCCATTATAATTTAGTCAACACAAGATACTTATATGAACATACATCTAAATAGATTTGTTTAAACTCACATCAGTGGATGTACACCTTACGATAAAGTCAGCATAATCACATGTTTACATTACTTCCAAGAATCTATAAGGTACAAAGTATAGTTCAAGGAAAAATTAATCAATTTTAGAAATGGTAATCCTCTTTATTCAGTGAGAGGTATAAAAACATTGACAAAATCAGACCTTACCTATATTAGAAAGGAATAAGATGGGAGTGGTACTACAAGTATTTAATTCCACCAACTATCTTCTCAGTCTTAATGCTAATATAATTTTTAAAGAGATTTTGGAGCAGACATAACTTAATTATTGAGCTAAGATAAACTGATCATCTAATTTCCTTAGTTGGATAATAAGATGGATTTAAAACTTGTAGTATACATCCTTTTTCTTTACCTTTAAGACTCTAATAGTGGAAATAGGATATGTTCCACTCAGAATAAGACACATGGGCAGATTAGTGGTTGAGGTATTCAGTGAGGCTGGCATTGAGTAACACTTACTATGTCAGAAGAGCCATTAAGAGCTTCTGGGTGCAGAATACAGAAGCCCAGTCAGGTGTCAAAAACCTAGTTACATGTCAAGATGCCCAGGATGGACTCAGGAAAGTCTTTTTTGTTTTTGTTTCCTTGGGCTAGTTTTGGTAAGATGCCCTTACCGAGTGAAGTGGATGTTTGACAACTTCTCGTTAAGTAGGTATTCATTGGGTACATAAGATAAATACTTTAAAAGTGTAAAAAGATTAAAAAAATACTACCCTCAGATAAGAAAAACATAAAATTTCTCTTCTGCATATTGATATTTTGTGTCATGTTTCTCTCCATTTTACTTTAAAAAAATTATGTAGCAGAAACATTTTGTTTCGTTACATAAATCTATGATATTAAACTCATGATTAGATTTGTGTAACCACCACCACAAGCAGGATACAGAACAGTTTTATCACCCAAAATAATTTCCTCATGCCGTCCTTTTGTCATAAAGCCCTCCCCTAATACCTAACCGCTGGAAACAATGAATTGTTCTCTATCACCATAGATCTTTTCAAGAATGTCACCTAAATTAAATTCTATGATATGTTACTTTAAAAGAGTGTTCTCTTGGGATCAACCCTATTAACTCAGTAATGCCTTTGAGACTTAACTACATTGTTGCATCTATCAAAATTGCATTTATTGTTTTAGAAGTTTTACTGAGTTTCAAACAGGATACAATCCCCCTATTTAATGGGTACAATTCAGCATTTTTTAGTCTATGTATAGAGTTGTGCAACAATTCTCACAATCAATTTTAGAAAATTTCATCAGCCCCCAAGAAAACCCTGTAAACATTAGCAGTTACTCCCCTTTCTTCTCACACCCTCCCCCCTTTTTCCTTCATGAAACTCACAGCTCTGAGAAAAGCCATCAATTTTTCTTTCTCTATGGATTTGCTTATCCTGGTCACTTCATATAAATGGGATCATCCAATATGTGGCTGATTCTTTCACATAGGATGCATAATGTTTTCAAGTTCCATCCATGTATAGCATGTGTAAGTACTTCATTTATTTTTAATTGCCAAATTACATTCCATTGTATGGATAAACTCCTTTTTATTTTGCCATTTATCAATCAATTCATGGACATTTGAATGGCGTCCAATTTTTAAGAATCGTTGGCTATTATGAATAACGTTGCAATGAACATTCATTACAAGTTTTTTGTGAACATGTTTTTGTGTCTCTTGGGCACATATGCAGAAATGGAACTACTGTGTTAAATGATAACACTATCATCTTTTCTTTTTATTGATGAATAGTATTCCATTATATATATATATACACAACATCATTTTGTATGTATTTGTGTACATCAAAAACATTCTAGTTTTATTGAAAGACACTTGGTTTGCTTCCAGGTTTAAAGAACAAAAATAAAATTGCTATGAACTTTTTGTATAAGTATTTGCATGACATGCATTTTTATTTCATCTGGACAAATCATTGAAAAAAATAATCCTATGTCAAATGGTAAAGTAAGCATAACTTTATGAGGAACTGACAAATTATTTTCCAAATACATCATTTTACATTTCCATCAGCAATGTACAAGAATTCCAGTCACTTCTCACACCTGTCAGCATTTTTTTTCAATTTTCTTCAAGCAATTTTTAAAAATGGTACCATGTTGCCATTTTATATGCATTTCCAAAAAGACAAATGATGTTGAGCATCTTTTCATATGCTCATGTGCCATACTTATATCCTCCCTTTTGAATGATTTTTAACATCTTTTGTCCATGTATGTATTAAGGATAGAATCTTCCTCTGTCACCCAGGCAGGAGTGCAGTGCTGCAATCGTAGATCACTGCACCCTCAAACTCCTGGGCTCCAGTGATCCTCTCACCTCAGTCTCTTGAGTAGCTAGAACTACTACTCACTACTTACTAGAACAGCATCATGCCTGACTAATTTTTAATTTTTTTGTAGAGATGGGGTCTTACTATGTTGCCCAGGCTAATCTCAAAAAATCCTGGCCTCAAGCAGTCCTTTGGCCTGAGTATACCCAAGTGCTAGAATTACAGGCATGAACCACTGCACCTAGACTGTCCATGTGTTTTTTAAATAGGCCTGTTTATTTCTGTGATTACAAGTCCTTTGATAAGTGATTTGCAAATGTTTTCTTCTGATCCATAAATGGTCCTTTCATTCTCTTAATAAATGCTTTTGCAGACAAGAGTTTTTCTATTTTCAATTTTTTTAAGTCTAATTTTTCAATTTATTTTTTACAAATTTTTATTTTGGTGTCATATCTAAGGACTATATATCTAATCCAAGGTCATATCAATTTTCTTATTTTCTTATAGTTTCATGTGTATATTTATATCTATAATCTATTTTGGGTTAATTTTTACATTAGTCCTGAAAGAGAGATTTAGTCTGATTTTTGATTTATTTTGTATATGAATATCTGATTGCCCCAATATCATAATCTGGAAAAGTTGATTGTTTCTCCATCAAATCGCCTTTGCATTTGTCAAAAAACAATTGATTGCATTTGTGTAGTTTTAATTCTATACTTTTTACTGTTTCATTGATCTATGTGTCTTTCCTTTTACAGTACCGTGCTGTCTGGGTTATACTAGCTTTATAAAATAAACTTAGGTAGTGTGAGTGATCCACTTTGTTTTTTTTCAAAACATTTTTGGCTTTCTAATTCTTTTCAACTTTCATGTAAATTTAAAACCAGCTTGTCTACATCTACAACAAATATCCATACTGTTTTGTTCTTATTATCACCTGTACTATCACCACAGATAATATAAATAGAAGTAATATCTGGAAACAATTTTTCTCTCTTTTTTAAAGTTATCAGTTATAGTGTACAAGAAAAAGGATGTCCACTTTGACTACTTCCTCATTCAGACTACTTCCTATTTCCCTAGATCTAACTACTATTTTACATTTTGTGAGCATGATTTAGATTATTAATAGTCTATGCATTTATATACAGACATATGGTATATGTGGTACAATATTTTATATATATATATGTAGAATGACATTTTATCAAATATATATGTTTGTACAGTGTTCTCCAACTTGCTATCCACTTCTAATATTGAGCTCTATCTATATAAGTACCTCTTACAATATGGAGATCAAACCATATTAGTATACATATTTGTAGATATAGATATTATATATGTATGTGTGTATGTACGTGTGTGTGTTTGTGTATATATATATATGTATGTGTGTGTGTATGTATATATATATATAGAGAGAGAGAGAGCAGTCAGCTCTCTTTGTGTGTGGGTTCTACATCCATGGATTCAACAAACCATGGATCTAAAATATTCAAAATGTAAAAACAAAACAATAACAATAAAACAATAAAGGATAGTGCAAATACAAATACAGTATAACAATTATTTGTATAGTATTTACATAGGTATTATAAGTAATCTAGAGTGTACAGGAGGACATTTGTAAGTTACACACAAATAAGATGCCATTTTATATAAAGGGCTTGAGTATCCACAGGTTTTGGTATCTGTGGGGGGTTCTGGAATCAATATCTCATGGATACTGAAGAAGTACAGTATATGCATGTATTCAGTAGTCATTCTAGGAGTTTAACCATCTTTTTTACATTATTATTTAATAGAGAAGATATTAAAAGAGATTATCCTGGAGTTTCTGTCTTCTGTCTCAGAATGTAGAGACAGGAAAAAGTGTCACTTCCACCCTTACAGCCAAAGGGAACCAGATTCTTCCAATCCATGAGCATGGAATGCTTTTCCATTTGTCTGTGTCATCTATGATTTATTTTAACAGTGTTCTGTAGTTCTCCTCATAGAGATCTCTTATCTCCTTAGTTAGTCGTATTCCTAAAATAGGTTTATTTTCATAGATACTTTAAATGGAATTGCATTCTTGATTTGGCTCTCAGCTTGAACATTATTGGCATATAGAAATGTTACTGATTTTTGTGCATTAATTTTGTATTCCAAAACTTTACTGAAGTCATTTATCAGTTCCAGGAGCCTTTTGGTGGAGTCTTTAGAGTTTTCTAAATCATATCGTCTGTGAACAAACCTCAGCATCATGCAATATACTCAGGTAACAAACCTGCACTTGTACCCTTCTGAATGTAAAATAGAAGTTGAAAAAAAAATAAAAACAAAATCAAATAAGGGAAAAGGAAAGGAACCAAACTAACTTCAAATTGAATGCTTTTTCAAAAATCACTGAAAAAGAATAAACTGTGCTCAATATAAAAGGAGAGAGTCTTTCTGAAGGCATGAGGAGACTGGAATCCTTTCTCACTTGGGGTAGTATAACCTGACACCGGGAAGAAAATTTCAGCTAATATATTTGCCAAACTGGTGAGAGTACAATGTGAGCTGGCAATAGAGTGTAAAACCTTTGAGACATAAAAAATGGGAGATTAACATTGTCTTGCAGGATGTTTCTCTAGGAACTTCACTGGAAGCTAAAATCAAACATCAGAACGATACATTTAGGTGTCTGCGTGGCACAGACATGGGGGAGGAGAGAAGCCAGGTTAGATGAACAAGAAACTCTGCTTAGATTACTTTTAATCTTTTTTACTGAACAAAACCCATCATATGTGGATGGTTACATTAAATTTATAAATCCAATTTATTAAATAGATAAAGTAATTACATATTAATAAAAAACATTTGCATGGAAATAAAACAATGTGAGCAAAGTCAAAAGACAAATGACAAACGGATGAGAAATTATTTGCAACTTATATAACAGACAAAGGGATAATTTTCACAATATACAAAAAAATAAATAATTAACAAAACTCAGTATATAGAGATGATGAATAAAAAGACCACAGACATACATATTTCAAGGAAAAACATACATATTTCAATGTAAAAAATGGTACAAATTACCCATAAACAGGAAAAATACCTTGCTTAAAAAAAGAGAAATGTACACTAAAACTTGTATATTTTACCTAGTCGATTAGCAGAAGTTCAAAAGCTTTACAACATACACTATTGATAAGTATCTACATAAGTCATTGGAAAGTGATATAATGTATTTGTATTTGGTTATTCTTTTAAAATAAATGGAAGAAGATAAAAAGTAGTTACCTAGAAGTTGTGGGTAACAGCAGAGTAGAAGAAGCATGAATTAATCTTTTCTAAATACATATTTTATATACAATTTTAACTTTTAAATAATACATTTGTGTTAATTACATTGCTCAAAAGTTAAATTTTATATATATATATGAATGGAATGAAAACATTAAAACTGAATGCAAGCAGAATAAATGAATAAAACAGTATTTCAATTTTATGATATAACCAGGCCAGGTGCGGTGGCTCATGCCTGTAATCCCAATACTTTGGGAGGCCGAGGCGGGCAGATCATGAGGTCAGGAGTTTGAGACCAGCCTGACCAAAATGGTGAAACCTCGTCTCTACTAAAAATACAAAAATTAGCCAGGCATAGTGGCACGCACCTGTAATCCCAGCCACTCAGAAGGCTGAGGCAGGAGAATTGCTTGAACCCGGGAGGTGGAGGTTGCAGTGAGCCAAGATTGAGCCATTGCACTCCAGCCTGGGTGACAGAGCGAGACTCTGTCTCAAAAAAAACAAACAAAAAAAATGAATGAAGAAAGCTTGCAGGATTTATTGAACACAGCAAAAGAGCAACTATGTTAGGAATAAGGAGTTTAGAAAAAGAGAAGAAACTTTACTAAAATAAATTATAGCAGAAAAGTGTTTATAGCTGGGGAAAGATAAAAATATTCAGGTGAAAGAAAGTTAATGATCTCCAATCAAGTTCAAATCAAAGAAGAGTATATCAAGATATATTAAAATCAAAGTGTCAAAATTGAAGACAAGGACAGAATATTTAAAAGAGTAAGAAAAAAAGAACATATCACATACAAGGTAGACTCAATAAGGCTAGCAATGAACTTCTCAGCATAAACCTACAGGCCAGGTGCCAGTGGAATTATATATTCAAAGTGCAGAAGGATTTGTTTTTAAATCTCCAACAAAGAATACCTTACCTGGTAAAGCTGTCTTTAAAAATGTAGGAGTGATTAAGACATTTTCAGACAAACAAAAGTTGAAGTAGTTCGTTACCACCAGATCTTTCTTATAAGAAATGCTGAATGGAGTTGTTTGAACTGAAATAAAAATACACTAATTAGTAACACAAATATGTATGAAAATATACAACTCAATGGTAAAAGTAAGTACACAGTCACATTCAGTATACTCTAACACTCCAATCGTGGTGTGTAAATTACTAAATTTTTAATATAAAGGCTTAAAGACAAAGCTGGTAATATAGTAACAGCCACAATAATTTGTAAATAAATACACAATATAAAAAAGATTTGAACTGTGACATCAAGAACATAAAAACAAAAGTGGAGCTAAAGTGGAGTTAAAGAATAGAGTTTTTTTAATACAATCAAAGTTATGTTGTTATCTACATAATACAGCCTACTATAAGACGTTTTATGTGACACTTATGTATTCACAAACAAATACCTATTGTGAATACACAAAAATTAAAAAGTAAAGAATCAAAGCACACCATTGGAGAAAATTACCTAATCACAAAGGAAGACAAGAAGAGAGGAAGAAAGGAATAAAGGATCCATAAAACAACCAAAAAACCCACAAAATGGGCAAGTAAGTTTTTACTTATTAATAATTACCTCAAAGGTAAATGGACAAATTTCTTCAATCAAAAGATGAGTAGCTGAATGGACAAAACCAAACAAGACCCTAATACATGCTGCCTCTTCACATCTAAGATTGCACATAGGTTAAGGTAAAGGCATAAAAAAAGTATTCCACATAATGGACACCAAAAGAGAGCAGGGGTAATTATAGTTATATCAGATAAAACAGGCTTTCAGTAAAAAACTGTAAAATTAAATTTTATTACATAAAGATAAAGGGTCAATTGATCAAGAACATATAATAATTATAAATATATATAGACACAATATCAGAGCACTTAAATCTATAAAGCAAATGTTAATAGATCTGAGGGGAGAGATAGATGGTAACATAATAACAGTAGAGTACTTTAATATCCCACTTTCAGCTATAGTTTATCTAGGTGGAAAATCAATAAGAAAATATTGGACTTAGACTACACTTTCCTTCAAATAGAACTAACAGACATGTACACAACACTCCATCCAAAGGCAGAGGGATATATATTTTTCTGAATTGCACATGTAACATTCTCCATGATAAATTATAAGTTAGGCCACAAAATAAGTCTTAACAAACTTAAGAAGACTGAAGTCATATCAAGTATCTTTTCAACCAAATGGTATGAAACTAGAAATCAAGAACAGGAGGAACTACTAAAAAACACTATACATGGAAATTAAACAACATTCTCCTGAATCATCAATGGGTCAAAAATAAAATGGAAAGGGAAATTAAAAAAAAAATTGAGACAAATAAAATGGACACACAATATGCAAAAGCATATATAATCAAGGAAAATAGTTCTAAGAGGGAAGAATATAGTAAAAATGCATGCATAAAAAATAAGAGAGATCTCAAATAAATAACTAATTTTATAACTGAAGGAAGTAGAGAAAAAAAAGAGCAAACTAAGTCCAAAATTAATAGAAGGCTATAATATAGGTCAGAGCAGAAATAAATAAATTATATACCAGAAAATACATAGAAAATAATGGTGAAATTAAGAGTTGTTTTCTTGAAATGATAAACAGATTGACAAATCCTTATCTAGACTAAGGAAAAAAGAGAAGATGCAAACAAATAAAATCAGAAGTAAGTAAGGAGACACTTCAACAGATATCTCAGAAATAGAAGGATCACGAGAGATTACCATGAACAATTATGTGAGAAGGCATTGGATATGCTAGAAGAAATATATGCATTCCTACATACATACAAACTACCAAGGATGAATTATGAAGAAATATAACATATCAACAGATTAGTAATGTGTAAAAAATTTGAATTCGTAATCAAAAACCTTTCAACAAAGAAAAGTCCAGGACCCAGTATCTTCACCAATAAAATCAACGCAACCTGCATCAAAATTTTAATGACATGTGTTACAGAAATAGAAAAATGCATTTCTGAAATTCACATAGAACCACAGAAGAACCCAAACAGACAAAGTAATGTCGAGGAAAAACAACAAAGCTGGAGACATTACACTACAGAACTTTAAAATGCACTACAAAGCCAAAGTTATCAAAATAGCAGTTACTGGCATAAAAACTAGTCAATGGAAAATAATAGAGAGCTCAGAAACAAGTCCATACATTTATAGTCAATTTACTTTTAACAAAGATGGCAAGAACTTGCAGTGGAGAAATCCCGGTCTCTTCAATAAATGATGTTAGGAAAAATGGATGTCATGTGCAGAAGAATGAAATTAAACCTTATCTCAAACCATACATAAAAAAATTGGATATAAGGCTTCAATATAAGACCTGAGGCTGTAAAACTAATGAAAGAAAACATAGGGAAAATGTTTTCTGACATTTGTCTGGGCAATGATTTTTTGGATATAGTCCCAAAGCAAAGGCAACAATGTGAAAATAGAAAAGCGAGACCACATCAAACTAAAAACTTTTCAACAGTTAAAGAAACAATTAATAGAGTGAAGAGACAACGTATGGAATTGAAGAATATATTTTCAAACCATACATCCAATAGAAGGTTAATATCCAAAATATATAAGGACTTCAAACAAGGCATCACAATTTAACAAATAATTAAAAACAGGCAAAGGAACTGAATAGCCACTTCTCAAAAGAAGACATAAAAATGTCTATCAGTTATATGAAATAATGCTCAACATATCTAATTATTGGAGAATTATAAGTTAACACCATAATCAGAGATGACTTCACACATGTTAGAATGGCTATTATCAAAAAGATGAAAGGTAACAAGTATTGGTGAGGATGTGGAGAAAAAGGAACTACTGCACATTGTGGGTGAAAATGTAAACTATATAGCCATTATGGGCAACAATCTGGAAGTTCCTTCTAATATTAAAAACAGAACGACCACATGATCTAGCAATCCCAATACTAGATATATATTCAAAAGAAATAAAGTAAGTATGGTGAAGTGATATATCTGCACTCCCCTGTTCACTGCGGCATTCACTATTCACAATAGCCAACAACACAGATTCAACCTAAGTGTCCATAAATACATGAATGCGTAAAGAAAATGTAGTATACACAATAAAATACTATATAGCTATGAAAAAGAAGGAAATCTTATAATTTCTGGCAACATGGATGAACTGGGAAGACACTGTGTTCAGCAAATTCAGCCAGGCATAGATAGAATATTTCCACATGATTTCACTTATATGAAAATTATAAAAGAGTTGGACTCATGGAAACTGGGAGTAGAAGGGTGGTTACCAAAAGATGGGAAAGGAATTGGGTGTTGATGATCAAAGGATATAAAATGTTAGCTAGATAGGAGGAAAAAGTCCAAGAGATCTGTGATACAACATAGTGACTATAGTTAGTAACGATGTATATTGTGTTCTTAAATATTATTAAAAGATTACATTTTAAGTGTTCTCATCACAAAAATGATAAGTATGTGAGGTAATACATATGTTAATTAGCTCAGTTTTGCTGTTTCACACCATATCTATGATTCAAAACATCATGTTGTGCACAATAAATATATACAATTGTATTTGTTAAATATTTTAAAATTATATTCAGTTAAAATCATAATAATCAAAATTCAAAACTTCAATTTTATCAGAATAAGCACAAATATGCTTGAGAACATAAAGAGAATACAGATCAAATAATACAAAGATACAAGCACAACTGCACACAAAATATTTTTTAAAAACAGAAGGAATAATATAAATACAAATTCAGAATTATAATAAAGTACATATGTCATATCAATAAATAAATGTTCTAAACTTAACTAGTAAGAGATAAAGCACTTTATAATTGATCATAGAATATAATTCACATAAGTCCTGATTTCAAAAGACTGCAAAACCACAAGACTTTGGAAATGTTAAAAGAAAAAAAAGATGGAGAAAAGATCTACTCACAAATGGAATTAAAAAGAAAAAAATGAACAAAATAACCCTATCAAAAATATAGAATTTAGGTTAAAATATTCAAAGAGATGAGGATACTTTACAGTGACAAAGAGCAAAATACACACATAAAGCTGATAAGTTATTATTGTCAAGATGGCAGCTAGCTCTCTATCAAAATGTATAAAGCAAATATAGGGACAAATAGACAAAAATACATTTAAAAAATCTTAACCTCTCTGAGTTCATGGCAGAAAGGAAGAAATAAAAATATATAAAATTGAAATAACATATTGATGTGAGAGTGTAACTAATGTATCAAAAAAGCAGTATATAGTATAATTAATATTTTAAAGAGCAGTATTTATTTGAAATGAAACAAAATACATTTTATTTTTAAGTAAAAAAGAATCACAATGAAAGTCACCCATATTAAACCACAAAGACTCTTGGACTTTCTCAAATGTGGAAGTATTACTAAGTTTATTCTATAATCATAACTCAATAAAATTAGAAGTTAATAATAGCAATAAGCAACACAATGACAAAATAACAACAAAAATTTACCACATGGAAAATTTTTGCAAAAAAAATCTTAAAAAATGTTAAGAGTAACCAAAAAAGTAAATATAAATTTTATAGTTAGAAAATAAGAATAAGTCTGGGTGCAGCGGTTTACATCTGTCACATCAGCACTTTGGGAGATTAAGGTGGGAGATCACTGGGATCCAGGAGTTCAAGACCAGCCAGGGCAACATAGCGAGACCCCCCACCCCCATGTCTCCAAGAAAATAAAAATAGCTAGGCATAGTGGCACATGCTTGTAGTTCTAGCTATTCAATGACTCAAGAGGCAGGAGGATTGCTTGTGCTCAGGAGTTCAAGGCTGCAGTGAGCTACAATCATACTACTAAACTCCAGCCTGAGTGACAGAGCAAGACCGTGCCTCTAAAAAAAAAAAAAAGAAAGAAAATAAGAATAATAAGCACAAACTATAAGATACAGTTAATAAAAAAGTTCCCAGCCTTGAATATTTGAATATAAATTGATTTTTTCAGGGCAGGCATGGTGGATCATACCTGTAATCCCAGCACTTTGGGAGGCCAAGGCAGGTGGATCACTTGAGGTTAGGAGTTTGAGACCAGCCTGGCCAACATGGTGAAACACCACCTCTACTAAAACTATGAATATTAGCCGGGTGTGGTGGTGTATGCCTGTAGTCCCAGCTATTTAGGAGGCTGAAATAGGAGAATTACTTGAACCTGGCAGGCAGAGGTTGCAGTGAGCCTACATGGCGCCACTGCGCTCCAGCCTGGTTGACAGAACAAGACTAAAAAAAATGATTTTGGCCAGGCGCAGTGGCTCCCGCCTGTAATACCAGCAGTTTGGGAGGCTGAGGCGGGTGGATCACTTGAGGTCAGGAGTTCCAGACCAGCCTGGCCAACATGGTGAAACCCCATCTCTACTGAAAATACAAAAATTAGCCGGGCATGGTGGCAGGCACCTGTAATCCCAGCTACTCAGGAGGCTGAGGCAGGAGAATCGCTTGAACCCGGGAGGCAAAGGTTGCAGTGAGCCGAGATTGTGCCATCGCACTCTAGCCTGGTCAACAAGAGTGAAACTCTGTCTCAAAAAAAAAAAAAAAAATTTGATTTTATCATTTAAAATGCAAATAAAAGTCTTATGCATTCACTTGTATGTTCCAAATAGAAAAATAAGTCCCATGTAAACAGAAGAAAAAAAGATCATATATTAAAGCATAAATAAAATTTAAAAAACAGAAAAGCAATAGCACTTTGTTTCTTCAGAAGACCTAATAACGTAGACTTCTCAACAGGGTTGCAATTGCTGTTTTGGAGGGGATTTTTTTTGTTTGTTTTATGAGGCTGCATAATGATAAATGAAGGGTACTTTGCATCTCTGGCCTTTGGAAGTAAATATTATCCTTCTCTGTCATTGTGACAATTAAGACACCCTAACATTTTTAATACTTTCTCAGGGCAGGAATTCCCTCAGTTGAAAATCCTTAAAATACATATTTTTATGAAACAATAATGATAAGAGAGACAGTAAGCTGATACATTAACAAAAGTAACATAAATTTAGAGAAATAATCAGAGACACAGATTGAAAGATAAGAAACTCAATCTGTATGTTAGTTTGTATCTGTCTAGAAGTTAATCCTCTGAGAAAGATTCTGGTGCAAGTAGTTTAATTGTGAGGCTCAGGGCAGTTTGTGTCAAAGGGAAAAAGTAAAGACAAAACAGTCAATAAAAGATTGTCATCAATACAGCTGTTACCATGGGTAGGTAACTGGAGCTTAACCTGAGAATGCATTTAAAGCACAAGCCATAGATTTACCTGATTCATGGGGTGAGGAAACTGGGATATACGCACATCAACTTCTATCAGTCATTGCTTGAATGCTGCTCCCAGCGTTCCCAGACACTTACAGTCTGTCTTCCACAATTTAGAAAAAGGCCTTATGCAAAGAGATGCAGATGCTGGCTGCAGAATTCCTGGAGGCTGCAGGCAGGGCACTCACCGCTGATGCTCAGTGGTTGCTTTGCTCATATCTGTTTGAGAGTGTGCATAAAATGAATTATTTTCAGGACAAATATAAAATTATGAAAGCTGAACTCAGAAAATAAAATCTAAACAGACAAATTGCCATACAAGTAAAGAGAAAATAGCCAAGTGATTTACTACCCCCATTACCAACTTCTAGGCTTGAAAACAAAACAAAACGAACAAGAAAAATAGACTTAAGTTTCAAAAGAAGAATTTAGCCAAATCGTTAAGGAACGTACAGCACTAGCATGATTTAGAGAGAGTGCAGAGGAAAAACAAAGAAGACTCAGAAAAGCTTTTGAGTAAAGCAAAAGAAAATATTAGTGAATGAAAACGAATACTGTGTTCCTGGTAAATACACTTTACACTAAAAACACACCAATCTTGCTAAGTAGTTTATGAATTTAACAATCACAATTTTTAAAATAGCACAACAATTATCAGGAAAATTAGATGAAAACAAAGAAAAATAATGCAGATAATTTTAAAAACATTAATAGGAGGAACAAATTCTGAATAGAGAATAATAATCTGTAACTCTCTCATGCAATATTGAAACATGTTATAAAATTACAATAATTAAAATTGGTTGGTAATACCAGATGAACAGGCAAACAGATAAGGAAAGATATTTGAACATCTTAAAATGTATAGACAATCATAAATATATGATTCATGTACATAGAGTATATGAATCACATATACACATATGACACGTATTCACACATTCATATACACATGTGTATACACAAACATTGGTGTGCACAGCACATACGTAGATAAAAATACATAAACATAAACGTAATTATACATAATAATTGTGTGATGGTAATTGTTAACAATGTATTTACAGAGGAGAAAAAAAGCTTTGATTTTTTGCAAATTTCTGTGATGTAATTACTCCACCATGATAAATTCCAAGCTATATACTTGATGTTACCAAAAGCAGAATTAGAGATGTATATATCTATAGTTGTGCATCACCTTAAGAGAATAAATAATAGTAAAATTATTAGATAGGAAAATTTAAAATATTTATTACTTTTGTTTTTGGTATAATTTGCTTAAATTAATGCTGATAATTTGACTTTAAATAATGACTATATTTAAGAACTGGCTTCATAAGTCTTAGATAATTAACAGTTTTCTCTTAGGGGCCAGTAAAAACCAGTCCTACATATGAAGACATACACAGGAATTTTGAGTAGGATAATTTTAAGAATAAAATGAGTTATCATATATAAAGTGTTGAGGGTTGGCTGGACCATAGTAAAGTTCTTCAGTACCAGCTTAACATTTGATTACCAAATTAATATTTGGTATACAGTAAAGATGGCATTACAAACAAGTAGGAAAATCGATTATTTAATATATGATTTGGAGACAGCTTATTCATAATCTGAAAAAGTGATAAGCTGGATTTCTGTTTCCAGTTAATACCAAAATAAAAGACAAATGGATGAAAATTTAAAATGTAAGACAAGAAATGTAAAAGTCCTAGAGAAATATAATAGTTGTTCATATGTGTTCTTGGTCTGTGGGTGGATTTTGGAAGTACCGCCTATGAAGGGACATAAAAGTAAATATTGATACAATTTAGTTACATAAAAAAATCTAAATTCTCCAAATCAAAGATATATACAGTAAAAAATCAAATAATGAACTGTAAAATATTTGGAACTCAGAGTGCAGAACAGGGCTTAATTTCCTCAATATAAGAACAGCTTTTAAGATATAAATTGATCTCATAAAAATCAATAAGCAAAAGACTATGTATGAAACCAATAATAAAAATGGGCCAAGTAAACCACTCAAATTCATTTTGAAATGGGAGACACTAATTAAAACTTATCTTATTGGTAAATAACAAAATAATTTATTACTCGAAGTGTTGGTGAGATTACCAGGTAATGGGTATTCTTATAAACTGTTGGTAGAATACAAATAGGTGCAGTCTTTGTGGAGTACAATTTGGCAACATCTAATCAAATTTTTTAAAATGCATGCTCTTTGAGTTAGTAAATGCAATTTTTTAAATTTATGTATACCTGGATATATACAAAATATATCTGTGCAACTGGTAACAGTGGTTGCCTTCCAAGAGTGGAATTAGATTACCTAAAAAAAGGATGGGAAGAAGGCTTAATTTTCTTTATACTGTACAACTGTTTTTATCTTTTGAATTTGATATTAGATGCATGTGTTAACTATTGAAAATGAAAATAAAATTAATTTTTAATTACATGGGAAACAGATCATCTCATATACAAACAATAAAACAGAAAAAAGCAAAGACAGAACCAAATTGAGTGGTCATTTCAGGTATTTTCACAAGTATTGTTATATTGTTTCACAAATATAATTGAATAACTCTTGAGATAAAGATCTGGCTTGAGAATTCAACATCTTTCGGCACCATCATGGGAAGCAATTTTCCTTTCATAACTGAGTATCAAATAGTATGATGATAATGTCCTAATGTTCAGAAGCCATAATTTAGTTCAGGTATTGTTCAACTTTTCTCTTATGGAATGCTCTATGCAAATCTTACAGGAGTGGAAACAGTTTAAAGAGAATGTTACTGAGAGGGTGTGATGGCCTCTACAAGTCCTCTTATTGTGTAATATTTTATAGCATAGATGACATACTTATAAGTTTACATTTGGGAAATAAATATTTCAAGATGCCATCACTGCTAATTAAAAGGAACCCACATATGATGAGTTGATTGAATTTAAAAGTGAGTCTAGATTGAATTTAAAAGTGAGTCTAGAGTGCATGTCAGCTTCCAGGATCCCATGGTGTAACCGAAATATTGTCACATTAAAGTCTTCCTCTGATCCCACATTCCAAGATGTAAAAGTTACAGTTGTCTCCATTCAATACTCAAGCAGTTATATTTCAAGCTTAACATAATTCGAGACTTTAAAATCCCCAGATATGAAAAAAATCCTCAATAAAAGTGATTATTATTAATAACATTAATAATACTACTTAATTCCTTTCGTATGCTCATTTTTCTCTATTTTTGTAAATGAATTTGAAAAATACATTTTCATTTTCTCAGGCACCATTCTATCAAAATGAAACATTGCTTTGCAGATTTAATGAAAAGCAACAGTTCCAATAAATGAATAGGACAAGTCCAACAAATGAGAATGGACAAACTAGTTTAAGCAAAAATGAGAATTGTCCCAATCTCAATTTTATCCTGGTGAATCTTAATTAGAGTTGTGGTAAGCTGCATTAGTGTTAATAAGGATTAATGTCATAGTGATAAGCAGAACATACAAATCAATAAATGCTGCTGTATCAATATATGAACAGAGACGCAAATAGCCATTTGGGTTCTTAACAGTGAACTTGGTAGGGAGTTAAATACTTGTTATGTGGATTTAATATATTTGAGAAGTAGGTGAGTCTTGCTTGTACACTACAGTCTAACATTGCCTAAAGAACAGTGCTGTGAAACTTCACAGACAAATGGAAACCTTAAATGATTTATAAACTTGCTCAGAGGGGTTATTTCACAACTCTGCCACAGTTTGAAGTCTTGCCCCTAGGTATTTAGGGGAGCAGAATGGTGATTATCAATCAATCTAATGAGTTTTTACTGATTATTACTATGGAACTGAGAATTGAGTTCTGTCCCCCTCTGAGAGGTACAATAGTCACTTAAACAGCTTAAACTTTTACAAAGGAGAAAAAAATACATTAAAAAACCCATAAAACAATTATAAAGTAGTAAGTATCAGTTAGGCTTAATTTTGGATTCAAGTGAAAAAAGAGCTAAAAAGTAGTGGCTTAAAGAAGAGAGAGATTTCTTTCAAAAATAAAGCAGTCTGGGAAGTGTATGGGATTTCCATACACTGGAAAAACCCAGAAGCATTCCAGTTCTCTGTACAGCCGTTACTTGATGTGGCCTCCAACTTAATGGTCAAGGATGGGTCCTGCTGGAGGTAGCAGGTGGTGGAAGGAAATAGAAAGGTGTGACTCTTCATTTTAAAAAAGCTCCATGAAGTCATATACGTCAATTCCTATACTTGATTGAACCACATATGGTCACGTGCAAAGAGGTTGGGAAATGTAATCTTCATCTGGTTGACCATCAACCAGCTAGAAACCGATTTCATTACTAACAAACAAGAAGTGAATGTATACTGGAAAACAAGTAGCAGCTTCTGCCAAAAACACAGGAAGAAATAAATCATTGAATCATGTGGACCAATATTTAACTATTAAAGAAATTCAGAAAAGGAGGCTATCAGTGTGAGATGAAGAAACCAGGAAAGGAAATTTCTTAATGTTGTGCAGAAAAGTTTGTCATTCAGATTTATTTAAACTTTCTGTTTGCTCTTATTTTTTATTCCTCATTATGAAAGTGGGAACATATGAGCAGAGTTCTAAGTAATATGTAAAATTTGTAATGGTGAAGGGAAGAGGAGAGAGTTAGGAGTAAGAATTAGTTGAAGAAATAATTGAAAGTGACATTGAGAATATGTGCAGTAACTATGAAGAAATCTTATAGAGCCTAGATAGATGTTGCATATCAGATGCTGTGTACATGATTATTAGGCTTTATTAAAATTGGATCTATTAGTCTTAATAGTCTGAGTTCCCAAGATAAACAGAACATATACATATATTTATATTATAAGGAATTGGCTCCCAAAATCTTCAGTCTAAAATCTGGGGACCCAGGAGACTTGATGGTATAGTTTCAGTCTAAGTCCAAAGGCCTGAAAACCAGGAGAGCCAGTAGTGTAAATTTCAGGCTGAGTCTGATTCTAAGGTCAGAAGACCAATATCCAAGCTTGAAGACAGTCAGAGAGGGAATTATTTTCTATACAACCATTTTATTCTATTCAGGCCTACAGTGGATTGGAGGGAGCAAGCTTCTACATTCACTCTGCCAATTCAAATGTCAATCTCATCAGAAACACCCTCACAGATACATCCAGAAACAATGTTAAATCAAATATCTGACCACCCCATTGCCTAGTCGTGTTGACACATTAAAATTAACCATCAAAATAGATGCAGAAGAGTTTCCTGGCCTAGAATCCTTAGATCTGCATGTTCATGAGAAAGATTATATTAGCTCAGCTAATGGTCATTAGAATTAAGAGTATAGATTTTTAGTAGCCAAACTTGAAATAAACAAATATGTAAACCAAAAGGCCAATTAGTTAATTCCCACTAGTTGCTCCTATTTATTTTATTTGTTATGTATTCAACAATTTCCCTATGAAATAATTATTGATGACAGAAACATAAGTATAAAATTTTAAAATTAAAAAATATACACATATAGAACAGTGAGATACTCAAAAGACATCTTCAAAGCTCTGTGTGTATGAATGGAGCAAATAAATAGGTAGGCAAGCCAGGCACAGTGGCTCACATCTGTAACCCCAGCACTTTGGGAGGTTGAGGTGCAAATCAGTTGCGGTCAGAAGTTTGAGACCAGCCTGACCAACATGGAAAAACCCCATCTCTGCTAAAAATATAAACAACAAAAAAAAATTAGCCGGATGTAGTGGCACATGTCTGTAGTCCCAGCTACTCGAGAGGCTGAGGCAGGAGAATCTCTTGAACGTGGGAGGTGGCAGTTGCAGTGAGCAGCAGAAATGTGCCATTGCACTCCAGTCTGGGCAACAGAGCGAGACTCCGTCTTAAAAAAAGAAAAAAGAAAAAACACACACAAATAAATAAGTAAACAAATAAATATGTGGGTAATTTATTGGTTAATTCCCAATGTCAGCATCTGTTTCACGTTCTTCAGAATTGATCAGTTTCATCAAAGATAAATCATCCATCTTTCTGCACTTAGACACTCTTTGATTTCATCTTCCATAAGACAAGACATTTGCACTCCACTACATATCAGTCTTCAGAATTCAACCAACAGTCCTCTGCTGGCATTGAAGAATACTTATGGTTATCTAACTGCCTCTTAGACAATTTTCAGTCAATTTTCTTCTTTTTCCACAACCATCACTGTGAACCTCAGAGTTCCTGAACTTACCATGTTTCTGTGGCACAAATTGTTTTGTTGCTTGTTGGTTTGCTTTTAATTGGTTTCCAATACTTTCTCTTCCCACTCATGCTTTGGTTTCATTTTCTTGTGTTTTTCTAGGGTAATTATCAGTTACTCAATTATTCTTTACTTTTTTATTTATTCATTAACATTCAATATGCCTTATATATTCCTTAACCCTCATTTCACTAAAGTTTTATGCTAAATTGTGTAATAAGGTTTTTTATCAGCTAAATTGTGTAATAAAGTTTTTTAATCATCTCTACTCATCATTTTCAATCATTCTTTTTCCTTAATAAAGGCATTGAAGTTGACAAATTTCCTACACACAACCGAATAGCATAGGCTTGTAATCTAGAACTGACACTCTAGTTCATATAAGTTCTTATTTCCATTATGATTTCTTCATGACATAGATTTTACACATTTTTAAACTTAACAAACAGGTGGAACATTTCATTAACTGATAGGTTCTTTATTTCAAAATTTATAGTGTATGATCAAAGAATGGCATTTGTTTGCACCAAATCTTTTGAATTTGATATTTGTGGCCTAATATATTTTCAGAATTTTATGATTTTTTTTGAAGAATAAAGTGACATTTATTTTTCTGTTAACGTCTTACTTTAAGTTTTAATTCTAATATATGTCATATTAATATTGCTACCTTAGGTTTATTTTGGTTTCCATTGGTGTATATATATGATATGTGCGTATATATATATATGTGTGTATCAGTTTATTTGAAGTATTTTGCATAATGTCATTTTATATGTATTTTGTATAAACTGTACAATGCTGAACTTTCAAGCTTAACATAAGAACCTCTGAATTATAATGAGTGATCCATTTATACTTTTTCTTACTACTATATATTTAGGCTTTGCTGTCTTTTTCATATATTCCACCTTTTATGGACATATATTTTATTTCATTGTGTCTCATTATATTAGAGTTTTTGTCTGGCACGGTAGGGTCAGATTGCAAAAATGACTGTGCTGGTTGAAACTATGCAAGCAATATTAATAATCAAGGAAAATATTACAATTATTTTGTCTCCTATAAATTTTTATTAAGAAATTCAAAACTGTCCATTATAAATGTATAGAAAAAATTAAAAATTACATTAATTGCTACTAAAATTACACTAATAGTTGCTCAGTACATTGTAATTTCAAACATTGAAAACATTGAGAATTAAAGTATTTTCTTTATTTGCAAAAATATGAATAATTGTTTGACCAGTACTTGCCTTCCCATTGTGTAAATTGAGTTTAACTGAGTGAACATATTTTCTGTGTCATGAATACCAATATTTTATACATTGTGTTTTAACATCGTGAAACATCTTCTAGGGTTACTTTAATATGAAGCTTTTTGCTGATTTCACTTCCTATGGAACATCTCCAAATTTTTTTGTCGCTATTGCTTACCTAATTTATGTTGTTTGTCTTTATTAAGTTCTTTTGGCTGCATATCTAGAATCTCTTAAATAATATCAATGTCAACATTTCCCTGATAATCAATTTCTTCTATAACTCTATTTACATTAATTCAAATTTCCCTCCCAACATATTTTTATTCCTTTGCTGCTCTTTTGTCTTTGTTGTCCAATTCTCACTTTTGATTATTTATTTTTTAAGTTGGCACATGGCTTAACACTCAGAAACAAGGAGAAAACAAAACTACGCATTTGTTCTCTGTGCATAAACTTAATAATAGACATGCAATAACCACTCTCAGCCAACTTTGAAAGAAGTGACATGATGCAACTGATCATGATGTACATAATTTATTTATGTAGTGATTTGTGGCCTGAAGAGCCAGCAAGAAAGTTTGTATTTTTTGCAATTACTCACAGCTAATACATGTTGTAAATAAAATTTAAATCATGTTATAGGATCTCATTTTATTTAACTAAGCCATGGTAACTGAAATTCATGCATATTAGATCTATGCAAAGCAAAGACCTGCCTGTATTATTTGTACATTTTTTTCTACTAATGGTTTGACAGTTATGCATTTGATTTGTTAATCTTATATTCACTCATATATTTTTAAAAACATATTTGTAGAAGTAAGAAACACATACAGAAAAGTCCACACTCATAAATGGACAACTTAATAACTTATTACTAAGTAAACCATGATACCACAACACAGATAAAGAAATAAAATGTTATCAGCTTCCCAGAATGTCCTCCCTTCTATCAGAGACTCTTCCTTCTTTACCAAAGCTAACTTCCATCCTGATTTAAATTACAACATATATGCTTGACTGTTTTTCACTTTACTTAAATGGAAAAATGCAATATATATTCATTTGTATCTGTGTTCCTTTCCTGAACATATTTGTGAGACACAGCTATGTTGTGTGCAGATGCAGTTTATTTGATTTTACTAGATAGAGTAAAACCTTTATTTGAATAAAAACATTATTTATTTATTCTACTGTTTGGGAGTTTAATGTTAGTTTTTTTGTCTACTACAGACATTTTTGTGCGTCCCTTTTTGTACACGTGAGCACTCATGGGTATACATTAGGTGCATACTTAATAGTAGATATTCTGGGCCATAGGTAAGCATAACATTTAGATTTAACAGTTTTCTAGATATATGCATAAATTTACTTAATCAGAAAGAAGAATGATTCTAGAACTTCTAAAAGAAGTCCTAATTGCTCCATATAATTCTGTCAACACTTAGTATTGTCAAACTTTACTAAAATTGTCTTTCTGATTATTTATTGGTATGTTTTAAATTTGCATTTCCCCTATTTCTAGTGAAATTGAGAACCAGTTTATTAAACTCTGTATTTTGAAATACTTTTAAATTTAAAGAGGAGTTTAAAATAGTAAAGTTTTTTTATTGCTTTTAAATAAACTATATATTTTATGTGTATTTCACCAGTTTTTCTGCCTATGTCCTTTTTCTATTGAAGGATCCAGTTCAGAATGCCACATAGCATTTATCTGTCATGTCTCTTTAGTGTCCTTGAGTCTGTGACAATTTCTCAGTATTTTCTTTTTTTGTCATGAGCTTGACACTTTTGATGAGCACCAGCCAGGTGTTTTGTAGAAAATTCCTCAATTTGGCTTAATGTAATGTTTTCTCTTGATTAGACTGTGGCTATGGATTTGTTAAAAGTTTGCCAAAGAGGTAAAGTGCTCTTCTAATTGCATATCAAGTAGCACATAATATCAAAAAGGCTTACTGCTGGCTATGTTAATCTTAAACATTTGGTTGTGGGAGTATCTTCCTGATTACTCCACTGTAAAGTTACTATGTTCCTCTTTCTCTACTCTGTGTCTTGCTATTGAGACACTAAGTCTGAACCACAACAAAAGGGAGAGAAATTAAGCTCCACCTTCTGGAGGGAGACATATCAAAGAATTTACGAATATATTTAAAACTGTCTCAGTTATTAATACATATTATTGGAAATCACTTTAAGGATATGTAAATTTCCCATATCCCTTTCAAGTTTAACCTACTAATGTTAGCTTTCATCAGTGGATCTTGCCTGAAGTAATTATTACTGCAGTATTCTAATAATTATTTTTATTTCCCTCATTCTTTCTACATTTATTTATTGAAATTCTTCTAGGCGGAAGATTATTCCATGCTACTTATTATCTAATTGTTTAATTATTAATCAATTATTTATTTATGTAAGTATAATATATAATTTTAAAATCTTTAAATTATGATTCATTACTCTCTGTATTTTTTTATTGCTTAATCTGCTATTGCTTTAGCCATTGGAAATTATTTCATATTATCTCCTGTGTGTTCTCTTAAGATACTGCTTTATTTCTATTTTTACTTCCTTAAATTCTAGATTTTCCAGAAGATTATCTTAGTGAGCATTCCAGGTACACTTGAAACTTTTGTGTATTCTACTTTGAGATGGAGAGCTCTACAAATGCCAATTAAATTAGGTTAGTTGATAGTATTCTTCAGATTACCTATATTCTTACTGATGTGGTACCCATTTATTATCTTAATTGCTGACAGAAAGATGTTGAGTTTTCTATTATAATTTTGGGTTTATCTTCTTTATTTCAAATATCAGTTTTGGAGTGTTCATCAATACATGAACAGATAAAGAAAATGTGGCATATGTACATAGTAAAATACTATCTAGCTTTAGGAAAAAAGGAATTCTATCATTGGCAATGACATGAATTAACCTATAGAATTATGATAATTGAAAAAAAGACAGGCAAAGAAAGACAAATAATGCATGACCTCAATTTATGTGGAATCTAAAAAGGTTGAACTCATGGAAATAGAGTAGAATGGGTGGTTGCCAGGGGCTGACTTGGGGGCTGGGAGTGGGATGGGGATATGTTGATTAAATGATACAAAATTTCAGTAAGACAAGAGGAGTAAGTTTAGCTGTATTGTACAAAAGGTGATGATAGTTAAAAAATATATAGTATGCTTGAAAACTGGTAAAAATATAGATCTTAAATGTTCTTACCACAAAAGAGATAAATATGTGAGGGAATAACTATATTAGCTTGATTTAGACTTTCCACAATGTATTCCTATATCAAAACATCATGTTGGCATGACAACACCAAGATGTTTGACTACAAGTATCTAGTACTCATCTACAAAAGAAGAAAGAAAATAACAGGTAAATTACTAGACTTTGAGTAGAGTATCTAAGTGTGAATGCTGGAGTTTACCAAGGAAGTGAGAAAACGCTCTGAAGCACAGGAACACGTGATAATAGCATAAAGAGGGAAGTAAAGCACTTGGCCAAGATCAGCTCGTAGCCAAAAAGACTCCCTTTTATGAGGAAAAAGTAAGTAGAAGATCCCCAGAAGACACCATTAATTACTGAAAATGCCTGGAATCTTAGAGAAGAGCCCTTCAGTCCTCACAGGCCCTCAGCTGAGTACAGAAAACTGCCTGGAATCCATGTGGCAACATTGCCTGCAGAAAGGAAGTCATGCTGGGCTCCCTCCCACTCCACAGGACCCAAGCTGCTATTCCATGGTACCATTTTGAGAACAGAGAGACTGCTAGAAAGCATTCTGTTCTGGGGACCAGTAGCCCCTGCATCTCCACATCCCTGAGGCCCTCCTATCATCTCACTATGCCCACACAAAAGGATGTAATGCCATGACAAGATGATATATTAAAAATGCTAAAAAAAATTCTAGACAAAAATACTATATCCAGTAAAGCTACGTTTCAGAAAAAAAAGGAGAAATTACTTATTTCCCAGACAAGCAGAAACAAAGAAAATTCATTACAACTAGGCTGGCCTTGAAAACTATTATGAGGAAATCCTACATCTTGTAGTGAAAGGATGATAACTTCTATTAGGAAGGCATAAAAAGTACGAACGTCACAGGTAGAGCAGATGGATAAATAAGAAAGAGACAGAAATCAAATTTTATCATTGCAAAAAACTCTCAAACTGCAAAGATAAATAATGAGACAGGAAGAAGACACTAATGGGTGTACAGAACAACCTGGAAAAAATTAACAAAATGACAGGAGTATGTCCTCACCAATAAATAATATCATTAAATGAAAACAGATTAATTACTCAATTGAAATATATAAACTGACTTAATAACAATACAAAATGCCACTATATGTAACCTACATGAAACTCACTCCACATATAAAGACACACAGAATGAAAGTGAAGTGATAGAAAAAGATATTCTATGCAAACAGAAGTTAAAGTGAGCATGAGTAATTATACTTATATCAGATAAAATAGACTTTAACTTAAAAACTACAAAAAGAGACAAAGAAGGCTATTATATAATGATAAAGGGATCAATTTAGAATGGGAATATAATTGTAAATGTAATCACCCAATACAAGAGCACCCAGGTATATAAAGCAAATATTGTTTGATTTCAAGGGAGAGATAAATGCCAATTCAGTTATATCTTGGAACTATATTTGCAATACTCTACTCTGAGCATTATACAGATCATTTAGGCAGCAAATTGACAAAAAAAAATTGTATTTATACTCCACTATACACCACATAGACCCAACAGACCTTTATAGAACATTTTACCAAACAATTGCAGAATACACACACTTCTCATCAGCATATAGAACATTTTCCAGAATAGAGCACATCTTAGGCCACGAATCAATTGTCAAGAATTCAAAAAATACAAATAACATCAAGTATATTTTATAACAAATTAGAAACAAAATATATAATGCATAAATGTAGAAAACAATAACAAAACTGACTTTGGAAAATACACAAATAGAAATTAAACAATATACTCCTGAATAACCAATAAGTCAGTGAAAAAATTAATAATAAAATGTATAAAGGTCTTAAAATAAATAAAAATGGAAATAAGACATACCAATATCTATGGGATAGAGCACTAGCACTACAAAGACAGAAGTTTATAGCAATAAACATCTATAAAAAAGATTAGAAAGATTTTAAATCATCTAACAATGTACCTAAATGAACTAGAAAAGCAGTAACAGATCAAATCCAAACTTAGTAGAATAAAATAAATGATAAAGATCACATCAGAAATAAATGAAATTGAGACTAAGAAATGAATGTAATAAAAAAGTGTTTATTTGAAAAGATAAACAAAATTGGTGACACTTTAGGTAGAATAAGTAAGAAGAAAAGAGAGAAGACCCAAATAAAATCAGAAAGGAAAAAGGAGACATTACAGCTGATAACACAGAAATATAACATATCATTTGAAACTTATGAACAATAATATGCCAATGAATTGAAAAACCTAGAGACAATTATTAAATTACTGGACACATACAACCTGCAAAGATTCAACCAGAAATAGAACACTTGAATAGACCATTAGCATAGCAAAATTGGGTCAATAATAAAAAGTCTGTCAACAACAACTACAAAAAGCCCAGGACTGGATGGCTTTACTGATGAATTCTATCAAAACTTTAAAGAACAATTAATGCCAATTATTCTCAAGATATCCCAAAAATTTTAAGAGGAAAGAATTCTTCTCAACTCATTCTACAATGTCATCATTGCTGTGATACCAAAACCAGACAAGTTCAAAACAGAAAGGAAAACTACAGACTGATTTATCTAATAAACATAGATACAAGAATTCTCTACAGAATACTAGCAAACCAAAGCCAGCAGCACATTAAAGAGATTATACACCATTATCAAGCAGGATTTATCCCAGGGATGCAAGCATGGTTCAATATAGCCAAATTGATAAAAGTAACATATCACATAAAGATTAAAACCATATGATCATCTCAGAAGATGCAGAACCAGTATTTGATAAAATAACATGACTTCATAATAAAACTCAAAAAAATTAGCTATCAAAACATGTACCCCAACACAATAAAGGCCATATAGGACAAACTCACAGCTAACATCATACCAAATGGGAAAAAGCTGAAAGTTTATCCTCTGTGACCTAGAACAAGATATGGATACTCCCTCTCACTACTCTTACTCAACAGGTAGTGGAAGTTCTAGCCAAAACAATTAGGCATGAGAGAGAGGAAAAAAAAGGGCATCCAAATTGGAAAGAATGAAATCACATTGTCCCTATCTGCAGACAATAAAATGTTATATATAGAAAAACCTAACAATTGCACCCTACAATTTTTAAGACTAATAAATAAATTTAGTAAAATTGAAGAATACAATATTAACATAAAAAATCAGTAGCATTTCCATACACTAATTACAAACTAGCTGAAAAAGAAGTCAAGAAAGAAATCCCATTTACAGTAGACCCCAAAAATACAAAAAAAAACCTAAGAATAAATTAATCAAGGAGGTGAATTATCTCTACAATGAGAACTATATAACACTGATGAAAGAAATTGAAGAGGGCACACACACACACAAATAGAAATTCCATGTTCATGGGTTGAAAGTATTAACACTGTTAAATTGACTATACTACCAAAAACAATCTATAGATTTAATTACAATCCCTATCAAAATACCAATGACATTCTTCACAGAAAAAAAAAACAACTAAAATTTGAAACTGCAAAGTCTTCCAAAATCCAAAGCTATCCTTAGCAAAAAGTGCAAAACTAAAAGCACTACACTACCTCCAAAATATACTACAAAGATATAGTAATCAAAACAGTATGGTCCTGGAATAAAAAGAAACAAATAAGCCATCAGAATAGAATAGGCAGCTCAGAAATAAATCTACACATTTCTGGTCAATTAAATTTTTTAAAAGGTACCAACAACACACAATGGAGAAAAGACATTTCTTTAATAAATTGTGTTGGAAAAACTGGATATTCATATACAAGAGAATGAAACTAGACTCCTATTTTTCACCAGAGATAAAAATAAACTCAAAATGGATTAAAGACTTCAATATGAGACCTGAAACAATGAGACTGCTGGAAGAAAACAGGGGAAATGCTTCAGAACATTGGTACGAGCAAAGATTTGATGGTTAAGACCTCAAAATCACAGACAACAAAAGCAAAAAGAGACAAATGGAATTATATCAAACTAAAAAGCTTTTGAAGATTAAAGGAAACAATCAACAGATTGAAGATAGAACATGCAAATTGGGAGAAAATATTTGCAAACTATTCATTTAATTCAGGATAAATATTCAGAATATGCAAGAAGCACAAACGACTCAACAGTAAAAAAAAAATCTAACAGAAAAATGGGCAATGATCTGAATAGACATTTCTCAAAAGAAGACATACAAATTGTTGTGCTGAACACCCTTAATCATCAGGGTTTGATTTGCAGAAATGCAAATCAAAACCACACACACACACACAAACAAATGCTAGTGAGGTTGCTGAGAAAATTTTTGACACTCTTGATGGTAATGTAAATTATCACAACTGTTACAGAAAATGGTATAGAGATTTCTAAAAAACTAAAAATATAATTACCAAAGCAATCCCACTAATGGGTATTTATCAAAAGGAAAGAAAGTCATTATATCAAAGAAATTCCTGTATCCCCATGCTTATTGCAGCACTATTCACAATAGTTAAGATAGGGAATCAAACTAAATGTCTATCAACTGATGAATGGATAAAGAAATTATGGTACATGTACACAGTTAAATACTATTCAGCTATAAAGAACAAAGAAATCCTTTAATTCACAACAGAATGATTGAGAATGAAAGGACATTATATTAAGTAAAATAAGCCAGACACAGAAAGATAAATACCACATGTTCTCATTAACATGTAGAACTAAAAAATTGATCTCATAGTAATAGGAAGTAGAATAACTATTACTAGAGGCTAGGACTCATGGGAGTGAGGGGGTAAGGAGATTAAGTAATATAAAATCACAATTAAATAGGAAGAATAAGTTCTACTTTACTATAGGCCTGTAGAGTGACTATTGTTGACAACTTATTGTATATTTTCAAAGAGCTAGAAGAGAGAATTTTGAATATTCTTAACACAAAAAAAGTGATAAAACTTTGAAGTAATGGATACGTTAATTACTTTAATTTGATCATTGCAAAATGTATACATGTACAAGACAACACATTGTACCTCCAAATATGTATGTGTTAATTTAAAAATAACAAAATATGTTGTATACTATAAATATAAACATTTGAAACAATTTTAAAAATAGATGAATAAATAAATAAAACCAGTTTTTGTCTCATGTGTTTTGAAGTATTGTTTTTAGGTTTATACAAATTTGGAATTGTTATTGCCTCTTGGATAATTGATTTCTTTATCATTTTGCAGTGTTTTACTTTATCTTTGATAATAGCCTTTTACTGAAGTTTATTTTGCTTAAATAGTTGTTTTAAGCAAATATTTACTTCAGTTTTCTTTTTGTTTATTTTTTCATTATATATATAAATGAATATATCTTTTTTAATTGATATGTGACATCATTCACATTTAAAGTGATTTTGGTATGGTTGATTAATATATACTTAATCTTGCTGGCTATTTTCTGTGTTTAATTTGTACTTTGTTTCTCTTTTCCACCTTTTGGCAACTTCTGAGCATATTTGATCCCTTTTATAATTAATCTTTATCTTGTTTACTCTTTATACTTATTTTAAAAAGCTTATTAGGAGCTAGATTTGAGTTTTGCAATATTCATTTTTAAATAACCTCACTATAGTCTTGAATAATATCATGTTGCTCTATGTACAGTGCAACAATCTATGTATCAGTGTGTTTTCTTCGTCTTATTGTACATACATCTCACTTTTATGTAAAACACACTAGTTTTGCAAGTTCTGTTTTGAACAGTTATTTTTCACTTAAATTACAAATGACTAAAAATATTTTCTTTTCCAATGATTTATTCATTAATTTATAAATGACTAAAATATTTTCTTTTCCTAAAATTTATTCATTTTCTGATGCTCTTTAGACAAGTTTCTGACATCATATTTCTTCAGCATGAAAAATTTTCTTTAAATTTTCAATAGATTAAATCTACTGGCAATGATTCAATGAGTTTTTGCTTGACGAGAAAGTATTTCTTCTTAATTTTTAATGAACATTTTCACAGGGTATAGAATTCCTGATAGGTTTTTTTACTTCTTGCAGGATGTAAAGTTGTTACTCCGTTTTTTTCTTGCTTCACAGTTTCTGTTGAGAAGTCTGATGTAATTCTTTTTCACTTTCCACTGTTAATAATGTGACTCCCCTCTACCCCTTACCTACTGGTTATTTTTAAGATGTTCTCTTTCCCTTTTGTTTTCATCAGTTTGATTAGGATATTCTCAGGCTGTGATGCGTTTTTGTTTAACTTATTTTTAATTTAAACTCTTTGGTGTTCTGTCAAATTCTTGGATTGGCTATTTGGAGTCCACTATCAATTTTGGGAAATTATTGACTATTATTTCTTCAAATAAATCTTCTGTCCTTTTCTCTCTGGTGTACCAAGACATGGATGGCAGAACTCTTGATATTGCCCCACAGCTTTGGTTGGTCTGTTCTGTTAGTTTTTAGTTTTCCACTAAGTTTTCTATTTATATTTCATTTTGGGTAAATTTTTATTGACTTTCAAGGTAACTGACTCTTTCTGTGACTGTTTCAAATCTCTGTAAGTGTCCACTGATTACTATCTTAATATCCATTACTGATTTCATGTCTGTTTATTTCTAGTGTTTCCCATGGATTATTTCTTATAATTTCCAAATCTGCACAAATGACCTATCTGACATTGCTTGCTGCCTCTTTTCTTTGAGAAAATTTAACATATTAATTATAATCGTTTTCATTTCTCTCTCTAATAGTTCCAATATCCATGTCATATTTGAATCTGGTTTTGGTGATTGCTTTCTTTTACTTTTATTTCTTGTCATTTAGTATATGCTTCACAATGTTTGATTGAAAGTCAGACATGTTGTATAGAGCAGTAGTCTTAGTTACATAATTTTATGCTTGGATATGAGTTTATATTATTCTTTTAGGCCCTAGTGTAGAAAGTTATTTTACACCTGTCAGGAGTCAGGCTGGGATTGAACTCTGCTTTCTATTTGTACTTTAGTGTCCCCAGTTGACTTTGATTATTTCCATGTTAAGGAGGCTCCCAGAGAGAATCCTTGCCTTGCAACTCTCTCAATTGTATTCTATATTGTTTTTACTTAGTGTTAGTGTGGTGGGAGGGGACAGAGAAAGAAGGTGGGCCCCTAAAATTCTGATTAACTCTTAGCCTTAGTCATGCACTGTGAACCTAGCTCTCAGCATCTTGGCCCTGAAAAGTCTTCTTGCCCTTTCTCTAGAAGCATTTCTGAGTTTAGCAGATATTCCTTCATCTCTCCTGAGGAAATAACTTTTTTTCCTGTTCTTACCTTTTCCAGCTGCAGTATATTTCCAAAAGAGCCCTCACGCTACCGTTTTGATTCCCTTCCCACTGTGGAGTAAGGTTTTTTGTTCCATAAGAAAAAAATAAGCCAGAAAATTCTGGATGGAGTTTTGGTGGTGACTGCCATTTCTCTCCTCCAGCTGCAACTGATTTTCACTGGTGCCTACAATATACACATTTTATTGCTCTTTCACTTACCTTTAAGGCTTTTCGTTTCTCAAACAGATGGGGGAGTAAGTCCCAGTGAATGTTGGTGGTGGCTGCTCTTTCCCGTCTCCAGCTAGCATCATGAAAAAGCTTTTCCAAGAGCCTTCCTGATATTTCCTGTGAAGAAAATAAACTCAGCATGAATTATAAAGATACATATGTCATAATTTTATAATAAATAAGAAGGTGGACTTCAGCCTGAGTGATGAGAGTAAAACCCTGTCTCACAAAAAAGGAATGCAGAATTTTATGTGCAATATGATTAGAATTTTGTGCAGATGAATTAAACTGTATATAGGAAAATAACCTAAATTCTGCCAAGTCTAGTTGCAAGATAACATCTAAACACATATTGTGGGCTCCTCCCTATATCCTGGAAAAAGCAAAAAGCATTTTTTTTTAATAGAGATGTAGTCTCAAACATTGCCCAGGCTGGTCTCGAACTCTGTCACTCAGGCTGGTGACCACTTTCTTATTTATTATAAAATTATGACATAAGCATCTTTATAATCCACGTAGTAAATATTTATAAAATGTCTGCCTAGTGTTCGATTTAGTGACTGTACCCTGGTTAATCTGACAAACTCTCTGTATACTAATTGACAATTTTGTCTTTCAGAAAGACAAAGAAATGATAGGGGACCTCACCCTAATCATGCATAATATGGAGGAATAAGTTGATGGCATGTATATTATAGAAATCTTGCGAGAATGTGATTATGATATCTAGAGCTTGATATCCAGGAAAGAAATATAATTTTACTTGGACCTAAGGCAAATCATGAATTCTTCAAATAAATAGTAGGCAATTTTACATGTCTTTAATTTTTTAAAAAACTCGAAAGATTAGCAAAATTATCATGAACAGATATCTGATTATTATATTAAATAATTGAAAAGATCACATTTTAAAATTATTCTGATAAGAATTAAGTAGGATTAGCCTATGAGGACAATGTAGTTCTTTTGGTAAAAAGGGCTAAGGTTTTTAAAACACATGGGCTCTAAATGGCAAGAAGAAAAATCAAGAAGATGATTGCGTAAAGGGGCAGGTGGCAAATATCTGTTTGAATGGTGTACAAAATGTATACCGAACAATGTCAAGAAGGATAAAACTCAATATGACATAACATTTGGGATAAAAATTATTGAGCCTTAGAAGTTTGATCTTAGAAATGTGTTCAGATCAAGATGATTTTGAAAATAATCAGCAATCAAAAAGGGCACATACAAGTGTGAAATTGATAAGATAAATATAAATTTAACTTGATAAGGGTGAGAAAACTTCTTTAACATTTTTAAACATAACTTTTGAATAACTCATTTTCTTCTAAGCTTATCTTTCTGGACTTTAATTTTGATCCTTTTCCTTGATTTTTTTTACCTGTTATTTTTATGTGAATTATAATTTTATTTTTGATCTACTGTATTTATTGCTAGATTAGTCACTCACCCCTAGATAAATGAGTCTTAATGTCTATTAAGTTATATTATATTATTAATAATTCAAGTATTTTGGTTAAGTTCTTGTTTTTAAGGTTTCTTTTATGGACTGAGTCTGTGATGAGAGCCTTGTTGCTCACTTACAGGATAGGGGTAATTTGCTTCTGCTTGATGGTTTTAGTCTACTAAAGCATGGTTACTTTAAGCATGCCTCTTCCTTTCCATTTTCATTTTCTTCCAGTACAATGAATACTAAGCTTTTTTTTGTTTTTTTGTTTGTTTTTTTTTGGAAGCTGTAGCTTTAAGACTATAATAATGCTTTTGTGATATCAAAATTTGTATTGGTCACATTTTTGAGAAGCACTCCTAATAGCACCAGAGGCAAAATAGATATCTTTGATTTTTCAGTGTATTAGAGAAAGATAAATATGTGCAAACTTAGTCTTATAACTTTGGTTAACTTGGCTCTCATTATTTAGGATTACTCCAAGAGGAAGCTTTGCAATTTGTTAGGTGTTCTGGCCAGAGTTTAGTTGATTTGTGTCTATGAGCAGAATCTTTATCCACTCCTCCACCACATTATGGACTCTCTGGGAAAAACAAACTGAATAAAAAGTCTATTTTATCAATGAACCCTGGTCTTAAACTATGAAATAAAGTCTTCTTTGATGTTATCTTTTAGCAAAATTTTCTTTCTGGAAACTTCCATAAATCAAGGATTTGAACAAAAGCAAGTTAGGCTTCATGCATGACAAGATTCTTTCTCTCTTGCCTGATTAAAGTGAGAGAAAGAGAGAACCCTGAGGAGTATTTTTAATACATTTTCCCCTGACACTGCATAAATCCAGGAACATTTATATGCTAATCAAATCAAAATAGGAATTATTAGTGACTGGAGAGCCCCAACATGGCTGTTATTTTCCCATCAACCTATGATAACAGCTCTGACGCTGAATTAAGGAGCTGAATATTACGTAAGCTCCAAAAGGTTATAATACATGACAGGTTTAAGCAATATTAAATCCTAGAAACCCTGACCCACCTATTACATATTTATTCAGTATTACAAATTGTAAATATTTAAAAATACACAAAGATACAGTGTGGGTAAATTATTAATGTTTAATGAAATTATTCATGGCATACAAAGAGTTGAATAACTCAACAAATACCATGAAGGTTAATGCATGCAAAGGAATCTGAGGGGTCCAGCAATGAGAATAACACATTGTGTCCTTTCCTGGAGTGATCATGAAATGGAATTAACATGACCTGATTTCCATGGTTAAGGATATCTCTGGGGATAAAAGGAAGCAATGTTCACCAAAGACCTACTAGCAGCTAATCCAGATTCAATGTCCGGTCTCCATCTCACATGCTGGAACCCATTGATTTCTTCTACTGCTCTCATTTTAATGTCATTTTAAGATAACACTCTGGTCGTTGCTAAAATTCTACATATTTAGCTTGTCTTTTAAGAGGTCAGCCGCTGATTGGGAATAGCTATCATATGTAATCACAGATGAGCAAATAATGGAAAACTCAAGAAAAGGTCAACAAAAAGATCTCAGGTAATGAGCCCAGTGGAGACATTTTATTTTGATTTCCAGGATATCTAGTGTTCTTACTGATAATGATCACAGATCACAATACAACAGGTTTAAATTTACACTTCCCTTTTTTAATGCTACAATGCCCACACAAAAGTCTTTGTCTGCAGTGAATGGGTAAGCAGAAGAATTTCTTGGCAAACCCAATTTGCATCTACATTCAAAACGCTATTTCAAGTTCCCATCCTCAGTAGCAGTAGCACAATTGCTCTGATGTTTGCAGAATTTTAAGGAACTGAGACATAAGACAATTATGAATAAGGTTTCAGCTAATGCCCTATAAAAAGTCACATATTTACAAAATATGATAAAGATTAGTTAAAAAGTGATCTGTTCATAAGAGTCTTAGAACTATCCTTCTATACTTTAGTTGCTGAGTTTTCATCTTTTGAACATCTATCTATCTACCTGCCTAGCTGTTCTGACTTTATATATGCATAGCCATCTTTTTTGAAAAATAATAATAGGCATTTATGTGAAACTTCACTTTCCTTCTAGGATCAGAACAGTTATGTTGAATTCGTGTGAAATTTTCATGTTTTCTAAGAAGACATATCCTTTCTTAAAATTTTTCATTTAGGTGTACATAGTTGTTTCAGTGCAATGTAATCAAGATCATTGCTCTTAAAAAAGTTGTTAATTAGCAACAATTTCTACTAAATTGGCAGAAATAAGTTTAATTTTTAGGTGTTGATCAAACAGGAATGGCTTTGATTTCATCAAATAGGTAAGATTATATGAATATTTTCAGAAATAAAAAGTTTTCTTATCAAAAGAAAGACAAAGACTTGACTTTATGCAATAAATTTGATTAGTTTTGCAAAAATTATCTGTCAATTCCTGAAGAAGATAGCAAACATTACATCACACAGATTTCATATTATTTCTACATTTTAGGGGTGGATTAATAGGTCTTTAGTTCAAATTTAACAATTATTTAATGATTAGTACTTGTACAGTTCTAGAGTTTGGATATTTGGCCCTCCAAACCTCATATTGTAATTTAATCCCCAATGTTGGAGGTAAGGCCTAATAGGAGGTGTTGGGTCATGGAAGCATATCTCTCATGAATGTGTTGCTGCCAACCTTGCAGTAACGAGTGAATTCTCCCCCTATTAGTTCCTGTCTGTTAAAAACAGCCTGGCACCTCCCTCCTCTCCTCCTCCTCTTCTCTCTGTCTTTCTCTCTCAGTTCTTCTCTTGTCATGTGATTTCTGTGCATGTGGCTTTCCTTTGCCTTTCACCTGAGTGGAAGCAGTCTGAAGTCCACATCAGTTGCAGGGCTTGTAGATCTGTGAACACAATATATCTGTTTTATTTATTTTTTTAAATAAAAATCCCAGCCTCAGGTATTCTTTCATAGCAACACAAATGGACTAAAACAGGTAAAAATAGAAAGACCTACTCCCATCCCAATTAATACTGTCTTTGCCTCTCTACCCAGTACATAAACAACTAAATGCAAATAAATAATGTGTTAGGGTTTGGTCTTAGAGTCTAGACAAATTTGAGTTTGAATTTACTTTTAGTAATAAGCAATGAAAAGAAGCTAATTTATCTCGTCACTCAAAACCTTTGATTTCTGTAACACAAAATAGAGTTAATAATACTACCTGTACCTAATTTACTGGGTTATATTAATGAAATTACTAACAAGTATAAGACCTGATAAGTAACAGCCATCCAAAAATACTTATTTGCTAATACTTTGGTAATATTCAATACCTCTAATAAGCAATAGATTTTGAAACTTGGTCATAATCCTTTTTGACTCAGTAATAAAAATCTGAGTTCATAAATACCAAGTGGAATAGGGTAGGTAATCATAAAGATCACCTTTTTTATTACTCCAAACCTTTTCTTGAATCCTGAATATTTAACCCAGAATCATTTTGTACAGCCAGGTTAACACCCACAACAGTTTTAGCTATTGCAAGAAGAGGCCTGTCTATCTTGTCATGAAACTTGTCTGCATTGTCCTCTAATAGACTTTATTCCCCAGCAGAATCTTAGGTACATATGAAGTATTGAAAAATATTTGTGATATAAATTAACTAAACAGAAAGTTTCTATTCAAGAGTTACTCAACAGAGGACATTTTCTGTTTTCACTTAATATTCAGAATATGAATCAAAATAAGCTTAAAGTCAGATCCTTTGTGGGACTCATACATAAACAAGGAGAATGATTAAAATTTTCTAATGGGGACTGCAACACCTATTAAATAAATTTCTGAAACGTTAGCCCAACATTCAAAGTTGTTCTCAGTTCATATTTGACTATATTTTAATTTTTATCTTCTGCCATTGTACCAGGTAGCAGGAATGAATATTTCAGCATAACAGCATTCACTCCCACTGTGACTTTTAGCCATATATTATTTAATACACAGAGCACCCTTCTTAATTCGTGTATGTAGAAAAATTGCCTTCAAAACTCTATGTCCAGATATAATATCATTAGTTCCGTGAAGACTTTTGAAGTTGTTACTAAAAATTAATTATTCTCTCTTCTGTTATCCCATAGTCATTTTGTTTCTTTCTCTAATGTGTTTGTTATATTTTATTATAAATAGTTTTTAAATAATATTTTTAGGTCATAGCCATAAAGTCCTTGAGGGTAGGACCTTCATTGGTCATGCTCGTTGGACCTGCACTTATCATCCACACTTATCATGTGGCATTTAATTTTGGCTAGTAAAATTTGCTGATTTACTGTATTATATTTAGAAACAGAAATCATGTTGGAAAATATAACAAAAAATGTGTTAACAGTATAACAGTTTGCACTTCTAAGGACTCAACCAACCCAAATTCTGGTCGCTTGCAGGGTAATTCAAATTAACCTTTTTCAATTACATTGTGAGAGTTTGAGTGGATAAGTAACCAGGATAACATAATTTTCAGAAAGAAATCTGTTGGGATTGAAATGTGAATCCAGGTTTTTATCACATGTTCCATGTTAGTGGCAAAACACCCTGCACCTCTGCATTTCTCAGAGTATTGGATACCTCCTTGTTGTCTCTCTCTTCAATGAAGAAAAGTATAGCTTTGCTCTGAATATACTCAGCAGTTAAATGTCATTAAAATTAAAAATACTGATGGAAGAAAAGAGCAGAAATAAACAATGAGCAATTTACACACTAAAAACAGTGACATAAGGTGGAGAATAATGGAAAATGAAAAAAAAAGTATAATGATGACTGGTTGACAGATCGCTGTCATTTTACTCTCTGGGGTTTTGTCACAACCTTCAGTAGAGAGATAACATTGAACATCTGGTGGACAACCAGTGCGGAACCTCAATGAAGCTGAGCGTGTGCAGTAGAAGAGGAATGAGCTTGGGGCTGTGGCTCATCTTCTCAAAAATACCTAAGAAAATAAAATGAGCCAAGAATAATATTGAATGATAATAGCTCCCTTCTAGGAAAACATTTGGGTAATTATATACAACTCTTTCTCTCACAATCAATAGCAGGAAAATCAACTGAAAACTGCTATTCTTGTTTTTGGCATATACTAGCTATATGACCATACGCAACATTTAACCTTAATGACCTTTAGTTTCTTCATCTGTAAAATATGGATAATAGTAACTCTATAGTAGCACTCTACAAGTGCTACTATGTAGCAATTAATATCTTGTTTACTGTACTTTGAAAACTGCTATATAATGATATGTAATAAAATATAAAGATATGTTGTCATTTCTTATAACTGTGTAGTTGCCCACTGTTTGACCAGATTAAATTAAATTAACTAATTAATTGTATTTTTTGATGTTTGAAGGAGAATAGAATTTCCTATATTGAATATTATTCAGTTTGCTTAGCTTGCATTGTCTTTCCATCAGCTTTGAGAGATTCACATATCTGATTCCTTCTACTTGCCATCTCCTATCATCAGTTAGATGGTGGTAAATATTTAATTACTGCAAAAGCTCTAACTTATATTATTTGCCAATTCCTGTGGTGTAAGTACTCTCTCTTTGGCTGATTTCAAGCTACCAAAGTAACATCATGTTGCAGAGTTGGAAGAGTCATGCACAATCAGTCCTCGCCAGCTGGTAAGATTTGGCTCTAGCATACCAACACTTAATATTCAATATAAACTAATTTCTTCTAACAGTCAACAAAAAATTGGAAACTTCTTTAATTCCCAACTTTCTGACTTTGAAACACACACAATATTCTTTTAGGTTTTATCAGTAAATTTAGAAAAAAAAGAAAATTGGTAAGAAAAATAATTCAATATTACAGGTGCCAAGTTACATGAAATTTGAAGATAATAGTTATCTCTGAATTTCATTCAAACATTAATTAAAACAGGAAAAATTTTGCTGAAATTTATGGAGCCAGGTGTTCTGCTGAGCCCTTCAATGGATAAAGACATCGACTTTGTTTGTTTTTGCTGTATTGACCCACTGGTGTATGCCTTCTCTCCCTAATTAGAACAACCTGCCTGTAATGAGTAATCTGTTTCCAGTTTTGCCCTAGAATTTGTTTTTTTTTCCTATATAGAAAGTGTCTGCAGATGGAAATTGAAAGTGTAATCTTTATTAGAGGCAAATAAATTATGTTGCTTCATAATCCAGGTGACCAGATATTAGATAGTGGGGAAAGAGTGGCATTCCCCCATATTTCTATGTGAAACCAAGTCTAATGTTGGCATTGTTTGGCCCAAAAGGAACAGAGTCCTGTTGAACAGCTCAGTATTTTCACTTTGAAAGCCTCAGGAGACAGAATCTTCTCGTAGAGGTAATGCTCTCCTGGGCTGGAGCAGTGATGAGTCCCATGTTTAGGTTTTTCTTGCTAATTTGATTCATTCTGCTTTTTACCCAGTCACTTCCTAACACAATTACACAGTGCAAGGAGTCTTTGCCTGCCAGGTGAAGAAGAGAGTTTTCTATCCAGGCCCCAAATATTTCTTCTCTGGAATTTAAGTGATTCTGCCTTTTGCTAGCAACTTTGACTTTTATCACAGCCTTATTTACTATAAACCCTGGAATGCTTTACCTCATTCCTGTTTTATTTCTTTTACTCCATTTTTTTTGAAACTTGAGGAAACATTTTTTCTCGTGAAAAATGTTGAAAAGCTATGATTAAGGCTGATTCTATCCTGGATCCATTTTTTCCAGTGCCTTCTTTGGTAAGCGTCATCCATTGTGTGGTCTTTTTGCATGATATCATTTTCCCTAGGCAACATGCAGCAGATGCCAGTACCTTAATTTCTTAAAGATATTAACTTTTTTGGAACCCTCCAGCATTATAACTGTCTTTTCCTTACTTTATTTTTAGAGCAGAGATAACTGATAAAACACACATCCGGTGAGAAGCCAGGATTTCCTGATGTGTCTTTGAATTACTTTCCTTACCAAAATGGGCAATTCCAACCCTCCCCAGGATGTCCTCCTCCTGGAGGCTGCTAAGCAGTATCACATTAGAGATGCAATAGAAGATAGCACTAGTCCACATGTCCCCCCAAAAGAGCAATTGAAGATTTGCTTTATGCAAATAGCATTTTGTGTTCGGGCCTAATTGGTAAATCTATTCCCCGAATGATAATGTTAGTTCAGACTCTAGAGAAAAGAACAGAGGAATGGCACACCTTCTCTTGATCCCTGAAGACTAAATGGCAATACACTTTACTGATATAATTCTGCTCCATGGATGCCCTTTAGTCTCACTTCCAGAGAACAGCAACTGAAGACATCAGTACCCAGCTCTGCCAAGAACACAAGTATCATGTCCTCATTTATGGTTCTGAAATGAAACTAACAACCTTGGTGTAGGATGTTAAAAATCATAAGAGATATAACTATCATTAAAAACTATCAGATACCCCATTGAAGGTTCCCAGTTCCCGTTGACAGCTATAAAAGAAAGTTGTGTTTCACTGGAACAACCAAGAGTAAACAAGTTCATAGTTAAAGCTGCTGATTTTTTTTTTTTAACTTTTGTGTGTCTTCTTCTCAACTTAGAAAAGATAAAAGCCAAGGTAAAGATTTTATATCACTCTTCCTTCCAATTTACACTCCCTTGATTTTACTTTAATCATTTAATACTTAAACATTTATCATGTACGATATATTTTTAAATTTTTGCACTCTGCAACATAAACCTCACATATACTTTCTCACTGGATTCTTACAAAGAACCCTGTAAGAATAATTGAGCAGGTATTAACATGGTCACTGTTTAACGAAGCAGGAGCCCAGAATCAAAACCCACTAATGCTAAGTTAAAATTCTAAGCTAGTTTTTAAATGTCCAAACAATGACTTGCTTCTTTTTCTAGCAGATTGATTTTTCTGCCCACCCGTATATTAAAGATTATTGTTTAGCTACCTACTACTGACTTGACTTTTTGCCTATAGGAAATTTTGCACATTCATTTGACTTTAACTTTAAGGCAATCTTATTCTACTAGTGCTGGTAAAATCCTCAATATACACATCAGCCGAAGAGGGCTCAGGAGACAATGAAAGTTGATGAGATTTTAGAGAAATGTGGGAAACATGCAATCTTTGGGGTAGTGAGTTTTAGGGGAACAGGTGTCTGCAACAGATCTAGTGAAAACCTAGAGTATAGGCAAAAGCAAGAAAAGGAGAAGGGTTTTTTTCCTTCTCCTGTAGTCATAAAATGCAATGCCTGTGTGGCAGAATGGAGAACAGTGAAAAATACTTTAAAAATGGTCACTCTCACTATTATCAAAGGAAGAGAAATTAAACCACCAATAAAATAATATTCATATCTTTCCGAACTAATGATCTTCAGAGGAAAGGACTATACTCAGGATTGCTTAGACTAAGAAGAAAAGGAACTCTTTACACTACTAAGGAATCCTATAGTAATTGATATAGGTGAGAATTATGGCAAGAAAAATGTTCTACTTGGCAATTTCATCTAGCAGATTTTCAATAAATATTTCCTGATTGATTAAACGTGGTCCATTTCTACTCAATGGTAATTCAGTCATTTCAGAAATATGTGTTCCTTGTATACATTTGGGAAAATGATGCGTAGAACCATCAAATAAGTAATATGTTGGTGAATAATAATGACACATGTATAATATGGGCATAGTGTTCTAGGTTTTTAGAAGAGAAGAAGAATCCTGTAAGAAGGAGTGGCCAGAACAGGCCATTCAGAGTCTAACACTTGCTGAGTCTTAAATCTGGGTGTAACCTAGGGACACAGAGAACAATGATGAAAGAATTCCAGGTGTAACACAGCTACTGGGGAAGAAATGTGGAAGTATTTGAGACAGTGCACATTCAATTGGAGTGAATGGCGCATTATGAGTACAATAATGGTATAGAAAACAAGAACCTTTTCATTTGAACTTACAAACCGTCACTCTTCTGTTAATACATGTAATGGGTTTTGTTAATTCATAAATATAAAACAACATCTAGATTTCTTTAGTTGATTTAAATATAGACCCTTGAGTAGTTTCATAAATAGAAATCTAATTTATTTTATTTTCAGTAATAAAATCACATATTGTAAATTTAACTGAGGGCTTTTTCATTTCATCTATTCATAAAAATAGACTCAACAAGAATAGTGGTGAGAGGCTATTTCAATGGCCTGTTATTCCTAAAAGAGCCCAAAGTGAATTCAGAGTGACTATTGCCACAGTATGGGTGTATCGTTTGTGTTTACATTTACTTTCCTGACTGGCTTTGATTGTATTTAAATACTTTTCCTAATTAAATATGTTCCTCAACATACTTTAAGATATAACTCCTTAAAGTTATGTTGAGTTAAATGTATAGCTCAACATAACTACCATTGAATGTACTTCAGATTATTCCATAAAATAAGATCTAGCTTCCCCCCAAAAAGTGAATGTTGGTGTTAGAAAGAGTTCAAGGCACTTTTGCAGACCTGGGAGAGTAGGACTATGAAGATCCATGCAATCCTCTCTGAAACTATGACATTATAATTGCCAATAAGAAGCTTTTAAAGATATAGCATTTTTAATGAATATAAATTTGTAATTATTTGTTTTATTCTATTTTCAGAATCTTCAAAATGACATACTCATAAAGAAAATAATATCAGAAGATATAGTATGTATTAAATACATCTATTCTAAACTTCCAGGTATGATATGACTGACTATTCAAGGGTACAGATCAAACCCACTCTCATTTTTCACAAATTTCAAAGGCCTCTATCTTATTTCCTAGCAGTTTTATTTAATCCCTGCTCCTAGATCATTTCTTATCATCTGCCCAAGCAAACAGTATTCCTCAAGTCAAAAGTTATCTCTTCTACCTGCAACCAAAGACTTTTTGGCACCAGGATTGCTTGTGATACCTTTCCTTCTTGACAATGCATTGTTTTGTTTTTCTCTCTCTCTTTATTCTGGTGAGCACTCTTTATTCTCAATTCAAGTCATGTCTACTTCTGTTGCACCCAGTAGCTTTGGAATGTTGTCTGTAGATAATCAGATCTTCAGGAAGATCAGAGAGCAACCTAAAGTTTCCACTTCGCCATAATAATGCCTTGCCTTTTCAAAAATAACATTATGAAACTTCTGAATCATCTTACTGATGCTTATAGCTATAATATTGTATGTGCTTATGTAACAATCATGCAATTTACATTGATATAAATGCCTCATTTATCTTACTTCCTGAATTGTGTTTGTGTTGCCTGTGAGGAGTTTTGTTTGCTTTTATGGCCTCTTTGTTCCTGCTCCTGCGTGTAATCTTGGAGAGGGTAGATTCATTTTGTTCTCTACCTCATAAGACTGTGCAGGATACCTATTCTTATATGACAAACTCAGTGGTGTAAGCTGATGCCAATACTTTGTTTTTTGAATTGTCAATTTAGGCAGGGTTCAGTGAGGATGGCTCATCTTGGGTTCACAAGGCATCAGCTGGGGCAGTTTAAGCAGAAGTATCCACTTACAAATGGTTCACACATGTTTGAAAAGTTGGTGATGGCTGTCAGCTGAGAGCTAGGCTGGGGCCTTTGCTCCTCTACAAATAAGTCTCTCCATGAGGCTGCTGGAGCTTTCTTGCAGCATAGTGGCTGTTCTTCGCATCCTGTGATGCAACAGAGAAGTTACTTGACCCTACATGCACAAAATATAATGGGAGATAGGATGACAGCAATAGACTGTCCCATTTAAAAAGAGAAGAATTAGAAGACACATAGAAGTCACTGGTTCATACCATTTCTAAATCCGAACTAAGCACATATGGTTAGTTCATTAATTATTGTTCAGTCTTGCGTTTTGGAATGATTTGCCATGGCTTTTGGCTTGCACTCTGAATGATCCCTTTGTTTCCTATCAGAAATCCCATGTTTGCAGCTGAGTAGTTTTCTTTCTCTTTCTTTTTTTTTTCTTTCTTTTTTTCTTTTTTTTTTGAGACGGAGTCTTGCCCTATCGCCCAGGATGGAGTGCAGTGGCGCTATCTCGGCTCACTGCAAGCTCCGCCTCCCAGGTTCACACCATTCTCCTGCTTCAGCCTCCTGAGTAGCTGGGACTGGGACTACAGGCGCCCGCCACTATGCCCGCCTAATTTTTTTTTATTTTTTAGTAGAGATGGGGTTTCGCCATGTTAGCTAGGATGGTCTCGATCTCCTGACCTCGTGATCCGCCCACCTCGGCCTCCCAAAGTGCTGGGATTACAGGCGTGAGCCACCGCACCCAGCCGCAGCTGAGTAGTTTTCTTAAACTTCTGATGTTGTAAATTAAGAGCCCCAAAGCCTCATTTTATTTTGTATTTTCTATGCACGTTTTATTTCAGGCTACCATAATTAATAAAATATTGGTAGAGTTTCCACACATCAGTTATAATCCACTACGTTAGATAAAATCTATTCAATGCTAATCTCTTAGAGATACACTCTTCTAAACTTTGGGCTCCAGTGAGGCTGCTATGAGAAAACACCTTTGAAATTCTTAGAAAACCTGTTACTTAACTACAAGTCACATTATTAGGAATATTAGAAACCCTATTAGGCATGCCCTTAAAACTTTTTCAGTTCAGAAAAAAAAAGAAAAGACTCTTTTAGTAATGTCAGGGAGACGTTAACAATGAAGCCATTCCATTCTGACAGCCCACTGGATTTGGTGTTCACACTAAAATCATGTCTTACTTTAACAATCGATTTTCTCATAGAGATTAGAAATAAGAAACAGTCCATATTAGACCTTTAAACTTCTGTTTCCTTCATTTATCCTCTAAATTCTGCTCAATGACTTAACAGCTCCTTCATTTTTCTCCCCATACTTTATCATAAGCAACTAGTCTCTTAGAACTTTCTACATTTTGTCCTGAAAATCTATCCAGTAAAATCCATGAGTTCACTAAGTCTCCTATTTCCCATTTTGTCACTGAATAATGTTGACTAATGTTTGGCCACTTCGTAAAAGGGAACCCCTTTTCTCTTGCTTACATTCCACATGTCTCAGATTTTTGTTGCAATAACACTTTACTTCTAGGAACTAATTAAATTCTGGCTATTAACTGCTGAGCAAGAAATAATTTCAAAACTTGATGACTTCAAATAACAGTGATTTTATTCTACCTTGCCATTTTGTGGCTCAGGAACTTGAGCCATGCTCAGTTGACATTGAGCTGACAGCCAAGATGACCTGGTGGTTATTCACGCGTTTGGCACCAGGATGTGGATGCCAGGAAGAGTGGGCCGATGTAAGCCTCTCTCCCTCTCCATGGAATCTCGGGGTATCTCCCAGTGTTCTCTTCAGCAGGGTAGTTGGACTTCTAACCTGGTGGTTTAGGTCTCTCAGATTGAGTGTTCTGAGAAACAGGAAGTAGAAACAACCTGTTACTTAAAGACTGAATCTAGAAGGTGGCACGTCTCTTCTGCTATATTCTATTGATCAAGCAGTTATGACGACTGCTCAGAGTGAAGGACAGGGGACATAAACCCTAATCTCTCAAAGGGAACAGTATCAAAAATCTTGAGACTATCTTTAGTCACATTCTACCACAGTGAATGAAAGTTTAAATATCAATATTATTTCTAGCACAGATTTTTCAAATGGAATTGATTTAGCTTGTATGATGAACCATAAGCCTATAATTTAAGGTGGTATTTTGGGTTATACATTTGCATATATTTTTAATAAAGAGGGTTTAGAATCTATTTTGATACTTGAAATGTTTTCACTTTTTAAAAGAATCAACTTAGCTTTGAGGAAGAAAAATCCCATAACTCTTAGGTAGTAACACTTGGAAATTTTTGTATTCAATTCATTCATGGGTATTTGCCAAAAATTTATCCTCAACATACCTTTTGCTTTTTGTCTCTTTCTCTTTGTGGCACTCTATTAACTTATGGAAAACTTTCCCAATCTTTCCACTCTGAAAGTCCATATTCATTTTCTCTGATCATTTCATTTTTACGCTTTCACCTCCTATTACTTTCTGCAAAGGCTGACAAAACTTCATATGCTATTTTTTTTTTTTTTGCTGCAAGCTAAGATCTGTCTCTTCCTGAAAGTTTTTATCTGCTATCTCCTGCCTTGAAACCATCAAGCCTGCTGTTTTTTATATCTTAATTGGTTTTCTTAATTCAACCATATTTATTCCCTAAAAGATGGCAGGATAAATTTTCAATTTCCTCCAAATCTTACAGATTTCACAACATTTGCATTTACAATATACTTTAGAAAGACATACTTCTTTTTCATTTCTAATATCTTCTAATGAGGTTCTATTAGCTTTTACTTTCTGTTCCTCCCTCATACTTGAGCATGGTAACTATATGGCTAATAAAAAAGTTACAAGACACAAAATTATATTTTTTCTTCCTAAAAAACAGTTTGCCTCGACAGACCTTTATTTTCAGATGTTATTGGTTATTGGTTTCTTTTTTTTTGCCTTAAACATTAGTTTATCAAATCTAGAAATTCATGGGATTCTTGACCCACTATAATCCAGAAATATATTTAGACTGGGCAAAATGCTACAAAAGAAAATAAGACTATGACCTCTTCTGAACCCTGTCCTATTTGTAGAATAAAAGCAAAGCAAAGAGCAGATACAGAAATGCTGAAACACTGACAGAAAGCCTCTGAAGTAAAGTCCAACTCAAAAAACTTCTCTATAGATATGGAAAGCCCAATTTTGTTACATTTTTTAAGTACTCTATGGGTCACCCTATTGTAATCTAGTATAAAGTTGTCAAGGACTAGAACAAACTGTTTTATGATTATTTTATCCAGGCTGTGAGATTGGGACTAGAGAAAGAAACAAATAAAATGAGAACTAGACAAGCCCTGGAAAATCCATGACAAATTTCTTTTTAAGGATTGTTCTTATTGTACAATAAAGGAAAGAAAAGGCCACTGTTTCACCAGACTATATTATGTTATCTCTTTTCTCTGGTTTCACACACACACACACTGACACACACTTGAAATGCTTACGCTAAAGAAGAAGGAATGTTTTAATTACAGTCATCATTATTATAAATTTATTAAGGCATGCAGAATCCACATTGTTGAATACTGAAATACACTGTTGTCAAAACAGAAACTAAGGAACACTTATTGAGCATTTGCTAATTGCCCAGTCTTGAGTTAGGCATGTTTATTTGTGTTATCCTACAAGGTTTATGATATGGCAATACCAAGTAGAGTTTGCCAAATAAATAGGATGAATCATAAACAACATAAAATGCTATAAGGATTTAAAAGAAGATTGCCTTGATAAGAAAATATAGATTGTATGAGAAGGAAACTAAGCAATGTGTTCATTCTATGAAACATCCAATGAAAGGAATTATATCAGACCTCAAACAAGAATCCTGCTGGAGAACAGAGTATATCTTATTTTCTGAAACAAGACCAAGGCCAAGAGAGATTCTGTGTTTTAGGACATGGATCTCACTGGGTAATAACAAAGCTGAACCTAGAGGAATCCTGAGAATCAGAGCTCTTCCCAGCCACACAGATGTTCCTTCTTCTGATACCTAAGGAATACTTACCCAACTCCTAGGTGAGACACTATGACTGTGGTTTTTGGAAGAAGTCTATGTAATTTATTTTCTCATCTGGAGATGGGTCTAATTGCAGTAACTACTTTGGGCCCTCAGTCGTGTGAAGATTCAGGATCTTAGCTTCATTTTTACCTACAAAAGCTATTTTTGTGCATAGGCATACTTCTTGTTTTTTATTATATAATGTATCCAAATTAGTTTTTCTTCTTAGAAAAGGTACAGAAATAAAATTTTAATCTCTTAAAATTAAAAAAAAGAAATTTTAGAAAGTAAAATAATTTAAAAAATGTAAAATACACTGAATTATAATAAACCAGGAGTTGGCAAATTATAGACCACAAGCCAAATCTGCTTACTGTTTCCAAACAGCCCGTGAGCCCAGAATATTTTTTATAATTTAGTTGATTAAAAAAAGAAGAAATTTCCTGGAACTTGACAATTCTGTGAAATTTAAATATCAATGTCTATAAATAAAGATTTTTTTGGAAAAAGGCCAGGCTCATTTGTTTACCAGTGGTCTATGACTGCTTTTGTAATAGTACATCAGAATTGAGCAGTTGAGACTGAGGCCATATGGCCCACAAAGCCATATTTACATATTTAGATATTTAGTATCTGGCCCTTTAGTTTGCTGACCCTTGTAATACATGCTCAAGTTATTATTTCAGAATGGAATATTCTCCTAGCTAAATTTACATTGTCAACCTAGGACAGTGGAAGGCCTTGATGAATTGTTCATTGTGCTTGAGTTCAGGATACTCTGATGTACCTAAGTAATCTTTCACATTCTGGGCAATCTCTCCTAACAGTGACATAGGAATCTATATATTTGCCAACCAGGTAAAAAAAAAAGTGAAAAATTGGTTTTGCATATAGAAAAATCTGCTGTAAAGTTTTCATTTGATTTTGGATACACTGACCAAAGGAAGGGATCAATGAGACTCGTAAATTCAGGAAGAGAAGACGTTGTCAATATTTTTGCAATACATTTTTCAGAAACATTGATGTTGACAGAAAACAATAATATTTACTTCTTTTTTCAAATACTTTTGTCTGCTGATTTCAAGACATTGCTCTAGGAAGCTTTTCAACTTCCCATATTTCAATAGTATATTTTTATCCAGTGACATAAACAGAGTAGCTTTCTCTTAGCTCAAAAGTAACTATTTCCATTTTCATGGGTGGGCTTCCTTCTCAAATTATTCAGATTCATCAATCTGAAATCTTCAGAACTCTTTTCAGGTATCTCTAATGGGACTGACGTCCTAACCCTGGCTTCCCGAAACAATTTTCCCATCAAAAAAGATGTGCATCAGATGCTCAGACAGCAAATGGCCACCAGAGTCACTTTTGAATTTTCAACTGGCATCATACCAAAACATTTTGAAAGGATAGGCTGCTAGGACATCTCCTTGGAGTAGCACTCCCAGGGATTCAGATAGTATCTGGGTGCTATTGTAAGCATAGAAAATGTGCTTGGTATATTCCTTTTACTTATGAAAAGAATGTTGTGATGAATTTTCCAGCTCCTAAACAAATTCAAGAATAGTAAGTCAGGCTGAGTATTATATGTTTAACCAACTAACCATAATGTATCATTATAATATATACATAGTAAGGGGTAATAAAATTACTTTGACTATATACAAACAGATAGAAATATTTTCTCATAATTACTGTACTGAGCATTACAGTTACTATTTATTGGAGTCAATGTAGTGAATCAGAAATTCAACAAATCTAGTGAAGCAAAGATGTTTTATTGTCTCTTCACTAACAATACCTATGCTGGGCATGGTGGGTTATGCCTATAATCCCTGCACTTTAGGAGACCAAGGTGGGAGGATGACTTTAGCCCAGGAGTTCAGGACTAGATTGAGCAACATAATGAGACCCTGATCCTACAAGAAATAAAATAAAAATGAGCCGGGCATGGTGGCACACTCTTACAGTCCTAGCCCAGCATTGAGGTTACAGTGAGCTGTGATTGCACAGCTGCACTCCAGACTCTGCAACAGAGTGAGACCATCTCTGAAAAACAAAACAAAAAACCAAACCAAACAAACCCAAAACCTCCAAAACCCCTAACATTTACCTAAATTAACCATAACATAAATACCATTTGAAAATCTCTCTTCTCAAGTTATAGAAATATCAATTCCACATCTCACGAATCTTTAGAGTGTAACTCTTATTTTTATGAAACACAGGCTGGAGGAGGTACCAGAGGAGTGGCTATGTCTTCAAGGAGTGGCCTTGGGTCACTCTTTTTTATTTTATCTCTAGTCACAAAACCATACTAAAAGCAAAAATCCACTCCCACCAAGCATTTATGAGATGGTAACTTTTTCAATCAAGGGAAATCATCTTCCTTGATCCTCTTACCTCTTTCATTTTTATTTCTCTGTCTGCTCTAGTAAACAAACCACTTTATATCAGCTCCTGTTCCTAAACGGGCACATCAAAACATTGTGAGGAACCAGAAAAGCAATATGATCTACTTACTTTAAGACATTTTGAGCTTCAAATTAACTTCAGGTTTAATCACATTACTTTTTCTTTTTTAAAAAGAAAAAGAAAAGAAAAATAAGAAATATAAGAAAACAATATGTATAAAGAAACAAAAAAGGTTACAGCCTTAAGCTACAAACAATGACTTTTTATATAACAGCATATGAACATATCAAAAGATATATCCAGTGACATAAACAGAGTAGCTTCCATTTATTTTGAAAAAGATGCATATTTTTCTGAAGTTAAACAAAGAATACTTGTTCCAACAAAGAATACTTTATTCAGTGTGGTGGGCTATATTTGCACAAGTGAACCAAGAAAGAACAGAATAACACCTGACTGAAGTAAGTGAGATAGATGACCTGTGTGAATCAGGGCCACAAAGCTGAAAGGAGGCAGAGTCAGAACTTAAACTAAGTTCTGTCTGACATTTAAAAAATAAAGTGTAAAATTGGGTGTTGGAGTCATCTTTTCATTTCTATTTAGCTTATTAACATCTGAATTCTACCATATAGAAAACTGAATTTTGCCTGCCCAATGTCTAATTCATTAGCTCTCTACTTCTTTAAAGCCTAACTCTACCTTAACTCCTTAAAATGATGTTAATAATAATGATGATGGCGGTGATGATAATGGGCAATAATTATTGAGAACTTACTCTGTTCAGATTTTTTTTAAGATTATAAAATCTATCTTTTTTGTTTAACATTAAAGCCAACAAGATAGATGGTACTATTGTCTCCATTTTGTGGATGAGAAAAGTGAGGCTTACAAAGCTTAGCTATCTTTGCAACATCACATAAACACCAAATGGCAGAGGTACTTCTTTATTGCACATCAACCTTCTTTATTGCACACCAAAAGGCATCTTTCTCAACACTATACTGTGCCTTTCATATTGGTAAATATTTATTCTGATTCAAATAACAGTTCATCCTTCAGAGTATTATCTGTTAAATCCACCTATAATGTTCTTTCTTGTCAAAAGCCTTCAGTTGTTCCACAATGTAGGTAGAATAGAGTCAAAATTCTGTATTTTAACTTCTAAGATATTCTGCAATATGGACTTGCATGAACTTTCTATCCTACCACTTACTACTTGTATGAATGTTTGTATGAATGTTTGGCTGCAGTCAAAATGGCCCTTCTTTCACTGTCTCTGTAGGGCACCGTGCACATCCTTACCTCTGGCTGCTGTTGCTCATATTACATATTCCATCTGGAATATTCTGTCTCTTCTTCTCATTTTTAAATACCACATAGCCTTGATGATCTAGCTTTATAGTCTCATCATGTCTCTGGAGTTTCATAGGACATTCCACCCCATAAGGATTTGTACCAATTCTGAAATCACAGCATTTAATATCTCTGTTACACTTTTCTTCAATTTATCATTCAGAGTCAGGATTTTTAAACATCTTATAATATTATTTAACTGTTAAAAAATATAAAAATTCAATTTCCTGTTCAATTATAACTCGATAAGGGAGCAGGAACACTGTCATGTCTCCAGGCTTCCTTATAGCATATAGCGCTGTGGCTTTTTTGCTAGTGAATTCATTATAATGGCTTGCTGATTTATTGTTATGTATAAAATGCATGAGTTTAGAATTTGAATGTAGGGAAAAATCTATAGTTCTAAATTTACATTTGTTACAAAGTAAACATAACATTTTATTTGTTGAATTTTAGCAGCCAATGAATTTTAAAGAGAAAATATAATATTATTACAAAAATGCAAGTAATATTTCCATCTGGAACTTCTGGCATGACTTAAAATGATTCCTGACTCCAAGTATTCATGTCCTGTGTGATCTTATTCCATTGAGTGTGGGCTAGACATAGCAATGTAATGAATAGAATATTGTAAAAGTGAGGTGATGTCACTTCAGTTATACAAGACCATTGCTGTCATTTTGCTGGTAGACTTTCTTTTTTGTTGGCTTTGATGGAATAAGTTGTTGTGTTGGAGAGTCCCACAAGGTAAAGACCTGGGGCAGCCTCTGGCCAATAGCCAGCCATATGCTGAGGCTCTCGTTCCAACAGTCTGCAAGTCTTCCCCACAACCAGGTCAGTGAGCTTGGTTGAAATAGATTCTTCTGCAGTTGAACCTTCAGATGCGACTCCAGGACTCAATTGTAGTCTGTGAATGACCCTGAAACAGAGGGACCAGATAATCTCTTCTTGGACTCCTGGCTAACAATAACTTAGATGATATATGTGTATTGTTTTAACCATTACTTATTGGGGTATTTTAGGCATTAAATAATTTTATTTTTTTCATGTATATTTGCATGGTTTTATTTCCATAAATCATCAACTGAGACTTTTAAATCTTGGTTTTTGCAGTCCGTATTCTCCACGTGAGAGAGAGCAGTCAGTCACATAGTCCTGATTCTATGAGTAAAAACTGAGAAGAGCTCATACCTGTTATATCTCATTTCAAAATTACAACAATGCTATGAGGGATGTAGGCTGATAGTAGGGGACAGATGTCTATATTAGTGCCATTTTTTAAAAGATGCCAACACTAACAAAGGATCAGGTGTGTAGAAGAGAAGAAACCATATGTCTAAAGGAGTGAAGGTGAATGGAAAATTATATTTTAAAGTCCTTCCATCATATAACAGTTGCCTCCTTCACTACTGATATTTATGATTTCCACTGCTCTTTAATGGAAAATTTACAAAAACAAAATTGATTATAATTGTGTGTGTGTGTGTGTGTGTGTAGGTGAAAGAACATCGCTATAATTTAATTTGAGAATGTTGCATTCCTTCTAGGTGAAAGCATTCAATCTTCTGTTTTTCCGGGAGCTGAACCATTTGTGGCATGCTAGGCTGGGTGAATTTGAGATTCCCACAAAAATTTGTTATCCTGAGACTAACCCAGTATTGTTTCAGATAAAGACTAAAATATCCATCCTCTCCTTGGGTGATAATATAAAATCACTAAGGACTGCGGGGATGGCTTTGTCGTTTCCCCCAGCACTTGCTTTCACACCTTTTTGTGCCACTGAGCAAACATTTAACAAAGAGGAAAATAACAGCAATTTGTTCTGACTGGTAAGCTCAACATGCGATGCCAAGTTATAGTAGCTTTCTGGAAACTAAATATGCTCAGTAATGTACGTGTGTGTGCGTGTGTTTGTGTGTGTGTGTGTGTTCTCACATACTTCATCAACAAAAGATCATGACCTCAATTTAGGTATTCATGAGCAATTACAGAAAAAGTTTCAAAATGTAAAGAAATATTACATATTACATATATGTATATGTGCATATATATGAGTGCATGTAAATATGTCTATCCAATTTGTTTTTAATTAATAGTTTGTTAATACAGACATCCCAAAGGGTGCGTATGATCAAGCCATTAGAAAGCTCTCTGGAATTATCAAGGGCTCCTTAACTACTAAATAATAAGTCAGTCATATCAAGGAGCTGGCTCTATGAGGTAACTGCAGACACTAAGTGCTTCTTGGTCCTACACTAAAAATTCTGGAACTTTTCACTACTGCATCCTTTCATCAGTACCCAGAGAATGGAGGAGCAGCACTTCTTTTCTTAGAAAAACCATTTCTAAAACAACCGCCAACTCAACCCCTACTTCCCCGAAACTGTACAAAATCATCCGTATTTTATTATTTATTTCTTTATCTTTTTCTCAGTTCCTGGAGGACAGGACCTATATCATCTGCTTCTTTTCCCATTAAATCCTCCTCCAAACTATTTATTCAGTGACTATCTTACTCTTCTTCCCAGGACTCAAGGAAGCCTTTCAAAGGAGTGCTGCAGTCAAACTAGAGAGTTGGGGTTGCCAGTACTTGGACACAAACCATGATGCTAACTGAGAGTTTTCTGCTTATATGCTTCTCAGAAGGCTGTGAAAAGAATTACATTCTGGATTGGGCCTAGGTTCTTATGGCAGCTGTAAGCATTTTATGAAAGAGATACTTCCCTGAAACCATCAGTTTGTAAATTGGCTTATGTTTTCTTGTTCTATGAAAATTAACTCTTTTTGCAACAATTTTTTGGAGAAGGAATTTATCTAATAAACAATTACTTCCAACTTATTTTGTGTTTAATGACCCATGTATTGGTTGGGGGAACCTAGATACTATCCAAATAAACCCCCAAATATGCCAGGTTAATAAAATAAAAAAGTATCTCTTACTTAGGTAGGAGACCAATGCAGGGGTTCCTTGTCTGTGGTTGCTTTCCTCCTGCTGTGATCCAAAGACCCAGGACCCATGCTTCACTTGGCTCCACCTTCCCCTGTTGACTTGCAAGTCTTGTGCTTAATGCCAGTCCCTGGGTGGTTCCAGGGATTGGGAAGAAGCCTCCATTCTGCTTCCAGACACACAGCCACCCCTGGATGCAAGGAGGCTGGGAAATATCCCCAACTGGGTGTCTGCCTCATGCTACAATTCCTCACTGTGGAAGGAAAAACGAGGAACAGGGACAAACATATTTAAAGGTCTGCCAGCTCTCTCTACCACTGTCTATCACAAATTACTAAAGCGGATAAATTCTTCATTTTCTAACTCTTTAAAATTTGTCTTACAAAAAAATTAGTCCTTAATGACATAATTTCTTATCTTGGATTCTAATAATATTCTGGTTGTTGGTTGTTACGGCAGAAAATTAAAAATAGCTAGAGTGCAGAAACCATGACTGACATCAGAGAATCATTCCATTTACAGTCCTGGGCCTCTGGTGATGGCACACTTTCCATTCCTGATGGAGGAGCCCCATCTTGCCAAATCCCTAGTAGTCGCACCATGCACCAGGGTTCCAATGGCGAAATGGCAGTTATGAATATATTACCCTAACAAGGTGTTCAATTCAGTTCAGTTAAAGAGTTATTGGCACGCTCCTCACAAACCTTGGGTTCACCCAAGAGAGTCTTGCGATATTCTAGCCAATGACTCTATGGTTCCAAGAGTCTCAAGATCAAATTAGTCATAAACATTGACTCAATTTGTCCAAAGTGCAAAGATGACATAAAAAGGTTTTGTGCTTGCTTTTTGTAGTTGTTCCTGTTTTTATTTTTTGTTTTGTTTTGAGACGGAGTTTCACCCTGTAGCCCAGGCTGGAGTGCAGTGGCGCGATCTCCGCTCACTGCAAGCTCTGCCTTCCAGGTTCACTCCATTCTCCTGCCTCAGTCTCCGGAGTAGCTGAGACTACAGGCGCCCGCCACCACGCCCGGCTAATGCTAATTTTTTTGTGTTTTTGATAGAGACGAGGTTTCACCTTGTTAGCCAGGATGGTCTCTATCTCCTGACCTTGTGTTCGGCTGGCCTCGGCCTCCCAAAGTGCTGGGATTACCGGCGTGAGCCACTGCGCCCAGCCTTGTTTTTTTTAAACCTGAAATACTTGCATGTGTGAAGCAAAGGAAAATTTTCCGAATTATGATAATAATGTTGCTAATACACATAATTTGCATTTGTGTAGTGTTTTATGATGTGGTTTACTTTTCAAAGCACTTTGATGTTGTTTATTATATTTAGTTTTTTTAATAATCTGATGATATAGGAAGATAGATATTATTATGTCCAGTGTAGCATGAAGACATTTTAGCCTGCATGAGCAAATCAGTTTCTCATATTAATACAGATTCCTGCTAGAACTAAGACTAGAAGAGATGCTTTTGGGATTCTGACACTCTTGTATTTCATAAAATGCAATGGCTTTTAAGCTCTTTGACAGTAGGAAATAATGCATTTTGAATATTTGTTACAGCACAAATAACGCAAGCTATCTATTTATACTTTGAAAAAAAATTTTTTTTAATTAAAGAACCTGTGAGCATGAAGGCAGGGGTGTTAATCATCACTGCTTAGCATGTCCACCACCTGTTTTATTTTTCACCTTTTCCCATCATGGGCACACATTGAAGATATCTATTGTATTGCTTTAGCGTTATCTCTCAGCAGACCATTTCTGCAATTTCAAGGAAAACATGAAAATAAACTGAATAAATCCAGTGTTATTAATATCCCAGAATTTTATTGCTGCCTTATGGGATGGTCCATAGGTTTTACTTCTTGACTTAAATGCAAAGACCAAGGATGTGTTTTAGATATTTTAGTCCCCTAGAACTTTATTATGAACATATGATCTAAATTTGTAAGTTTTCTCTTTTCAGACTGCAATGATTTTTGCTTACTGAATGCCGTGTGTTTACTCATCCTTTGTGTAATAAGACTTATTTGTAATGCCTTAAACTTAAATTGTTTGAATTTCAAGAAAGCCTAGGCTTGTTAATTAGTCTTCCAGGATTCAGTGGTCAAGGCTGTATTCCCTCAAGCTAGTCCCTTTGCCATTTTAGAAACAGTACTTGTATTCCCTTCTCAGCCTTTATTTTCCAGCCTAAGAGTCCTTAACTCTTTAGTCTGTTTCTCTGAGGACATGCTACACACATAAATCAGGCTTCCGAGGAAGCTAAAAGAGGTAATTATTATTTGCATTTTGGGCATTTAAAAACTCAAAGCTCAGAGGTGAGGATACTTAATTCTAGCTACTTCACCAGATTATAAATTTCTCCTGGGAAGACAGCTCCTTCTGTTTGTTTAATCTACATCTCTACTCCGTAAGATTCTTGCGTTACAACCATACAAATAACCCTGACTCTAGGGCTCTGAATAAGAAATGCATTAGAACCCATCAATTTTCTAATCCTAATTCTAGTTATTAAGTTTTTCTCAGCCAAGGAAAATAGACTTGTACTATTATCTAAGGGAGTACTGTAGCAAGAGAATGAGTATATTTAGATCAGAGGTGAGAAATTCACTTTTACTTCCCATATTATAAAAGTATTAAAGTCTGTGTCATCTAGATCCATGTCTCCCTGTCTTGAGTAATGCAGGTACAATTCAGATGTTCTGAGAAAAATTATCCTCCCCAACCTGAATGGTTTCCTATGGTTAAGATGCTACTGAAGGACAAAGCAGAAGTTTTCTACAAGGTCTTTTTTAGAGTTTAAACAAAATTTAAAGCTTTTTTTCCTTCTTCTTTGGCCTCAAAGTTACATTTTAATTACAGTGCAATAATTTGAAGAACATTGGTAATAGGGAAAACTTTTAGACCTTTTGTTCTTTAGCGCAGTCAAGGGAAACCTCATTAGAGAGGATTTTCTTAGTTAGCAGGGCTTCGAGGTTAATGAGGTGTGAGTGATAATATATAGTAGTAATACCCCCTGGCAATAACAGGTCGTATTTTATACATTCTTTAATCTCAACAGGAAAGGAGGTGATGGGAGAGGGTGAGAAGGAAACCTATTTAAGGGGCTCAGGGATGCTCCAAAAATCCCATTGTTGGTATGAATCACAATTGAAAACTTCACATGTTCAAACCAGAGAAGCTGAAAGTTGAGTGGGTAAAAATCTTTCTTCATGCACTGATTTTAGTGATAAAACGGTAACCTAAGTGTTTTCCAATCTGGACTGAATGAGGCATCCCAGTATGTGGCTACACTAGGGGCTAATCTTTTACTGTCATAAGAAGGAGCCATCGGAATTTGGAGTCATGAATCCTGGATCAATCCGACAGAGGTGAGGGACAGTAGGAGAGACAGAAGTAAGTGAGAGTGGATTTAATAAGGGAACAGCCTGAGGTGAATGCAATTTTAGGAAAACAATTTATACGAATTAATTCCGAATTGGATTATCTCTGAAATGGACTGAGACTGTTTATCAGATGGCTCTATTTTCAGTGGCATAAGAGTGGTCCGTAGAAACTTTTCTTACTCAGCTCATTTGGCATTTTCTTTGTTGTTGGGGACACTTTAGAAATCCACATAGTACATGCCAGAAGTTTAAAGACACAGGGCTTTCTTTGTAACCAAGTTTCAGAGCTCACTTGGCTAAGCCATGATGCCATCTTATTTTTGTGGCATTGGCCACATTTCTGCAAAGAAAGGAGAAGAAGAAAGTAAAAATAAAGTTCAATTTTAACTTTGCCAATTTTGGTTTTATGGATTTGCATTCTTGAATCACCATCAATCTTTTCTAGTCTTGAAAAATAAAGTTCAGGCTGGGCGCAGTGACTCACTCCTGTAATCCCAGCACTTTGGGAGGCTGAGGAGGGCAGATCACCTGAAGTCAGGAGTTCAAAACCAGCCTGGCCAATGTGGTGAAACCCCCAACTCTACTAAAAATACAGGCGTGTGCCTATAATCCCAGCTACTCGGGATGCTGAGGCAGGAGAACACAGGAGGCAGAAGTTTCAGTGAGCCAAGATTGCGCCATTGCACTCCAGCCTGGGCGACAAGAGCAAAACTCTGTCTCAAAAAATAAAATAAAATAAAACAACAATAAAACAAATAAAGTTCAGAATCTTTGTCTTGACATTTAAGGTCATCCAAAATTTGGCCTTATCTAGTCTTTCCATTTTATCTCTCATTTATTTCTTCCATAAACCTTCTGTTAGAGCCAGGCTAAAATACTCATTTTCTTCTAAACATGCAAAGCCCTTTCTTTACCTTTGTTCATTAGGTTAATGCTTCCTGGAATATTCTTCTTCTTCACTTCTAGTCATCTACCTCTTTCTATTCTTTACGGTATGGCTTAGGAAAAAAAAAAAAAAGAAAAAGAAAAAGAAAAGAAGAGCATCTTAACTACTCCATGAAAGCTTATTTATTACTTCATTTAATAAAAAGAAAAACCAAAATGTCCTTTATTTAAGCAATATTTTTGTGAATATGTGTAAAATATTTTGAAAATAATTTGAAAGTGCTTTATAATTCAAAGGTGTTTCTAAAATTATTGATAGTGTAGCCATTTTGAAAATAAAATAAGTTGTATTTTAATACTGAAAAAATAAAAAAAAATAGCACCTTAGGACGAAGACAGTCCTATAAATCACATCCATTTTACATGAAGAAAAAGCAAACTCATTTTTCTTGTTATTATTATTTTATCATAAATGCACAAAGATTTAATTATCACCTGTCCCTTGGACCATTCTTGGATAATGTTGAAAAATCAATTTTAAAGAAGATTGATAAACTGAGAAATATTCATCCAGGTCAAACACACACACATACACATACACACACACACACACACACACACACCCCAGGAAATATTCCTCCCCTAACAGAGGTCTCCTTTTTGAGTTCTGAATCATTGAGAATACTCAGTGTTTCTCTTCCTTAAAATGTCCTGGAGGAACTCTGCCAAAGGCTTCTTTTTTTGTAGAGCTCTCACTAACAAATGACTTCCTTTTTGTTTATATCTACAAATGGGATAAAACAAGGATCCCTCTCATTCTATGTTTTCATCCCATGACCAGGAACCGGAAACACCAAGGGCACTCTAGATTGAAATGCATGTCTACTGTGCTCTACCCAGGGACACTAGTGTCAGGGCACATCAGGGCCATTTAGCCCTGAGTTCCAGCTACTCTTATTAAAGTCCCTGTGCGGGCAGGCCAGGTCTCACTAATGCAGACCTCCATAACAACTGTTTCAGTACTGATTGAATGGTTAAGTAGTAAAAGCTAAAAAAAAAAGCCAGTGCCTTTATACGAACGCTGGAATACAACAAAAGCCCACCAAGAGTTTTCCCTAGGCCTTTCCTAAGCCTTAAAGCATGACAAAATAATGAAAAAATTTTTATCAACACCCATTTAGGATTAAACAAGTTTATTGGGGGTCTGAAGAAATGCCCCAGGTCTCCACAAATAAGTTTATTCGGGGTCAGAAGGAACTCCCCAGACCTCCATGACTTAGTAGGAGACAAGCTAAGGGTAATGACCCCAACACCTGGACCCATTTAGATTAAGTAAATTTACTGAGGCTACAGAGGAAGATCTTCATGACTCAGACCTTAGTTATAGATTAAAAGAAGTTAATCACTTATGTCTTTAGATGAATGCACAGTTACACATAGACATATAGCTTAGAAGGTATACAAGCTCTGGAAAACTTTGTAATTTTGAGTTTGTCTGGCGATAATTTCCATGCCTTCTCCCTGTAACCCGTTGTAGAAATAAAAACTCTCTTCCTCCCCAGTTCACCTGCATCTTGTTATTGGGCCACAAGAAATAGCACCCCAACCTTCAGTTTGGTCCAGGAATGCCTGGGATGCAGGGTCAGGGTCTTAATATGTTGTACTTCTTTGTCTTTGTGAAAACTGAAGTTCAAAAGCAATTCCTTCTGTTCTACTATCTACTTGAAGTACTTCTTGTTTTTAAACCTGCAAACACCCTCCTTTATAACACTCAATGGTTTGTATTAACTCTCATTTCTTGTCTTTGTTTTGTCTTGTTGTTTTGGGACTTTGACACATCTGTAGTTACTACTTCAGCAGAAGAGTTAGATTGATTCCTGAGTTTTTACATCTTACAAACTCTTATGTTAGTTCTTAATAATTCCTGAGTCAAGATTTAATTGAGAGAATAATCATTGACTGGTCATTTGAAAGGAAAATCATAGGTAAAAAGAAATATATATATATATATATGCCATTTCCATATAGTTTTTAATGAGATAGAATTTTAGAGAAAAAATCTGGATGATTGGGGCAACTACTTTCTTTTTCATCTTGATCATAATATTGAGCCTTTTGGCACTTAAGAATAAAATTTCAGGTCGAGTAAACTTGCACTAAATAACATTATTCACATAAATTTTATATCCCTAATTTAGAATTTTAAGTCATTTGAGAGAAGAACATATCAATGGAGTGGAATTTGGTTACCACTGCAGAGGTGTCCTTTAAAAATATGTTGTTTGCCCTCTCTTGGATAATTAGTTACCTAACATGTTTTTAAGGGAAGCTTAAAAAACTGAAAAGTTCCAGAACTTTTCCATGTAGTTAATATGATCTAGTTCCTTAACTAGATCAATATACTGGCACATTTTACTGATAAAGCTAAATCTCTGAGCATAGTAAGAATCATGTCACCAGAGCCAATGAGGCTGGCAAGTTTACAATGGAAGAGAGGGAATAAAGATGTATAAAGCTGACACATGACCCTAAAACGATTATGACGCGTTACCTGTAGTCCTCTTCTTAGGATCCCCATACCCACAGACATACTTCTTGTGAAAAATAAGAAAAAAAAATCCATGTATTTTACTTTTATTAATTGGCTAAGTTCTGGTACTGATCTCGATGTTCACTTTAACGTGAAGTATAAGAACAAATATGGTTGAGCAACGTAGAGACAAAAAGGCTGAGGCCATTGTGCTATTTGCTCGGGGCCAAAGGCTTTGAGTTGTTCTAAGCACCTTTGTCCCCCATGTATAGGAGTGAAGCTGTTACCCAAAGTGGTTTACTTGGAGGTAAATAAAATGAATTTTTAGTGTTGTCTGGATTAATCTACTTTCAAACTCCACCTCATGTAATTGACCCAAATTACCAATTGATATGGTTTGGCTGTGTCCTCACCCAAATCACATCTTGAATTGTAGTTCTTATAATCTCCACATGCCATGGGAGGCACCTAGTGGGAGGTAACTGAATCATGGCGGCAGTTACCCCCATGCTGCTGTTCTCGTGATAGTGAGTGAGTTCTCATGAGAACTGATGATTTTATAAGATGCTTTTCCCACTTTTGCTTGGCACTTCCTCTTCCTGCCACCATAAGAAGAAGGAAGTGCTTGCTTCCTCTTCTGCCATGATTGTAAGTTTCCTAAGGCCTCCCCAGCCCTGCAGAACTATGAGTCCGTTAAACTTCTTTCCTTTATAAATTACCCAGTCTCAGGCAGTCTTTTATAGTAGCATGAGAATGGACTAGTACAATCATCTTTAAAGTTTCAAATTAGATGATGGCCCTCCAGTGCCTCAAAACTTTCTCAGTGAATTAAAATAAAATCCAAACTACTTTCTCTGGCTTTTTGCTTATTCCTCTGACCTTACATCGTATAGCACTGCCACTCAGCAGGAGTAGTATCCTCTGGGATCAGCATCACTCCAGGTCTATTGAGTCAAAATTTCTGAGAGGAAAACCGGGAACTGACATTTTAACAAGCCCCCCAGGTAATTTTATATATGCATGACGGGGGAGACCATTGTCCCACAGCCCTTGTTCCATTATAGGATTTGCTCCAGACCTACAGGATTTATTTCCACTCTTTAACTATTCAATCTATTCTATTGTCAGGTGATACGGTTTGGCTCTGTGTCACCACCCAAATCTCATCTTGAATTTTAATCCCTATAATCCCCAGGTGTCGTGGGTGGGGGGACCAGATGGGAGGTGATTGGATCATGGGGGCATTTTCTGCCATGCTGCTCTTGGGATAGTGAGTAAATTCTCATGAGATCTGATGGTTTTATAAATGGTAGTATTTCCTGTTCTCCCTCTCTCATAAATGGTAGTATTTCCTGTTCTCTCTCTCTCTCTCTCTCTCTCTCTCCTGCTGCTATGTAAGGCATGCCTGCTTCCCCTTCCACCATGATTGTAAGTTTTCTGAGGCCTCCCCAGCCATGCAAAACTGTGAGTCAATTAAACCACTTATCTTTAGAAATTACCCAGTCTTGGGCAGTTCTTTATACCAATGTGAAAACGGAATAATGTATCAGAGCTTTCAACTCTCTGCATAGAATGTGTCTGTCCCTGATCTTTGCATGAATTTCTACTTGTCTCAGGTTCCTGCTAAATACTATCTCTTATAAGATGTTCTCCAGACCACAATTTCAAACACTGCCCTCCTCATCCCTTTATTTCACACTGATGTCTCTTGTTTTCTTAATAGCACTCATCACTATTTAACCTTATTTTTTCTGTTTATCTGTGTAGCATGGCATTACACTAGAATTGAGGTTCTAACACAGTAAATGCCACATTCTAAAGTGTGGCGTGAACCTATCTACAGGACTTGCAAAGGAGATTATAGTAAACAGTTTGCACCCTTATGGAGCCATTCTATTTCAGTCTGTAAGATAAGATTCAGTGGCCTAGAAAAGGACTATGCTACAGAAAGTCTGGGTGTGGAAGATATTACCTCCCTCAGAATAAGGTAGGGATAGACATACTTTTCCTGAATATCTCAAATTAAAAACCAAAAACTCCACAGAAACCTGTTTGAGAGTTAAGATGTGTTCCTTACACACACTGTCAGCCCACTGGATTTGTGTGTGAGAGAATCTCGGCATGAGAAAAGGGGCTGGATACCTGTTCTGAGAGTAAAGTGAAGGAAGAAATATATCTGGATGCCTTGGGTAATCTGTAATTCTGGACTTTGAAAACAAAAAGGATGAATAAAAAGCACACCCCTTGGGACATATGATGTCCCCTTAAATCAACTCAGATGTTCTAGCGGCTGCTAAAAGAACTAAGTAGAAAAGAGAAGACGGTTTCTGTGTGAGGTCAAGGGCTAAGGAAGGTGCTTTGAGCAATCAGCTTCAGGAGAGTGAACCAGCCACATCAAGGGGACCACAGGTCTCCTTAGGGCCCACTTGAGCTACAGTCAGTTTCCCCAACCTGCCTGGCCCAGAGAAATTGCAGCCATCTCACATTTTAGTCTGATGAGGTCTGCAATCACCTTTAGGCTCCTCCCTTCCAAACTCTGACCCTGGAAGGATCAGCATAAGTCAAAGTCAACAAGAGGGAAGAGGAGGAAGCCATCCACAAGCCAGGGTCCTGCAGACACCAGCCAGGCATCTCTCCTCCTAATGTGAAACACTGGCCTGCAGCCTGCTAAGTTAGAAAAGAGGAGAGACCATAACTTTAGAGAAAATATAAGGTTTTGATTCTTACTGTATCTCTACTTATTAATTATCTACAAGAGAATATTTATTACATGAAATCACCCCCAAATCATGGGAATTTACCTACATTCCATTCAGGGAGAGGAGAATAAATTTGAAGACACATGGGGAGACTTCAAAAGGACTTGGTTGTTAAAATTTGTGAGTAGGAGTTGCTCAACATACAGAATGCAATTTTTTTTTCTGCTCAGCTGTAAGACCAAGCAACAGGGACTCCAGCTGTAATTGTTTATAAGGTATTCCTAGCAAATAATTAAGTCTGGTATCAAGTATAAACTTAATGAATGTCAGTGAATGAATGAATACATGAACAAATGCATGAGCAAAGAAATGAATACAATTGGTAGACTGGAGTTTAAATTTTCACTCTGTCATCTATGTTATGTAAATGGAAACCTGGGTTACTTTATTATTAAAAATGAAATAAAAACACCTACCTCTGAGGTGATTATATTAATAGAAATGAAATAAAATAAAATAATGTGTATAAAATTCTTAATGTAATACCTGAAACATAATTATTATAATGATTATAACAATTTACTTTAGGAAACAAGACATATGCATTTGTATTATTACATTCAAACAGAAAAAAATAAAAATTTTTTGTGAATAAAAGTTGATGCAACATTCCATTTCTGAACCCATAAAAGTGGATAGGATTTTCAGAGTTGGAGCAGAGAGGAGAGGTGATTAAAGGTCTTGGGGTTAATCCTAAGGAAGGAGAAAGGTGGACTATGCCAGGTAACTAGAAACTGCTGGAAAATATTGTCAGTCTTCACAATTTTATCATCACACACTTGAGTTAAATTCATCAGCCTCCTGAATGATTTTGACATCAGTCTCTACCATTTAATTCTCATCAAAATACTGCTTTTATAATGACACTCAACAAAAACAACAAAATTTAACAAGCAAAACAAGACTTCACCACTACGCAACATGTCTATGTAATAAAAATGCACTTGTAGTTTTCTCTAAGTGAATACATCTATAATAAGAATAAAGATTCATCATTAAAATGCCCATCAAAAACACCCTGCAGAGGCCTTAAATCCTTATACTGGCGTTCTAGAATTATCACATGACTGGATCTCTCCTCCAGCTTTAAGTCTTACTATTCTTCACCAAGAATCTTCTTCAAGCCATACTCATCTCTTTTCTGTCCCTTGAATATATAACAAACATTGATCACTTGAAGCACCTATTCATTTTGCAGTCTCTGCAGGGAAAGTTCTTCTCTCTGCTCTCATCTTATTCTGATGCCTCCTTCTTTGGAAGCTCAGCTCAAGTTGTTCCTCCTGGATTCACTCTCTCCTTTGTCTGAAAAGCCATTCCTCTAATTGGTTATAAAGCTTTTTGTCCATTTATCAAAAGCCTTGGGAAACCTTTCTCATTGTGCTGTCATATAATTATTTCATTCCTGTAGTTCAGTTATATATGGATTATTATTAATTTTTACATATTTCTTTCATCACTATTAAATAAAAGAATATAAATGCTTTGATGATAGACATTCTTTCATTTTGGTATATTCTGCCCAGTAATACAGTGTTTTACACGTGTTTCATAGAATTCTGCTGTGATGTGGATGTTGCACATCCTGAGGGCTTACAGCAGTGCCACTGTTAAAGTTGTCGCAATGCCTTATCAAAAAGACAGATACAACCCTCCCCTTGAAACTGCAGATCACTGTAAGGAAAACTAAGGGAAATGAATGCTCCATAATAACCCCAGCCACAGGCAGCTGAATCACATTAACATATTAAGACTTATTATGCCCAACCAATATTGAGAATATCTATTTCTGGCTAATTGAAAAGAATTCCAGTACCATTTGCAATTTTCTTTATAATTCATCCAGCTCACTGGTATGGGAAAAAAAGGTAGGTGGAGGGGAAAAAAAGTTTTGTATTAGTTACATATCCCAAAATAGGCTCTTAAATAGACAAGAGTGGGTAAGGAGTGGCTCAGGTCATTTGTATTATTCAAAATGAATTATTTAAATATCTCTGATGGAACCAGTTGAAATAAATTTGGAAATAAAGTATAATATTACCACAGAGTCATATTGTTGGTGACAAGAAAGCTAAAAAAAAATGGGAAAAAAATAACTGGCTGGTAATATTTTAAAGGGTAACCAATGCTCACTATCAGCTGCGGTAAGACATTAAGTAATAGAGCAAAGTAATGTTAACTGCTCTCCTGGTAAGATCAGTAAATGAAATAAACCCCAGCATCCGGGTATCATTAATCTATAGTGAATAATGGCGGTGGTAGTGTAAGGAGATTAAAAAGGGCATTGTAAACATTTGTGGCTGTATAATATACAAATTAAAAATGTGAGAACGCTTGCAGCTGCATAATCTACAAATTAAAAAGTGTAATAGCATGGCATTAATTACTGGCTGATCAATTCCCCCATAATTGCTAGCATGTAGATGAACGATTATAGGTCCAAAATGTTATTTGAGAAAGAGACATTGACCTTGGAACTGCAAGAAATGATACTCTGTTGTAAGGTAATACAGGATCCTATCAAATGTGGTTCTAGTATTTGTAGCAGCCGCCAGCTCAGTGCAGGGCTGTAATCACCACACTATTTCTTTAGATTATGGTGCCAGAGGGGTTACACATTGTTTTCTCTTTTTGAACAGAAACACCCAGTGACCTTCAGCCTTCTGAAAATGGTACCATCAGGCCTCATTTCCAAGTTCAAACAGTTTTAATAAAAATGAAATAGCAGGAGATAATGTACTTTACTCTTCTAGTCCAACAGAGCAGTTTGGAAAGTTGGAAAGACAAACTTGGTTCAAATGTGAACATTCCAACTGGGACTGTGGTTGTAGATCTCAATATTTCCAGATCAACCATTTTCAGGTTGACAACTGATAGTTAAGTAACCAGAGACTCAAACATTTGATTGATACTGAAGTCAGGACATTTACCTTTATTCTCTAGCCCTCCTTAATAGCAGAGGATAGGGCAGAGCTATGTTCTGGTGGACTATTTCCTATTATGGTCACCATAAGATAAGAAAGCTGAGATCTATCATAGCCCTTGCTACATTTGTGTGGCCTAGGCCCAGGTTAGCTATGTTAGTGCCATTTTTGACCCTGAATTATAACTTCATACTTAGGAATTGCCAACATTCTCAGTCCCCCTCATTTATTTACTGAATGTCACAATCTGGATTATGCTTGCTGCCCATCTATTGAAACTGTCTTCATAGAGGTCACAATAACTGCCAATCTAATGGACGTGTTTTACCCTGACCTTCGTTGTAGAATTGAAATCTGCTGACCACTTTCTTCACCTAGAGACTCTTTCCTTGCTTAATCTTTGCCAATTTTCATGGCTGCCTCAATTTTCTTTACATTGTCCACTTTCGTGATACTAACAGTATCAGCCTTATTCTTCTTTCTTTCCTTCACTTTATTCCTTCCCGGTGGAGTTTCAATTATTTCTAGTGTATCTCAGAGCTAAATCTATGGTCGTGACCTCTTCTCAAGGCCTGCGAACCTATAGCCAAAACCCTGCTGAGCATCAGCCAATGCAGGGCTTAGCGTGGCAGATCCTGCATGTGCACCCTCTCGGGACTTTCAGAATCAAAATCCCCCCTCCTCCTCTTCCCCTGACTGACTGACAGTCAGCGCGCCCACTTCATTTCTTAAGCTCCCAAACCCCTGATGCAAAGTCAAGCACTGTGGCTTATTTATATTTTCCTCTAGGGTTTTTTTTTTCCTCAAATCTTTGCATCTCATTCCACTGTTACTCTCTTCTTTGCCTTTTACTGGGATTCTTGTCATAGCTTTATTATTTTTCCTCCTCCACTTTAAGCACTCGTTCCAACACTCATTTTTCAACTTCTCTGTAGGACCTTCTACAGTCATCACTAGCCAGCTTGTAACTTTTCAACTGCTTTGTATTTTTACGGAGTAAAGCTAAGACTTTCATCATGATCCACAAATCCTTTACTAATCTGGCCTCTGCTTAATTCACCAAGCACATATGCTACTGTTTTCTGATCTTGAATGTTTGCTCCAACAATAATTAAAAACAGCAATGAATGCTATAAATGAGGTCAGCTTTATCAACCCTCCAGGCTTTTCCACATACTATTCCCCCTGCTTGAATTACCATTCACTTTTTTGTCTCTGGGAAATGTCTCATCATCATATTGTAAGGATCAATTTACTTGTCATTTCCCCTTGGATTCCTTCCTTGTCACCCCAGACAGAGCTATCTCTTCCTCATTTCCTTATCCCTGCACATGCTTTCATTACCACATTTTCCAAAATGTGTTGTTTGCCTAAATGGCAGCTCACTGTCTCCTGTGAGAGACAAGTGTCTTTGTGGTTCCTATCAGAAACCTGATATCTAGTGGGTACTCAGCATCTTATATTTTAGGTATTGTATCAAAGTTGGTAAAGACGAAAGTGTTTAAAAATTGGAAGTGAAAAGGTGGATAAAGCACTGCTCTGTTGACATGACTTTGCTTATGTTAAAGTAGTTATCCATGTTGATAGCAACAATCATAGTAAGAGCAAATGATGACACTAGTGATAGTATAGCTAGCTAACTGATATAACTAAGGTTACTGGTAAGAGTAACACACATTATAATCAATTCCTATGCTTCAGATATGTGGTTTTCTGTGCATGAATTCTCTCATCTAATCTTCACAACAGATAAGGTAACGGAAACTGAGTCAGAAAAAAACCCTGTTCAGAGTCACATAGCTAGAATGTGGTGGAGCTGGAATTTAATCCATGGCTACCTGATTCTAGAATCAATTTTATTAACTATTAGTTATTCCATGTCCCTCATCCTCCTTTACAGTACTGGTTAAATTATATTTTCATTGAGCAGCTCATTTTTTATTAGAAATACAGAATAACGTCTTATTTTTGATTTGTTGAGGCACATAACATTTATTCTTATGTAGACATATTGTTGGCCTGCAGATTTTCTTTAAAAAATTTCCTAAGTACTTCGAAAAGACTGCTCAATGAAGCTTTCATTTGAAGCATTTTAAACAATCACATATCATACATACATACCAAACAAATTTTCAAATAATGCCAGCTCCTTCTTCCAAAGTAATATTCATCAATTTCCCCACTTGACTGTTCTGTCTATTCAATACAATTATGGAGATTTGAAATACACAATAGATATTGATTCAGTCTCTCACATAAAGTTCATTTGAAAATAAGAACTTGGGAGGGCATTTTGAGTAAAATCATTTACATAAAAAATAAAATCCTGGAATAAAGCTTGGATTTCATCTTAAAAGAAGATTAAAAAAAAAACATAAAATTAAAGAAGCAACTATTTTATACAGGAAATTTTAATAGAATCTCCCCTTTATGCTAATCAAAATAATTAGTGTTTCTATTATTCCTTTGGAATCTCACTATAAGGCTCTTCACTAAAGAAAGGAATTCAATGCTTTAAAAATGATTAGCATTTATATTATTACAGGAGCAATACACTAGAACATTATTTCCTACAAATTTAGAATTCATGTTATGAAGGCTAGCATTTCTTTCACTTACTGGAATTTTGTGCAAACTTTCCATGGAAAGGAATTTACTATAAAGCTTATAAAACTGGATCTACAGAAAAAGAAAAAATAAAATATAAAACAGGAAAACAAATATGAAAGAAAGTGCTTTCTATGTATCAAAATGAACTAGTCCTCAGCTGGTCCTCCCCATATAGTAGGCATGGCATTAGAGCATCTCTCTGTAAGAACAGCCTCATGTTCTCACTTCCGCTCAAGAGAATCAGACTGTTAGCAAATCTAAAAGAGTAGGGGAAAGAATGTCAGACTTCCAGTTATTTATTGGCTTCTCTTTGGGAAATGCTTTGAAGAGAAAAAAAAAATTCTTATATTTAGAAAAAGCAATAGGTTTTTTTAAAAAAAATCACTAAGTAACCTGGTTATTAGTGCAAATGCATGATCTTGACAAAAAATGTTTTTGTGAATAAACTCACTCAGTTTGAGTGACACAGTATGGACACAACTTCCATCGAGCAAATGACTGTTGTATGCTTCCATAGCATCATTAATAATTTGTATTAAGCATTAGAAACACCAACCTTTCTATAAGGTTCCCCAGTAACTCTCTGTGTCTGTTTACACTATTTGGATGACTAGAGAAAGATTCAGCCTGTGCTTGTTCTCCTAACCCCTATCCAATTCAGATACAAACATGAGTTGTATAAACAATAATGAATCATCTGTTTTAGGGTTTCACCCACTGGGTTCCTAGTCCGGTTCTCTACAACAGGGTAATAAGGAATGAGCCTTGGCTCTCTTTGTCAATGGGAGATAATCTCACCTGTGAAATACCTGGAAAAGACAAGTTAGAGCTGCCTGTTCTAGGCTCATAATAACTTCATCACCCCCACCCCCAACCAAATTGTTATCTTTCACTCTTCTGCATTTTTAAAGCTTTATTTTGAAATAATTTCCGAATGACAAAAGGCTGCAACAATAGTACAGAGAGCCCTCATGTACCCTTTACCTAAACAGCTGTCCCCAATGACAACATTGTCCATAGTCATAGTATATAACTTCCGCCGTTTACAGGACACTGAATCCTTCTGTTTTTGACACCACAAGGAAAAAACCTTCTAATTATTTCTTCACAGTAAATCCTTACTCAACCATTACCTTGGCAATCATTATGTGTCCCCTAGATATCTTTGTGGGGGTGGATCAGGGGAGGTTTTATTTTCACAATTCATGACTTGTAGAACCAAGGTTAATGTTTTTCTATGTATAAATGGCTTTAGGAAATGCATCATACAAGTACCTTGTGTTGTAGATTCATGATGCACAGCAACATACTAAGCATCCTAAGTTTATACGCAGAAAACAAACTTAGATGAAGTAATACAACCCAAGGTTTTTCAAAGACATTTGAATAGTGAACATTTTTAATATTGTATGACTGTATGTTGTATGCTAAAAAGGGGTAATTCTCAAGACATCAATTTGGAAGGACCTTCCCTATGTGATCTGCTTTCAAACAAATTGTTCTACTCACTGTATTTCACACGTGCTATAAGCATCACTGTCTCTCCCTTTTTGAATTATATTTTTTACTTGCCTGAGATGGCTTCCTTGTTTTTTTTGGAGAGTTTAAGCCCACCATAAGTGCCTTCATGAAACATCTGTGGATGTCTATAGAAGGGTAAGATAATAGAAAGAAAATAAATTTGCTTTCAAGTTGAAATGCTATTTTCCATCTCCTGGTAATAACTGTGGCCTTGGGCAAGTTACTTAATAGTTCTGAGCTTGTTTGTTCTTTACAAAATAAAGATAATAATAACCTCATACGATTATTGTGATTATTTAATTTGATAATCCATAGAAAGTGCATGCTAGGACTCAGTGAATGCAAATTATCCCTAATTTCCAGTCCTAGGTAGCTTTTACCATCTAGGTAAACCCTGCTGCAGCACCAGTGACTTCTGGAAAAGCTAGATAATTTTTCCTCTGAGATAGTATAGAATATTCATCATCAACATTAATTTATACATATCAAAATGAAGATTATAAAAAAGAAAAGATAAGATTTGGAAGTAGAAGAAAATTCTGTAAAGGGAAAGGAACAACATAGACTAAGCTGGAGTGACTTGAAAAATTCCTCGCCATAATTTAAACTTCAAAGATCAATTCCATTCCTGATATTTATAATAGTAATGACTTCTGAAAGCTTGTGGCAAAAATATCCTAAGATATAGTCTCATATTAACCCTTAATAGTCTCTTTGTTGCAACAGTAATTACATTGTGAGGTTGTAGTTTTATGTCCCTCCTTTCTTCATTTCTTCTTCTTTTTAAAAATTATTCTATCGAGGCCAATATCATATTTTCTTGGATTACCAAAATCACTTTCCCATTGTCTTTCATCTTGCCTTTTACCAATTCAATCCCCGCATTACAGCAAATGGAAACAATTAAAACAAAGTGAATATGCCATTCCACTACAATCCCCTATCTTAGTGATATCTTCATCATGTTTAGGATAGATTCTAGAATCCATATTTCTTTTTGTTTTGACGCTTCTCTGTGCCTACTCCATGACCCCTTATTACTTTCTCCCTTTATATACTAAACTCAGCCATACAGAATTTCTTTCACATTTCCTCAGTTGGACTATGTTCTCTCAGAATCTTCTGATTCTTGCGCATGCCAGCTACTCTTCAAGGAATATGCTTCTTTTCTCCTTTTATCTGGACTATTCCTATTCTTACTCAATCTGTCTATTTCAATGTTACTTTCTCAGGGAATCCTCCCCTCTTTGTTCAAGTTTATGTTAGACACCTCTTTAATGGGTCCTCATAAGACCTGGTACTTCTCCTACCATTGCATTAATCACACCCAGTATTCTAAAGACTCGTTACTCATGTGTTATTCTTCGTTATGCTATAAACTTAAGACTAGGACCTTGTCCAGCCTGCTTATAATTGCCTCCCCAAAGTCTAGTTCAGTGACTGAAACATAGAAGGTGGTTAGTAATATTTGTTGAATATATGAATAAGGGAGGCATTTTTTTCTGGGCTGCAGATGGAACCCGGGAACATTACAGGAAAAAAAAAAAAAAACAAAAAAACAGCAGGCAGCAGGCAATCCTGAGGGGTAAATCATTGCATGGATAAAGGCAGACAGAGACAACATTTTTCCTACCACCATGTTTTTCTATATGCTAGTACCAGTTATGTATGTGGTGTATCTTCCTTATAATATTGATCTCTGTCATGTTACATTTTGTATTATCATCTCAAAATGAGCAAAAGTATACTGTGTGCTGTGCAAAATGATGCTTAAACTGATTAGTACTCATTTCCTATTATGGAAGACCCCTCAGTAAAGCTTAACTTCTCAAATACCGGTCAAATGGCAGCACATCAGTGCCAGACTGAAGCAAAATGAACTCCACTCAAATTTTTGAAGCCAGTCTTTACCCTCAATGAGAGTCAACAAAGTTAGAAAGCTTTTCAGTTCAGAATACAAAACACCCATTGCACATTTTATATTCTCTATTTCTAGGCTAACTTATTAGAGATGCGTATACCATTTGCTGTTGCTTTGTGACATTGGCAAATGCTTTTAAATCTTCTAAATGTTTTTTAAAATGTGTGAAATGTGTTCTTTTCAAGGACATGAAAGTGAACTGAGGCCAAGTGGCAGTGGGCGTGTTGGCTATAAATCTACTCAATACATAAATATATGCATATTGAATTTTTCATCACTAGCAGACTATAAAATATCTACCTTGTTGAATGTGTTATTTGTAATGTGCAAAGTTCACACAGCTAAGAGAACCATAACTTTTGCATTCATATTTTGGTCTGTGACATGCAAAAGTGAGTTTATTTTTTCTGAAACATAAAACTAGAGTTTTCTGAATATAATACTGCATCAGATTAAGAGCTAGCAATGGAAAATATTTTGACTATTCAAGAATAGGTTGTAGAGTATTACTTTATATTAATTGTAAGACTAATGTTTTTCTTTTCCAACATATTTAAAATTTATTAAATTATCGTTTCTTTAATTTTCTGAATGTGTGTAATACATACAACAGGTTTTTTTCAGAATTTCATCATAAAAATTATCTATTTACATATTATGCTGTATAAACACTCTCTCCATTATACATACATGTGTCAAATGCTAAGAATTATAATATTTAGACTTTTAGTGGATGGCTTGGTCCACCATGGTTATTTGCCACTTGACATCCTGTAAAAAGGAAAAAAGACCCTTTTTTCAGTTAAGTAGGTTTCAAAGAAACTGTCTCCTCTTAAATAAGTAAAAGGGTAAAAAATCAGTGAGGACAGCATTGTCCTTTGGAGAATGGACCTTGCCTTTAGGTTTTTGTAATCTACAACTGATTTAATAAGATTTATTCTTTTTGTGATTTATGAAACACTACTTGTAGTTGAGAAATAATTCAGCATTATTCTGGACAGGATATGAAGAATGACTCTTTTCAGCCTTTAAAAGGAGCTTATTCTGCTATTCTTTTAGGCAAAGAAATGACTGCTAATCTTAGACACTATTCCCCTGCGCATGGTCATATCTTGTTCCTGTGGATGAAAATATTAATGAAATATTAATTTAATATTAATTAATTAATATTAAAAAAATTAATTTCATTAATATAATGAAAATATTAATTTTATACCTTTATTACAGTAAATGGTTTGAGCCACAGCTTAAAACAGGTACATGCTCCTAAGTAAATGGCAAAGGGTTTTACTGCACTCTGTACTACAGTACTTGCTGGAAGCACTTTTTTCAAAGTTGGCTATGAAAAATAAGAAAGACTCAAAATGTATAAATTGTTGCTTCCTTAACTTACCCTAGTGAAATAATTTTGATGGGTGGTTATGAATTTGTAAGTAATGTTTACTTCTGAAATGCCATAATTGCTTTTGGAACTATTTGAGGCATTTTGAATTGTATCTGTTTTTATTGTAATATGGAGTTGTATTGCCATTTTGTGAAGCGGCATCTTTTTGATGCATGGAAGTTCTGCATGCATTTGTTATCCATCTTGAGGAAACCAGATAAGTAAATATTACAACTATAACTGAAATGCTTCTTTTTTTACGTGAATAAATGAAAACCATTTTGAATCTGAAGGCAGAAACACTCTATCTGCAGACTGACAAATTACATATTTGTTTGGTTTCAAAAAACTGGTGTCCGGCTTCTACACTGTGATTCAGAGAAATGTCTGTCTCCTGCCTGACAAAGCCTCTGAGATGGAAGAGCTCTCTCCTTGATGGAAGTCAAAGAGGTCAGCTGAAGGGACCATAAAGAATGAGGACCCAGCCGAGTGTGGTGGCTCACGCCTGTAATCCCAGCACTTTGGGAGGCTGAGGTGGTACATCATGAGGTCAGGAGTTCGAGACCAGCCTGACCAATACGGTGAAACCCCGTCTCTACTAAAAAAAATACAAAAATTAGTCTGGCATGGTGGTGCATGCCTGTAATCCCAGCTACTCAGGAGGCTGAGGCAGGAGAATCACTTGAACCTGGGAGGCAGAGGTTGCAGTGTTGCAGTGAGCTGAGATCACACCACTTCACTCCAGCCTGGGTGACAGAGCAAGACTCTGTCTTAAAAAAATTAACAAATAAAAATAAAAAAGAGGACCCTTTTCTATACAATTACTATTGAATGGTATAATACCACACAGTCTTTCCATCTGATATACAATAGCTTATCTATATTGCTACATCACAAAATTCCGTTCAGCTTTCTATTCTTTCCATAAACATTTATTGCACACATAACTTTCTGCAAATATAACTAAGAAGTAGTTTTCTATGATCCCTCTGAACACTCAGAATGTATGATTCTGTGATTTATCTGCCTTTAAGATAACCCCCAAACACTGACCATATTAAGTAATATTTTTCATATGTGGTTTACCCTAGAGATGTATAGCCTTAATTTCTTAATAGCTAAAGCATTGTAACTAGCCTTTGTTGAAAGCACTGCCTGGTGGAAAACTGATCAATCAAGTCAAAGGAACTACCAGAGTTTTAACTTCTGACATGTACTAACGGTTAAAGGTGATTTTCTGGAAGTCAAACATCAAATTTGTTATGAGATAAGAATGATATCTGGTAGAGCAACTTGTTTTTGTTGAGGATTGTTTGGACAATAAACAGAACAATTTATATAATACAGATATTCTTGGTCAGATAAGGCATGGATTAGGTAGGTGATTGGCTATAGAGGTATTTAAAGGGAATATGTTTGAAGACAGAGATTCCATCTATACCAGTGCTTCTCAAGCCTTAATGCGGATATGAATCTCCTGAAAATCTCCTGTGAAATTCAAACTCTGACTTAGAATTTCTCAGTTGGTACCCAAGACTGCATTTCTACCAAGCTCCCACGTGATGTCAATGGTACTGGCCCATTGACCACACTGAGAGAATCAAGGAAGACAATGTTCCAAAGAACTCAAAAACTGTGGACAGTTTCTTCACCAATCCAGTGGGCAGGACAAAATAATAATTTAGTAAAGAAGTTTGGCAAAGTAGCAACGATGTTCTGTTTTCTTTGCTAAACTTCCAGTGTTTCTTCATAGAGTTCATCTCTGTATATTGATGACAATAGAAAACCCTTATTCTTCAAATGCAATGACATTATTAACTTAGTTTCTCTTAGGCATGGCTTCATTCATTCATACTAAATCAGGCTATGAGAAAACATCAATAACATTTTCAAAAGAAGGATCAAAGTTATCATGAACTATAAACCAGTAAGAAGAATCTAACTTTCAGACACAGTTCTATAACTTATTAAGGGGCTAGCTTGTAAGTGCCTAAGAAAGGCATACACAAAAGCAGGACTTCCTGAGTGTCTATCAAAACAAGGCACGTTTCAATAGCTGAGTTTCTTTGTCTGTAGATATTTCTGGTCCAGATTTCCACCAAATATTTGACAGTGTTCCCTTCATTACATTTGAAAACAAAATGTAAAAATGTAGATTAAATAAAGGGAAGTTTGTTTCTACTGAGTAGTATTTGAATAACCATATCAAAATGAGGCTGATTAATTAATTAAGGTACACTTAGTAGAAGTTTCTAGAACTAAACTAATTGACTATATATTTTTTAATCTAACGTTTTAATTTATGTTTAATTATCCCTTGGTAATTGGTTTCAGGACCTCTGGCAGACACCAAAATTCTCAAATGCTCAAGTCACAGGTATAAAATGGTACAGTATTTGCATGTAACCTATGCACATACTCTTGTATATTTTAAATTGTCTCTAAATTACTTTCAATACCTAATACAATGTAAATGCTATGTAAACAGTTGTTATAATGTATTTTTTAGGGAATAATATGAAAAAAAGCCTGTACATGTTCAGTATAGATACATTTTTTTCCAAATATTTTCAATCTTCCATTGGTTGAATCCATTGATGCGGAACCCATAGATATGGAGGGCTGACTGTATTAGATAATTATAATAAAGTGAAATTGACATCTACATTTTACATAACATTGAACTGTGAAGGATAGCAAAGATATCGACAAGCTGAAGTGACAAGTTACATATTGAACATTCATAAAAGTCAATGAATGCTTTTGTCTAAGGGTCTTTACCTTAAGGTTAGTTATAAAGTTTATTAACTCATAAAAGCAATTGCATAATTTTATAACAAAACTACCAGATTCTCAGAGGAGTCTATGACTTTTAAAAATCACTGTTTATGTAATTTAGGAGAGAGGAAAGAGAGGATAGTCAAGAAGTTTCTCATGGAGGAGGTAGACTGAGCTTGTTCATGAAGTGCAGGCATGGGTGGACAGATGAGTAAGATGGAAAAGTGATAGCGCTTGCTTAAATTGTAACAATTGAGAAAAGCAGCATAAGGAAAGCTGTGAAATCAAAAATGTACATGGAAGGGACTATTCATGAAGAAGTGAAATGGTTGTATTAAAGTAAGGCAGGACAAGTCATCTAGAAAAATCATACTATTGTTACATGTTTAATTTCACATTATAGATATCAATTTATTTTCTCTTCATTATTTTAAAAATATAGTTAATAAAGCTTTTAACCCTCAAGAAACAAGTGTTTCATAAAAGAATGAGACTGTGAGTAAACGAATGATACCTGATATGTGTTTTTTTCTTCAAACAGTACTAGTTACACAATAGAAAAAGGATTCTTCGGTACATCAGTCTCAGGGTTAAAGGCAGAGACGTGAAGTCAGTGGACCTCCTGCCTCACTGTGCTACAGACCTGGAGACATTCACTCCTCTAGTTTCATTTGCCTGAGCTTTTCTTTTTATTGCAAATTTCTCTCAACATTCTCCTAACCCCTTTTGGCTTTCCTTGGCTGAATGTTTTAATATAAATCAAACTGGATTGGGAGGACTCTGTGTGTGTGTGCTTGCTGAGTGAAGTATAGCCTCAAAGTCACAGATGGCACATTAGAAAAAAGAAATATAGTAAAATGAGTAAAATATATTCTCATTCACAATTTCCTAGAGGCCCCTTGGTTGTTAATTGAAACTTTTGTCTACTTTATTGAACAATAAAAGTGGCAGCAACTACTCCCAGGTGTCCTTCAGTATTAAAAAGAGGATAAAGGGTTCCTGGCAAAGGTGACAGAAATTAATGCGGTGAGCCCAGCTATCAAACATTCTGATATGTGAATTGCCTGATATTTCTATAATGCCGTCTTATGATTGGAAATGTTATCGCTTCTATTGAATCAATAGAAAATGTTAAAGCTCCACAGAACCCCAATTACAAACTAAAGCTGGAAGGTTAACATCTGGGAGCAGCAGAGATAGAAACAATCTCTATTGTCGTACCTTCCTGACAAGTAAATGTCAGAAACATAACGCCTTCGCCTGGTCTCAGCACGGAGCCCATGTAAAAGAGTGATTGTAAGGCTGCCTCAAATCAAATCGCCTGTCATCTCAGCTTTGACATGGAATTACTTTTGTTTTATGCATCTATTAACCTTGAACTATCAGCATTTGTTTTAATGTTACAGGCTGAAGTGACCTAAATGTTCTTCTCTCATGCAGAGGGGATCTGTGATAGAATAGAGCATGTGGCCCGAGTTGGGGCTGGTCTTTAAGGGAAGGCAGAGTGTCTGTGACTGGAAGGACCACATTTCTCCCAAATGACAATGCTCTGCTTAGAAGTCTACTATTATATGGGCATTCTTTGTATTTTTAAATACTTGTCCTTTTCTTAAGAATCCCCTGTCGGAATGCAAACCTCACACAACACATAGTGATGATACAGTTACCAAATAATCTATCTGAAAGAGGTTCTTAGAACAGTTGATAGAGAAGGGGCAGAAGGAAAAGATGGGCTTTATTTTTACTGCAGAAGTTGAGGCAGAGAGAGATTCACTAACTTGACTTTGACCTGAATCCTGATGTTTTACCATTTCACATCTATTTTTACTCTTAGTAGTCCTTGCATTTTTAGAAGTCCTACATCTTCCACATTATCTTGGCTGGCATCCTTTAAGAATATCCAACTCAGGTTCCTTTCAACATCACACTAGATAAGGACCCCCCAAGTAGAAGTTTGGCAATTTTGTGACTGGCTTTAGTATTTTCTTTCTAATGTATGTTTTTTATGTATTTATTTATTTTTTATAAATCCCAAGCCAACTTTAATTTGACTCATTATCTCAAATTAGAAAGTACTTGGCTTTTTTAAATTATTTATCCAGTATGGTGGTAACTGAATCTATGTGCTAGAAATTCTACTTCACCCTTGATCCAGTTCTCTCTGTACCACAAAGCATATTTCGGGCATATTTTGCCCAAAGCTAATTGTCAAAAACGACCCTGAACCTTTCTGAGGTACTGCTTCTTCACCTGGACATCCAGGTTAGATCCAGCCCCATCTTCTTAGGTAGGGAGTAATGGTGGAAAGTTCCATTTGATGCAGGGCCTATTGTCAACAGATAAATGCTTTATGATATTCAGTAGACAATTTCTAAGTCTTCCTGTTTGCGCTGTCTTTGACTTTTCATGGAATGTCAATTGCCTGCCTTTGTAAAATCTTGAATTCTCAGTTTATTTGCAAAATGTGATGACTACCATACCTTGCCTTTCCTGGTTAAGGATTTTGGCTCTACTCAGTTCCTGAGGTCTTCCATTGGTATCCACAGTAGCACGTGCACATGAGAGCTCTCTTGTTCCCATCAACCACAAACTCTGACACCATGTTTCAGGGCACTTAATCACTCCCTTAAATGGCAAGCATGTCTATGGCATGTGCTAAGTGGCAGACAATGTTATAAGCATTTAGCACGTACTACTTCATTGGCTGTCCACAAGAATCTTATAAAATAGAAAGTCTTATGATTCTCATTTGATAGGTGAAATAACTGAGGCACAGAGATGAGAAACCCAAAAACTTAGAGGTTATAAGTGGTAGAACCTAGATTTGAGTGCAGACAGTCAGCCCTAGAAACTGTAATTTTAATACCCTGCTACACACCCACTACCAGCCATCCTAAGAACTTCAGGGGAGAAAAAGAACAATAGAGAATTTATTGAACGCCCACCATAAACGACACACTCTGCAAGGATTTCTCATGAGTATTTCATTTAATATTCACAAAAAATCCAATTTTACAAAGCCTCCGCAAAGTAAAGTGACTTGCACCAGGAAACACAGTGAACTAAAACTCTGATTTCAAAGCTTAAAGTCTTTTCAATCTAGTGGAAGAGTCAGTATATTAATATAGACAAAAAGATAACACAATGGTGTACTAATTGGTGGTACTGTTGCATAGAGATTACATGCTAAAGCAATTTAGCATTCTCACCCTGAAGCTGGAGGAGTAAGCAAAGCCATGCATCCTTTCTCAGTGAGCCTTGCCCCTGGACTCCAAGAACACATCCCTGCTGACTCTGGGAGGACATTTTCCTGTGACCATTGCCTTTTTCAGATTCATTACCTATGCTATCACTTCATTTTAATAAGCCTCTATTGCCAGGAGTGACTAATTTTATAGCAAGGATGTGAATTGCACAGACAGACAGGAAAGGGAATTTTTAAGACAATAGCTTTGAAAAATATGATGTCTCAAAGTCAAATTATATATGTGTTTAGTAAGTTCAACTTTGTAAAAACAGATTTTATTATTCATAGTTTGGCTCTATATTTTAGAGCCTTGATTACCCTAAAATTAGAACTCACGTTTATATTTCTTCTTTTTTCTTTGTGAGAACACCAGCTTTTGTGAACTGTTTTATATTAGCTCAATTCTAAAAGCAAGGTGGCTGACACTAACCTCCGTCGAACCACAGCAACATAAAAATCAAATTGTAGTAAGTGATTTCATTTTTCTATGAGCAACCATAAAAATACTGTCCATCAGTCTGGAAAAGTACTGTCTTGGTGAAATAATGCCTGTGGCCCAGAAGTGAATAATTACTGTACCACTCATTCGGCAAAATTCTCTTTGAAGTTCGTAAAAGTTTACATTGAAGGAAACTGGAGTACTAGATTTGATCATGAAATATTTCTCTCTTTCAAGCCAGGGGATAATTAGGGAGATGTGTACTGCAAGAGTGATTGGATGAGTGTATCACCAGATAAGGTGATTTGAGCACATGATGGCGGGGATAAATGTAAAAAGACACAGTGTTACTCACATCGCAAAGCTCTAATTCACATTTATTCCAGCAGTCCTGCACACCAAATTGCTTATTTTCTCCATTGTATTTGTGGGCCTTAGGATCAAAGAAATCTAAGTCTTGCAGGCAAGTTTATGAAAACCTAGAATTCCAAATGTTTGAGGAGAACTATTTCTCGTGGGGGTCACACTGAACAAAGAGCATTGCTCATTTGCTTGCTCTCTTTTCTTTTAATTCAAACAGCACTGTTTATTGTGAGGTAAAGTGTTCTCAGATGACAGTGAGTTGAAATTCCAACAAGTCTGTGTTCAAGTTGTACAGAATACAAACAAGTACATATATCTGTGTATGTCTATATCCATCTGTATCTATCTATATTTATATCTTGTATCTCTCTGTATAGACACTCTGCAAGATATATACATATATACATATATACATATGGATATATACAATACATAAAGAGAGAGAGAAAGAGATAGAGATTCAATCAATGAGACTTTACTGTGAAATTACCATATATCTAACATTGTGCAAGTCTCAATAGGGTATAAGATATAGGTTTTCCTATATCTCATATAGGAACATTTATCACTTAGACTCAACTCCCCCAAGACTTGCTTGGCAATTAAGACAAACCCATGCATATGAAAAAATTAGAGAATGTTGCAAAATGATACATAGCTACCTACTATATTTTATGGCACAGACAGTGTTTCAGAGATTCATAAAAAGTAGATGATTCCAAAACCTTGAACAATAAGTATGTGTGGCTTAAAATCCTAGTCAATGACATAAAAGTAATGAGTTTACTTATCTATGTAGCCAGTATTTATTAGTAACTCTCAGAAAAGGTGTGGGAGATTTTAGGGAAACAAATAAAGCACAATCCTATCCTTCAAAGAGTTTACAACTGAGTGGAAGAGACAGTCATGAAACAAGCATCCACTGTACAAAATATTTACATTATTGTAAGCACACATCATTGGATGTGGCATTCGACTTAAAATCTGTGCCAGACCTATCTGATCTCTATGTGGGCAATATATTTGCAAGAAAAAAGCAACAACAGCAACAGAAGAATAAAATAAAGATCCAAGAGAGGAGAGACTTTGCAGGGCCACATCTACTATGAGACTTCTAGCCTTCATAGAATGCCCTTATTCAAAAGACTAAGTGAAGGCCTTGTTTTGGTGTTATAAGCAACAATCACCACAACAACAAAGATATTTATTTATTTATTTATATTTTTGAGATGGTGTCTTGTTCTGTCACCTAGTCTGGAGTGCACTGGCACGATCTTGACTCACTGCAACCTCTGCCTCCCGGGTTCAAGCAATTTTCCTGCCTCAGCCTCTAGAGTAGCTGGGACTACAGGCATTCTCTACCACACCTGGCTAATTTTTGTACTTTTAGTAGAGACAGGTTTTTGCCCTGATGGCCAGGCTGGTCTCAAACTCTTGACTTCAAGTGATCCTCCTGCCTCAGCCTCCTAAGGTTCTGGGATTACAGGCATGAGCCACCACACTCTGCCAAAAATAATTTTTAAATAGTTTCTGGCTCATTTTGAGATTGGAAGTCTGGCATAGCAATTTAATACCCAAGAAATGAGTCATTAGATAAACAGATAAGTGAATTACTGATGCTACATTCCCTCTTTCCTTGAAGACTGAACCTCATAACAGTAAATTTTACAAAAAATCATTCATTAATGAGTCATACATTGCTTTTGCTTTTCTTTTCTTTTCAGTCCCTGGTATTATAATTTAAACTTCATAACTCTTTGTCCTTGTTTCTCGTAAGTAAATTCTGTAAAGACAAATTCTGTTTTATATCATTTGGAATCCTATTCAGGCTGTGGAAAAATGCTCTGTATGTAATAATTGCAGCCCACCTTCTAAGAAAACACAATACAAACACACAAACACCCCTAATACATCAAAACTTAAGATAGATCTAGATCTGTAACTCAGTTTCACCAAGCGCAAAACTGTGACTTGGACAAAAAATGATGTAAACTTCAGTTTTTTCATCTGTTAAATGGGGGTTATAATATCTATCCAATAAAGATTTTGGGAAGGTTACATAAAATGACATTTTAAACAGCCCAGGAAAATGTTTTGCCCAAGAAATTCCAGAACACTTTCTTTGACATTCCACTTACTCATGCAAATAGACATACATAATAAAAGGGGTGCTATAGTCAGAGTCTGTATCTACTGCCACAAATACTGTGCAGTCCTCAACCCAGGGGTGTCCTACACATAGAACACAAGGTGAGCGATGTCCTCTGAACTTGTCGATGGCCATAGCCCTGAATAGGGTCTGTTGGATTCTGAATTATTGAAGTCGACAGTGGACATTATTCTATTTAAATGAAAAAAATTGGGGCTGGGTACAATAAAATAAATGTCAATCTAGCAAATTTTATGTATACATGGTCTACTGATGGCAATTCATACACAATGTGTAATATCAGTGCTATATACTACAGCATTTTAGAACAAAATATCCATTTTGATAAGATGTTGATAGGAGTCAATTTTTATCAAAAATTCCTTCAGGTTCTATCTCTTTAGCAATTATGCATAAGCAATTTATATGTGGTTTATATTTTACTGTCTTCTCATTATCCCTCATCATATATTGTATATTTTTTTCACCATATCTCTCTTTATGACATTGCTTTCATATTATTCTTTTATTCTGAATCCTTCCATGCTTTCAAAGACTGTCTCATTTTCCAACTCTAACCTCATTGGGGTGACTTCTTCCTTCTGCCCCCACAAAGCTGATCTTTCCCCTGACAGATTCAGAACTCACCATCCATATCTCTCATTTAATTCTTAGACAATAATCCAATGCAGCCCATTTATTTCATTGTAATCTATCTTATTATCTAGTTTTAAAACTGCTGTGACCTGTTTTACAACTTGGAGTACAAACACACTTAGAGCACTGTAATATTTCTAATTGATATTTTATTCCCTTCAGTAGTTCCTAAAGGAATTTATTCCCTTTTCAAGACTTAACCACCTTGACTCCCCATTACCCAAGCCCGGGGCTGGGAGGAAGAGTTTAATGAGATTACCTCCAACATGACTTCTTGCTGTCATATGAGGTGGCTATTGAGGAGTCACTCTTCAGGGCTGGGGCTTACAGCATGTCTTGCTGGCTGTTTCAGATTCCTGCACAGGCAATCAAGATTCTTTAAGGGAAAATGACCTCATTCCTGCAGGAATGAGTTCCTGAAACCATATCCTATGTTTGAACTCCTGATATATTTCATGCCTTTGTTTATCCATATTCTGTTCTGTTACAAGCTGATCACACAATAATGGATCACTCTAAATTACACGGTAGGGCTTTGTTTGCCAAAAGGACTGAGTCAGAGACAACTTTCAGTTCTCTTCTCAGTACCTCCTACATGTTTGTCTTAAGCCTAAATCTAAGATCTCCTCTGTTTCTTAGGGCAATTTAATTCAGAGAGAGTTTGTCTTTTCTTTCTACTTGGTTTTAGGAGAGGCTGCTCTGTCTCCTGGCTAGGCCTCTCTACTTCAAATCTTGGACATCAGAGCTCAATGTGCTTCACTTCCTTTTTTTTTTTTTTTTTTTTTTTTTGAGACGGAGTCTCACTCTGTCGCCCAGGCTGGAGTGCAGTGGCGCGATCTCTGCTTACTTCAACTTCAACCTCCTGCCTCCTGGGTACAAGCTATTCTCCTGCCTCAGCCTCCCAAGTAACTGGGATTACAGGTGTGAGCCAACATGCCTAGCTAATTTTTTGTATTTTTAGTAGAGACGGGGTTTCACCAAGTTGAGCAGGCTGGTCTCAGACTCCTAACCTCAAGTCATCCACTTGCCTCAGGCCCCCAAATTACTGGGATTACAGGTGTGAGCCACCACACCCAGCCAATGTGTTTCACTTTCAGGAGCCCTTTAGGCAAATGGCTCTGGGCAAAATGATTCACCTACTTTGTAGGGAACTATTTACCATGTGTCTCAGACAGTGATAACCTTGATGGAGGCACACAATTTTCTGTTATAATCTTTAAGCAGTGGAAGCCAACTCATCCTACAGCACAAAGTCTGTACAACTCTTTCTGAGGCAGGGAATATCAGGTTCTTCACATTAAAAAAAGAAGCAAAAATAGAATTGAAAACCAAAAACCACAAAACAATGAAAAATACACATCCTGTCTACCTAACTAAATAAAATGCATCTTAAGTATCTCCTTTGTAGCTCCAGAAACTAGTGCAGGACTTTGCACATAAAGCTCTGTCATTTGGATAGAAAAGCACATAATTATCAAAATTAGGTATGGGAAGAAATTTAGAGGAAGACAATTTGCAATCACATTTAACCTGTAACTAGCCCAAGGTCATCACACTAGTTTGTGTCAAGGAAGCAAATGTATTTTATTGACTATGATATCTTGTTCATATGCTGTTTTGTTAAACCAAAAAGTCCTCAGAAATGAAGTCCTGAGCATCAACTTCTCTTACCTTTCCTATAAAAATTAATCCAAGTATGTATACAGTGGACAAATGGTAATCATTTCACAAGTCTGTGTTGAATAAATGAAAGCAAAAATGTGATTTTCTTTTATGTTGTTCTATTCCTTCCCATACAATTTCTACATGTCATCTTAAAGATATGGACTGAGCTGAATGTGAAATATTGCAACTTGATTATAGGGATCAGATTTTGTTAAATTATGTCTTACTCTTTGAATAGTCCAGATAAAGTTAAAATGCTAGTGGCAGGAAGAAAAATTATGACATCTAAAATTCATTTTGTATCTATTGTTGTCATATTTATTGCCATTTTGAATGAATTTAATTATTTTTAAATAGCTCATACCATTTCCATATGCATCATTGCTGAATTGCAAGAAAAACAGCTAGCATCATTCAAGGAGGAGCCTAGGCACAAATGAAAAAGGGAAAATATGTCATCGTCTGACTCTCACTATCCCTTTCCCTGCTCCTTTAGTCCTTCCAGAAACATTCCTTTGTCTACATATAGTTCTCAGTTAGAGCTCATTGACTGCCTGCAAACCAATTCAGCACTGAGTAATGTCATTCACTTGAACATAAGGTCTCCACTATGGGACAACTGAGGTGAGATTCCATAAGTGGCTATGAGTCAGCCTCAAGTCAAAATAACCACCTGCGTCACCATCATGCCAAACCAGACACTGGGACACTTGGAAACTCTCTCCATTGAAAACTCTAACTATGTGTATCTGTCTCTTCATTCAGACCTGTATTTCAAGATGGATTAGAAGAAAAGAATGGAAGCAAGCTGAAGATTCCATGACTATTTGAAAAAAAATAATATTTTTTGGATTATAAGGATAACTACACCTATATCCACCTATGGTGGTTTTAAACTTTAACAATTACTAAAAACATGCTCACTCTGAAAATATGAATAATATTCCTATGATTGAAAGCAACCACGGTTTATAGTAACTTTAAGGGCTATTAAGCAAGTTCCTATATGAATCCAGAGAGTGAATTGTATAAGCATTTAGAATGTGCTGATGATAAAGGGATTCATAAAAGTTGTTATGCTGATTTTATGTTGATGGATGTTTAATATAAGGTGAGTTATTAACCAAAGGCAAGTGAAACTAATGTTTTAGTGTTATGATGTATGTGTAATTGAAAGTGAATCTTCTTGGCAAAATGGGGAGCACAGTGAAAGAGGAAGAATGAGTGAGTTTAAATAAAGATGATAACACAGATAAATCCATTTGCAATGCCAGTACCAGAAGCCAAGTTTCATATAGACCCAAAAATCTCTACCCCCAAAGGAATCTAGTCCGAAAGTATTTTAAGTGTTACATAGATGAACTCAATTTTGCTTCTTTTTAACAATTTTTATGGATATGTAATGATACTACATATTTATGGGGGGTATGTGATCTTTTATATAAGCATACCATGTGTAGTAATAAAATCTGTGTAACTGGAATTTCCAGTTTCTCAAGGATTTATCAAGTTCTGCTTTTTAATTAGATCCATGCAGTCTTTCTTCTTCTTCTTCCTTTTCACCATATGTCTTTTTCCACTCTTCGCAGCCTTTTGATTTATTGCCTGCCTTCTTTTCCTCCTGCATATTACAGGTAGTTATGAGGCAAGTCATTTACCTTCTTTTTGGAGGCAGTCCTAATCATTGGAAGAATAGAGAGTTCAGCGTCTATACCAGGTCAATTTGTTTAGAGTTTAGACTTCCAAGGCTTAGTCTGAGGCCCCTGGAACATAACCTTAGATTGAGTAATGATTATAAAATAGACACATGAAGACCCATGAACACATTAGGATACTCCTCTTTTGTTTCTTTCCCTCATGGTCCTCTTCACCATTTTGTAAACCTTCACTTCATCACAACAATCAGGTAACAGAGTGGGACTAAAATGCCTCATAAATGAACTCACAAAATGCTCCAACAATGAATTCACAGAAATGCTGAGATTTTCTTTTTTTTATTGGTTGGTTGGCTGGTTGATTGCTTGGTTTGTTGGCAAAAGGCAAATAAGCCTTAAGTATGGGGAAGAAAAGAAATTCCAAAGGACACTTGCTAATAATTGAATAAAAAACAGGATAACTTCAATACACGCTAAAAAAAAAAAAAAGATGCAAAATCTTATGGATCTCTCCCACAAGGGAGTCTTTGTTCATATTTTACACTATGAAAAAGAATTGAGGCCAAGATATAAAACGTGTTTCAGCATCTAATTAGTTTAAAATATTCAAATTAAAAAAAAAACATGTTTTACATCACTGTAGGGTGGCTATCATTAACAATAATATGCAGTTTCAAATAGCTAGAAGGAGAATATTGAAAGTTCCCAACATGAAGAAGTGATCAATGTTTGAGATGATGAATATGCTAATTACTTTGATCTAATAACTTTGTATACTATATATATCAAAACATCACTATGCACCCCATAAATATATACAATTTTTACTTGTCATTTAAAAAATAAAATTTAAGAAGTCTAAACAAAATATTTAAAAATTGCTAAAAATACTATACCATATACTATGGATTCATTTATCAAAAATTTTTAAATTCTTGAAGAAAAAGATAATTTTTTCCAAAAATACTTATCAAATTAAAAATAGAATATGGCAAACAATAAACAAAACTGTCTTACATACTTTGAACCTATGCTGGTCTACCTTCTGCCAAAACAAAATATTAATAAACAAAAAAGTGGACATTGAGAATTAGAGGACTGTTTTGTTGTTTTATTATATTCAAATGTTATAGTGTATTATTAAACAGATAATTGATGAGTCAGTTTGGGTTTGTCATGCCAAAACTGTCACTGTAAATATTTTATTTATTTATTTATTTATTTATTTATTTATTTATTGTAATTTTTTATTTCCATAGGTTTTGGGGGAATTGGTGGTATTTGGTTACGTGAGTAAGTTCTTTAGCAGTGATTTGTGAGATTTTGGTGCACCCATCACCCCAGTAGTATACTCTGAACCCAATTTGTAGTCTTTTTCCCTCACCTCCTTCCCACCCTTCCTCCTCGAGTCCATTGTATCATTCTTATGCCTTTGCATCTTCATAGCTTAGCTGCCACTTATGAGTGAGAACATACAATGTTTGGTTTTCCATTCTTGAGTAATTTCTTTTTTTTTTTTAATTATACTTTAAGTTTTAGGGTACATGTGCACAACGTGCAGGTTAGTTACATATGTATATATGTGCCACGTTGGTGTGCTGCACCCATTAACTCATCATTTAACATTAGGCATATCTCCTAATGCTATCCCTCCCCCCTTCCCACTCACCCCTCCCCCCACATCTTGAGTAATTTCACTTAGAATAATAGTCTCCATTCCCATCCAGGTTACTGTGAATGCCATTAATTTTTTCCTTTTTATGGCTGATTAGTGCTCCATCATAACTATATACCACAGTTTCTTTATCCATTCGATGATTAATGGGCATTGGGGCTGGTTCCACATTTTCGCAATTGTGAAATGTGCTGCTATAAACATATGTGTGCAAGTGTCTTTTTCATATGATGACTTATTTTCCTCTGGGTAGATACTCAGTAGTGGGATTGCTGGATCAAGTGGTAGATCTTCTTTTAGTTCTTTATGGAATCTCCAAACTATGTTTCCCACAGTGGTTGCACTAGTTTACATTCCCACCAACAGTGTAGAAGTGTTCCCTTTTCACTGCATCCATGTCAACATCTATTATTTTTTCATTATGGCTATTCTTGTGGGAGCAAGATGGTAACTCATTGTGTTTTGATTTGCATTTCCCTAATCATTAGTGATGTTGGGCATTTTTCCATGTTTCTTGGTCATTTTTTCATGTTTGTTGGCCATTTGTATATCTTCTTTTGCAAATTGTCTATCCATGTCCTTAGCCTACATTTTGATAGGATTTTTTTTTCTTGCTAATTTGTTTGAGTTTCTCATAGATTCTGGATATTAGTCCTTTGTTGGATCTATTGATTATGAAAATTTCACCCACTCTGTGGGTTGTCTGTTTACCATGCTGACTGTTCCTTTTGCCATGCAAAAACTCTTTAGTTTAATTAACTCCCAACTATCTGTTTGTGTTACATTTTCTTTTCGGTTCTTGGTCATGAAATCTTGCCCTAAGCCAATGTCTAGAAGGGTATTTTTGATGTTATCTTCTAGAATATTATAGTTTCAGGTCTTAGATTTAAGTTCTTGATCCACCTTGAGTTGATTTTTTGTATAAGATGAGAGATGAGGATCCAGTTTTATTTTCCTACATGTGGCTTGCCAATCATCCCAGTACCATTTGTTGACTAGGGTGACCTTCCCTTACTTGATGTTTTTGTTTGCTTTGTCATTGTAAACATTGCATAAGGTAGTTGAAATAAGTGAATTCCTTAGATCCAGGTTCTGTTTTTTTTTGTTTAACTTCTCCCAAAGTCTTGTATAACATTTTTATTGTTAAATGGAAGGAGATGTGAGTTACAGGATAACATAGATAAATAGATTCACAGTTGGTAGAGAAATTACTCTGACAGCCTTTTCCACTTAAAATGTCATATAACAGTTCTTCCTCAACTGAAAATAGTTCTTTATGTGGTGTTTCCACAATTCTGCCTTTGACTTTGCAAAACTCAGGGACTCATCAGATTTAATGATATTATCAAAAGTATGTTTATCAAAATTATGATCATACAAAACTAAGAAAATAAATAATACAATAGCTGAATTTAGATTTAAAATCATCCTCCTAACTGAAACAATACTTCATCATCAATAGCATTAAAAAAACTGGGAAAATGTTATAGTTTTGAATTTAGTTCCAAAAAGATTAATTTAATGAGTTTGGGATCAAGAAGGCCTGCCTTAAAATCCTCTATGTGAAATGAATAGAAAGCCATAATGTAGTACAAATAGAATTAGACTTCATTAATGTATGGATTTTGTTGACATAATGGACATAGTTCTGCCGCATTTGACATAGGTCAAATCACTTCTGAAGCTCAGGCTTCACTAAAGGTTCTTCATTTTTAGGGAAGCATTGGCAAAATGGGGGTTGAGGTTAAAGGAAGCTCCTTAATATTGCAAAGGGTCTAGAAATTGTATTGCGCTAAGAACTATCAAAGAAACTAGCTATATTTTGCCTTAAGACAAAAATAAGGATTGTTAATATTAAAAACAGTGAGAAATGGAAATGTAACAGATTTTATCTCTTCTCTTACAAATGACTCAAATTAAACCATTGCAAGGGAGTTACAGGGCTTCTGGTTTTGATTCAAATGAGAAAGTTTTCAACAATTGAAGAACTTGTCTCTTTGTATCATACAACATAGACCTCCTCTTACTACAATATTCCAGCAAAGATAGATATTTATGAGGAAATAGGTTATGAGAAAATTTGGAATGAGAGGTTGTATAGAAAGACTCCAATGGCCCTTCTTAATTAAAAATTACAGGCTCATACCCAAGGATTGAACATACAGTGCATGACTATTGTCTACAGGTACTGAGGAGGCACCTCAGATACAAAAAAAAGAAAAAAAGGAAAATTGGCCTCTGTCCCCAATATTTTTGTTACACTTTTAATGTACTCTTTCCAACACATTGTGATAAACTGTTTTTAAACAAAACTATCTATAGTTTAAGTAATTAATTTTAGATAATTATTCCTCAACTAAACCATTTATACATGTGTAAGAATTGCATCGAGAGTTACTGCACTCTTTTTTTGTAAAAATTGACCTCTATCATCATTCATGAATTTATTAAAATGTTTAAAATAATGTAATAAACTCCTTGATTATCATTAGTACCATCTACATAAATAGTAATAACTGTGCACATACAATACATTGCCCACACATAGCCACAAATATGATTGAAAATATTGACTATTACAAATACATACTTAAGTCTATCCTTGTAGTTAGTTGGTTTATCACTCTAAAAATAATCACATTGGCAATTTTTTGTTGATGTGGCCTTTTTTCCTCTCTGGGGAAAATTCCAAAGAAACACAAAAAGGAGTAGTAGCAAACCTCTATGACCTGGCATCAGAAGATTGGGGATAAATTTGAAATCTCTGGAGCACAATCTTAAATATTCAAACTACCCTAATATAAGTGTCTTGCTGAGTTTTCAGAAGTGTTGTAGACCATCAATGGCTGCTGTTTGTAAGAGAATAAAAAAGAACTATTCTTGGCTTTTGTAAGCCCTGGATGCTTACTTAAAAATGCATTGGTGTTTGCTAAGTGTTTGGGAATAGTCATCCCGTTTTTTCATGGAGATTGAGTGACAGCTCTGTGTGGGACAGGAAACCCACTTTTTTAATATCAGAAGATGCTCATTGATGTTCTAGCTTCACCATTTATTGTTTTCAGGCTTTGAAAAAGTCTTTCTGTAAACCTATGTTTTGTCGTCTGAAGTCTCAGAATAGCTTTTCTTCTCAACTTATCATCCAAAATTGTTTTGAGGATCAAAAAAGGTGTTTTATATTTTGTTTTGTCTGTTTTGTCTTGTTTAAAGTGAGAACAAAGTAAGGGATTATAACCATCAATGCACGTATGCTTTGCTTTACAATATCTTAGGTTCATTTGTATGTCTCTTAGTATCTTAAAGATACAATGTCAGACTTACAATGGCTTAGAAATTGCTTATTTTCAAGAACTGGAAAAAGGCATAACCCTTAAGAGTTCACAAGAAAATATAAAGAAGATGAGACAGAAAAGAGGATAGCTGAGTTCTTCCGACTGCTGGAGAAAAACTGCCTTGTGTTTGAACTCTGTGAAGGTGGTAAAGTACTATCTGCAAAGAGAAATCTCAGCTTGATGCTTAAGATATTAGCTTCAGTTGATTAAGGAGATAAAACCTTGTTCCAAATTGACAAACTTTCAAACCTCATCCTGAGACTTTTCTAATCAACCCAACAACCTCTTGTCCTTAAATAGCTTTATTTCTAGAGTTTAATAGTCACTTGGGGTAAAATTATCTGGGCAGGAGCAGAAGCTATGGTAACTTTGTCTAGTCCAGATTAAATACAGCCTAATGTATACTTTACAAAAACAAATAACAGAAAAGGTGAGAGGGGAATCAATAACCCACAATCCTTCCCTCTAAATGTTTTTAAGTACTGACTTTAGCAGGTTTTATTTTTATTAAATTGGTATTTGTAAAGGTGGTTTCATGAAAACCTCCAGCCTTAAGGATGCCCATTAAAAGCTGTGTTAACTTTTTAACCTAACTTTGTTAAGAACAGACATTGACTGTAAAATAATTCTGGCTACTCTGTCATGTTTCAGTGAAGAAGTTCTCTCATTTTCTTATGTTTCGGATCCATCTTTACTCAATTGTATTCTACCCTTGGCAAGATGACCTTGAATAGAGTGAAAAAAAGAGCACCATATTTTTACTATAGCAAAACTGAGAGTAAAAATTCTTTAATTGTGGAAGAGCAGCCTTCACTGATAATAAATTTAACTCAAGCTGTTGTTCTCCCTAACAATTACTGGATTGTCTATAAACTAGTATGGGCACATTTGTGAGTTTCAGGCTCATGTCATTGTGGGTATGCATTGAGACCTTGTCAAAGACCTCTTCAACATGAGATAGAAGCACTGACAAATTTAAGGACAACCAATGTTTTTATAGTTCCATTGAACTCTGATGTTTATCATGGTGGCTTTTATAGAAAATAATAAAATATAGCCAGGCTTGGCTTGAAATGAGTGAGCCATTGACAGTAGAATTAAATTCTTTTCACCGCAGGTGTTTTATTACCATTATCTTTAACAGCATCATCATCATCATTATCATCAGAATGATCAAGTTCCTACTACATACTGATCCTGAAACTGGTGGAGATAGAAAGAAAAATAAATCTCATCTTCTGTTTCTGAAAGGTCTATAATTCATTCTGATGAGATTGCACATATGCATAGAAGATTTAGTAATAATTCTATATAGAATGTTACCAAGCAAAATGTACAAAAATTAAAAGGAGAAAGACTATTGGAAACTAAAGCTAGCAATGAGGAAGCCTATATTCACTTGTTTGTTCATCCCTTCAACAATATTTATTACTTTATTACTTAACATAAATTTGGCTGAAATTAATTAAAAACCTATGATTGAATATAATAATATATTTTTGTTGTTGTTGTTATTCTCCCATTATAATAACCGGTCATGAGTCTAGCATACCATCAGGGACTCAGATTCTTTCTGTAGTTCTGTCATTTTTATTTGATTGACTCCATGATTGCTTCCTCTTGTTTACCAGATATTTCTGTAGCTGTAGGTGGTACATTTGCACTAAAGGCAGAAGAGGTAGGAAGTGATATGAAATAGCAGATCTTCAAAATTTCTATCCAAGTAATAAATTTTTAAAAAAGTAGTAGGGGAGAATAAACTAAGGAAGAAAGGAGTGGTCAGAAAAGGCAAAAGAGAAGATAAGGAAGTTAGATATTAATAAATGAAGACAGTTGAAAGATTATTTCAGGCAGGTGGGGAGGTATATGCAATAGATTAAACAGAGAAAGATGATGTGTTTTGGATAAAAAATAGCAGCTCAACAGGAGTGTTTATTATTTAGAATATCGATTAGCTAAAATTATTTACATTTTCCACTTTTAAAAAGTGGCACATCTGTGGTCTCAATAGCCAGTTGAAAAATGTTGGCAAAGATGAAAATAAAATTAGATGCCAACCATGAAAATGAGTCACACCCAAGCAGTTTCTAGAATTTGATTTAAGGACATAGTCAGGGGCAGCAAGCAAGCATGGAGGCAGTAGTTAAAAACACATAAGTTTTAAGATTCAAAGTCAACAATGGAATTAGGATCTGTACTTATAAGAAATACTAAAGCCTCAGAGGTCAGGCAAAGACACGAGGATGAAGGGTTTGTAAGAAAACTGACTAACAGAAGATAGACTTACTGGTAATGCACTATGATATGGACAGTTTATAATATCACCTACAGAATTTTATCAGCAAAACAGAGTCCTCCAGATTTTTAAAAATTTGAGGCCAGAAAATATATGTTTGATCTAGATTTATTTTCAAATAAATCTAATTATTCTCCACCCTGTACCTTATCTTATTTTGGACAAAACTTCTTCGCTCACTTCATGCATTACATTTATAGAATCTGCTAGAAATTCTGCCATATAAGAATATATATTAAGGGCTGTGTAAAATCTGTTCTACTCAACCATATCTAATAATTCACTAGGGCCTACTATTGCTTTTCTCTGTTCTTTAGAGATGCACTGACTTTTCATACAATCATTTCTTGCAATCTGCTAGAAATTGAGGGTGATAAAAATATGTATTAATTTTGTTCAGTGGGCTCAGATGTTTTCCTTAGTCATCCCAGTTCTTTTCTGGCTCCAAAAGACACACACAAAAAACTCATTCCTACTCCTGCAGTACAAGCAGGCCATTTTTCATTATTCACTCAGTGCTTTAGACTACTTAACTATAAGTTCACTGCAAGTCAACCTATGGACTTTAGAAGAAAAATACTAAATTACCTCCACAAAACACTTCTCCATAACTTATCAGAATGTCCTCTATGTTGGTTTGTCAGCTTCTGAGTTTCAAAATTGCCAATAAGCTCCATTTTATACTGACATAACCAATGGAGGTTAAAATTTTGTTTCTTGTGTAGAAATGATCTTCAAGATTTAAAAAAAAAATCATGTGAATTTCTCCTTTATTCTAGAACTCCATCAGTTTTATGATTGTAATTGTATTTCTGTTCATTATAGCAGCCTAAGTTTATTTGTTGATTTTGTTTCAGTGTGGTTCCAGACATTCGAACTACGTGATGCATGCACAAGCTTCAGTAGCCGATTTGATCAAGTGGAAGAAAGGGTATCAGTGATTGAAGACCAAACAAATGAAATGAAGTGAGAAGAGAAATTTAGAGAAAAAAGAGTAAAAGGAAACGAACAAAGCCTCCAAGAAATATGGGAATATGTGAAAAGACCAAATCTATGTCTGATTGGTGTGTCTGAAAGTGACGGGGAGAATGGAACCAAGTTGGAAAACACTTTGCAAGATATTATCCAGCAGAACCTCCCCAACCTAGCAAGGCAAGCCAACATTCAAATTCAGGAAATACAGAGAATGCCACAAAGATACTCCTCGAGAAGAGCAACTCCAAGACACATAATTGCCAGATTCACCAAAGTTGAAATGAAGGAAAAAATGTTAAGGGCAGCCAGAGAGAAAGGTCAGGTTACCCACAAAGGGAAGCCCTTCAGAATAACAGCAGATCTCTTGGCAGAAACTCTACAAGCCAAAAGAGAGTGGGGGCCAATATTCAACATTCCTGAAGAAAAGAATTTTCAACCCAGAATTTCATATACAGCCAAACTGAGTTTCATAAGTGAAGGAGAAATAAAATCCTTTACAGACAAACAAATGCTGAGAGATTTTGTCACCACCAGGCATGCATTATAAGAGCTCCTGAAGGAAGCACTAAACATGGAAAGAAACAACCGGTACCAGCCACTGCAAAAAGATGCCAAATTGTAAAGACCATCAATGCTAAGAAGAAACTGCATCAACTAACAAGCAAAATAACCAGCTAACATCATAATGACAGGATCAGATTCGTACATGACAATATTAGCCTTAAATGTAAATGGGCTAAATGCTCCAATTAAAAGACAAAGACTGGCAAATTGGATAAAGAATCAAGACTCATCAGTGTGCTGTATTCAGGAGCCCCATCTCATGTGCAGAGACACACATAGGCTCAAAATAAAGGGATGGAGGAAGATCTACCAAGCAAATGGAAAACTAAAAAAAAAGCAGGGGTTGCAATCCTAGTCTCTGATAAAACAGACTTTAAAACAACAAAGATCAAAAGAGACAAAGAAGGCCATTACATAATGGTAAAGGGATCAATTCTACAAGAAGAGCTAACTACCCTAAATATATATGCACCCAATACAGGAACACTCAGATTCATAAAGCAAGCCCTTAGAGACCTGCAAAGACACTTAGACTCCCACACAATAATAATGGGAGACTTTAACACCCCACTGTCAACAATAGACAGATCAACGAGACAGAAAGTTAACAAGGATATCCAGGAATTGAACTCAGCTCTGCACCAAGCAGACCTAATAGACATCCACAGAACTCTCCACCCCAAATCAACAGAATGTACATTCTTCTCAGAACCACACTGAACTTATTCCAAAATTGACCACATAGTTGGAAGTAAAGCACTCCTCAGCAAATGTAAAAGAACAGAAATTATACAAACTGTCTCTCAGACCACAGTGCAATCAAACTAGAACTCAGGATTAAGAAACTCACTCAAAACCACTCGACTACATGGAAACTGAACAACCTGCTCCTGAATGACTACTGGGTACCTAACGAAATGAAGGCAGAAATAAAGATGTTATTTGAAACCAATTAGAACAAAGACACAACATACCAGAATCTCTGGGACACATTTAAAGTAGTGTGTAGAGGGAAATTTATAGCACTAAATGCCCACAAGAGAAAGCAGGAAAGATCTAAAATTGACACCCTAACATCACAATTCAAAGAACTAGAGAAGCAAGAGCAAACACATTCAAAAGCTAGCAGAAGGCAAGAAATAACTAAGATCAGAGCATAACTGAAGGAGATAAAGCCCAAAAAAACCCTTAAAAAATCAAGGAATCCGGGAGCTTTTTTTTTGAAAAGATCAACAAAATTGATAGACCGCTAGTAAGACCAATAAAGAAGAAAAGAGAGAAGAATCAAACAGATGCAATAAAAAATGATAAAGGGGATATCACCACAGATCCCACAGAAATACAAACTACTATCAGAGAATACTATAAACATCTCTACACATATAAACTGGAAAATCTAGAAGAAATGGATAAATTCCTGGACACCACACCCTCCCAAGACTAAACCAGGAAGAAGTTGAATCCCTGAATAGACCAAGAACAGGCTCTGAAATCGAGGAAATAATTAATAGCCTACCAATGAAAAAAGGCAGGACCAGATGGATTCACATACGAATTCTACCAGAGGTACAAAGAGGAGCTGGTACCATTCCTTCTGAAACTGTTCCAATCAATAGAAAAAGAGGGAATCCTCCCTAACTCATTTTATGAGGCCAGCATCATCCTGATACCAAAGCCTGGCAGAAACACAACAAAAAAAGAGAATTTTAGACCAATATTCCTGATGAACACCAATGCAAATATCCTCAATAAAATACTAGCAAACCTAATCCAGCAGTACATCAAAAAGCTTATCCACCATGATCAAGTTGGCTTCATCCCTGGGATGCAAGGCTGGTTCAACATACGCAAATCAATAAACGTAATCCAGCATATAAACAGAACCAAAGACAAAAAAACACATGATTATCTCAATAGATGGAGAAAAGGTCTTCGACAAAATTCAACAGCCCTTCATGCTAAAACCTCTCAATAAACTAGGTATTGATGGGACATATCTCAAAATAATAAGAGCCATTTATGACAAACCCACAGCCAATATCATACTGAATGGGCAAAAACTGGAAGCATTCCCTTTGAAAACTGGCATAAGACAGGGATGCTCTCTCTCACCACTCCTATTCAACATAGCATTGGAATTTCTGGCCAGGGCAATCAGGCAGGAGAAAGAAATAAAAGTATTCAATTAGGAAAAGAGGAAGTCAAATTGTCCCTGTTTGCAGATGACATGATGGTATATTTAGAAAACCCCATCGTCTCAGCCCAAAATCTCCTTAAGCTGAAAAGCAACTTTAGCAAAGTCTCAGGATGCAAAATCAATGTGCAAAAATCACAAGCATTCCTATACACCAATAACAGACAAACAGAGGGCCAAATCATGAGTGAACTCCCACTCACAATTGCTTCAAAGAGAATAAGATACCTAGGAATCCAACTTACAAGGGGTGTGAAGGACCTCTTCAAGGAGAACTACAAACCACTGCTCAACGAAATAAAAGAGGATACAAACAAATGGAAGAACATTCCATGTTCATGGGTAGGAAGAATCAATATCGTGAAAATGGCCATACTGCCCAAGGTAATTTATAGATTCAATGCCATCCCCATCAAGCTACCAATGTCTTTCTTCACAGAATTGGAAAAAAACTACTTTAAAGTTCATATGGAACCAAAAAAGAGCCCACATTGCCAAGACAATCCTAAGCCAAAAGAACAAAGCTGGAGACAAAAATTAGATATCTTTCTGGAAATTAGCCTCTTTCACATGATAAACTGGGAAGAAATGTTTGTACAAAGAACTAGATGAAAGTTAAATATAAGAGCATCCTCCATTCCAGCTCTAGAAAATTGGGGATTAGCCATAGTTGATTTCATCTAACATTTACTGAAGGCCAACTCTGAGATTAGAATTTCTAATAAATCTAATTTGGGTTACAAAGAAAGATATTTGGAGAGGGTTTATAAGCACATCCTGCATTCTGTAAGAGATTCATGTTTACATCTGAGCTCCCTTATCATTATTGCATTTGTTATCATTTTTGGGAGGGAGGAAGGTGTTTAGTTTTTTAACTTCAGAACAGAAATCCTGAGAGCTAGAATTCCTTTTCATATTACAATGTGATAACACTGGGAGACTTGTTTAAGAGTATGCATGTCTTTAAAGACGGTTAAGATGTAGGATGATAATAACAGAACAAACATATGTCCTGCCATATCCTATGTTACAATGAATGTGCAATACTCTCCCTTGGGTGCAAGAGAGTGGGGAGTTCTTTCCTGAGGGAAGAGAGAAGGACAGATGCCATCAATTATTCAGTCAATTTTTATTGACTAGTCACTATATGATCAACTCTGTTCCATCACTCCAGAGATATGAGACAGAGCCATGGATAGGGTATATGGGTAGGGGGTAGATATATGAAGCAATGAAGGAAAAAATGGGCAATATAAAATGAAGTATCACAGGGCCTGCACTAAAGTAAATCATACAGTTGATTTGACCGAGGATAACCAGCATATTAACCTTGATCTCTGGAAATTCTATAATGAAATTTAACTTCCAGTTTTGCTCCAGTCTAGCGCTCCTATTAAAAACCCACTAAACTCAACTCCAAGCAAAGTGAACTGAAAGTAAGTACATCAACATACAGTTTGAGTGGAATTTCATAAAGGCATAAATATCTTTGTGGTTGTTTATCTAATTTGCAGTCTGCACCAAATATACATCTTTTTACTTTCTAATAAGTATTTTTATAGTACCTATTACAAATAAAATAATCATTATTTGTGGAGTACTTGCTCTGGATTAGGCACTATATTCAGTGTTTTATATTTGTTATCTCATTTACTCGCTTTTGGTCCCTATGAGGTATTTTATTGTCTTATTACCCTGGAGAAAACCTGAGCATCAGCAAGATAAAGTACCATGTCCAAATTCATACAGTAAATAAGCAAAAGGGGCAGAAGCTGAACCCAGGCCTGTTTGACTCTACTCTGTACATTCTAAGACAAATAAAGCAGTTCTAATTTTGTGATCATCTTTGTGGTGACTCTTATATCTATGAATAACAGCAATATTAGAATGTTGACTCTTTTCATTTTATTCGTAGTAAAAGCCTGAAGTCTAAATATATTTTTTCTAGTAGAATTTTCTGGATCTAAATTATTCACCCAGAAGATAACTCTCCATAAATGTTCGTCAAGATAAAAAGGGTATATGATACTGTGAAAACTATCATCCACACCCAGACATTTTCATGGAAACACTTCTCTATCAATCCATCCAACAATCATTCAGTCTTCTATATTTCCATCCATCTATTTATTTCAACAATCTCTTTAGTTCTTCATCATTGCCCCATTTCTTAAAGTTCTGTGTATAAAGTAACTTCTAGGTTTTTCTTCTTAGAGTTTTGATTCTGTAGAAAAAATTGCATTTGAAGCCAAAATGACATGCAAATAGTGAGTTTTCCTAAAAACAAAACAAAACAAAATTAGCGCTATGGCTACTCAGAACTCAGGGAATTAACACTTCAGGATTATCTATTGTTTTCATATTATTAGACAGTACATTGACAATCACCTAAAAACAAGACCCATACTGGGCTTCCTGTTGCCCCTTTTCACAGAAACATAGTTTAAGGTAGTCCAAGTAGACAGCATAAGATTTGGGAGTTCTGCTCTATTGCCATGTCAACTTCAAGTTTAAATTTTTGTGCCAAGAATTTTTGAAGAGTGAGAAGCTACCTACTAAAATAGGTTAAATATTTTCCTCATAGTTTTTCCTTTTTTTCCATTTAAGTTCTTCCATCTCAATAAAAATACTTCACTTTTTAACTTGTGTCCTATCACACATTGCAACATTTCCACTGTCATTAAAAAGTGTGTTCTCACTGAGGATTATGTAACTAGCACTTTGATAGCTGAAAGGTGACATCATAGGTTTTCTGAAACCATAAATCACAGGTAAGTTGTTTAGAAGTATTTTTTATATTTAATACTCATTGCATTTCTATCCAGAACCAATTTAAAAAAACTCTACAAAAACTATCAACAATAGAAATATAATAATGGAGGTGAAATAAAAAATTTCTTAAAAGATTGTGACTAACGGAAATGTATTCTTCTTTTGTCCATTTCCATGAAAATTTCCTTAGGCAGTCATTTTCTATTGGAAATACAAAGCTCCTTTTCCTTGGTATATAAAGCCATGAATACAGATCTGTGCTTCCTATGGTTATCACGTACTTCTATGATGTCACTGCATTGGAAAGGGCCAACTGAGACATGGCAGGACCAAATTCAAAATATAACTAAAGCCAAGAATTCCTGTAGACTTAGTGGGATATAATTAGCTTCAGACAGAGAGGCATGCCTGGAACCTAAACCAGCGAACACCCCTAATTGTCTAGCAAAGAAGACAAAGGGTAGAGAGAGGTAGAGAAGCTTCTTACCTTATTTCATTATGCTGAGAGGGCTCTAGAAATAAAAATGACATTTTTAATCTTCCTAAATAAATACTATGCATCTTTTGGTTCAATCTTAAGTTGTTTTTGTTGTTTCATGTTGCCAAATAACTTTCTTAGAAAGTCACTTATTAGCCTATTCTCTACCTGAGACTAGTCAAATAGGAACAGACACTTCTCAGAGAGACGGAGAGAGGAGATACCCGAGAAATTTTACATTTACATTTAACTTCACTTTGCGACTCTGGTATTAGCATGAAATAATTGTTATTTCATCGTTTCCAAGTAGCATGCTTAGGTTAATCTGTGCCACAGAAAAGGCTGCATTTAAGAACAGACGCTAATTTAACTACCAAAGTTAATCTTCATTGTCATGTATCACTTAAATGGGCTTCTGAAGTTTTCTTATTCAATAGTGTCATTTTTATCATGTGCTTCAGCTTATGCCAAACCTACATTGCAAAACATTTTTCCCGCCATTCTCACTATCCCCATTTTAATGCATTATTTACATCTCTACTCAATTTCCATGTCTTCAACTCACAAAGGATAGATTATTTTTCTTTTGAAAATTAGTTGGTTTTCCCAAAATAGTTTATTGAATAAAGTTGGATATACATCTTACACTTATGTCAACATTAAAGTAGCTTAAACGTCCAGATAGATAAAATGACAGCCAGAGAAATCTAGAAAGAAATGTATAGACACAAAAATAAATATCAAGATGGCATTGTATTGTACTTAGAAATATACTCTCAGAGGTCAAACCATTCTCGTTCTCTCTCTATTGTTAACAAACTGTGTAACCTTAGGCAGGCTACTTAACCTTTCTAAGTTGTAATTCACCCATCTGTGAAAGAGGAGAAAATAATACCTTTGTCATCTACTTGTTATAAGGAATGAAGGAGATAATGAAAATAAAGCATTTAGGATAGTGCCTTGCTTACTTAAAGCACTCAGTAAACATCATTACCATTATATATATGAAGAAAAAAAGGGACTATATTTGATGGCATGCCCATAGAGAGGGAACTAACATGAAAACAATGCATAAATATGCATGGTGTCCAGTGAGTTAATATTCTTATCATAGAAAACACTCTTAGTAATCAATTAAAATTTGAACATCTACTTCAGATGGTTAAAGAGTACACAAGACACAAAGGAAAGAGTATAAGCTTTCAATATATTTGAAAGATTATTCAATCTTCAGGATATTCACTAGTAATCAATGAAATGTAAATTAAGTTTCAGGAACAAACCATTTTCACCAATTAATTTGGTAATATCTATATTTTTAAGTTACAAAAACAACTTTGGCAAGTGTTTAGGCAAATGATACTTTTAAGTGATATGGGTAGACATGAATTGATAGATATATTCTGTTAAATAGTGATTTTTATTTTGCTATTTGCACATTTTCTTTTAGTAATAGTTTAAGTATTTACTTAAATATTTAATTCATTAAGAAAATCAAAATTATCTCTCTATATGTATGGGAAATATATGTATGACACCCATAAGAGAACCTTTGTAATATATAGTTTGCCCTTTGTATCCATAGATTCCTATCTGCAGATTCAATGAACTGGAAAAAAAATACAGTATTAGTGGACTGTGCAGGACCCGCAGATACAGACGGCCAGTTTTCATATTTTTGTTCTGCAGGGTCAACTGCAGAACTTGAACATCTGTGGATTTTGATATTGGAGGGGTCTTGGAACCAATTCTCCTTGGATTCTGAGAGATGACTATAATTATTACTTAAGAAAACACATTTTTATTGGGTGGACAGTATTTAAAATATGAGTATATTAAAATTTATTTAAGCATAACTTTGTGTTGTATATTTGGTTTGATTCCAAAATTCCACCATCATTAATAATGATAAGCAAGGAGAAAACAAACGATATTTTAAAAATTGGGCATAATTCTAAAACACTTTGATGAACTGTTTTGTTTGTAGGAGGTCAGGCAAAGAAGGGGCTGGGAAGGCAGAAAAGTGAAACAAAAGAGAAAAAAATTACTATATGCTATTATGTTCGTCAATTTTTAAATTAATTGATTCCTTTTTTTGTCAGCTTATAAAATTTGATCTTTTCTTGAGAAAAGTGCTCTGGGATAGAAAAGGTAATTTTGTCTGGGAATAAAGATTAAGAAAAAACAGTTGAAGAAATCAACAAGAAGGCTGAGTTTGAACACTTAACAATTTTGCAGAAATGGAGGATTCTCAGAGAAGATGGCAAGGAAGAGATCTCAACGTGGCAGAGGTTGAGGCTTTAAAACCAGGATTCAGACTAAGTAATGTTCTGCTATATACTGTGCTAGTTAGGGATTTAATTTCCTTTCTCTGAGTGTCAACGTTCAGAAAGATTAAAAGAAGTAACAAAGCAAATGCACTGCCATGAGAAATGGTGGCTTATGTGAAAAGAGTTAATCAAAATCAGAAATGAGAGTGAAAGAAAATGGTAGGCCCATGATACCCCCAGATTTTGTGAAACTGTGGGAATGTTCGTAGGTCATGGGTTAGGATTGAAAGATTACTGTACACCAGAGAGCTATTCCCTAACTTAGGCTGGGTCCATGCATCACAGGAGGGATGACAGTGTTGGCAGGCATGTAAAAAAAATGAATCAACAAAGAGCTAACTGTACCTTCAATACAAAGCAGAATATAATAAGTGCTATATACTTACAGCTTGATGAATAGAAGGTGATTGGAAGGGGTCTCATAACAAAATTTTGCCCCAAATACTCACAGAAAGAACACCCTGAATTTTCTGAGTCAACTCTGAAAATATAAAAGAATTTTGATGGGAATGAAAGCTGACACAAGAATTGTACAAGCTTGAAGATGTTGTCCCCTAGATGAATAGGCTGACAACAGGAATCCAAGGACTGGCTTAGCCTACAGGAACTACTCTTGTAGGTTCAATGGCTATAGTTGAGATGAGCTTTGTCAGCTTTGGCCTGAAGAGTGATTAAACCTGGACAGACAACCAAAAGAGCACATAGCAAATCTGTCCTTTAAGAAATTGTAAGGTTATTAAAATTCCAACCAACAAAGGGTCAGGTTTTCCATTTCATAGTATTAAACATACATCACATTCATAGAGGTAACCACAGGATTTATTTTCACTAAAATGTATATATTATGAATCTTTCATCCCTGTTGTATAGGACATTGGGGATGGGGAGGATTGGAATGGCAGAACATGAGGACATAAGTTTGGGGGAACCACAAAAAGATGAGGGCTACCCCGTGACAGGTAGAAGGCTTGCTGCCATTGGCTTCAATCTTAGTTCTGCTACAAACTGTGGCTATTTATTTGGCCTTATTATTTCTCTAAAGTTAAATGAAAACAATACACTTACTTTGCAGTGCAAGGGGAAGAATGAAATGATATATGCAGTGCTTGGAAGAGATTAGTTGTTCAATTATTATATACCATAGAAAGAATGACTAGTGTACAGAAAGCCTTGGGTGTTGCTTTGACAGGAGATGAAGTAATCTTTTCAGGATATTTCATCTCTATGATCTTTTGTTTTTCAGAAAGACAGTCCAAAAGGAACCTGGAGTCCGGGGTCTGGGGCTGAGCATTCCTGCTTTAGGACTCAAGGAAAACAAATAAATGGTTAAAAAAGAAAGTCATCTTTGTCCAGAGACCTTGGTTTTGTGAAAGCAACTTTTGAAATGGACTAAGAAATAGAGTTTCTACTCTCTGCAATTGCCCAAGAATTCTGTGATCAGTAACATTTTCTCCAATTATCAATCTTATGTTCCTTCCTCTTATCCCATAAAATTGCATAAATCCTGAATTTAATGTGGAGTTAGAAACTGCAATATATTTAACATTTGGGCGCTTGATGATGACTTAGGCTGTTCTTCTAATACTTTTTTCAATCTTTTTTTTTTTTCTGCCTTAGTTCCATGGGGAAGTAAAGACGACTAGCACTGCATTGTTACCTGAAAAGCTCAAACATACTTTGTGCTTTGCCGCAGTGCCTTATGTCCAGGGAAGGCTTTTATCACTCAGTACAAGTACATTTTAATTGTTCCCTGAACAAAGACATCCCAACCAAGCCCTTTGTCTGGGTGTGCACTGTTGTATTTCTGAAGTATGAATTCCTGGCAAACAGTGCACCCACCTGGCACCAAAGAAAAATTACAAAACAAAGAGTGTGCATTGGCCTCGAAGCTCTGAGTTGCACTCCCCACGTTGCCACTGCATTTCCTGCGGTGTGTGATCTGTGAGTGACAAATGGTGTCTCTCCCTACCAAACACAGAAGCAAGTTTATTCAAATATTCTTCAGTATCCTACTTTTTCTCCTTGTTATTCTCTCTTTTGTTTTTCTCTTTATGTATTAAGAATGATTTTGAAGACCAGTGAACCCAATTATCTCATTTTACGGATGAGAAAATTGAGACTCAGAAAGGCTCCTCAAGTTTAAAAAGCTAGAAACTTGCAGAAGACAGCCAGAATTGAAAACCAAAATCTGAGTTATCTCATGACAACCTTGACCCCAAAGAAATGAAGGAGGGTCACAGCAGCTTCCTCTCAAGCTCTGTTAAAGTCAATAACAGTTTAATGAAAAACTAATTCAGCTGGTTCGTAATAGACAGTCTAGAAATGTAGAAAGTAATAGCAAGAAAAGAAAGAACAATCTCTATAGATATTTGAAAAGGAGACTCTGTCTTTAATCTTCAAATTGGGTGTTACTCTCATATAATTTCCCCCATAAAAAGCCATGAAGCACTCTGGATCCAAATAACCCTTTCACATCCTCAATGACTGCTGTAAATATAACACTAAAGTCATCAAACAAAATTTCTCTTAAATTACATTTTCACTGAGATCCAACAGTCTCCTATATATATCCTTAATACTCTAGGTAAATTGACTTTGCAAATTTGTGAAACATTCACCTCTTACTTGATATGAATTTTTGCACTAATCAGATTGTTTTTGTATACAAACATATATATATATACACACACACATACAGGCGTATATGATGGATTTATTTTGTATCAGAAATCTAAAATGTCATCAAATTTGATGTGAGGTGTTATTATTTCTAAAATTTATAATTTCTGGGTAAGAATCACAATTTTAGTCGACCTCTTCATTCTGTCTTCATTACTGTTACTAAAAATGGCTTTATTTTAGTATATCTGTTTCATATAGAGCTTTCCTGACAAGCCCTCTTTCAAAACAAGGAGAATAAGAGATTATCTTTCCTAGCAAAGTTCTTGTGTTGTATTGGTTGTATTGGTTGATGCAGATACACTTGCTTTTTTCATGATGCAGGTCCCCAGCCAGAAAATGTGGCTAAAAAGACAAAGTATTCTAAGACAACCAATCTTTGTAGTTAATATGGTGTCTTCAAACCCCAAAGGAAATGAGATGGAGCCTTGCTTCCAATCCAAGTTACAGTTCAGATGCAGATGGGATAGAGGCAATTCTCATCATCTTTTCTGAACATACACATACATTCACACACATGTATGGGAATAATAAGCAACTTGAGACTGTGAGGGTTGTAAGGAGAACAGAGTCAAGCTATACACATGGCTGACATTTATTCAGAGGACCATCTGAATCTTCTTACCTAGTGGTTATACAAGTAAATGATGATGCTTCAACTGAAAACCAGGTCACTCTTCCAAAAAATTTCCAGTGAAAGAGAAGACATCAATAAATTTTGAATAAGAAATTCAGGTGAAAATACAAGGGCAAGTTTTTAGTATTTTATAAAATAGAACTGGTAACATCTATCAGGCAGTGGTATAAATATGATGTCATCTGCTGTATTTGTCTACAGTATTCTTTCTCTGAAGTCCTTGTCTCTATGTTTATTGTTTCAATTTTAATTTATACTCTGTCATGGCTCCTGAAAAGATACTTCCATCCAAAGATCAAAGTTAATTTTTTTTACTCTCTTTTTATTTAATCATCACGTGTAGGACCATGGCAAAAATGTTTACTAGTCAACATTCCAAGTGAATTTTAATTTTACAGGTTTTCATGATTATAAGGGTTTGAAATAGGATTCCTTTACCTTGTTCTGTTTTTCTTTTTGTTTTTTCTATCCCATACAGTGTTTAAAACCCATACTTCACACCAGCTTACCACAGTGTCATACCTGCTGTGGGCCTTCAAGGAACTCTCTGAACACCAGTCGAGATTAGGTAAATAGTCACAAAGCTATTAAAAAGGCCAATCCATATTCATCACACAGCTTTTTCCAAGTTATTTTTTAGTTGATGTTCAAGAATAAAAAACATAAACAAAACAAACAAAAGCCAGGAAAGGAAAATATTTCTTACTATTTTCAACTTTTTTGAGAATAAGCTGTTTTGCTTTACAGTAGTTTGAAAATATGTCATTTTGTGAGATTGATCCAATGCTGGGATAAAGAATATGTTCTGAAAATCTCTTTTAGAAAGATTTATAATATTTAACCTCAGGCTATTTTAAGTCCCAGTCGATCTTTATGAAAACAGCCAAGAGATCCATTTGTTTTCCGAACAGTGGAAAGTTTGTTACCTTTTGTCAACCATGATTGAACAAATGACTTTGGGCCAAAGTGATTCAGTTGTGAAATGCCTGGGGTCCTGCCAGCCCCCTGGAATACAGACTCAAAAAGCAGTCACTTTGGACCTGAGCTGCCCATTGCAGCCAGGGGCTAAGTAGTCCTACTCAATTTTCTCTGGAACTAACACCATTATAGACCATCTTAAGTCCAGGATTAATAGGAAACAGTGCAGTGGCTACATGTCAACACGGCCAGCATAGCTGGTCAAAAACTGAACATTCTATCGAACTACTAGTGTAGTTTTTCATTGATGTTTTTCTTCTCTGCACCAAATTAATTATGTGATAATTTTGGTAAAACACTCAGCTTCTTGATTGTGCTTTATTATCTGAAAGGGGCCAGAGATCTATCCAAGTCATTCCACTGAGATGAGAGACACTCTGTTTAGCTCATAGGAAGTTAGAAACTACTACCTATTATCTCAACTCTGTAATCTTGCTGAAACCAGAATTATTTATACTACCATTATTGCCACAGAACTTCTCCTGCCAAGACTTACCACCAGTCAGGACATTTTTCTTTCCTTAAACAAGTGGGATGAGCTTTAAAAGTTATTAAAGGACCACATTTATGTAATGACAACCCATTTCTTCTTGTTGCTTTTTTACACTTTGCCTCCTTCATTCCTCCCACCATCATCACTTCACTATGCACACATACATAGTAATACATACATGTTTGCACAAACACACCCCCATTCTGTTTCCAGGCCAGCAGCCTAGTCAATCCAGGATTTGTGATGAACCTAGTGTTTCTTCCCCTGGCTGGATTTTATTTTCATTTGATCCTTTTTGCTAATGTATCACTATAAGTTGGCACCAAGCTTGCCTAATATAGGCCAATAAAAATTATTTCTTCAGGATGTGATTTGTTTGTTTACTAGGATAAATCACTTTTGTATTAATACTTCAGGAAGTTCACAATTCTGTTTTGTCATTTGTGTATGTGTGCCCTTGAGTATAGGTTTCCTCTGAGTATGTTATCTACGAATGTGTTGTCCATTTTTGATTGTCATCTCCCAGAGGGCAAGGAACTTTCCTACATATCCTGCTCTACAAAGAATCATGCACATATCAGTACTTAACGAGTCCTTTCTTCTGCTGCTACTGATGATTGATAGTGTTCTCTGGTATTCTTCAAGTTTTTACAAAATTAATTATTTCCACATGTGCCCATGGAGGATCATATTATTATTGACATTTAAGGAATGAGAAACATGAAGTGCTGTGTATTTAGGTGAGTTGTCCAAGGCTTTGCAATAAATAAGTAACAAAACTGAAGAAAAAGAACTTGGTTGTCTCTTCCCTTTCCTGAGATTTCCAGTTGAACTCAGTTCAATCTAACAATGGAATGACTCCCTTTGCATAGTATTTTGTTAGGTACTGTAGAGGGAATGGGAAAATATAATCTGATCTCTTACCTCAAGGAAGAAAAAGTAGAAAGATAAAATATACAGATAAATGACAAGTAGATAACTATTGCAATGTAGAATAGATTTAGGCAATACTACTATGTAAAATATACAGTGCTAGGATATGAGGGAGGCAGTAGGAATAAAATGTATTCTTTGTTCATAGAAATTCAAAATGTGACAAAAATGGTAGAAAAACTGAAATATTTTTCAGTTTGTGATGGGACTTTTTAAGTGCTAAGGAAGGTAACAGTATGCTCTGTTTAGTGGAAGATGGGTATCTAAAAGAGCTCTGGAGAGCAGGTGGCAATTGCAGATTTTGAGACACATTATTCTTTCAACAGAATGCAGAATAGATTGGAAAGGGAAAAGGAGAGATGAAGATAGTTTTTGGGGAAGATGTATCAAGTCAAGAGTGGAAAGACATGTTAAAAAGTTGTAGCATAGTCGAGCAGAGAATGATAAGGGCTTAAATTACAAGAGTAGTAATGGGATCAGAGAAGAGAGAATGAATTGCTCAAGTAATTCAGAAGTAAATAAATTTGAATAGGACAAAGAGAACCAAAAGTCATCAAAGATTTCCTGCAGCCAATAATTAATTGCTTAGTTAATTGTGCTACCTAAAGTCAAGAAAAAGTTAGAGTTGTTATCTTTAAGCTTGATTTTAAATGAAGTGTAAGGGCAGATGCAAGGGCATTTTCATAATCATCTTCAGTATTTCCTCAGCACCAAAACTAAAGCTAGCTCATCTCCATTTTCACTGAACGATTGCCTTCTTAGGACCTAAAGTGGATAGGTGATTATCTTCAAATTTAATTCAGCTTTTTAAGTGTGTTTCCAAGGTCTTTTATTTCTTGATGACTTGAGGGTTTTTTTTTTTTAATCTTTCCTTACCCAACACTTCTCTCAGGGAAATGACCCCCTTCCAATATTGCAATAGCTCTTGAAAGAAATCTGAAAAGTTTTGTGAGGCTTTTCACTGGTAACTGATAAACAGGATTGCAATATTTTACTGACAGTTTAATATAGTTTAGGGGCTGTTCCAAGCTCTTTACCAACATTAACTTATTTTACCCTCATGATACTTCATTGGGGTAAGTAATGTTAATATTCCTAATTGAAAGATGAGAAACTGGAAGATCAGAAGACTAAGTAATTTTTCCAAGATTTCTCAGTATGTGACAAAATCTAAACTTTTAAACACTAGAACATGCTATCTTTCAGCAACTCCACAGTCTAAATAAGATCATTTATTTAATGATCTCCATCAGTTAGGTTTTGATTGCAATGACTATACCCATTTATTTCTTAATTAAATATACGGCTTTTGTGGGAGATTATTAGTAAGGGAGTACCGTTTCACAAAATAAATGGGAAGTTCAGTATAGTTCCTTGAAATGAATAAAAACCAAAAAATTCTAGAAGAACAAGAAACAGCACAGACAAAAAGACAACTAGGACACCTTTTTGACAACCTCAAAAGGTCGATAAGAAAGAATTGACTAAGGGCCCTTCCAACATGAATTGCCTCCAGCCAATCTCCAATTATTTCATGCATTTGATCAATATTTAAATTCTTAGACAAGATGATTGACACTTAGCCACTACTCTGCTACTTCACTATACTCCATATTTTAAAAATTAAATTACACATAGTGAAGAATAGATATTGTCCCAACAGGAAAATTGAGAAGCCACTAGGAAACAAGAATAGATATAGAAAATAAAACTGACATAGTCACTAAAAACTTCCAGTAATTAAGTCTTTTTTCTGCATTCATACTTCTAATATAGAAAAGATGGCCTAAAATATTTATGATATTTATAGCCAGAAAAAAACAGAGTGCTCACAAACTATTTTTAAATCATTCGATTTCAAGATAGATTATTCATTTGCTTTCTTTACATGATTTACATTATCCTCTATTTGTTTCCTTAATAAAATAGATGACTCTAGTTTGTATTAGATATATAAAAATTTAGAGTTTATAATTTTGCTAAATAAACATCCCTTTTCATAATCTGGGTCATAAAAAGCCCTCTACATATATAAAAAATTTGAAATCCACCAGAATGAACTCTCACCTAAATGAAATCAAACTAGAAATCAATAACAAAAAATATAAGAGGAAAATCCTCAAATACTTGGAAATTAAATAAGATACTTTTAAATAACCCATGGGTCAAAGAGAAAGTCTTAGGTGAAATTAACAAAAATACATTGATCTAAATGAAAATGAAAATATGACATATCAAAATTTGCAGAATGAAGCTAAAACACTATTGAGGCAGAAATTCATAATACAGTGCTTAATTTAGAAAACAGGAGAGATTTCAAATCAGTAGTCTAAGATTCCATATTAATAGAAAATAGGAGAGATTTCAAATCAGTAATCTAAGATTCCATATTAATAAATTTAAAAAGAACAAAATAAGCCCTGAGAAAATATAAGAAAAATAATAAAGAGCACAAATCAATAAAATTGAAAACAAAAAATAGAAAAAATACATAAAACAAAGAGCTGGTTCTTTGAAAGGATCAATAAAACTGACAAACTTCTCGCAAGACTGACAGAGAAGAAAAAAGAGCCAAAACAAATTGGCAATATCAGGAATTAAGTTGTATCATCACTATACACCATAACGACTGTAAAGAATACTTTAACATGACTACACACATGAAACTGACAGCTTAAATGAAATAGACCAATTCAATGAAAAGCATAAACGACAAAACTCATCTAACATAAAATACACAATTTGAATAATATCATAACTATTAAAGAAGTTGAAATTACATATAAAAACTCTCAAAAGAAAAATTCCTAAGCCCAGATTGTTTCATTTACATAATTCTAACAAATGTTTAAAGAATAATTAGCAATATTTGTACACAATCACTTCTAAAAAAGAGAATGGCAGAATTGCTGAATTCATTTTATAAAGATGGTAATACTCTGAAAACAAGAGGAAGAAAATAAAAAAATAAAAAAAATTACAAATCATTATCTCTAATGAACATGGATGCAAAATTCCTCATCAAAATATTAAATTTAATATGGGGATTTATCACAACTAAGTAGGGTTTATTCCAGGCAAACTAGACTTGTTCAGCACTCAAAAAGAATTAACTAGTGCAATTCATCTTATTAATAGGCTAAATACAGTGCTTAATCTAAAAATATGAGAGATTCCTCTAAATATATAGTAGTCCTAGTACTAGCCAGTGCAATAAGGCAAGAAAAGGAAATAAATACATACACATATATAATGCACACACATATCATATATAAATACATAATAAATATATAAATGTATAAATAAAACAAAAGAAAGAAATAAAACTTCCCTATTTGCAGTTGTCTTTGTAATCTATATAGAATATTCCAAAGAATTTTTAAAAATAACAAAATTCTAGAATAAATGAATTCACCAAGTTTATCAGATACAAGACTAAGATAGAAAAATAAATTTTGTATCTATAAAGGATACATAAATCTATATTTATATATTATCATATTATATATAAAGTTCTATATTCTATATTATATATAAATTTGTAGATACACATTTTATATCCATAGTAAAATATATTTTATATGTATCAATGAATGTATGGCAAACTAAAAGAACAAAGTTCAACTTTCAATCACTTGAAATAATACCAAATACTTCGGTATAGATTTAAGAAAATACGATCAGAAATTGTATGCTGAAAACTACAAAATGCAGATTAAAAAATCAGATAAATATAGCAATGCACAGTAATTGGAAGACCAAAGTGTAAAGATAACAGTTCTCCACAAATTATTATATAGGTTCAATATAATTCCTGTGAAAATCTCAGCATAAATTTTTGTATCAACAAGATTATTCTAAAAAATGCAAGGGAGCTAGAATAACCCAAACACTTTTAGAAAATAATAAAGTGGAGGAATCACTGTGCTAGATATTTCAGACTTTCAATGTAGCTACAGTATGTAAGACAGTGTGATTTTCTTAGAAAGATGACCCAAAGATCAATGAAGCAGAATAAAGAACTCATAAATTTGTCCACTGAAAACACCAACTGATTTTTGAGAAAGATACAAAAACAATACTCTAGAGGAAGGATAATTTTTTCACTTAAAAAGAGCTAGGTCAATCAGATATCCACATGCATGAATAAAATAGATAGAATGAACCTCATCCTAAACATCACATTTTATGCCCAATTTAACTCAAAGTTGATAACAGATTTCCAAGTAAATATAAAATTATAATTTTTTAGAAAATAAAAAAAGGAAAAAATCGTTGGGACCTAGGGATATTTGAAGAGTACTTAGACATTATACAAAAACCATGATCAATAGAAAGTAACAATAAATTGGACTTCCTCAAAATTAAAAATGCTTTGCAAACACTTTTGTTAGAACATGAAGAATCAATCTTCAGATAGGTAGAAATATTTGCAAACTGCATATCTTACAAATAACTCATATCTAGTCTACACAGAGGACTTTCATAACCCAGTAAGCTTTTTTATAAATGTAATCCAATCAGAAAATGGACAAAAGACATGTACAGTCATCTTGTCAAACAGGACATACGTATCACAAGCAAGGACATGAAAAGTTGGTCAAGATCATTAGCCATTAGGGAAATGTAACTTAAAATCATAAAAAGAAATTATTATGTGCATATTAGGGCAGCTAATTTTTTAAATGTCAACACTAAAAACTGGTGAGGATGTCAAAAAATTGTTTTCTCATACGTGGCTTGTGGAAACGAACATAGGTGCAACTACTTTGGAAGATAGTTTGGCATGTTCACAATAAGCATTTTTATTATATGATCCAGCAATTGTATTCTGGACATCATCACAGGGAAATTATTGCTTATATCCACTCAAAAACCTGTTCATAAATGTTAATTATTGCTTAATTTGTAATAGCCAAAAATTAGAAACAGCTCAATTGTCAATGAGTGAATTAAAACAAATGGTATTACATCCACATAATAAAATAAGACAGTAATAGAAATGAGCAGATGATTGATATACTCAAAAAATGGAATGTACTTTTAAAAAAATAGTTAAACAGGTGGAAAAGCCAATCTCAAAAAGTTACATAGTGCAGAATTCTATTTATATAAAATTATTAAAATGACAAAATAACAGAAATGAAAAACAGATGAGTGGTTGCAAGAAGTAAGGAAGGTTGGGAGTAGGGGTGAAGTGAGAGCATGACTATGAAGGAATAGCACAATGGAGACCTTTGTGGTGAGGGCAACAGTTTGTGTCTTGACAGTGGTCATGGGTATAAAAATTTACATATAATAAATCTTCTTAGAGCCATATACATGCACCTGTACACACAGGTGAATGCATGTACAACTGGAAAAATTAAAATAAAGTCTGCAGATTATGCCAATGTAAATTTCCTGGGTTTAAATACACATATGTAATGTTTTACCTTTGGGTGCTGTGTACATCTTTACTAAATTTACAACATCCTGTGAATCTATAATTACTTAATTACTCTCTAGACCTGGCAAAAACAGCCAGTACAATGTTAAATAGAAAAGGCAAGTGTGCATTAGTTGAGGATGCTGCTTTATATTTCTAGTTCTTGAGAGATTTTAATCATAAGTGGATGTCAGATTTTTTTCAAATACATTTTCTGCATCTATTAAGGTAATAAAGTGTTCATTTCCCTTTTGTTTATTACTGTGATGTATTACATGAATCGATTTTAAGATATTGAGCCAACCTTGAATTCCTGGTTGATTTAAATTATATTTAGTCATGTTATATGTTGATCATGGTGTATAAATCTATTTTATATATTTGCTAATATTTTCTTCAAGTCTTTTGTGTCTATATGCATTAGAGACATTTGTCTTTTTTAAAGAGTTTTGTGTGGATTTTGTTCATTATAAAATTGACCTTTTAGAAGGTGTTGGAAAATTTTTCACCTTTTCTACTTTCTGGAAAAAAAAATATTTCTACATATTATTTCTTTTTAAAATATTTTTTAAAGAAGAACATTATTTCTTCTTTAAATATTTGATTGAATGTACTCCAGGCATTTATGTCTGGGTTTTCTCTGTAAGATTTTTAATCTGTAGTTGGAATTGTTTCTTACATATGCATCAAAATTGTCTAATGTTTATTGAGTCAATTTTGTAATCTGTGTCTCTAGTAAATTGTTAATTTCACAGAATTGTTGCCTTTGTTGGCATAAGGTTGTTACATGTTATTTCTTTAAAATTCTTTGGCTCGGCATTGTGACTCACACCTATAATCCCAGCACTTTGGGAGGTGGAGGCAGGAGAATTACTTGAGTTCAGGGATTCAAGACCAGTCTGGGAAAATAAAGTGAGGCCTTGTCTCTACTAAAAATAAAAACAAAAAAAAATTATCTGGGCATGGTGGTGCATACCTGTAGTCCCAGCTACTTAGGAGGTTGAGGTGCGAGGATCTCTTGAGCCCAGGAGATCAAGCCTCCAGTGAGCTATGATGATGCCATTGCACTCCAGCCTGGGTGACAGAGTGTCATGAATAAATAAATAAATAAATAAATATAATTTTAATTTCTGTAAAGTTTTTTTGTTACTTATTTTAATTTTTTGCCTTCTCTCCCTTTTTGGTTTTCCTTTTATTTTTGGTTCACATGTAATAATTGTACATATTTATGAGATACAGAGTAATATTTTGATGTCGGTACACAGTGTGTAATGATCAAATCAGGAAAGTTAGCACACCCATCACCTTAAACAATTAGCATTTCTTTGTGTTGTCAATATTTAAAATCCTTTCTTCTAGATTTTTGAAAATATATACTAAATTGTTGTTACCCATATTCACCTTACAGTGCTATAGAACACTAGAACTTATTCCTTCTATTAAACTGTAATTTTGTATCTGTTAACCAACCTCTCCCTATCCTTCCTTTCTGTATTCTTCCTGTACTCCCAGCCCCTAATTACTACAATTAACTTTCTACTTCTATGAGCTTCTCTTTTATTAGCTCCCATATATGAGTAAAAACACGTGATATTTATGTTTCTATGCCTGATTTATTTTACTTAATGTCCTCCAGGCTCTTCTATGTTTCTGTGAATTACTGAATTTCATTCTTTTTCATGGTGGAATAGTATTTCATTGGGTGTATCTATGCTACATTTTCTTTATCTATTTATCTGTTGATGGACATTTAGGTTGATTTCTTATCTTAGCTAATGTGAATAGAGCAGCAAGTAAATATGGGGATGCAGCTATCTCTTCAACATGATAATCTTCTTTTCTTTGGATAAATACCCAAAAGTAGAATTGCTGGGCCACATGGTAAATCTATTTTTAATTTTTTAGAAACATTCATAATGTTTCTATAATGGCTCTACTAATTTACATCCCTACCAACAGTGTATAAGAGTTACTTTTTCTCAGCATTCTTACCAGAAATTGTTTTTTTGTATCATTTTCATCATAGTCATTCTAATTGGGTTAGATGATATCACATCATGGTGTTGATTTGCACTTCAACACCACAGTGATGTTGTGGTGATTACTGATGTTGGGCATTTTTAATGTATTTGTTGTCTGTTTATATGTCTTCTTTTTAGATATGTCTATTTAGATGTTTTTTCAATTTTTATTTATATATATTTTTTTTTTCAAGAGCTTAGATTTCTCCCAAAATTGTCTCTCTTTTGATTCTGTATGTTTGGGACAGGAATAAAGAAAGGGTAAGAGAATTGACTGTAAGGGATCATGAAGAGTTGGAAATAGAGAATTCTGATGTGGTTTGTTCCCCCAAAAGATGGATTTGGTTTTCTTTTTTAAATAAAATTATATTTTAATTGATAGAAATTATATATATTTATGGCATACAACATGATGTCTTGATATTATGAAATGGGAAAGTCAAGTATTTTGTGTGTGATACCTCACATACTTAGGGGGTGAGAACACTATCCATTCTCTTATCAATATGTTGTACCTTTTCAGGTACCATATTTGTTATTTTTATATTACTTTCTAATTTTTCCATAAATTATTGGGGTACAGGTGATATTCGGTTACATGAATAAGTTCTTTAGAGGTGATTTGTGAGATTTCAGTGCACCCATCACCTGAGCAGTGTACACTGCACCATATTTGTATTATTGTATCCCTACCCCCCACAACTCTTCCCCTCAAAGTGTCCAAAGTCCATTGTATCATTCTTATGCCTAGGAATCCTCATAGCTTAGCTCCCACACATCAGTGAGAACATATGATGTTTGGTTTTTAATTCCTGAGTTACTTCACCTAGAATAATATTCTCCAATCTCATCCAGGTCACTACAAATGCCATTAATTCATTCCTTTTTATGACTGAGTAGTGTTCCATTATATAAATATGCCACAGTTTCTTTATCCACTCAATGATTGATGGGCAATTCCAGAGCACCTCACAGGATAAGACCCACTAGCCTGAAATTCCAGCCAGCCACCAGTAGTGGTATAGCACCTCCCTGAGATGGAAATCCCAGTGGGAGGGAAGGGCCACCATCTTTGCTGTTTGGGTGACTTAGCCAATCCAGCCTTTGGGCTTTGGAGAGTCCAAGCTGACTGGGAGCAGAAGGGATCCTCCAGCATAGCACAACTGCTCTACAAAAACATGGCGAGACTGCTTTTATAAAAAGCAGTTCCCTAATCCTCTTCCTCCTCACTGAGCAGGACTTCCCAACTAAGCCTTCAAACTAGCTGCAGTGGACCCAAGGAAAGGGAGCCAGTCTGTCTCTCATGGGTCTCACAGACTTCACACTGAACTTTGCCAGACAGAGGATCCTAGGCTTGAGTCCACAGCACAGACCCTCTATCCTCAGCTCATTACACTGAGTGATTGCTGACCTACATCTCTCTGGGATGGAGCCCCCAGGAGACAAACAAAAAAAACATTAGCCACAGCCACTACTAAGGTCCCTACCTCAGCTGCCTCTAAGTTGGGGAAAGAACATAAACACAGAGATTGCCCCAGAGCTGCAGTGGGCAGCCCAGGAGTGCCAAGCTATGATATATGGCCAGCAACTCAAGGAAGGGACAAACCCATAAATTCAGAGCATTGAGAGGGAACACAGCTGCAACTATGAGGAAACGTAGGGGAGCCACGCAGTCAAGCAAGAGCCTACCAACTGACCAATAAGCCTAAGTGCCACCTACTGGATCACATCTCAAAGCTTCAACACCCAAAACACCTTGCTAATATAACCCCTGTGAAACCAGAGACAGGAAGTCAGCTCCAAATACCCTGCACAAACCCTCAGTCCAGTGAAAATATCCAGAAAAGAAGTCTACTGACTGTATCCAATCTACATTTCTTAAAGGAACATCCCCACACAGAGATGAGAAAGAATCAATGCAAGAACTTTGATAATTCAAAAGGCCAGAGTGTCATATGTCCTCCAAACAACCACACCAGTACTCCAACAAGAGTCCTTTACCAGGCTGAACTGGTTGAAATGACAAAAATATAATTCAGAATATGGATTGGAATGAAGATCATCAAGATTCTGGAGGATGGCAAAATCCAATCCAGGGAAACTAAGAATTATAATAAAGCAATACAGGAGCTGAAGGACAAAATAACCAGTATCAAAAAGAACCTAATGGGTCTGACAGAGCTAAACAACAAAATTGAAGTTTTCACAATGCAATCACAAGTATTAACAGCAGACTAAGCCAAGCTGAAGAAAGAATCTCAGAAGTTGATGATTGATTCTCTGAAATAAGGCAGTCAGACAAAAAATAAAGCAAAAAAAAAAAATAAAAAGGAATGAACAAAACCTCTGAGCCATATGGGATCATGTAAAAAGCCCAAATCTACAAATCACTGGCATCACTGAAAAGAGGAAGAGAAAGCAAACATCTTGGAAAACATATTTCAGGATATCATCCATGAAAACTTCCCCAAACTTGCTAGAGAGGCCAATAGTCAAATTCAGGAAATACAGAGAACTTCTGCCAGATTCTGCACAAAATGATCATTCCCAAGACACATAATTTTCAGATTTTTCAAGATCAAAATGAAAGAAAGAATGTTAAAGGCAGCTAGAAAGAAAGGGCAGATGACCTAAAAAGGGACCCCATCAAGCTAACTGTGGAACTCTCAGCTAAAACCCTACACATCAGAAGAGATTAGTCATCTATATTCAACATTCTTAAAAAAAATCTTTAAGCAAGAATTTCATATCAGCCAAACTGAACTCCCTAGGTGAAGGAGAAATTAGATCCTTTTCAGGTAAGCAAATTTTGACATTTTGTTACCACCAGACCTGCCTTACAAAAGATCTTGAAAGGAGTACTAAATATAGAAAAGAAAGACTGCTACCAGACAATAAAACAACACACTTAAACACACAGACCCTTGTCACTATAAAGCAACCACACAAGCAAGCCAACATAAAAACCAGCTAAAACAACACAATGACAGAATCAAATCCACACATATCAATACTAACCTTTAATGTAGACAGGCTAACTGCCCCCACTTAAAATGCACAAAGTGGCAAGCTGAATAAAAAGCAAGAATCAATGGTATGCTGTCTTCAAGAGACTTATCTCACATGTAATGACACGTATAGGCTCAAAATAAAGGGATGAAGGAAAATCTACCAAGCAAATGGAATACAGCAGAAAGCAGAGGTTGCAATACTAATTTCAGAAAAAACTGACTTCAAAATCAACAAAAATTAGAAAAGACAATGAAGGGCATCACATAGTGGTAAAGAGTTCAATTCGACAAGAAGACATAACTATTCTAAATATATATGCACCCAACACAGGAGCACCTAGATTCATAAAGCAAGTTCGTAAAGACCTACAAAGAGACATAGACTCCCACACAATAATAATGAGAGAGGTCAACATTCTACTAACAGTATTAGACAGATCATCAAGGCAGGAAATTAACAAAGATATTCAGGACCTGAACTCAACTTTGGACCAAATGAATCTGATAGACCAAGGGCCCCAACCTTTGTGGCACCATGGATCTGTTTAGTGGAAGACAATTTTTCTATGGACCAGAGTGAGGGGAATGGTTTTGGGATGATTCAAGTTCATTACATTTATTGTGTATTGTGCACTTTATTTCTATTATTATTCCATTATAATATATAATGAAATTATTATACAACTCACTGTAATGTAGAATCAGTGGAAGCCCTGAGTTTGTTGTCCTGCAACTAGGTGATCTCATCTGGGGGTGATGGGAGACAGTGACAGACCATCAGGTATTAGATTCTCATAAGGAGTATGTAACCTAGATCCCTTGCATGTACAGTTCACAATAGTTTGCCCTCCCATGAGAGACTAATGTCACCACTGATCTGACAGTTTAAAAAATAAGTCCTCAGCATTACTACTGGCATTTTGTAAGTATTCTACAAAGAGTTAATATATAAATACTTGTTGTAATATAACTATTCAATAAATATTTATCACTTACTGTGTGCTGAGAAATATTCTAGGCACTAGAATATAAACTATTATTCAATGTCAGCCTTGTTGCTGATATGTTATGTTTTTATTTACATTACATACGTTTTTCTATACTTCCTTGTTTACTGTAGTGAATATTTCCATCAACACTCTATAAGACTGTTAACACTTTGTGAGATTATAAGTTCTTAGCAAGAAATACATTTTTTTTGGTTTAAGGCTTACTCATTTTTTAATGCATAATATGACAAAAGCTGTGACTTGATTAATCAACCACCAATCTGTCAAGAATCCTTATTTTATTGAAGTAGCTATGTGCCCTCATAAAAAGATTGCACTTCCTCACCTCCTTTATTGATAAATGTGACAAAATTATGGCTAATAAGATACAATCAGAAGCTGTAAACGTCAATTTATGTGCTTTAAAAGTATATATAAATCTCATTGTTTCCTATTTTTCCTGCTTTCTGGCTAAAATCTGAAGCTGAGGGCTGGGACACCTTCAATTATCTTGTGAGTCTGAAAATAGGAAAAAACTGAGTGGTAAGGAATGTAGGGTATAAAAGTATAAGGAGCTTGGATCTGAGGTGACATAGTGTTAAGAACTATCTCTATATTTTCTATTTGGGTCTCTCTTAAATGCATCTAAATGCAATTTTAATGGATACAAATGATAGTTATGATGTTTTTGATGATGAATGAACTCTTATACAAGTTTACCCCAACTGACATACAATAAAGCAGAAATAATATAAATGATACCCAACTCTCTCAGGTTCTGGAGCCATCCAAACTAATGCACCGTTAATTTCACTCTCAAACACTGACTTTCTTGCCAATGAGCCCCAAACAGATTTTGGCATACCTGCATGAAACTTATCTTTTCTTATCAATTAAAGGCTGTGTACTTTGAGACACAGAAGAGAGTGATTAAGAATAGTGGCCTTATATAGAATTGACAGCGGAGGTCACCTTTTCCAAGGCATTGCTCATGAAGTGCAAATTTATAAAGAAACATACTCACTTAAAACATTTTTTTTCTTAGAAATGCTGACCTTCAGTCTTTTTTGAGCACCAGTTTTCCCTGAATATTTGCTATTGCCAAGGTACTGAATTCTGACAGTGATTTCTATGACCTTAAAACAGCCTTTACTGTCCTGGAACTGCTGGCTACTCAGCACATACTGAGTCTGCCTTCATCTCTAGATGCTCCAATGATGCCATATCTGCACATTCAGCCAGCTCCCGCTGACTTTCTTTCTTTTTTGGGGGCTGGCAGAAAGCACAACCAAGTTAAGTTCCTGATAAAGGTCTCAAAAATGACTAATTCTTTGAATCCATTTGAACCCATTCTTAACTGCTAATTCAACTCTGTGTGAAAACAGTCTGGAAGTGTGCAATGAGGTATAGCCTGCTCCCAATAGCATACAGAATAAGCCCATTATCACAGTCACTGTTATCATATATAGGACGTAACTCTTTCAATGCCTAGTTGTTTGGGACATTTGAGTGATATGTCCTCCATTATCACCCTAATTGCTGTCTCAACCTGATCCCTGCAAAAAGATATCTGAGTAAAAGTTAACTACTCTCTTGGCAGTGAAAAAACTTTATTAGTTCTAAGAGAAGCAGTGCTGTTGACATTTCTTACTTCCAGTTCTTGCATGGCAATAAGGCATAAGAACTGATTTATCAAAGTGAGTGTGCCTATCAAGCATGAGTAAGACAGAAAAAGAAAGTTCACTTTGCACAAAATGAGTTGCTAATTTCTTTTCCATTTCACTGACAATGTGCTCTATGAGCTCAGAGCAGCTGGGATGAGAACAATGGATGTTTCCAACCTGTGCTCCGTTTAACTTCAGCAACTATACAAGGTCAAACAGAAAAGTTGTGGGGGGGAGTGGGGAAACTCTCTTTCTCTCTCTCTCTCTCTGGCTTGTAATAGAGCAAAAAAGCTAGGATACTTAGAGACTATCTGAAAGGCACATTTGGTTTCTTAAAAGACGTTCTTGTTTCTAACCACAGGTATTTTGGCAAAGGTTTAAATGCTATTGTACTGTCATTTCTACCATCAAAATTGCATAATTCATATAGATTGTGGTTCATTGTTGTGAGGGAGTGTGTGTGTGTGTGTGTGTGTGTGTTGGGGTGCAGGGAAGTATGCATTAGCACTTACATTTGAAGAGATACATGCTGTGTCTGTTGCCTAAATCCTCACTGATGAAAAATGAATCAGAAATGAGGTACTGTGCACTTACTCTACTGCCACTGACATGGAATGGATTGTAAAACTTTTTTTTTCTTTTTTGCAATTAGCAATGTGCACCAGAGACCCTTACTATTTAGTATGCTTCCCTACAACCCATACCACCAGAATGGTAGAGTCCTTTGAGATATGGGCCTCATTTTCTTCTTTTTTGATGGATGTTCCAACTCCCCTCTGATCTGTTTCATGTAACTTCGATCTCAGTTAGCACTGGCTTGTGGCAATAACTAGGAATATGAGCTCTTATTCACCAGGAATATCTTGCCAAGTGTGCAGTTCAGGAACCACCTCCCACTATTAGAATTCATATGCCACCATAATACTTTTGGCATTAGATTCTGAGGAGACTGAGGCTAGGAATCTGCTTATAAAAGCATAATAATTTCTTAAATATTGGAAATGTATCACTCTTTTTGAAATTAGGATCTTAGGTTCAAGACAAAGTGAATCAAAAGACAAAGTGAATCTGATGTTTTGAATTAAAAAATGAGGATGATGATTTTGTTCTTTTCAAGAAACAAAATGTATTTCATGAGAATATACTGCAATCATTTTTAGTGATACATTCTGGTATTCAATAAAAATAAAATTAAGAAAAGAATCTTATTAATTTGAGAATCAGATAGACTGCTCTTCTACCACTTCCCTTTCTAATACAGTACTGTAAAGTGGCTACTTTAAAAAATAAATCTTTCTGGTGTGGTGTCTCACGCCTATAATCCTAGCACTTTGGGAGGCTGAGGTGGGTGGAGCACTTGAGGACCAGCCCGGCCAACTTGGTGAAACTCCGTCTCTACTAAAAATACAAAAATTAGCTAGGTTTGGTGGCGTGTGACTATAGTTCCAGCTAATCAGGAGGCTGAGGCAGGGGAATGGCTTGAACCTGGGAGGCGGAGGTTGCAGTGAGCCAAGATCGCGTCACTGCACTCCAGCCTGGGCGACAGAGCGATACTCCGTCTCAATAAATAAATAAATAAACAAACAAACAAACAAAAAATAAATCACGTTTTTGCTCTTACCCACTTCTTTAAATCACATTCTGATTTTCTTCCTTATGCACTCCTCTGTTCTAAGCACACTGAATGACTTCCAGTTATCTCTCTTTTGTTTTGTAGACTGACTTCTCTCTTGATGTAATCCCACTTGACCTAAAGCACAGATTAGACTTTATACTTCAAGATCCAGCACAAATTTATCCCCATTTACCTTCCTCAGCCCATTTGAAGGGTGTAGATTGGACTTTCTTTGGGGTCTTCACTTTTTCTGTGTGTATCTCAAATCAAAATCTGTATACACTGCATAACACAGGTGTTTTGTTGGTCCTCTCCTATTTTATGGGCAAGGAAAAGGGACCACTTAAGACCTATCACTATATGCCCAGGACCTAGAACATTCCCAATACAAAACATGATGGCAAATGTTTGTCAAGTGAATGAGTGCAGATCTTACATCTAGTTGTCCTTCAAATGCCAATCATTTGCTCATCATAAAATTTGTTTTCAGAAAGGCATATTGTCCAACCAAAAGAACATTCCTCTCAATATTAAATTTGTATTCCATACATTTCTGTTCTATAATTAAGGTAAGAGGTTACTCATTATAAAATTACATTACCAAACTCTGAATAATACATTTGGTAATTTTTTTTTCTTGTGAGAGACAGTGGTTATTGTTCAGTACTTTTTAATATTTATAATATTTACTTTAAAAATAGTATAAGGTGAAAAATTAAAGCAGCAATCCTAAATTTTATGTCAAACTGTAATAATGTGTTTTGAATCATTTATTATCTAATGCCAATGATATGAGATAAAATTTAACAGGAAATACATTGAAAAGTCAAGGCTCTAACTTTAAAGAAGATTCACTTTTCTTTTTTGTCTTCTTTAATGAATCTTCTTTTGTCTCTATGTGATCTACTTGAAATAAGGATGAGATGTTCCATTAGAAAGTCTGCCTACCAACATTCAATACAAGAATTGTATAGTGAATGTCTTAGTTTTGCTTATCTAATAAAATTATCTAATCTTGAATGTTATGTCCAAAGTGGTGATCTAAAATTAAGATAACCTATACATTTAACAATCATGGATCTAAGCCAAAAGTAAGTATAGAGGGTGGAGCAGTTTCTAAGAAGATAATACAACAAAGATTTGCTGGTAGGCAGTGGAAATGAAAGACCTGCTAGATGCTAGATGTAACTTCAACAATATGGTTATCGGAAAGCAAGAATGGTAACAGCAGTCAAAGAGAAGAAAAGACAATTTTCCAGATATATGAAACATGGAAGCTCTAAACCATGAACTTGATTCATGATCCAATTCTTCTTCTTTATGTAAATGACCTCTCATTCTACTTTTTGGAGCACAGGTAATGACTTCAACACCTACAGCAAATTTCTCAGTCTATTCCATCCCACTCCAATCTCTTAATTCATTAAATTATTACAGTGGGTGGATTTATATCAACCTGGGTTATGTCTGTGTCTGTCATTTACCACCTATGTAATTTTCCCTGAGACTCCATTTCCTCATCTGTAAACGTAGCCTAATAATTTAGTAGTTCACTCCTTATCTGTGGCTTTGCTTACTATAGTTTCAGTTACCTTCAGTCAATTGCTGGCCAAAAATATAAAATAAAAAATTCCGGAAATAAATAATTCATAAGTTTTAAATTGCACACCATTTTGAGTAGCATGAAATCTAATGCTTTCTTGTTCCTTCTCTCTCAGAAAGTGAATCACTCCTCTGTCCAGCATATCCACACTATAGATACTTCCTCCTCCTTAGTCACTTAATAGTTACCCTCCCACTAATCATTTAATAGCCATCTTGGTTAACAGATTGACTGTCATATTATTTCAGTACTTGTTTTCAAGTTACCATTATTTTGCTTACTAATGACTCCAAGGTAAAAGAGTAGTGATGCTGGCAATTTCAACATGCCAAAGAGAAAGTATGAAGTACTTCATTTAAATGAAAACATAAAAATTCTCAACTTAATAAGAAAAAAACATAGTGTATATAGGTTAGGGTAATATTTACAGTTTCATTATCCACTTTAGATCTTGAAATGCATTCCTGAAATATAAGGGGGGGGGTCTATTCTATCTCTGTAGGTTAAGGTTCAGTCAGAGAAGCAGAGCTACTATGATTGTTACAGAGTGACGAGTTTAGTATACAAATTCAGCTTTGCAATTGTGAAAGTTCAACAGTCTATGTGAGCGTGATGCTTGTGCCTGTGATTCTGGGGCCTGATGTCAGCACTTAAGCAAAAATATAAAATAAGGGAAAGTAAGAACAAATCGAGAGCCACAAGATACAGTAAACCCTAAGTTGACATCTCACTGCAACCTCCAAGTCTTCAAGTTTGATGATGCTGGTTACTTGCAGGAGAAACTGGTGCCCTTTTTCATGGATCTAAATATTTACTGGACCTAGGAGGCAGAAAAGATAAAACAGGATCTGGCAGACGTTGACAGAGCAGTGGACCTGGTTTTTTCCCCATACCAGCAAGGTGGGCCAACAGATTAGGGACTTTTATGTTCTGAAACAGTACTGGAGTTTCTGCACAAGCCTTCTGATGGTTAAAGGAAGATGGCTACTGCCCAGGTTCCATGCTAATCCAGAAATACACACGGAAGGAAAATCTGGGAAAGGTAGATCCAGCTTAGCTGTAATGGCAATGCAAATTTATCAGAAGATCCCGGCTATTCAGAGCACTGCTGGGTTGATAAAAGAAAGCGCATGAGAAATCAACTTGAAAAATTTAAAATCCAAAAAGACATACAAAAAACTATTTTTTCACAAAATTTCCTCTTTACAATAAGCTAGTCATTGCTTCCCCTATTTTGTTGTAGTGTCTTCGACATAACTAGTCATCAGCATAAATAGTAGATCCTTGTGCAGTATGATTTGATAGGAATCACTAGGCCTGATAAACCTAAATTTCTCACAAAATTGTCAACTACAAAAGAATGCAGACAACACCTAGGTCTAATTAGTTGACTCTGCTGATACTTAGCACAGAGTTTGATGTATACTAAGAAAGAAAGAGAGCCAGAGGAGAAGAGAAGAGAAGAAAGAAAGAAAGAAAGAAAGAAATTAAGAATGAAAGAAAGAAAGAAGAAGAAAAAAAGAAAGAAGAGAGAAAGAAAGGCAGGAAGAATGGAAGGAAGGTAGGAAGGAAGGAAGGAAAATAAATTACATTTGGATAGAAATCAAAGGTGAAGTAAGGGGAAGTTATTATTAAAAAAGCAACCATTGCATTTTTATCCCATAAATATCCTGGAATGTAGAACTTATCTTAATTCTGTAACTCCAAATTAAGATCCCTCAACAACAATAACAACAAAAAAACTTTACACTGCTTTTATCTACATGTTAAAGCAAGAACTATGAGCTTATAAAAATTACTATTGAGGTAATAGGGCAGCCCATGCAAGTGGACCTAGGTAGAAGTTACTTTATAAGAAAAGAGACCAATTCTAACATCAGGTCCTTGATTTTTTTAATAAAGCACATAGATTTCTAAGTGTATAGGAAAGCCCCACACCATGATATTTCCTCTCATTTCTTAAATAAAGGAAGTTCCAATCCACTTTTGATAAATGCCAATGTATCAGTAGGATTTCAAGACAATAAGAAAAGGATTTGTGCTCATTTTACTTTCCCTGAGATTAAAGCCAGATGCACTGTTAGAAGAGAAGTCACCTTGGAATTCTCAACAATTGAGTCAAACTGAGTTTAGGAGGATTTTTCTGCTCTGAATGTCAAGGTCAAAAAGGATTTCAGTCATCGCTGTGTTCCCAAGTTATCCTTATTCAGCTTCTCCTTCCAGATTCTTTCTCTATAACAGTATTCCCTTGTGGCACTAGCAATAATTAATAATGTTCCCTTCTTAGCAGCTCCAGAGCACCAGGGTTTGCCAGAGTTGGTCAGTGAAATTCTCTAATGGGAAGAAATAAAACTGCTGTCTCGGCCCAGATGCTGGAAAAAGACTGTGGGTAGGAAAGGCATTCCCACTTGCCATCTCCAGCCTTCTCCCCAGAACACTCACACATAGGCAGGATATTTCGTGATCACATTGTCTGAGATTACTCCACCTTGTCTTTTCTGGAATTCTTGGTTGCACCTCAAGGTGGCTCAAGGCAGAAATAATACATGCATATGATGAAAATTGGGCATTTATTATTTAGGGGAAAGGCCAGTTTATCTGCCAGCATAGTCTGACAGCATTTAGCACACAGTTCAGCATAAGCTTTTTTTTTTCTTTTTTGGTGGTAAAGTTAAATTTGTGAACAAAAGGGCAGAAGGATATATCATACTGGAATATAAAACTGAGGTGAATAAAAGAGGATAATCTAAAAGTACTACCAACCATTGTGTTTAGAAAACAATAGAATTTTTTTTAAATTAATACATGCAATAGCATACCATAAGGGAAAAAATCATGCAGGAAAATAAAGAGATATGTGTTCTTACAATAACTCTCTTCACATATATTTAAAATCTATCTGTTATAACCTACTATAAACCTATTTTCTGTAATCCACTCTAAATTTCCTGAGGGCTGGAACTCTGTTTGTATTGTTCACTGATGAAACCCAGTGCTAATCCCCGTGCCTGATATAAAAAATGTAGCTAATAAACATTTTAAAATAAGTAAATTCAGACAGTAAAAAATTTCAAATTACACGCACTGAAAAGCATCACATATGCCATTAAAATATGAATGGTTATTCGTAAAAATAATTAAGGAGAGGCCTATGAACACATATCTATTAGTTACATTTGTTGGTTCCTTTTACAAAAATTGTCAAATATCCTTAATGTTACAAGCGGTGAACAATATGTCAGTTCCTACTACCATGAAATGTATGAAGAAACTACACAAGGCATGGTAATCATACATAACTATGTACAATTTGTTAAAAACTTGTACATTCAAAAAGTATAACCTTATATAGAAATCCACCAACCTGCTTATAGATGAATTACTGTTTGACTCTTAATTTTACCAAGAAGGAAGAAGTGAAAACAAGAATGTATCAATTAGCTATTGCTAAGTAACACACCTCCCCAAAACTCAATGGTGTAAAACAATAAGCATTACTTAGTGCTTACAAATCTATGGGTGGGATGGGTGATTTTTCTGGGCATCGTTAGTTGGCTCATTCATTTATCTGTCATCATTTGTGGGTCAGTTAAGCATTTCTCTTAATTTTGAATGAATATATTTGTCTGGCAGTCAGCTGGTTCTGGGCTGGCTCAAGGTGGCTCAGCTGAAGAACTAGATTCTCTCTTGGATTTCTCATCTTCCAGCAGGCTAGTCCAGTCCTGCTTACATGGCAAGGACAAAATTTGAGACAGGAAGAGTGAAAGCACACAAGGCATCTTTATTCTTTTGCTCAGAACCGGCAGTGTCACTTCTGCTGCCTTCTGTTGGCCAAAACCATATAATTTCAGATCAGATTAAAAGCACAGGGAAACAAAAACTATATCGTGGTGGAAGGAACTACAAAGCCAGATGGAAAAGGGCAGATTTGGACAATAGGGTCGAGAATTAGAGATATCTTTGCAATAAATTTACCCCTTATCAAAACATTGGAAGGAAACGAAAATGACAAACACCAGGAGGAAGGAGGCATGTCTCCAAAGAGTAGTAAAGTGAGAAGTATAATGATGATCAATGACATACTTTAGAATTTAGTAAATAGATTAAAGAAAGTAAGAAAATATTATGCATTCATTATTCTAGTTGACAATGTTTATTGAGTCAGGCAATATTTTAAGCACTCGCTATGCAAAGAAAAAAGAGAAAGATTTTTCCTCATTTTTTGGGGGGAACAGTCAATAAAGACATAAATAATCATAGTTGAGATAATTTTAAATAGTGCTAGGTGCTAGAAGGAAAATCAAAGCAGGCAAGAGAGTAGTGGATGCCAGGCTTGCAGTGTGAGTGGGTCTACTTTAGCTAAAGGAATCAGGATAGTCTCTTTAAGGAAGTGACATGAATAAAGAGTTAAATGGCAAGAATGGGGAAGCCTTGGGAACACAGGGAGGAAGAGCAGAAATCAGCTCACACCAACTTACTGAGAAAAGAAAGAGCTCGGCTCATTGATCAGAAAGAAAAGGGCTTGTAAGGCTATAGATTACTGAGCAAGTTAGAGAAGGAGGCAGTCCAGAACAAGCACAGTCTTATGAGCCAAGTAAGGCTGTTGAATTCTATCCAAGAATGTGTAACAAGAAGCTATTAAATACCATAATCAAATCAGCTATGCGATCTTATGTTTTGAATGGAAACTTTGGCTACTATGAGTCAAATGTACTACACAGGGCAAAAGTGAAAGCCAAAAGGCTATTGTATAAGTACAAGGGTGGGTAAAGATAGAAAAAGAAAGGCAAGTAGGGAAGTAGTTACAGTAACTGGTGAGAGTTGGTGGTGGCTTAGGATAAAATTGGACTTCGTGAGAAAGAGAGAAATGGTCAGATTGTTGATTTATTTTCAAGGTGAAGCCCCAAAGTTTTGCTGATTGATGGCGCAGAGGATGAGAGAAAAGAGCAGTGCTGAGGGTGAAGTATTTTGATTGAATTGAAATGTCTATTAGATAGCAAAATGGAGACGTTGAATTGGCATTTGGATATCCAAATCCAATTCTCAGGGAAGAGAGGAAATGGAGAGAAATAGTTTCAGAGTATCTACATAGAAATGGTGATATGGTTTGGCTCCGTGTCCCCACCCAGATCTCATGTTGAATTGTGATTTTCAATATTGGAGAATGGGCCTGGTGGGAGGTGATTCGATCATGGGGGCAGATTTCCCCCTTGTTGTTCTCATGATAATGAGTGAGTTCTCATGCGATCTCGTTGTTGGAAAGTGTGTAGCACTTCTCCCTTCGCTCTCTCTCCTGATGCACCATATGAAGATTGTTTTTGCTTCCCCTTCACCTTCCACCATGATTGTAAGTTACTTGAGGCCTCCTCAGCCATGCCTCCTAAATCTCCTGTGGAACCGTGAGCCAATTAAACCTGTCTTCTCTATAAATTACCCAGTTTCAGGTGTGTATTTATAGCAGGGTGAGAACAGACTAATACAGATGGTCTTAATGAAATAAACTTAGGAAGAGATTTTTGTAAAAAGAGAAGTCTGATTTTTTTAAAAAGTCTGAATTATTCAGAGTCTTAGACACAGATAGAGAAAAATATATCATTTTAGGAGAGGCCAATTGTGTCAAATCCTTCAGAATTTGAGCAATACACTTAAGGTGCTTTGTGGTTATTGGGAAGAGAGAAAAATATCACCTGGATCATAATGTGACTTTGGACTTCTGGTCTTGCTCAAAGTTAGAGGTGAGGTTTCAACTGGGTAAAATTAAAAAAAAAAAATCAAAACTAAAAAGAATGACACATTGCAAAGTATTAGGTGCTTCACAGAGATTAAATTCTGAAAATGTACTTGTCAATCCTCCTAATGAAGTAGAAAAGAAAGAAATCTCTAAAAACTCCCACTTTCACCCAAGAAGGAGATACAGGCACTTGATTTAACCTTCCAACTGAACCAACCAAAGGAGCAGACAAAGTATATGAAATACTGGTTTCCAAGATGCTGGCTATTAGGCACAAGGACATGCCTAAGAGAGAGCAACTAAATGAGGTGAGCCCTACAATTGTCCCAGCTCACTTCTGTGAGAGAGTTTCCAGGCTATGGAAGTTTTCTTCAAAAAGTAATGACAATCAAAAGATTAGCCACAAACAGAGAAAATGTTTGTAATTTATATATCTAATAATGGACTTGTATCAAAAGTAAATAAATAATTCTCAAAACTTAAAAAGAAAATATCCGAATTTTTGAAAATATGCAAAAGAGCAGTTAATTTTACATGATAAAAGACGATACATGGATGGCAAATAAACACATATAAAGATAGCCAAGTGGCTAAGATGTAGAAAAACCAAAGCTCTTATGCACTACTGGCAGAACGTAAAGGGGTATAACTTATTTGGAAACAGCTTGTCTGTTTCTTAAAAATTAAAATATCCGTCTACTATATGGCCTAGCAATTCTACTCCTAGATATTGAGTCAAAAAAAATAAAAGCATATGGCCATGCAACTCAGATATGAGTAATCATAGAGGCTTTATTTGCATCAGCCCCAAAATGGGCAACAATACAAATGTCCATTAACAGTAAATGGATAAAAAAGTTGTGGTATATTCATACGATGAAATGATAATTGTAAAAATAAATGAACTATTGATACATATGATAAAATGAATGCATTTCAAAATTATAATGCTGGGTATAAAAAACAAAACCAAAAAGTACACATTTTATAATACTATTTGTATAAAATTCTAGAAAATGAAAATTAATTTATAGTGACAGGAAACATATCAGCCATTGCCTGGGATACAGAGAGAGGAAACTGTGGGAGGGATGAATTACAAAGCGGAATGAGGAAAAGTTTGAGGTTCATTATCTTAAGTGCAGTGATGGTTTTGCAGGTGCTTATGTGTATCAAAACTTATGAAACTTGCAGTTTAAATATGTGTAGTTTATTGAATATCAACTGAACAGTTAATTTGTTTTTTTGTTTTGTTTTGTTTTGTTTTGTTTTGTTTTGTTTTGTTTTGTTTTTGAGAAGGAGCCTCGCTCTATCGCCCGGGCTGGAGTGCAGTGGCAGGATCTTGGCTCACTGCAATCTCCGCCTCCTGGGTTTAAGCAATTCTCTCGCCTCAACCTCTGGAGTAGCTGGGGTTACAGGGGTGGGCCATCATGCCCGGCTAATTTTTGTATTTTTAGTAGAGACGGGGTTTCACCATGTTGGCCAGGCTGTCTCAAACTCCTGACCTCAATTGATGAGCCCACATTGGCCTTTCAAAGTGCTGGGATTACAGGCATGAGCCACCACACCCGGCCTAATCTCTTTTAAATATAATTAAATTAATTGAAAACAATAATGTCAATGTATGAGGACCTTGAAATGAGCTTGGATAAGAGAGAGCTAGCTTAGACAAAAGGACAAGACTATAGCAGAGAACAAACATAAAAACATGTCTTAGATCTGTGAGTTGTGCCTGGAAGATTGATGCCCAGATTAAATCAAGATGTGAGAAAAACACTAATGAAAAACAAACAAAAATAAATAGATATGGGAGAGATATGTATGTCCTTCCCATTTTAAAATTTATTTAAAAATAAACTTATTTTTTAAAAATTGGATATGTTTTCCTCTTGCCAAATCATACAAGAGATTGCTTAGTTTAAATCCTTGAGGCCAGTGATGTTGTATTAATAAATAATAAAAAGTAAAATTTATGCTCTTTCTCAACTCAGCTGACTAAAAAGATATATATGCATATATGTGCATATATATGTGTGTGTGTGTATATATATATATATATATATATATAGACAGAGAGAGAGACATAGACAAAGACAGAGAGAGATCTCAGACATAGAAAGAGAGAACTGATTTCCAGCATAAAAGGCTAATTACTTCAATGTTAAAGCACAGGCTTGGATGAGACAGATAGCCACACGTTTAGTCCTTCCTACCAATATTACTTTATACAGATCACTGAAACATGGATCTGTAGCTTCTTCCTCTGGGAAACACAACACCACTCTGGGCATTATAAAAGTTAAACAACATGGTATAAAGTTCTTAGCAAAGTGTCTGACACATACCCCCCAATTCCTCCAGCTTCCTGGCTCTTTTAATGTGCTCAAATTGCCCAAATCAGAAAATGAGATTCTGAGATATCATGGGAAGTTTTTAAGAAGTTTTCAAAGCTGATTAGCTTTAAGAAATCATAAATAATGACAAATCCCTAGGGTAGAGGTAAATCTACCAACCATGAAGGGATAAGCCTAATATTAAATCAGATCATCTTCTAAAAGAGGGTATTAAAATGATACCCTAAAGAAATATATTTATAGATAAAATTAAGCCATTTTGAGTTGAGTAAGTGTTCAATTGGTTCCCTTCCTAATGGATTGAGTGATTATACTCAAGAGTTGTGATTTATGATCAATGTCAAATAGTAGGAGAGAGTGCATCATCATGCTGAAATGTTTTAGTCTAGATGTTGACAAGAACAGAATATTGATTAATTGTTTTATTGGGAATATTGGTTATGGTATGATGTAGCAAGTTGTAAAATGGGGCCACAAACCTGTTGTTTCACACTGACCCATAAAACTAGCTCACAAATGAGGTATTAAAAAATTCAAATACTCTACGTTTATAGTCAGTCTATATATTATAACTAATAGATTAATTATAGGTATTTATATTATACATTTAAAGTGGAAGATAATTGCATGTCTTTCTAGATAGTCTCACAGGAAAATCCAATAACTTTAATGACAAAAGAGATGCGAAAAAACTTTTAAACTAAAGTTCAAATTTGTATTAAAGTATACTTACATAAACATCCTCATGAAAATTTGAAGAATCTTATGAATCTGCAATCATAACTGAATTTGCAAATAATAATGGTGAAAAAGCACAAGCATCCAAAATTTTCAGCAGTTAAAATGTATCAATTCCTGCACTTGGGTTGAACAATTATACTTCCCACTTACTGAGTGGGAACTATAACTCCAAAATGTAGAAAGAATATTGAACTTGTTGACTCTTTCCTCCTGCTTTATTCCATCCTGCACCTCAACCAGTCTTGCTCCACACCTACAATGAAGGGCAGCAAAGGAAACAAAGAGGAGAAATTAGTCATATTTGGAGAAAATTTCTGTTTCTACCATAATGAAGATGTGAAAATAAACAGAATGTTGTCTATAACAAATCCGGCCCAGTAAGCAGTTAGAATAAGCCACTATATGTTAGGTATAATGCAAAATGTATCCCTTCTTTCAAATAATTATTTCTTCTACTACCCCAACACAGTGACTGGAATTTCCTCAATTAGAATTTATGTTTGTATGTTAATTCAAGCCTATGGTATGGCAATGAATCTTTCAAAGACCTCTATGAAAAGACAAATTACTCTGAAGAGATAACACACTATGTCTTGCATCTGGACATGGATGTGTTTATAAAGAGTAAATCTGGGAGAAAATGAATTGTACCATAAGACATTTTTGAGGGAAGGAAATTGTAAAGCAAAAATTAGAAACTTTGGAAGTTTTTCCATGAGATAAGTTAGGTAAAGAACAGCCTCGAGGGGCCAGAAATGTGGAATAAGTATGATAACACCAGGGCTCTGAAAAAGAGATTTTGAAAGCAGGGAATAAAATTCAGAACAAGAAGGTGGGACAATTCTAAAAAAATGTAGCCTCCATTTCAATATGACTGCCAGACTTCCTTGGTTCTGACATAGATCTTTGGTATTTATATGGACTCTGAGTCACTTACAGCACTCTGCTGTTTCATTCAACAAGGACTTGTGGGACAGTTCCTGTCTTAAATTAGATTCACTCAAAAATTGACTTTATGGCAAGGAATTAAGGACAGCTAGTTTACACGGGAGTTGACTTCAAGAATCACAGATAAGAAAGTTGGTGAGAATAACAAGGAAAGAAATAATATTTAAAAATGCACATTGATAAGCAAATTAACTGAGGTTCAGTACTCCAGGAGGCCCTCTGAGAAACTGAATAATGCTTCTGAATCATTGGGTCATGTTTATACTGATTACTTCTGACTATTTCTTTCCCTGCACTTCCAGATTATGACTACCTGTGGTTAAGCAAGCTCCTGGAGTACCAAAAAATTCCTAAAGAGATGAGAAAAAAAAAATGGGAAACTCTCAGTGTGGTGAGACTTGTCAAGCCTCACTGCAGATGAACTCAAAGATGGGGTCCATAGCAGCCATGTCCAGGATGTCACAAATCTCACGTTTAGAGTCTGGAAGAAATAATGGGAGAAGAGTCATAACATAAGTTCAAACAGATACAAACAGATAAAAGAGAAACCAAAAATTCAAATCTACAGAGAACAGAAAGGGGCATGATAATTAGAAAGATGATCAAATTCATTAAAAAGGGCTTCCTGAGGCAGGTAGCATTTGATCAACTCTTAAAGGTGCTAGCATAAATTAATAGAGTCTTGGTAGAGTAGTAGAGGTGGAGAGATGAATATTAGCATACTTATCTAGTGTGCATCACACTAATTTGGAGATACAGGAAGAATTTAGTGGATGTTAGGACGTTTATAAATACCTAGTCCTGGAATATGAAAAGCAACTAACACCTTAACCCAAAGGAACAAGATTATAAAGCCCCAAAACTGAAAAGAGCCACAAAATCAGTCTAAATTTTAAGCACTGAATATTTTAGGCTTTTGTTGTATTTTACTCCACTTTGCATGGGAAACTCTGCTATTTCCTAAATGTTTTCCATACTCAGAAAAATCTCATAGCCTTGAATCCATAAGCCTTGAGGCTGGCAGCGTTTAACTCCAGCCTGAAAGCGATTAAATAATACATTAATTATAATGTAATAACCAGGTTTCTGAATGACTGGGGGTTAATTTGTCTTTGGAAAGGTTGCTTGCTTCATTGAAAGGTGATTTGGAACTCTGTTAAATATATATTTCTCCTAGCAGTGTTATATATGCTTTTGTGTGTGTATATATATATGTATATATTTCTTGTTGGAGCAGACAATTCACAATAAAAATATTTTTCCTTGTTTTTACTTTCTTGTAACCACTATGAAGATTTAAAAAATGTAAACATTTTCACTTCAAGTACTAAATTGTTAAATATTTCTAATTGCCTGTATTATAATTTTGTGCTGTACAACAGTCCAATAGGTATTATTAGGATGACATTCATGGTACTGGAGTTCAGATGTTTAATCTCTACATGAAGTATCTTTCTCCAGGACCACAGACAGTTTTATTATTTTAATTTTTGTTTGGAGTAGGAATAATGTTTCTGAAAATCTATTTTATACCAGTCTAGCCTAATCTGTACAATATATTCATTTCAATAGCACTAGTTGAGACCTGTAGTGAGTCAGCTTCTAAGTACTAGCCAAGAATTTCTATTTTTATCTTAGGAAAAGAAAAAAGAAGACAATATATGAAGAGATCATTACAATACAGATTGTACATACAAGGTGCTATATGTACCATATTGTATTATAGTATCATGCAGTTTATTTAGAGAAGCAGAGAGTACTAACCCAGGATCCAGGTTGGGCTACAGGAAATCACTGAAAATTTCTAAGTATCAAGACGGGTCAGAATTACATTTTACCTAGATAATGCTGGAAGTTGTGTTGATGGTAAATTTAAGAGTACAAATCCAGAGGCAGAGAGATATGTCAAAGACTTGAGTATATGTAAAAAAATAATAGGAACGAGGGCAAGGGGATGAGTGAAGTGGATCATACATAGCAGTTCAGTGGTGAAATCAGTAGCACGTGATGACTAATTGTGGCAACAGCATGGTTAGGAGCCTGAGTAGACATAGGATATAGGCCAAGCATCTTAAGTTGTCAGTATGTATGACAAGGTGAATGGTGAAATATACAACTAAGACAAAAGCCACATTCAGAAAGGGTATCTTTAGGAGGCATAATTATAAGTTTAGTATTAGCTCTGTAGCATTTGACATTCACATAGAAATATTCAGTAGACCTTCATATATATATACGCACACACATATGTATACGAAACTTTTGGACTTACTCCAGACTTCCTCCATAGGCACAAGTTTTTCTTTGTCATTAAGTAAAATACCCAGCAAAGGAGGGCCATAGAACCCATAAGTTTATGAATCGATCTTTGATTATTTTCTCTCTCTCATCCCTCTTATTCAATCCACCAACAAATTTGTTAATTCTACTCCCAAAAGTGTATGCTAAGTCTACACACTTCTCTCCGTTTCCAGTTTCACAATTTTATGATATACATCTTCATGTCTTTTTACTGGTTACTGTAAGTGGCATATTTTCTTAGAATAGCCAAGAACTGGTAAGAACCCAAATGTCCATCAAGTGATGAATGGACAGACAAAGGATGGTATATCCATACCGTGGAATATTAGCAATAAAAATAAATGAAGTAGCGATACATGTTACAATATGCATGACCCTTGAAAACATTATGCTAAGTGAAAGAAGCCAGACACAAAAGGCCATATACCGTATGATTCCACTGACACAAAATATCAAAAATAGGCAAGTCCTTAGAGACAGAATTATTGATTAGTGGTTATGAGAGGCTAAAGAATGGGAAGAGAGGGAATAGAATGAGGAATGACTCCCAATCAGTATGAGGTTTCTTATGGGGGTGATAAAAATGTCTTACAGTAGTGCTTCTAGGTAGTGGCGATGGCTGTACAACTTTATGGATATACTAAAAATCACAAAATATTTCTCTTTTAATTATTGAATTTTATGGTATGTGAATTATATCTCAATAAGGAAATCTAACAGAACTGTTCTTAATTTGAGGAGGAGGATGGTAACCTTTACTAGGTTGATCGTTTAAAAAAAAAGAGGTGCAATTTTGATTATATGACAATTACAAAATCTGAAGCAAGAAATGAGACGACTTGGTGACAAATTGAATATAGACAAGGGAAGGAAACCAGCCAGGGACAATTCCCTGATTGAAAAAAATATGAATTAATGTGAAAAAATAATCTAATTGTGGGCACAAGATTAATTCAGTTTTGAAAATGGTGAGATTTGCACAAATACAAGATTTTTTTAAGTGGAGGTGTCTTTAGGCATCTGAATGTTGGGGACACATGTTCAAGCTGCTGAAGACACAAAAATGAGTATCATCAACTCAGAGAAAGAAGAAAATGTCATGAGGATGATGCAGAGAGAAAAACAGAAAATTAAGGACTGAAGTTTTGTGGAATATCCTTCACTTAGGAGATGGTCTTAAAAAGTGGCGTCTCAGAAAACAGAAAACGAAGAGAGCAGAAAAATGCCTTTGCGCAGAGTCTAAGAGAAGAGAGTTGCAAGAACTAGAGGCCAGCACAGAGGAGATATGGAGAGACTGGGAAAAAGAAAACTAAGTAAAGGCAACAGTAAGACCATTTTGATAAATACACACACACTGAGGGATAAGAGTTTGTCCAATTGATATCCAGAGGTGATGAATGTATTAAATTTATTAGAGACCAGAATTTTGAAATAAGTGAGAATAATTTTATCTAAGGGAGGAAATACTTGTGGTCGTGGGGAAAGAAATTAACTGCATAGGACACCAGGCTTTGAAAAGGATTAGAATGGACATGGCAGGCAAGAGAGAGGCAGACAAGTGACATGACTCAATCCATTTTTCAAAATTGAGACGGTGGAAGATTGTTTTAGTCCCTGTATTTGAGAATGATGAGAGATTAGAGTCTGGAGAGAATAATAAGGGTGGGACAGGAAGATGGAAGCAGCACATCCAAGTTGCGAGACGGACACGGGTGGAATATTCAGCATACACACCAGAACAACAAAGTCAAGACCTCAAGTTCAGAAACAGAGATGGTACAATTTTCTCTTTTCACAAACTCTGCATATTGTTGGCTACTCCTTAGCAGAATACTGATCTTACAATAGACATTTGTGAATTGTGGATTTCTGCCTTCCCGATGTTAATGGTTTGTGAATTATTTTGACATTTCATTTTTTTCTTACTTCTTCTTTTTCCTACCACCCTACATGAAAAGGCAGCCTGTCAAAAAGTGAAAATGATTTTATATTTACAAGGCAAAGGAACCTTTAAATGACCTTAGAGGTTTACATGAGGTAGTCACAGCTTCGGGATGATCAGTAAGGTTGCTGTTGACAGATACCACTTGATGGACTGGAAATCAATTTGATCAGATGTTTTTATGGATTATAGTGGCCTTGGCTAATTACAAAAGATTGTCTTCCTAGATCCCACAGTTTTCAGAGCTGACTTTGAGCAGGTGTACACAGGATTAAGCTGCAGGCTTGACAGTTTTCCCTAATTATCTGTCACAAGGGCAATTCTTGGTTCATCTTGACACTTGTGTCAAAAACAGGCTGAACTTTTATTTCTTAGGAAACACGCTTTTTTTTTCACACTAATCTGTGTTTAGAGGATGAGGCTGATCACATTTATCATCATTTGCATGGATTTGGAAGAGGGAAAGAGACTGCAAATATGAAAAAATGGATATGAATTTTTTGAAAATCTACATAAAACAGATAATGTGATCACTGAGTTGAAAGGAAATAAAATAAATGCTGTATAGATTCAGTCATTCAGATTCTACTGGAAAACATGATATTTTAACATAATTTTTTTAAAAGGGAGGTTGTAAGATGTCTTATTAAAAGAAGAGAGAATGGAAAAATGATTGTGTTATGTGCCATAATCAACAACAGTCCATGTCAGACCTGATAAATTATGAAAATTTAGATGTACATCAGAAAACTAAATCGTGTCCTTTTCTTGAGATTCAGAAAAATGTCTTCAGAGAGATTTTGACCATTGCATAGTTGAAATAAATGCTTTGTCCAAAACATGGGTGACTACTAAACAAAGATTCAGATGTGACTGAATATGAGGAACTAGGGCCCCTAAAGCAAAAGTTAATTTGTATATGGGTATGACAGACAAGCAGAATGGGGATAGTTTTGTGTGGAAACAGCAAGACAGAGAGAAGGGAGAAGAGATGGTGTAAATGGTCAGTGAGTAGTCCTTTTGTTATTTTGACTGTAGGAATGAGAACTAAGGCTTTGGAGAGTATACTTTTAGACTAGAGCTGAAAAATTGAACTCACAAATATTTATGTGACAAAGATTCAAATAATTTTTCTAGAGCCCAGAAGTAGCAAGATATATTATTGTGTAGGAAAAAAAACCTTTTGTCTTCCTTGTTCTGTACAGAACACAGCATGTGCCTGGAAACATGAGAGGTCTGGGATGTCTACGTAAATTCCTGAAAGTAGCAAGTTTGTAAGGTGGAAACAGAAGAAAACAATGATAATGCTTGACCAAGAAATGTCACTCATAATGGTGGACTCTTTTTACATATATGGGTTTCTAGGTAAATGTGGCTGGCATAGTGGAGAGACTTGGTAGAAAGTTAAAAGCTTACACAATCAGTCACTCAACAAATATTTATAGTGCATGAAATGTGCCTTCTTGTTTTAGTTTTTACAGATTCATCAATGAAAAGTAAAACATATGAAAAACCCATAAGCCTGTGAAATTTTGAGATACTGTGACTCTTTTGTACTAACAATCTTATAAAGTCTGGAGAACATTAGGTTGTATTAACAATGTTAAACATAAATTGTATTATTATGTCTCTTACAAAAAAGCTAATGAATCTGTACTTTTATTTGAAAAGAATAAATATTAGAAAAAAATAAGAAATATCAGTTCTGAAGAATTTACTCATTGAAGATAGAAAACTTACCCACATGATCTTTCAAGTTCTTATATAATCTTAAGCTTTTATAATATTTGTTCAGATTACTATTTCTAGAATTAGCATTATAACCGAAGCCAGTTATAGTAAGAAACAAACAAAAATGTTTAAATGAGTATGTGTTATAAGATAGATAAGATTACGTGCTATAAGATACTTAGAAGGGATAGTGTTTTCATTGAGTCTTTTTGGATTGTTCCTTCAGATGCTAGACCATAAAAACAGATGACGTGTAGAAGAAACTACAACCAGTGGCCCATAAAATGGCCATAATCCCATCAAACACCAAGAACAATTATAGTGCAAACTCATATCACTAGGCCTATCAAGTTATAATTTGTATATATCTATTTTAGAAACTGCATCATTTAACCTCACTCACAAAGGTGTTAGGAAGATTAACTAACTAGATAATTTCACAAAGTGCTTAGACAATAAAAGGTAAAGAGATAAATGTCATGGATTATTGCTTTAGACCCTCTGCCAATGCTAAAAGACCAAAGTTAATGTATTGTTTCGTTTTCCACTGTCTAGGTAGCTCAAGTTCATTAGTTCCAAGAATGGGGGCAGTCGGAGGTGAGAAATATTTCTCCAGGAGAAAGAGAACATAGATTCAGATCCCAAGGGGAGTCAAAGTCATTGGATTTATTACAGCATTTCTCTGCTTACAAAGTTTTGAGAGACAGTTTTCCACGAGTGTCTCATGCTTCTTTACTTCTTGTGAGCAGAGGCACTGACTAACTTTGTTTTGGATTTTCCTTTGAAGTGTGCTTATGTACAGAATTGCCTAGAAAGATAAAGATTTTTGCCTCCTTCTAGAGCCAAGAGCAAGTTTGCTTGCAGTCTTGGAAGATGCAAATAGTGTCTCCTTCTGAAACAAATGGAAGGTATGTATATTGCCTATTAAAAACATTTGGATTTTTATGCGTAGGGTTCTTCTCCTGTAATGTAACTCACTTAGTCCTCTTTGTATTATCTGGTTCTATGTCATGTTGTGGAAATTAAGGCTCATGGAACTGATGCAATCAGGCTACTGCTACTCCCTTAAGTAATAAAGTCCTCTGTGTCTGACCCAGAAGTCTCCTATCTTCTCCTAGCATCCCTGAAACTGTGCCAGGCTAAATGTTACCTTGACAATAGGGTAAAATCTCAAAGTCTTGAGAGCTCTTTACACATACACACACACACACACAGAGTGAGGAAGGTGGTAACAGTTTATATGGAACAATCTTCTACAGAAATAATATTTTTTACCTTACCTTTAAGAATACATATTCATTAAAGCACTATACAGATGTTAAATTTCTAGAATTCCACACTCAATAAAAATTTCATGGTGTGTGTGTGTGTGTATGTGTGTGTGAGAGAGAGAGGAGAGAAAGAGACAGACATTTCTGAGGGGCAGGGAGGGAGAAAGATAAAGTGAAAGAGATAGAGAGAGAGATTCTGAAACACATAAAAAATTAAAAAGTATTTGTTACAGTATTTTTAAGTGTAGGTGTACCACATGCCCACACGTAAATTACCATGTGTACCTGAAGAAGGCCAAATTCTGTAATTGACTAGAACTACAAACATGGCCCTTGCTGGCAAGGTGCATCAGTACAGAAAAGACAACATTTGATGGAAAGAAAAAAGTGTGTTTGAGTATGTGTATTGTTTTTTCTCATTTAAAATTAGATACCCTGTATTGGAAAGTCCCTGAAAGGATTTGAGATTTATTCTCAAAATTGTCCTTAGACCCCTGCAGAGAAGTAATCATAAGTCAAGGAATGTAATTTTAGAAGTTGAGCAAAACAACATGTAGCCATGAAGCATTATTCCATTTGATGTGGAGGATTAGCTCATCAGGGTCTAGCTCAGTCACGCTTTCCTCACACCATTCCATTCATTTTCCTCCTCAACTCTGCACGTTGCTCACTGAGTGATTGCCACTCTGACCCATTCCTCTTTCACCCTAAGGCTGATAGACTTTGCTTCCCGAAGCTAATTCTCTGAGTCCTGATTTATGACTCTGACAGCACTTCACCGAGTGAGAGTTTGTGGCAATTTATGTCATTACACAAATTATACAAATTGCCATTAGCTGATGTAATGTACTATAAAGAACTGGAAGCATGAAGAAAAAAATTATTTGAATTTTCTTTTTACATGTTTGCAATACTTTATCACTTACTTTTTCATCTAATTAATAGAAATATATGCCGTTAGCAGAAATTGCATTTTGTTTACCATATCCCTTTTATTTCTCTTTATTTTTAAACATTTACTTTCTGTTAAAGTACCTCCTTTTTCTTAAGGATAAAAAAACTGATAAGAAATATCTGAAATATCAAGTCTGCTACTAAAGAGTTAGAGAAGAAAGGATTAAAGGTTGAATGCCATATGAAAAAGGAAAATTTCATTAGAGTGACTGAGTATTGAGTGAAAAAGGATCAAAGTATTAAAGAAATAAGTTGGTGTGGGATCTTATCTGATGATGTGTGTAAAACTGAAGTTCAAAGTCATATTTTTTCTCATTTCCACTTCCCCTTCTTCTTCCTTGTACTAGCTGTGACTGTTGACTTCCAGAACAGACATGTGAATTTGGATTCTGGTCTACCTGTTTCTTGTTTACTGATGACAGCAATCATTTGGAGAGATGACTCAATTAAAATGTCTCAGAATCATCCAGGGTTTCCTTATGTAAATGTAGCTGTTCTTTTTTTTTTTTTTTTTTTTTTTTTTTTGTTAGGAAGCTTAATGTTGAAATGAAGGTGAAACGAGATAAACCAATCAAAAAATCCTCACTGAGTATATACTTCACATTACAGCTCTAGAAATCTAGTACATTTAAGAGAAGGAGTTGTAAAAGGAAGAAAGACAAAAAGGACTTTTGGAGAAAATACAGAATACAATAAAGAAGAGAGACAGAAATATCTTAACACACAATCGATTGTTCTGCCTATAATCTCTTTCTTATCCAATTCATCTTGTCATCTAACACTTCATTCAACTTCAAGACATGCTTACCTAGTCATGCTCCTCCCACTTCCCTTCAAAGTTTTATTTCCTCTGTCTAAAATCCACAAATTTTCAAAATCTGGCTTTATGATATTTATGAAAACTTCTCTTCTACAGTTTTCCTAAAATTAACCTCTACCCCAGATGACTTGTTAACTAAGTCTATAGTCAAGGTGAGCTGTCAACTGACACAAAAATTGCCTTTCTATCTGCTTCCTAATGCTTCATGCTCATATCACTCAAAACACATATATCCTTAGGAAAAACAACTCAATTACCTTAATATGAATGTATCAATACCCCATGAGAGATCCTTCACTAAAGGCAAGCTTAGTTTTAGAGAAAATAAAGAACATTAGTGTACCTAAGAGAGACAGGGAAGAAGGATAAAAAGAGCAGAGTTTTTGGGGAAGAATGACCAACTTTTCAATGCTTATGTGGATTAAAACACAGCATCCAGATTTTTATCTTGAATCTTCACTTCCTGTTACAAATGTTAACACAGCTACAGGACCTAATTGTACTGATATCATATAGGGATAAAACACATACATTTAAATTGGACTCCCACGTGTGACTATCTTCAGAGATCCAGATTTGGTTCATGATCTGTCAGATGTTAGTTTTGGTGAGAGTACAGAATTCTTACTTAGGTTCAAATAGTATCCTCAGCAATCAACAACACTGACATGATACGGAGGCTGAATATACAAAGGCTTAGAAAATTGAATAGGTCAGAGGGAAGCCTGAGCAGGGTAGGTGAAGTTTCCACACAAGCTTTAGATTTTATGAGTGTTATATGTAGCTAGCAAAAATCCCTAATATCCCTAAAGTGGTTTTCTGGACTGGATTGGCTCTGTACCTATGATTCTAAGGAATAGCATAGTGATGAATAGAATCTTGGGCATCTTTGAATGTGCTTTAGATAATAGAATTTGGATACTTTCATGACACTCAATCTTGCTCTTCCTGGCAGTAAATCCCATCCCTATTCACCACTCCCCCAGACTTAAGAAGTGTGGGAATGAATTCTAAGGCAATAGGAGTTTCCTAGACTTGGCAATGGACACACACGTGACCATAGGCAGAGAATAAAGATGGACAAAAGTTTGTCAAGAGAGAAATATTATATGAACCATAGAATTTTGCTTTTGCTTCTGCTTTTTTGTTTTTTTCTCCAGGGTAGGGTTTTTCATCTTAACACTGTTGATGTATGGGGTCTTACTATTTCTTGTGGGGCCCCTTTATATGTATTGCAGGGCAGTTATGAATATCCCTGGCTTCTAGTCACTAGCTGCCAGTAGAAATCTCCCTACAAGTTGTGAAACAATAATGTCTCCAGACATTGTCAAATGTCCCTCTGACAGGCAAAAATTATTCCCATTGTCTGAAGGTAACCCAACTGATACTACACAATTACTAACAGACCCATGAGATTTTGAAGAATTGACTATGTGTCTTTGCTAAAGTCATATTTCATTTCTAGGCCACCCAGTGCCCCAAAATACTTTCCATCTGTAAGATCTGACAAGTTTAAGGGCTCTCTTTCATGGAAGCACTCTTCATGTTTTCTGGGTGCAATCAGAAGACTTAGTGGGGATTTTGTTATGTGCTGACTTGCGGAGATGAAATAATTCTAATGTAAAACTAAGTCTTTTCTCGTGTAACTTGGAGTTATTCTAGAAGGAAGTAAATAGTAAGTGACCATTATATTTATGACTATATGGGCAGATTATGGATTATAACAATAATGCAACTTCAATGTGGAACCATACAATTCATTTAGAATATTAAGAATTATACAAAGATGAGGGCATAAACTCAGAGGAGTCACCAAATATGTCTGTGGGCAAGGTAAGAAGAGTGTTGCCAAATTCCACCCCACCCTCTGGCATACTACAGGCCATTGATAAAGTAAGAGGGTATGTTATTTTGTTTTGTGTCTTTTTAAAGTACATTTCGGTTGCTATTTATACTATGTTTTAAGGTTCTTCTATTCTTTAAAACATCAGTTGACTCTCTCTTTTTGGATTAAAGAGGTATAGGCTAGACTGCTTATTTAATTGAGAGCATAGGGTGCTCCTCAGGCCCCTGCCATATCTACAAGGCCCAAACTAGTCACTGTGAAGGACACAAAATAAGAAGGAAAATAGAACATAAGCTCTGTCATTAAGAAGCTTAAAATCCAGTTAAAGTGACAGGATTAACCCCAGGGGTTCAATAACAAGTGATTATAAGATACTACATATTTAAGTACTAAATTGTACTTAAGCACCATGTAAGAGCTTCGGAAAGAAGATGGTGTTACCCCAGATGAGAGTCAGAGCTTATTCAACTAAGCATTCTGTGTTTGAAAATAGCCCTAAAACATATGCTTGGATAATACCTGAATGTTGGATTTGGCATTATATTTGATTATAAATAGAAGTGGATATATGTATACGTATATGTGTGTGTGTGTGTGTGTGTATATATGTATATATATATATATGAGAAGCTGCCTGATATAGCTATGAAAGACAGGAAATATTGTGACTTTCTTAGATTTCGTTGTCAACAATTAATTCATTTTAACTTTTCTGTTAATATTTTTTGCCAATTTCATTTCACATGTTATGAGGTATATATGTTTATTATGTATCATTTTGAGTAAGAATGCCTCCTATTTTACCTATATATGTTCTACTGGACTACAAATGGGAGTCTCTCTTTTATCAGGGTGTGGGGATAGGGGGTTGAAGCCAGGAAGAGAAATAACTCACCAATGTAGGAATCACTAGGGAAAAATAGACTTCCATGAAGTTTCAAAGAAACATAAATGATGTTACTGGAAAATGCCTATTCTTAACTTGTTTCTTCCTTAGTAGCACATAAGATTAGCTTTTGCTATCCCTAAAAATATAGAAGTTGGCTTCTAACTCCTCTTGATAACTAGGACACCCATTTCGTAGATCTTCTAATGTTTCTACTTTTCATCCTTTTTCCAAAGAGGTTTTGATTAACAGCAGCCACACAATGCCAAACTTTGATGTTAGACACTGTGCCCCTTCTGGTTTAAAGCAACCATCAATTTGGAAGTTGCTTTTGAAGCTCCTTATAGTTGTCTTTGAACCTTTGTGTCTATGGACTATCCCAACTGAAGGGGTGACAGCTGCTAATATGTCTTATTAGGTAGCTTTGAAGATAAATTATTTTCTCTCATACAACACCAAAACTATATTACCTTGTATTGTTTAAATTGTTTTAATGTTCATGTTATAATCAAATGGACTAAGTCTGAAAGGCAATTTTCCTTGGGCCAAAGGGACATATTTGAGTTAAACAGACTCAAAACACATACTCTTCCACTGAATATAATGTGGTGACATTACTTCTATAGACCCTACTTCTATGCTTGCTTTGTTTAATTGCTCTGATACTAATGACACCTTGGACAAATAACATCATTTTCTGAGTCTTGACCTCCTCACTTTAAAATAGGAGGTTAAACTAAAAAGTCACTACAACGCCCTCCTACTCTTAGAATTTGTAAGTATAATTTAATCCTTATTTTCATCAATCTTGCATAAAAATCTTACCATTTTAGATGAAGTGTTTGAAATGCTAATTAGGTATTTGGAACATCTATTATTTGAAACAATTGCAATTATTATTTCTATGAATATCTTATTTTTTTCAGTTAAATTTTAAGTATTTTAGGGATAGGTTTAATATCACACATCTTTTATATTTTTTCCAGTGCCATGATTTATGAATACATCCATATTATTCAACTTAATAAAATACCTAATTGTATAATATAGCATCTCTAAGATACAGGGAATAGAAAAAAGGAATCAACATTTATTTACCCTTGACTATGGTGGACATACCTGGAAATAGATAATATATTAACATTTTACAGAAAAGAAAGCTTAAGAAAGCAGAAGGAGTACTAGATTCAGAATTTACCACCTCCCAGGCCCCCAAATGTCTGAATCCAACAGACGCACATATTTTCTATTAAAGACATTCAAAAATGACATTTCTTGACATTATTGTGCCTAAATTTCTTTGTTTTACCAGTGTAACTTCATTGCCATGGTTAACTATAAAACTAATATGCCACTGTCCTTCTCCTTTTCAACATACACATACACATATATACACACAAGTGGACATACAGCACATTCATGCACTCACTAGAAACCCTAAGGTAAGATTTATACCACAGAAAAAGCAAAAGAAAATGGGAAATGAAGGTCATTTAAATTGCTCTGCCTCTTAGTCTCTCTTCATTTGATTTATTTTTTACCATTTTTTTCTGATTCAGGAACCAACTGAATTATTACTCAATAAGAAAACATAACATGTAAAAAGGAGACTAAACTATACAATGTTTATTGATGATAAATGAGTGACCCTTTAAATTCCAGAGTGTAGAAGACACTTTAGAACTCTTTAGCTGAGGAGCAATGGAGAAGGAGTAAAGTTAATTTACACATCTTTCAAACTGAAAAATGAACTAAGACCAAGACTTGAGTGTAACCATTGGAAATAGAATTGTGAACTAGGAGTTTGCAGCTTGTTATGATCCAAGTAGATACTCTGATATTGACAAGTAAAATAACAAGGGCAAACATCATGGGATGGGGGAAAATTAAGAATTTTAAGAAGAATTTGCACCCCCCACACCCATTCTCTACTAGCTTTCTCCTTCCACTGATAAAATCCCTTAGGTCTTGACACCATAAACTATTTTTACTATGGCCCTCAAATTGTAGTCATGTTTTATTGATGTGCTTCATTTCTGCCCCACTTCCACGAGCAACTACATATGGCCAGGGTTTTTCATAACCCATTGTGAAAATAACACTTTGATTCAATTTTTTAGATTCCCTAGCCTACAGTTTACTTAGAGCAATCACAGACTTATATGATATTTCAACACAATTTTTGCTTTGCAAATAAACAAGGGGTTAGGCAGGAATACAGTAGGATTGCGATGTTTCAAAAGATTGGGAAAAAGCTTGTGCTTTGCTCCAAGTTTGCAAGATGAGATTTGTCTTATGAACAGTATTAAAATTTTGACTCAAACTCTATTCTTGCCCCTTTATCTACTTTTGATGATGTTGAAATTTAAGTACTGACCATGTATTTAAGAAATTTCTCCTAAAAAAAATATCGGTCTTAGTGTCTGAATCTAGTCTCATTTCATGCACTAATAAGCCATATAATCTTGAGTAATTTGTCTTCTAGGTTTCAGTTATTTCAGCCATAAAATAAGTGCATTAAAATGTATGTTCCTCTCCTTTAATTTCTAAAATCTAAGGATAAACATTCATTCACTCATGTATTCATTCTTAGTTATTAGTAATTGCTGAGGTTTTGTGTTTGCATGTTTTGATTTATTTTGCTTTTGCTTTACACATAAAATAAATATTTTCTTTGGCCTTTCAAGGCAACTTCAAAGAAGGAGGTGCCCCCTTTAAAAAGTCCAATCCTCGTTAAGTCTAACTGCTTACTCTGTGTGTATGCCTGAGAATTTGAACATGATTAAAGAAGATCACATAACTCTACTGATTGATATACTTTAAACTTATGAACATATGAAGATAATCTTACTACATCTTTTCAGTTAATTCTTTTTTGCTGTGGAAAACTATTTTGTACATTCTGCTTTCTTCTCAAACATACAGATTTTACTCTTTAATCTATCACTCACGGCTCATGACATCTTGTTTTTCATTAAGAAAATAGACAAAGAAAAAAATGGCCTCATCTATCCATCAAGTGGCCAATCATCTTACATGCATCTCCGCCCAGATGGTTTTCCATTCTCCTTTGTTATAATGAAGCAAATGTTCCTGCCTCTATCTAAAGCCAACCCTCCCAGATGGGCCATGAAGCTTTATTGCTGTCCTACTACTAGAGGCCAAACATAGACTAAAAATTATTTCCTTGCTCGTCTTTCCCAAATTACCTGTTACTATATTAATAGAAGATCTTTTCATGAATTATGAAGCCATAGTTTACTATGATCTGTGTTGTAAAATCCTCCTTTGATGTAATTCTCTTCTTCTCTACTCCATATCTCTGTTTCCCTTAAAAGGAAAAATATTAAAGTGTTTTCACTACTCATGGTTTCCATTTTGTCACCTCCCATTTTTTCCTCAACTTGCTGTCATTTGACTAACTCTCCACCACTCTACAAATAGCCCTTTGCAAAATCACAAATGACTCCCTCCTTGAGACATGTTCATGTGATAATCTGTCCACATCAAAATAAACTTGTGTTTGCATTTGACATAGATGAGCATTCTGTCCTTCTTAAAAATATTTTTTCATAAGCTTATTAGATGCTGTATGATTTTTTTCTCCTATGTCAGAAGTTATATTTTACCTGTCCAAATTTCTGCCTTCTTTTCTTTGCTCAACACCTAAATCTTAGAACATCCTGGCTTAGGTTTTGTCTTTCTACTCATCCATAGTTTATCCCTTAGTAAAGTAATCTAACCTCATAAATGTAAATATTATTTCCATAATCTTGAATCCTCAAGAATATATTTCCAGCTCAACTGTTTCTTTGAGCTTCAAACTTGTAAACTACATGATATCTCATTTTGGATATATAAGAACATATCAACATCAATATATCTCATTCCCAATTCTTAAATTTTACTCCTAAACTATTTTTTTAACCTGTCAGTGTTTCTTAACTCAGGATGTGGCCCTGCCATCCAGCCTGCTGCTAAGAATCATTATTGGAGTATTTGTCTCAACTATCCATCAACGTCTTATCAATCCTCCCAGAATACATTTAGAATCTGTTCACTACTTACCGTCTAAATTATTATAACTCTAATCCAAGCTGCTGCTACCTGCTATCTGGACTACTAAAAGGGCTTCCCATCCAGTTACTCTTGCTTTTTTCATACTCCATTCTCCACTGATTTTACGCAAGCCAGAATAATTGTTTCAAATTATGTAACTGAGTATATCAGCTCCTCCCCTATCCACCCAGCCCCACCAACATAAACACACGCTTAAAACCCTCCATTAACTTACTATTTCAATTAGAATAAAATAAACGTATTTCTTTTATAGACTATACAGCACATAATGTCCCACATGATCTAGAAAACGCCCTCCTATGTCACTTGATCATCTATTTCCTTCTTTTCTATTCTCCATCAGGCTTTCTTTTTGTTCCTAAAACAAATATGTTAGGATCTTCTCATTTACTGTCTCCTTCCCGACCTAAAATTGTTCTTCCACTGGCTGTCTGCATGTTTGCCTCATTCTCCTAACTCTAATTTGAATCACCCTTGGATTAGGCATTACCTTTGGTAAAGACCCTTTTAGCTGATCTCAGGCAGCCAACACCATCCTAGTTGCTGTAAACGCTCCTTTTTTCTTATCACTATTTGAATTTATCTCCTGTCTTCTCTAACAAGAGTACAAGCCCCTTGTTGGCATGAAATTTGTCTTTTCTACTACTCTACCTCTAGGGTAAGAAAAGACCCTAATGTATATGGACTGAGAAAATGAATGGAAAATGTACACAATTACGAAAACAGGGGATGCTCACAAAGAAGGTCACATCTAGTTTGGGGAAGGAGAAAATGTGGCAGAATGTTACTCTTAAACAGACATGACTAAGCAGGGAGACGTGAAAGTCTAGAATTCTCTGTGGAAAAGTAAGCATTACTATGTGGTCTAAAGAGGGAATGCAGAAAATAGAGTGGAATAGATTGGCCTGGGAAAATGTGAACCCAGTTTGTAAAGTTACTGTGTATGACATACTGAGGTATTTTCATTTTTCCTCAAACACTGAGAAGCAAGCACAACTTTTACATGGAGTGACAATGTGACAAAACATAATCATAATAAGGATAGCTAGAAGAGTAGTCAGAGCAAATACTACACTTTGAAGATCCTGGAGACCAGTTAGAAGGCTTTGCCTGTGGTCCAGAATGGAGTGAAAGAGGTCTGGAGGAGGCAGGGATTAAGACGATGGGGGATCTGCCTTTAACTCAGGGTCTTTGTTTGAGGTGCAAAATATTCCTATTTGAGTTTAATGTTTCATTACCCCCAGATAATAATGATTCTTGATTTATAATTCTGTGAATGGAATAGATGTTAGGTAAGTTCACAAAGTTGAAGACATTTACAAATCTCAAGTTGAAACTACAAGTTAGGGCCACTATTGACTTGACTAAACTTTAGTTTGAAATATCCCTCTAAAAACTGAAAGTAATTCAGCACAATATTCCAATTATTTAAAAATTAGAAAAAAATAGAAAAAGTGCAAATATAGGTGCATACAATGTATTCTACATACACCTTTGTTTATATGTGTGCATATATGATACCTAAGAATGCATATCACCTATATGTATCTATTTATTGATATAAATGTATTAATCCATGCATATATAATATTTATTCATAGATACAGATGATTTATATGACAGAAAAACACATCTAGGCACACCAAAAGAAAGACATATTGAAGAAAACATTTTTTTCCATCCAAAATTTTTAAAAATATGATCTTCAATGAGAAGAAAAATCTGCTTTTTTCAAGTAGGTGGGCAAGAAGACACAGTTTAACTCTTAAATTAACTAGTCTGATGGAAGAATTAGGGTATGACATTTGGAAAATGTGGGGGACAGAAGTCTGGTGCTGTTAAGTATTGTACAATGACAAACACTAAAAGCTTGCCTTAGATTATAGCAGTTGCCCTTTATCTGAAGTTTTGCTTTCCATGGCTTCAATTACCCATGGTAAACTGCAGTCCAAAAATATTAAATGGACAATTCCAGAAATAAACTATTTGTAAGCTTTTAATTGTTTGCTGCTCTGAGTAGCATGATGAAATCTGTACAGTCCTGCCTTTCCCACATGGGACATGAATCATCCCTTTGCCCAGTGTATCTGTGCAGTCTGTGCTACATGCCTATTAGTTACTTAGTAGCCTCCTCTGTGATCAGATACACTGTTGTGGTATCACAGTGCTTGTGTTCAAGTAACCCTTATTTTATTTAATAAAGGCCCCAAAGCACAAGACTAGGAATGGTAGCAATTCAGATAAACCGAAGAGAGGCTGTAAAGTGCTTCCTTTAAATGAAAAGATGAAAATCTCGAATTAATAAAGAAAAAAAAGAAAGCAGTATACTGAGGTTGCTAAGATCTACAATAACAACAAATCTTATACTTGTGAAATTGTGAGAAGGAAAAATAAATTAGTACCAGTTACACCTCAAACTACAAAAATTTCAGCCACAGCGCATGACAAATGCTTAGTGAAGATGGAAGAGGGATTAAATTTGTGGGTGGAAGATATGAATAAAAATGTGTCCCAACTGAAGGCAGTCAGGTTCAGTACTATCCGTGGTTCCAGGCATTCAATGGGGGTCTTGGAACATATACTCTGTGGTTAAGAGGGGGCAACTGTATTGAAAATTGTGAAATTCTGCCTAACAAGCATTGAACACAACAATTCAGCTACCAGTACCAAGTTAGCACTCCTACTGCATGAAGGATAGCAAAGACCAATCAATCACTAGAAGGAAGACCCCAGAGACCTCAGTCTGCTGCATATGCTGCAGGTTCACAGTCGCCAAGGAAGACAATCCACAAGGCATTGGTCTGAAAAATGCTTTACTCACACACAAAAAGATTTCAGCAAGATCAGAATCTGTAGTTGCACCAGTTTCCCATGGCTAACAGGTCCCTGCTGATAACCAGCACAAAGCGATGGACTTCTTGCATGCTTCTTGTGCTGTAGGCAAACGACCCCATTTCTTCTTAAGGGGACAGATATACCAGTGAGGCTGGCCAGATGCCATGTGACTTACATGCTTAAGAACAACATGGAAGTTCAAGACCTTCCCAGGGCAGGAGAAAGTTTTCTCCTAATAAGGAAAAATAATCTGGAGCTATATGATAGCTGGGCACCAAGCTTCCATATAGAGGAATGTTCCAGACAATCCCCAAGAGGGCCAGCAGGTCTTGTCATGTTTGCTTCCTGAACAATGAGTAATTGGGCATAAAAAAAATCTCCAATTTTTAGCTTCTGTAGGTGTTGAAATTGCTGTAAAATGTGAACATAATTGTGTGTATTTGCTCACATAGCTAAATGCTTACTTAAGACATGCAAAAACTGTAGTACTAAGGAGATGCAGGGTTTACTGATGAGATTGCCTAACGACACATCAGATAGAATGATATGGTATTAACATGCTAAAGATTAGTAAAATGTATTAAAAGTAATAATAAATCTTCCTCCTAAACATGCTGTGAAGTGATGCCCATTCTAGGCACAAGAAGGGCCAGATTGGAAATAGCCTAAAGATTGGTGCATACAATGAAGCACACTTGCTCTATACATTCAGAATGTGACTCATCTTTCTGGTCGTTTTAAATTGTTGTTCAATCTCAAGATGGGAATAGACAGCTTTAAAGGGTTTCTAAAATAAGGACACATAAAATGTCTGCTTTTCAGCAGTGGAAAAATAATAATCCTCCCCCTCCCCACCAAGAAAAGCCTTTAGCAAAAGAGCAACTTAGCATATAGACAGTCTCCCAGTGACCTGCCACTTAGCTGAGAATAGGTTGGAAAAAAATATCAATGCCAGTGAAAACAGCTTCAGATCTAAAACTTCTACTCTATTAATGCTTTTCTTTGGCAAACATAGAAATGAAAGGCAGAGGGAGGAAAAGCTGAGAAGACAGTGAGGTATGAGAAACAAAGAGCAGTGTCTGTTTTTATCCAGGGCTTTGCCACAGCCTCCCTCATTTCCTGGCCATTCTTATCCAAGAAGCCAGGTGGAGTGGAGTGCAAGCAATACAAGATTATCTCAGACAATGAGTAGTAGTGCATCAGAGATAATCTACGTGCAATGGATCAATAGCATGATCCTTAAGATAGAGAAGTGGCCAAATCAAATGGGCTTTCTGTTTGCTTTGTTATTTAGGCTTTGAAGCTCTATTTTAAAAATTTCACTTTGTCTTGCTTCTTAAAGGTGTTCATGCAGGTAAAAGACCATGCATTCTAGTCTGAGCTAAGTACCCCTGTGCCTAATAAAGGCAAGTCAGTGCTAATTTGTAGCATGGCTGTTTTAGACACAAAGGCACAGTTTGAGATACACTGAGTTGTACAGCACTCGTTAAGTATCAAATAGGAACTGATTTTTTTTTTTGTATTCTTTGGAAATGTGTTTGGACTTTGAAAATATTTCTATTTTAACTTCAAGACTAATCCACCTCTCTTTTGGGTTCCACCCTGAAAAAAATTGTATTTATATCATGATATCATGCACTCACCCTCCAACTGACTGAATTCATCTAGAGTAGGCAAATTTAGTGTGGACTTTGCCCCATTCAGCACAGATAGAATCCAACTGGAAACAAAACAAAACAAAACAAAAAAGTGTGTGACTCACTTTATGTGTTTCTCTACATCTCTCACCTTAAAATTCATTTTCTTTTCTAGTTTCTTTGTGGCTATATCAAGGTTAATCAAACAACTTTGATCTATAATCATTTGTTTGCATTTCTAGGATTCAAACAACAAAGCAGTTAGAATCCTGGTTTAGAAGAAATCATGAAACTTTACATTTCTTTACACAGACTCCTCTAAATCTTGTTTGAGAGATAATAATTAGTTCACGTTAGGAAGTAAAGGGAAACAGAATAGCAATTACATGTACAAAAGAAGTTGCTATCTTTGAAATAAAAACGCAAGATCTCCAGAAATAACTTCTTGGCCTGAGATTCCACCAGAAGGCAGTCTTTTATTTATGAAGTCACTGAGCTGGGAGGCACCAGACTCCATTCTGACCTCTGATCTGGTATACGCACTGTGTAATCATTAGCATAATGGTTGAATGTCTTCAAGGAAGAGATCTGGTCATGACTTTCAGTAATCCATTTGAATCCTGAAAAATAGCTTAGTTGTTGTAACAGGAGAACGTTCTAAACATAATATTTAGTAACTTTTTTTTTTCTGGTCACCATTAAGTACAGCACCGGTTCTCAAAGTGTGATTTAAGTAGCCTCAGCATCAGTTGGAAACCTGTGAAAAATTCAAGTTTTTGGGCCCCAATTTAGACCTAGCAAATCAAGAACTCAGGGAGTGCAGCCCAAAAATCTGTTTGTTCACAAGATGTCTATGTGATTATGAGTCTCACTCAAGTATGAGATACACTGGGCAACAGCATGGAGTCATTGATAAACACAGGAGCTGACTTATGCTAGTTTATTTATTTTAAAAATATTAAAATAGAAAAGTAGCCAAATTAAAGGGCCTGTTTGCTTTGTTACTTAGGCATTGAAGCTCTATTTTTAAAATTACCCCTTGTCTTGCTTTTAAAAGGTGTTCATGCCAGTAAAAGCCCACGCATTCTAATCTGGGCTAAATACATAGGCCAAACAGAGACTTTGTTAATCTATTTGTTGTACTAAATAAGACATACATTCTCAGTATAAGTAATATCTTTCCCAAGCAGCAAAAATTATTTTGTGGGGGAGAGGGAGCCAGAAAAAATTCTTAGACATCACAATAGTTAGTGGCCATCAAAGGGCTGCAAAACAAAAACAGTCATATAGTATACCTGTGATATTAAAATTTCATGAGAGAGGCCAATAGAAAGAAACACTAGACAGTCTCCTTAGGGGGTCAATTCTGGAAAAAAAAAGAAACAAACACACACACACACACAAATTGAAACTTCCTAATCTAAGGCAACCCTTGATCCTCTAATTTAAGAGATATTTTATTCCTAGTATTTTCTCTTTCAGATTCTATAGACAAGGTACTAGGTAATAAATTTTGGTGAATTAGAGTCCATTTTAATTTAATGATAGGTGATTAATTCCACAGTGAAGGTATCCCTACATTACATATATAACAAGTAAAATTAATAAATGAGATAATATCTTTTATGGGTAAATCTCTTTAGATTTTGTGTTCTTTGCAAAAATAATTTGGTTTCTAATTATTGTCTTCATTTTTCAGATTATAAAATCAAAGATCTGAAAGATTGAATTAATTCATCCATTTATTTATTCTAAAATAATTTATTGAATATCTGGTATGTGATAAAAGCCATTCCAGGCATAGATGATTAGCAGTGAGCAAAATGGAAAGAAATCCTTGCCCTACCCTTCTAGAGCTCACATCCTAACAGGAAGATATAACATAAATGAGGTAAATAATTAAAACATATAGATTTATAAAATCAGGGTGTCCAAACTTTTGGCTTCCCTAAGCCACAATGAAAGAATTGTTTTGGGCCACACATAAAATTGTTTTGGGCCACACACTAACACAAAGGATATCTGATGAGCTTTAAAAAAATCACAAAAAATTTATAATTTTTAAGAAAGTTTATGAATTTGTGTTGGGCCACATTCAAAGCCATCCTGGGCCACATGTGGCCCATGGGCTCTGGATTGGACAAGCTTGTTTTAAATGGTGGCTTGTTAAAGAAATAACAAAAAAGAGGTCTCAGTGTTGGTGGTCAGGCATGGGGACTGGGCAAGGAAGACTAACTGGGAAAAAGTTCAAGGTGGTACAAAGGAGTGAGGTGGGGCTCCATGGAAAAGCCATGAGTTTTAGATATAGGACAGCAAAGGTGAACTACTAGCCATAATTTTGGAGAAAAAATTCCATGCAGCACAAATGAGGGACAAGGAATAGCAAAGTCTAATGACAAGGCAAATGTTATAGAAAGAAAAAGAAGTGACAAGATTAGAGAAGTATGTTGGGAAGAAACTGTAGAAGTCTTCAAAACCCAAATAAATAGACATTAATCTTTCTAAAGCAGATAAATATTGAAGGTGTTTAAAGCATAATTCAAATGGTGTGTTGATCAAATAAACAATAATTACTAGGCAACATATATTAGAGAGAAGAGTAGGCAGAAAGGGCAGTCAAATACCCATCACAGTTGATTAGACTATAAGCTCCCTAGAGGGTGGGATCTGTGTCTATAGAGCAGTTAATTTCCCATAACAGTTAGAACTACGATCATAAGTTTTAGATACCCAAGAAATATTTGTCTCAGAATTGATCTAGACACAATAATAGAAGGGCTGGAACCAGTATTCTGCCAATGTGGAAAATACTGCTGCAAAAGACCTTATGAATCAAGTATTGAATTAATTCAGTAACTATTATACATGTGCAAAACAAAAGAAATTCCAGTGGCTGAGTCTGATTGAGAATTATGAAAAGACTTATATTAACTGAAATTGTGAATTTTGAAGGAAGATTGGGGTAAGAAAATAAATTTCAGAATATCTTAATTTTAAGATTGTTTTAGGACTTCTGAGGTGGAAACTGTATGGATGTGGTTGGAAAGGAGGTCCTGTGAGAAGAGAGGGTTTTGGAATTACCTGTCATTATAAGTGCAGTGGTCGAAATGATGAGTTTGGGTGGTACCTGGCCAATTGAAAATTATCCTTCTATCACTTTCAAAAAGTCACTTCTTTCTGACCTCAGTGGCATTTATAAAATAATATCTTCCTAAGCTAAAATATAATATTAAGACTTTATGATTTTTCATAAGAGTGGAAGACTCAGGACCAAGATGTTGTGAACAAAGTCATATGTAAAAGTCAGAAAGGGGAAGAGGAGATGAAACAGGAAGCAACAGAAATGAAAGTATCTCAGAATACATTTCTGCCATTAGAGCCAAGAAGAGAGTTTACAGAAGTGTAAGGTAATTGGGGCTATAAATGCCTGAGACAAAAGCAGTATCAGGTGACAGCTATTTGGTGACTAAGAAGTCATCAGTGATCTTTGTAAGAGCAGCATCATTAGAGTGATAGGGCAAAAGCCAGACATCAGAGTGCAATGGAGCATACAGCAAAACGTGAGAGCCTCATTAATCATTCTGCTTGCCTTGACATGCTTCTACTTTTCTGGAGCTCTCAAAAGTCATCATGGATATATATACATACATATATGTGTGTGCGTGTGTGTATATATACACACACGCACACACACTAAGAAAGATACAGAATCTCACTTGAAATTCAAGACATCTATCCTTCTGCCTTAGTCATTAGATACTAAGACTGGATTTCTTAAATTTCAAAGTGTCGCCACTTTCCTATGATTTTACATATTCAATACTTAATACCCCTACAGTGATGAACAACGTGTATTTGACTGACACAAGATGGGAAGTACTTTGAAAGTCATTATTCTAAATGCAAAAAGATTTTGAATAATTCTTCAGTACATCAAGGCATTTATCACATAAGCAATTATCAAATATTTTGTAGGGGAAAAAGTTAATTTAAAGCACTTCTGATGTTCAGTGTTACTTAGAACAATTGTGAACACATTGTAACCCTCCGATACACCTACCAACCTCTATTGACCTTTCTGAGGTCAGAATGAGCTTCAGGCAAAATTATGCTGCCCTAAAGGTTTACTTTTGATAGCCCTAGCTCCCAGCTTTCACTATATTCCTTCCTACCTTTGCTGTTCTTCTTTCCTTTTTTTTCTTTTTTTTTACTCTTAGGTGGCTATGTGCTCCCATGCTCCCAGCTCACTCATAAGTAATTCCAGGGGATTTTTTTCACTGATAAGAGCTCAAAGTATTAACTCATAGAAGGTATTTGCATTTCAAAAATGAACTCAGGAAGACTAAACACTGAGATCCAAAGTGGAAATGTACAGAGATTTAATCTCAAGCATTGGTGACATTGGTATGGAAGAGATATGAGAACACTGCAAACATTTGGCACCCCTCAAATTGTACCTTATATGTACCTAAGTCTTTCTGGGCAGTCTGTTGCAAACTATAAATTATTAATATTTGAGGAAAAATATTTTGTTTTCGCCTAACCTTGGAAATGGTGAAGACTACCCTTCAGTAACAAATTCTAAATAGTTCAACTAAATTTACATAAACAGTAATTTCCACCTCTGAAGATGTCTATTAAAAAATATTTTCTTTTTAATATTTTCTTTTAATAAAGAAAAACCATAAAATCCCTTGTCCAGTCAAAGGTTTAAACTTATTTCAGTACAATAGGCATTGGAATATATTCAACAGAGTCAGCGTTATCTCTTGTTTTACCTTTCAAGGAGTTTCTGGCTTCTTAGATATCAAGGGAATTAATTTCCATCATGAATTTCCTGTTTCATCAGTAAGAGCCTATCATGTACAAGGTTGATGCTGCATCGACAGAAAATTTCATATCTTTAATGTAGAATCATCATATTGGTCTCGTATCTTTAGAAAAAAAAATTATCTTCCTAGACTTATTTTAGAGGCAGTGTGGCATAGTGGGGTATTTGTTTGAAAATAACTGTTACTAATTTTCTGTCACCTTAGACACATAACTAAACTTCCCTGAGCTTCAGTTCCCTCATTTATAAATATAAAGTTTTTTTTCATTGTGAAAATAAATGGAGAGTTTTGCTAAATGCCCTCCAAAATATTCTTCTCTCTACCTGGATACATCACTTCTCTGAACGATAGAGTTCTAACAATTCTCCCTCTAGGAAAAAAATAAAAAAAGAAAAACTAAATAAAAAAGAAGAAGAAGAAAGAAGAAAAAGAAAACTTTCACTCTGATGATCATGTCTAATTCTCTTATTTTCCTGTTAAGCTTGTTATTGTTCAAGTAGCGGCTGTTCCTCGGAAGCAGTTTATTTAATGTAACACTGCTCTAAGCTTAGATCGGGAAAAATAAAATCATTTCTGAATCTCCTAGGTGAGGCTAGAACTGAGCTGTGAAGTATCAAACATACGGTTCCTAATTTAGTCCTCTTTTTTAAGTGGGGCCTCCTTCTCATACAGACCTTGATGTATACAAGAAAACAGAACAAAGCCTGGATGGGTAAATTGTGACTGGGTAAATTTGTTATGCCATGCTTCTTTTTTCCAGTGACTTTTATCCTGTAATAATCACCCCTCTCCCATGTGCCCAACACCCTCAGTGTAGCACCCTCCAGACCCCTCCAACACCTACTCCGGCTCCAGGTGCCCACCCATAAATAGTGCTTCATTGAGGCCCGCCATGATGTGAATGTTTCCCTCAAGGGAGTTGCCTCACTGTGCTAGGTTTCATTCACGCAAGGACCCTGAGCAGTTATACTAGCTAAGTGGGGAAATATTCCCAATATGATATAAATGGTGAATATTTAAATAAGTCCTATTTTATTCACTCTCCCTTAAATGCTAAAGTGTCAACTGTATATCACTTTGGCTCAAATGATTCAGTAGTTAAAATACCTACAACGTGGTCATTGTACTTTTTTTCTTTTTTTGAGCCAAATGCTTATGTGTATGGGTTTATTGTAGAAGCATATGTGGAATACAGCTCTCAAGTTCTTTTCTAGGTTTTCCTTTCACAAATCTACGCTGCTTGTACCTGGAGTCAAACTAAACTAGTCACAGTTCCCAGTAACAGCTGTTATCTCCATTTACAAAGTAAGTTCTCCAATCTACTTAGATTTAAAATGCAGCTTGAATTTAACTTTTCTGAATCTCCTCTTTTATAGAATTTTGTGTGTAGCTACCTCATAAGATTGTGAGAATTCAATAAAATAATGCATGTAAAGCACCTATCATGGTGACTCAATAAATGGTAATTATTATTGCATGACTCACTATATCTTTTTTCATCCTTTTAGCACTGAAAGAAAAGTTTTACATAACTATTAGTCAAATTAATGAAGAATTGAACTAACCTAGTTAGTATTTTTCAATTGATTAGCTTAAAAGTATAGAAAATAACACTAGAGATGGGGAATGGAGAAAGAAATAATATTCAAAATAAAAATTAGCAAATCCAAGCAATTTCAGCAGATCCCTAGCAGATTCCATGTAAAAGACATCCAAAGAAGTGACAATTTATCCTCTTTCTAAATCAATTTTCCTTTCCAAAGGAATGTTTAATAACTAAAACAGTGTTGTAGACATGGCTGCCTTATTTTTGCAATAGTTTTGTGCCTTCACATTTTTACAGAACTCCATCAGCTTTTCAGCTTTTCTCTTAAAATCCTTTCCTTTTCTCATTAGTCTGTTAGTAATCATTGCTTTCCTTGGCATCTCCATTTTGTCAGGTTATTATGCATTCCTCAGCATTGTGAAAAAATGAAAAGTGGAAAAATCACATATTTTTCAGCTGACTTAACACTGCGTAAAGCACTGAAATTATTAATTGAACATCTTGATTATAAATTAAGTGGAAATAATGTTGAAGAAGCAGCCCCTAGTCAAATAGGATTATTATTAGGGCTACACATTGAATGATTTGAATTTCATCCTGGTAGTAGTAAATACAGTTAATACCAGTGAATATGAGCTCATAGATTTTGGCTGAATATCAACCAAATCAAGCAAGCAATTGCCTTTGCAATTTTGAGGTTTACATCCTAAAATCATGTGACCGCTGCATCTTTGCCCCTATAACTGCTTGAGAACTACATCAAGTTTAGCCAAGCTAATAGCTATCTCCCTTCTGGAAACATTTAATCCAAAATCACAACATTTTTAAAACCTCAGTAAAATTCACTCCACTAATTTCAAAGAGGTGATAATCCAAAATGAAGCTTGATGAATGTTCACCTTTAAATAGTACCGTGAAAAATGTGTTCATCTTGGGCAAATTAAAGCATCATCCACACTTTAGCAAATGATTAACTTGCTAAAGATAATAAACCAACTTGAACCTCAGAGTAAAATTTACTAGCATATCAACATGCAATGCTTAATTACAAGCTACTTTTATCTGTTCTTTGAAGCAGGACTGGAAAGATCTCTATCTAGCAATATTTTGCATGTTATTTGGGATAGGTTTGGTTAAGGTAACAACTCTCAAAATTCCAGTGGCTTAAAACAATAAACTTTTAGTTCATGCTTACATAACATTTCTGTGTAGGTGCCAGATTGCTAAAGGAGCTCACTTCCACTGTCATGTACAGACCCTGTGATGGGCAGTTTTATGCATCGGTTTGGCTGGGCTATGGTGCCCGGTTATACAACCAAGCATTAATCAAGGTGCTGCTATGAAGATACTTTGTACATATGACTAACGTTTGCAATCAATTGACTAAAGAAAGAAGTTTATCCTCCACTATGTGGGCAGGCTTCACCCAATCAGTTAAAGACAATCAGGGCAGAATTGAGACTTCTCTGAGGAAGAAGAAATTCTGCCTCAAGACTACAGCATCTGCTCTGGCCTCAGGTTTCAGCCTGCTGGCCTGCCCTACAAAGTTCAGGCACACTAGCCTCTACGATTGCATAAATAAATTCCTTGAAATAAATTTCTTTTTTTTATTTTTTGTGTTTATATATACATACTACATATGTGTGTGTATGTTTGTGTGTGTGTATATTGTCAAATCTTACTTATTTGTTTCTCTGAAAACCCTATTAAAGAACCCCCACCACCACTCCAAGCTCTTTCCATCTGCTAATTCTGCCATTGTCGTCTTCCTCTTTTAACTGGCAGAGGAGAAAGAGCACAGAAAAAGCACACAGAGAGGAATTCATTGAAAGGTTTTATAGATCTGGAAGTAGCACATAGCATTATCTGTTTACATTCTTTGTGAGAGACCTGGTTAAGCCTAATTGCTAGAAAAGCTGGGAAATGGCACCCAGATGGGTCCCAAAATAGAGAACAGATTTTGATGAACAAAATCTAGTTTGTCTCTATCAAAGTAGTCTCTACTAAAATTTTTAATAATATTATTTATAACACAATTTGAAAAATTACATTTTTGTTATTTTAATTTGAGATTTTCTATTTTGTCATTTAATAAGAAATTTAAGGTAAGTCTCAATTTGGCTGAATAAAAGTAGAGGGATTGTCATTATAGGCTGAAGGAATAGAGAAATCTTGAAGAAAGTGAGAAGGGTAGGAGGAAAAGAAAAAAGGGACCTGCAAGATAAATAGACAGGATACACCTTTCTGGAATTTGTGATCTGATCTTATTTGCCCTTCCCCTCTCTGTTAGTGTATCATTACCTTGGTGAGCCGCCATTATAAATGGGAGTTGCCTATTTCTCATGCATGTTTAAGCAGCAACAACAAAAAGTTAGAAAAACTGGCCTGGATCTTGGAGTAAGTGAGGAATGAAGAAAAATAAGGCTAGATAAGTATAGAGTCAGTCACCTCAAGATATTAAATTTTACTGTTCAGACAATGGAGAGTTAATGTTAAGCCTTTAAAAGAGGATTAATTCATCAATATCACATGTTACATTTACCATTCTGCTTTATTTAAAACTAATGGGACATGGGAGAGGCATGAATGACATAGATCAGTTAGAAGGAAGATTGCAGTAATTGTATAAGGAAGAGCTAAATGCCTGCATTGTGACAGGGGTGGTGGTAATTAAAAGAAAAGGAAAAAAAGGAGTGACATTATGGCAGTAGCATGAATGGCACTTAATGGCTTATTGGATACAGTGGTAAGAGAAATAAAATATTTTAAAATATTGCCTAGGTTTCAAATTCTGGTGATGGAAGTCTGGTGTAACTTAATTAAAATTAGGGTTACTTAACTGGTTCTCTGGAATATGCTAAGCTTCCCAGCAGAGACAGCCAAGGCACTTGGCCCCTCTTGTGGCACATACGGTGGGCTGTGGGGGCCCAGAAGAGAGGGTGAACCTTACAGGAATGTCCAGTTTCCTTTGCCATGTTCAGACCTCTTGTATTACTAAACCATACTTCATCACTCCAGAAAGACATTTAATGTTCATTAAGGAGTTATAAATAGGTTGCTCCCTTATCAAACTGGCAACTGGGTCAATTTCATACTGAGTCATTAAATGTCTTAAGAACTGGTAATCTATCATGCTTTAATGACAACTTTAAAATGGTATTTCAAAACCAAAAGATTTATATCCCATTAAGAGATGATTGTAATTTACTAATATGAGACTTGGCTCACCCATTGAGAGCTATGTTTTAGGGAGAAGGGCTGGGGGTAACTACTTTGTAATATTGAAAACAGCTCACCATTTTGGATATTAATTTTAGAGCCAGCATTCACATAATTTGTGTCTCGGCAGACACACAGATAGCCAATATATGATAACTTCATCAAATTTTGAATGGAACATTTTAACTCAGAAACGTAAACCGAAGGGGCTGGACCAAAAAGCAAAGTCAAAAACAAACATACAAAAAACTAAGGCAATATTCTAGCTACTTAAAAGTCAAATAAACACATATGTAAATAACAAAATAGTTCTGCATGCTATTGATGGGAACATATGTATCACATGATCAGTTCCCATGTAATTCCTCTTTCTCACTTAGGGATTACTGTGGATGAACATAGACATTTTCAACGTTGTCCCTATTTACCTTGTCCTTTTTCAGCTTTGCTGATGGCCATGGGGGTCATTTTGAGAGATGGAAGCCTCAGTATGTATTCTGCTGGTAACAGTTCTCCAGAATTCACAATATTTATATAAATTATTTTTCTGTTAAATAAAACTCTCTCTGTCTTAACTATTCTTGCCACTGTTGCTATTACTCTGTAGCTATTAATTATTTTTTTATCAAACTCTTTACAGTTCCACATTGGTATTATGTATCATATTGTTGAGAAGATTCATTCTGAGTTTTTAGAAAAATTATGATTCTTCTTTTATCTTTTTACTTGTATTGATTCACTGAGTTAATTATCACTTGATCTAATTTTTCCTTGCTAACTAAATCATTGGGTTATTCCCACTTGTGCTAATCTTTTCATCAGTCATTGGTGTCGTTTGCTTTCATGTGTCCTACCTCTAAAAGTGGAACAAAACTTTAGTCTTTTATTTTTTGACTTCTATGCCTCAATTAATTACTAAATTGTTTCGGTGTCTTTCATATCGTGTTTCCTAAGAATTTAACTGTTGAATCATATAATCAGGCACTTCATGGTATCTCAGAAGTTGGTACCATGATGACTGTAGTGCTGCCTCACAGATACTAGTCTCACTCCAGTGTATTCCAAAGCAGGGTTTTCCTCTTTCAGCTCTCTAACTCAATGTCTCTTCCTCACAAAGAAGAACACTGGCTACAATTTAGGAAGTTTCAGGGCTCCTCCCTTAAAGGTATGATTCAGAAACATATCTTTATTTTTCAGTGCCTTGCTTGCCTCATCCATAAAATAGAAGTAATAGATTGGAGAACCTCCCAGATCTTATACAACTCAATGTTCTTATGTTATGGAAATAACTTCTGGACACTCAAGCAAATAAAGAGAAAACTCTTTCTCTCTTGGTCTTTTCTTATTTTTCCTCTCAATAATATTTTTCTTTCTTGGACCTGGAGTAATGAATAAAATAACTGTATTTTATTTATAATTTTGTTGGTTGATATTTAAATGGTTCATATTTTCCACAAAACGGAAGCTTTACCAACTTAAATATTTTTAACTATGTTTTTTCCCTTCAGTTTTCTGTTTACAAATTGTAGTAGGGAATAACAAATAGTTTCAAGTCGTGCTTTAGGTTGTGGGGACGTAGTTGCAATTCAACATTTGTAAATTACAGGTAAAAAAAAAAAAAGACAAGGTTTTCAATTCAGAAACTAGCAATAAGACTTTGGATGACTGATTTAATTTAAACTTTAATTTACTCATCTTTAAAATAGTCTACTGCTAATGTATATTCTAGTTGCAGCATTCAGTAAACCTACAAATTATTTGTCAGATTAACAATGCCACCTAAAAATGTAATGCCACTTTCATTAAAATATTTTTCTATATGATATATTAACTCATTTTCAAACTATGAAGGAAGAGAATCATTATTTTTAATACAAAGGCATTGGTCCAGGAAAGCGAAATGAATGGTTCAAGCACACAACTACCTTGTCATTGCAGCCTATATAATTCTCCTTTTCTCTGATTTTTTGTCTGATTACTTTTATATACCAGAGCATAAAGTTCCATAAATTTGCTTAATACAGTAAATCAATGATTTTTATGTAATTTGTAGTTCTGAATTAGTAATCAACTAATTTTATGCACCAGACCTAACTAGGATCTCTAATGTTTAACTGAAGATGCAAATGAATAACAACAACATAAAAAGTGATACTGAGGGTTAAGAAGTATTCCCAGCCTCTGATGGTCACTTTCTGTCCAAGAGTGACTAGAAGGAAAGTAGAATCATTAAACTGCTAGTAAGAAAATTATATACAAAAAAGTTTAGTTATGCATGTAGAATTAAGTAAAACTCTTTTTGTCACTGAGGAACAATGTTTTAGGAAAATTTTAGAATGGTAGCTAATGTGCATAACTATAATTGGCTGTGTAAAAACTGACGAAATTTATAGAAGTTACCTCTTTATTTTTTCTTGTAACACCTTATATTTCTTTACCCTCAAATTTTACAGTAAGTAATTCCAAACATAAACACAAGGCCTTAGGAAAGCAATAAGAACAGAAGACAACCCAACAGAAAAATGGGCATTAGACTTGAACAAGCTACTCACAAAGGGGATATTTCAATAAATAAGGGTTTAACTTCATTGGAAATAAAAATAAGGGTTTAACTTCATTGGAAATTAGATAAAAGAAAAATAAAACTGTACTGTGATACCACTAAAATGTGTCAGATTGCCTAGAGTGTAAAATTGAACTATCAAATATAGGCAAAGATGTCAATCAACTGGCACTTTCATGTGCTGCTGGTGAAAGTGTAAACTGGTACAACTGCTTTGGAAAACTCAGGCAATATCTAGTAAAACTGACTTATGCATGCAGGCCATACATTTTACTCCAGGGCATATATTAAAAAAAATCTACGAGTATGTTCTCCAAATGGCAAATAAAAGATTGTTTATAACAGTCTTATTTATAATAGTGAAAAACTAGAAACAACTCAATTACACATCAATAGTAGAATGGAGAAATAAACTGTGGTATAATTATACAACATAGTATATATGTATATATACTAGAGAACTCTATATAACCTCATAAATATTTTTAGTGGACAAAATGTTGAACAAAAGAAGCCATACACACAAAACATATATTGTATAATTCCATTCATATAAAGCTTAGAAACAAGCAAAACTAATGTGTTAACAGTCAGAATAATGATTACCCTTGAAACAAAAATAGTGACTGGAACAGGCATAAGGAATCACTTTGATTATTGATTACATTCTGGTTTTTGGTTTGGGTACTGGTTACATAACATATTCAAATTGAGAAAATTCCTCAAGCTGGATATAATTTGTATACTTTGTCCATATGTGTACTTCAAAAATATGTACATTAATAGATTTTTCCAGGAACCCAAAATTATCCATAATTGGAAATTTGCATCTTCAACATCAACACAGCCATTTTTCTTTGGGTGTGATTCAAGTATGAGCTGAGCTATGATTAGGTCAGTGAGCATTGTCCATAAATGTACTTCCAATGCCAACCCCAGAGTTATTTATACCTTTTACAGTTGCATATTTATTTTTTAAAATCATTTCTTGAAGACACTTACTTCACTGCCTTCTTATCAGTTTTCCCTGTCTATTCTCCTTCATTTATATCTCTTTGATTGTTATAAAGGAGACAGTTTTTGGCCTGGTGCAGTGGCTCACGCTGGTAATCCCAGCACTTTGGGAGGCTGAGGCAGGTGGATCACCTGAGATCAGGAGTTCGAGGCTAGCCTGGCAAACATGGTGAAACCCCATCTCTACTAAAAATACAAAAATTAGCCTGGCATGATGGGGGTGCCAGTAATCCCAGCTACTCAAGAGGCTGAGGCAGAAGAATTGCTTGAACAAGGGAGACAGAGATTGCAGTGAGCCAAGATCGCACCACTGCACTCCAGCCTGGGAGACAGAGCAAGACTGTCTTGAAAAAAAAAAAAAAAAAAGAAGAAGACAGCTTTTTTAGTAATATAAATATAAGTCATTATGTACAAGGAACAGTTAAGAATTTTCCACAAGAACATTTAATGTTAATATAATTTTAAATTATCTAGGTCTTCGACAAAATCAATTTTGCGGAAGAAAGTTCAGTAGTAGAAAGAAAGACAGCCAAGTATTATGTGCTTCATGATGGAGGTACATGACACCACCTACAAGTCTCATTTTCAAAACAATCAAACCTGAATCTAATTAACTGTCCCGATCAAAAATTGGTCAGTTTTGGCCAGGCACAGTGGCTCACACCTGTAATCCCAAAACTTTGGGAGGCTGAGGCAGGAGGATCATGAGATCAGAGATAGAGACCATCCTGGCCAACATGGTGAAACCCTGTCTCTACTAAAAATACAAAAAAAACTAGCTGGGCATGGTGGCGGGCGCCTGTAATCTCAGCTACTCAGGAGGCTGAGGCAGGAGAATAGCTTGAACCTGGGAGGCGGAGGTTGCGGTGACCCAAGACCGCGCCACTGCACTCCAGCCTGGCGACAGAGCAAGAGTCAGTCTCAAAAAACAAGGAAACAAAAAATTGGTCAATTTTACAAAATGAAGAAGGCAGAGAAAATATGAAGCCACGCTATGAGAAATGTGATCAGAAAAAGTCAGACTGTGAGCAACTCTACATGCCAAAGATTTGAATTTTTAAGAAACAAATAATTTTCCATAAAGGGAAAAAGTGAGGGAACAATATATAGATTAACAGATAATACAGAAATATCAACGATCACATTCTTGAATATTGATTAAATAATTAAAATTTTAAACATGTTTTAAGATAATTGACTTGTATAATGAAAGGAATGATTTTTTTCTTCCAGGTAGCACAGTGGGATGATGATTTTATTTTTTTATTTCCTTACCTTTTAGATATTTATATTGAAATATTTACAGTTAAAAAATATATGACGTCTGGGATTTGCTTTAAAGTAATACAGGATGAGGGGAAGGAAGGAAAGTAATATAGATAAAACAGGATTGGGGAAGAGTTAAGAAAAGTTTACCATAGGTGAGGTGTTCATGGTGGTTAATTATAATATTCTTTACTTTTGATAGGTATGAAACTTTCCATGATAAAATTAAGGAATAAATTAAAGTACGTAGTAAATAAATTAAAGCATAGATCTGGCTCCTTGAGTGCGCTTGAACTTATACAGAGTTATCAAAAAGATAATTACAGTGGCAAAAATGTGAAGACAGATATTAGACTATAGAACAAATGCATGGATGCAAATTTTTAATTCAGAAACATCTCATTTTAAAAGTGATTATTCCTAAAAGCCAAGAGGTAAGACAAGGGCAGATGAGCATTCACTTGTTTGCAAAAGCCAAAAACAAAACAACACATTTCTTCACTTTATGCCTTTGTGAATTAGCCACAACATGAAGTTGTTGGAGAAGAACTTTAATTTGATACCTTTTGTGCTTTGGGGATACTTTTTACTGGGTTAGAAATGCTGCTGTTAGAAAAATCAGTGTCACCAGTGAAGTTATGTTGACCCTCTGGGCAAAGGTGAGATGAAAGGGTCAGGCTGAGAAATGAAGACAAGAGGCGAAATGTGCAAAGAGGGGAGCGAAATGTCAGAGAAACTTTCTTTTTTTAATGAGCTGGATTTTCTTTCCTGTACCCAGAAAGGCATGCTAAGTTTTGTCTCAGGAGATGCGTAGAGAAGTGCCTTTGCTGCCCTCTGCTAGTACTCTGATCATCAGTGTCAACAGAGTAGCCTTGCACGCCTTTGGTAGCAACAGAGAAATTGAGAGCCATTCCAGATCTGCCCAATTACAGTTTATGGAGCCTGGCCTGGAGAAAGCAAATGATCAGCACTTTCTCCTTTCACGGTCTGCAAAGGTTCACTCTGTCCCAGATAGCTTATCTCCAAACAAACAAACAAAACAAAACAAAACAAACTTACAAGATTGTTTTATTGAGAATCAGACAGAAGACTTGGGCTGTGATTCCCAATTTGCCACTTTTTCTCCCTAAGTTTGAGTCTTTTAATTTGTAAATAAGAGACTTGAAACAATTTATCTTGGGGTATTTTTTAAACTCCATTGGCTTTTAAATTTGCATTCTCCAATTACATCTGAGAAGTGTGGGCAAGCTTCTTCATAACTCTACTTTTTGAGAGTAAATAAGAGCAGAGGGAAGAATTACAGAAAAAATCCTAGGATGACTCTCATATATATGTTGTACAAGATTTGTTTTGACTCCGTTCTGTTTTTGTTTTCTTGCTTGTTTGCTTTATTCTGTTTTGTTTTCTATGACTACCTTATCTATTAGATATTACAGAGAACAGAAGGTAATTTTCTTGGTAGGAGAGTAGACTATTACAAATCATCCTACATTGTGACTACGTAAATAACCCTCCCCTAATTTTTTTCAACACTAGTTATCAGTCAATGTTTCATTCTTTTAAAATCCATCTTCCTACGCACAGAATTGCACCTCACATGCAAGTCTAATCTTGACAATCCGCTGCTCAAGCACATCTCTGGCTCCCATTTCCTAGAGGAAACTCTATACTTACCTTAACTCTTTCTACCTTTCTTTTACAGAAATTTCCACAATTCCTAATGCAATTGGTGTAATATACTTCGCTAACTTGGAATACAAAGACCAACATAACACAATTATTTTTCTCACATGCTCTTCTTAGTAGCAAGTTCCCTATCTGTCTCCTGACACCGCTTGGTCCTGAATTCCCCAAGTCCCTGAAGGATTACTCAGTTAAAAAGAGTAATTCCAAATGCTGGGCATAAAAGGAGAGACTACTGAGATCCCCAAGTAATAACTTTTTTGTTTGCCCGCGGGTATCTCTGTTAAATATAGCTTCTACACAAGGGACTATGGTTATGCGCCTTCAATCCAGATGACTTTTAGCCCATACTTGTGCTAAAAGATTACACTCATGTCCTCCAAAGCCGAGTTTTTATGAATATAAGACTGACCACCTGGAAGCTTCAAGTTTCAGGTACATGTTTTTCATATTAGTTCTGCCTCTTGAGTTCTGAGTCCTTACTTAGTGTCCAGATCAACAGCTGGTATTGTTTCCTCACAGTGACTTACTTACCTTAAAAGATCTTTTCTTTGCTAGTGAACATCAGCCAGATTCATTCAGTCAACTCTGACAAGTTTCTTGAATTTTAACTGCTAAAGAGGAGAAGTTGAATTCTAGTTATATTTTTCCCATAAGTGTCTTGGTACCTTAGGAAAATTGTTCCATCTCTTCCCTTGAGCTTTGTATGCCAAAATCAGTGGTCATTTTAGCAACACACATGTGTACACACACTCAAGATGCAGCTATATTTTTTCTCCATGCAATAGGTTGCCTGATGATGTTGGCTTTATATATTTACAGAAGGCCATGCAAATGTGTGTATGTGTGTTGATTTTTTTCCCTCCAAGAAAAAAACATCTGCTCCAAGGTGAGTAGATGTAAAGAATGTTTAATAATTACATTTTATCTTGTAGTTATTATAATATTTAGATAGCTATTTGTGTAATTATTGATGACTGTCTTTCCAACGGATTAATAGTTGTGTGTGTATAGGAATAGTAGTATTATTGTTCACCAGCATCAGGCAGATGATACATGCTCAAAATATATTTGTTGAATGAAGTAATGAAGAGCATATAGATCCCCAAAGAGTTTTATAAAATATAAACTGTACATCAAAAATAGGAGGAGGAATTAGTAGGTGGAAGCTAAGGTGTGCACAAAATATTGGAAGTCCCTGACTGAAGCATAGAGTTGGAAGAGGATGGGAAGGTAGATTAAAAACATGGAGAGTTATCTTGAGACACTTATAAGCATTATAATGGAGTTGGACTTTATTTTAAGGTCAGTGGAAATATTTTCCAGAACAAAAATTAGAACAACGAGTTTTAGAAAGATCACTCTGGCTTTAAAATTGGAGATGAATTGAAAATGACCAAAAGTTGAGTTCACTACAGTAACCTACACAAGCAATCACAGAACCCTGAATTTGAGTAGCAATCAATAGTGTTTGAACAACTAAGTATATACTTAGAAAGTGGATCTGGCAAGAATTTATAATTGATTACAGGTTGGGGTGAAGGAAAAAGACAAGTCAAGGTTAATGTTGAGATGTGCATTAACAACTGAAAGGATATGGTGGGAAGCAGGTTCACTGTGCACCGGTTCCCAACTTACCTGAGTCTGGTGAAACAAGACAACCACACACACAAGTTACATGCAGCAGATTGATTACTTGCAGATAGATAGCAGGGGACAACAAAAGTGTAGCATTCATTGTGAGCTGATCCTCTAGGGCTCAGGAAAGCTGCCCATGGTGGATGATATCTCATTTGCACATAACTCACTTACCTATCTAAGGGACCTCAAAGAGCAGCTCCTCTCCAGGTTTTATGCCCCAGGATAATGTGACCACTGGGCTCAAGGGTAGAAGAACACATTGTTTCTAGGGGAGCCCTGGAACAGAGTGCAGCCTTTTCAGGACAGTCTCTCTCAATCTCAGGATGTTGCATTCCCAGCACATTCTAGTTGTTCTTGAGAACTGTAAGTGAGAAATGAGGGAGAACTGGGTCAGTCCAAGGCCCCTCCCCTGAGAAATATACAGCAGGTGGTCCCATTCATGGTGGCAAGAGAGGAAACATAAAAGGAGGGAGTTGGAAGGAGAGGAAGAAGACTGAATTCACTTTCAACATTAATTTTGCATTCTGTGTACGGAGCTCAGCAAAGAGATCTAAGGTCGGGATGCAGATTGGGGAACATTCAATATATGTCTCAGGAGTGGCAAAAAGGTTTACTCTTGTATTTGTACTCTAAAATATTGTAACATTCTTGGAGTGCTGAGTTGAAAAAGGACTTTGAAACATATTCTTTCACAGTGGGGGAAAAAGGTGTTAATTGATTAGTAGAGTTTTTGTCTTCACGTAGAAGTGGGAATGGAAGCATATTTGTAGCATTAATCTAGCCTGATCTGGATTTTAATTGATGTCATAGGATATATGACATCAAATGAAGCATGTGTGTAGAATAAAACTGAAAAGCAGTTAGGTAAGCATTCTGAAGTACCCCAAATCTTAGAAACATAAAGACAAATGCTACTTTCTAACGATTTAGGGAATGAGCAAAGAAGTAGTCTTTTGTTATCATTTTATCGCTGCTGTGAACTGAGTGAGGTTAGGGCAGGCAGAGACCAAAATCCTAAGAAAATGTTTTGGTGCTTCTTATCTTTAATGCTTTTCTTTTGTGTCAACAACATTCCAACATTCTCTCATCTGAGACCAACATATTTTTAATCTAAGACAGTACTGTCCAATAAAAATATAACTCTAGCCACAAATACAAGCCATATGTACACATTTATATTTTCTAGTAGCCATGTTATTAAAAAGATTTTAAAAGGTAAAATTAAGTTTAATATTATCTTACCCACATATATTCAACATGTAATCAATATTAAACTATTAATAAGCTATATTTTGTATTATATCTTCAAAAAAAATCTTTTGTGTAATTTACTCACAGCACATTTCAATATAGACTAGCCACATTTCAAGTGCTCAATAGCCCCATATGGCTAAGTACTACTGTATTTGACAGTGCATATCTAACCCTATAAGGTATTAAAGAATCCCTAATTTAAGCTGCATCAATCCTCTATAACCTTTGGCACCAATTGCCATAATGTACTGACAACTTGGTTCTCTGACCAGGTGCCCATCCATGTGTCAGCCTCAATGCCTGGTCCAATTCTTTCTATTAACACCTTGCTCAGGTGCTGCCTTGGTAACCCCCTGTCTGGTCCTCCCTCACAGATCCTTGTCCTAATCACTGACACTGTCTTGCCAGCATTCTGAGCCACATTACTTACTGCCAAATTTTTTTTGTGGATCATTTGGTTACCTATCTTCCTGGAACTTTCTATTCATAAATTAATTCAGCATATATTGATTGCCTGCTGCATTCCAGGCCCTCTGGCACTTTCTTTGTTCTCTGGATACACCATTCTCATAGAATAAGTAAGGGAAAGAGACAAATAGTAATAATCCAATAATCACAGCACTACTGTAAATGTCATTTGAATGAAATGACATGAGTGAAATGATATGAGAGAACAGAGAAAAGAAAATGTTACTTGTTTGAGGGGACCAATTAATGTTTTCTGGAGCAGAAGTTACTTGGGATGAGTTTGATGGATAAATTGGGCTCATTTGAAGCCTAACTTCTGTTCCCATTGATATGTCAATTAGAAGGAAATTTGGCTGTGTATAACCCAATACTCAAATTAACAGTAGCTTAAACATAGAAATATTAATGTTTATCAGAATAAAAAGAATTCACTTCTTAGTATAGTGTGGTTGCTGAGGATCCGACCCTTGTGCTGGTGGTCCAGGCAACAGAAAACGGAAAAGATTAAAGTGAGTTCACCTCTAGGCTGAGATAATGTGGATTAAAGGAGAGTGGTCAGTTTATGGGGAGAGGAGGGCATATAAGGTTCCAGAAAAGAGAGACAAAAGAAGATAATCAGCCAAGAAGGCAGCAAGTTAATGTCATGACAGTAATGTTGTGATTGTAGAAAGAGTAATACATATAAAGAAATATATTCCTTTGGGATAAAACAACAATAAAATAAAAACTCAACAGGTACACAATAATACACTATATAAAATTGAAGTATGAGTTTTTCATTGATTAGAAGGACAATAATTATATCAGGGATGTTATTTTCAATAGCTGTGTTTTTCCAAATTTATTTTCCCCAACTGGAAGATGTCCAGAAGCCCTCATTCACTTAGAAGGAATTTGGCTGTATTTTTTTTCTGAACTAAAGAAACTGTTTGAAAACTTGGACTGTGTATTTATGGGTTGCTTTGCCAACCTATAGTGGCAATATCTTTTGAGACACTCAGCGGGGTTGACTTTGTCAAGTGTAACAAAGAATATTTCAAATACTGGGGGCTTGGCAAAATCCTCAGTGAGGTTTGCCAGGTGCTGTTCCATCAATTTTTAATGCCCATTTTTTTAAGAGACATTTAATCCATACTTATTTCTTACTGCTTTACTTCTTAACTCATCAAAATGTTATATTTCAAGAGCTTTTTGATGTGTATGGTACCTTTGGGCTTTTTTCTCCCTTCTTCAAAACAGGAAGTTATGTTAGCCAAAGGGATTTTTTTTTTTTTTTTAAAAAGGAGAAAACCGTTGAATGTTGAAAAGGGTATTGGTTCTGATTGCAAAAGCCTTGAGGTTTGAATTGGTGCTGAACATGAATGAAATTATCATCAAAGAAAATAGGAAACTGATTTGTGTGTGGATTTTTAATATAATGATAGATGCAGCATCAGAATATATCACAAATTATTATAGTTTGAATATGGTTTGTCCCCACGGAAACTCATGTTGAGGCTTGGTCTCCAATGCAATAGCACTTGGAGGAGGAGACTTTAAAAAGTGATTCAGTCGTTAGGTTGGGTTAATGTCTTTTATTTATTATTATTATTATTATTATTATTATTATTATTTTGCAGCTCTGGTTAGTTCTCATAGGAATGAGTTAATTCCCTTAAGAGTTGGTTGTTATATCGAGGTTGCTTCTAGTGTTTTGTTCTTTTTGCACAGGTGTCTCCCTTTCCATTTTGAGATAGCATGAGAAACTCCCCAAAAGCTGTCAGATGCAGCTGCCCAATTTTTAACTTTCTGCACAACAGAACCGTGAGCTAAATATACCTCTTTTCTTTATAAATTATCCAGTCTCAGGTATTCTGTTACAACAACACAAAATGAACTAAAACATGGATTACTTAATCCCATCCTCCACTGAGAGCTTGAATCCCCTCTGTAATTGATCCACGTTATTGTCATAACTCAACTTGAATACCTCTGGTAACAAGAAACTCACTGCCTGCTAAGATGAATTTTTTTCTCCAGAAAAACAAAGAGGTTATAGCCTTAAACTCTTTTCCACTGTAACTCCTATCATTTGGCTTTTACTTGCTTGATGAAACAGAATCCATGTTTTTTTCTCTGCTACATGACAACATTTTAAATGTTTAAGGACAGCTATGCCGTCTCCCTGGTTCTCATATTCTCTAAGTATAAAATGCCACATTCCTTAAACTGTTTACATGGGAAATTTTATACCCATCCAATAACCAAAGAAACCCTTTCTATGCACCAATATTAGTTCATGTTGCTTTTGACCATTGTCATTTAAAATTAAATAATCTATATGTTGTGCCATAAGCTAAAATAATAAAAGAAATGCAACTCTATTCCTGTATATTTTCTTTCTATTCATGCAGCTTATATTCCTCCACAAATCTCTATTATCACTCCACTCATTTGACACACATACACCACACACACAACACACACACACACATCAGAAAAGGGACAGGCGCAACATGCTTAGCATGTGGCCTTAGAGACTGTTTCTAAGATTTTATTTAGACCTAAAATGGGTATTCAATAATTAAAACTGACAGTGAATCCAGGCAATATATATTACATTATATCTACAAACATAATGTGTGAATACATGCACAAATTTATACATATATAATGAAATAATCTAATATCTATACAATCTGAGGTTATGAATAGTAAATACCTATATACATACATATATATACACACATACACATACATATATTTACCCCCATAGACTCACATTCACAGCAGTAAATGTCTTGAATTTGCTAAATAATTACATCAGGTTTACTACTGAGTGTAACAGCATTTGAAACAAATCAGCCTAAGTGTTTTATTGCGGCACTATTCACAACAGCAAAGACTTGGAACCAACCCAAATGTCCAACAATGATAGATTGGATTAAGAAAATGTGGCCCATATACACCATGGAATACTATGCAGCCATAAAAAAGGATGAGTTCATGTCCTTTGTAGGGACATGGATGAAGCTGGAAACCATCATTCTCAGCAAACTATCGCAAGGACAAAAAAACCAAACACCGCATGTTCTCACTTATAGGTGGGAATTGAACAATGAGAACACTTGGACACAGGAAGGGGAACATCACACACTGGAGCCTGTTGTGGGGTTGGGGGAGAGGGGAGGGATAGCATTAGGAGATATACCTAATGTAAATGACAAGTTAATGGGTGCAGCACACCAACATGGCACATGTATGCATATGTAACAAACCTGCACTTTGTGCACACGTACCCTAGAACTTAAAGTATAGTAAAAATGTATATATATATATATAAATGTATAAGGGAAGGGCAGCTAGGTCACAGAGATCTATGGTACTCATCAGGATAGGTTTATCAGATTTTACACATGCCATGTGGACTTCTCAAATACAATCTTGTTCCCTTGATCTAACATATGTTAATAGGATGCAAAAATTAAAATGATTGGAAAAGAAAAATCCCTTGTTTCCACTATTATCTACTGTTAAAATCATCCTAAACTGTACACAGGAAGTGTTCTTGAATTTCTTCAGCTGAAATTCTTCTCTTTCTCCTACATAGATCCATAGTGCTGTATTTCAGTTATCATATAAATCAAATGTGGTGCAGTGTCAGGAATCTTATTTTACACTAAAACAAAAAAGTCTCTAATCCCAGTGCCAGTGTTAATACTAGGTAACTTGTACAACTTACTGTATGTGTTCTTGACTTGGTTTCCTAAAATAAGAATAGGATCTTTCTCTCAGGAGTGTGTGTGCGTGTGTGTGTGTACGTGTGTGTGTTAGACAGAGAGTGAAAAAGATAAAGAGAGGTCAGACGAACAGAGGAGAAATTGGTAAGAAAAAACCACCAACACTTACCTTTTAAATATTTGATGACAATTATGTTGTTTACTATAATGTATGACCCGTAGTCAATCTTTAATATATATTTACATTTTATCTTTCCATAGCCAATGCATGCTTTGTGTTGGTCTAGTCGTCTTTATTGTTTGTCTGTCAAACCACTCTTAGTCACCAACACAAACATTTCCTCTTGGCAGTTTACTAAAGTTTCTAAAGCACAGATTTGACCAGAGCTTCATTCTAATGAAAAAAGGATTGTTGTATGTATTCTCCATTCCCTGAATTTGCTTTTCATATACCCACAGCTCCCCTCAAATCCCCAGAGATTCCGCAGCCTTCGGAGAAATTAAAATCAGATACCACTAATAATTCTATAATATAATAGACTTCAGAACCACCACTTAAACCTAACAGCCAACAGTGTATGTAATTATAAATTTCTAGAGCCAATTACATTAATATTTAGGATCAAGCTATTTGTCTCCTTTTTTTGAAAATTCTAACAGATATGACAAGAAAAATACTAGTGGGTAATAATTGAAGAGAAAAAAATAACAAATTTTAGATGATAACAATTATTTTTCAGTAAAGCTAGAATATCTGTTGAAAACAGAACTGTTGAAGTAGCATAATTAGGTAGAAAAATACAGAAAATATATAAAAATTATTAAATTTATATAAATTATAATAACCAATTATAAAATATAATAAAATTATATTTGCAAGTGCACACAAAAAAACATAGCTAAGAAAAAAGTTAACAAGTAGTCAATTGGAAGTTATCTAAACATTACTAACTTTTCTGATGGATATAAATGTATCCTAAATAAATTTTAAACACAATATTGTAAAAATGCCAATTCTCTCTAATGAATTTAAAAGTATAATGCAATTTCAATAATAATTCAAGCAGGATTATTTTGAAAATTAACAAAGTGATTATAAAATATGTGTGTAAGAATAAATGGATAAGGATGTCTTGGAAAGAAGAATGTAATGAAAAAACTTTACTACTTATTAAGTGTTATTACACAACTACAGGGTTTTGCACATTTATGTGTAATGTGGAAAAAGCAGTCAAAGACATGGCATACAGGTAGTGGGACAAGAGGAATATGGATTATGACACTTACCGTGAAAGAAAATGATTAAGTCTATGGTGGGCAAGCCAACCTAACAACACACAAGGGAAAGTGAAGCAAAGAGAATATTCAAGATTTGAGATGAGGGTGGGAGTGGGGTAGATACATTCTGAAGACAGAGCATGGTACTTAAACCAAAGTGACTAAATTTTGAACTTGTCTATGATTGGGATATTTAGGTTTTGCTGACAAAAGTATTTCTGGGGCAGAATGAATACCCTTCAGTAGATTAGAATATGTTGCCTACTAAGGAACAAGATTAGATACATTAGAAAAAATTAAGGAAACATTTTCCGACTCTCATTTATGACTGTCCAAGTTATATCTCTTATACATATACACCAAGTTCTCTATAATAAGCACATATCTCCTTCATAAAAAGTAATAAACATTATATGAAAGATCATTCCAGCAGATCCAACCAGAATAGCAAATCTAATTAGTAATTTTTTTTATTATACTTTAAGTTTTAGGGTACATGTGCACAATGTGCAGGTTAGTTACATATGTATACATGTGCCATGCTGGTGTGCTGCACCCATTAACTTGTCATTTAGCATTAGGTATATCTCCTAATGCTATCCCTCCCCCCTCCCCCCATCCCACCACAGTCCCCAGAGTGTGATGTTCCCCTTCCTGTGTCCATGTGTTCTCATTAACTTTCACAAACAGAAAAAAGGGAAAATACCTGTTATGTTCATAAAGTAATATCAAAGGGAGATAAATCAGCACTTGTCAAGCTTTTGCAAAACTGTTCATCTCGTTGTCACATTTGGGTAAACAAATTAGAGCAGTGGATAAAAGGAATAATGCTCCCTCACACAGCCTCTCTGATACATACATTTATTTATTAGGCTATCAGAGAGAGCTAATCTCAAAGGATTCACTTAGTAGTAGAAACTATTGCAGAGCAGAAAGCTTATATAATCCATTATTAGTTAGAATTTGTATCAAAACACCTAATTAAAAGTTCCTTCTTTCTTAAACTGCTTAATGAAGAGCTGCATCACGACTCCTGAAGTGAGTCTGGGGTTTTCCAGGATTTAAGGATGAAGGAAGTAAACACATAGCATGATATCTTATTAACCATCACACCGTTCCATGGGAGTCAAAGTAACACAAGCGTTGTTGTGTATTGCAGTAAAATGGGGAAGGATCGACTACTAACTATATAACTTAACTCTTAAAGGAAGCTGCTCTTTTCACTGACCTTTTCCTCCCTCAGATATAGATTTTTAAGTTTACTTTCTCTGTTATTAGCATTCCCTCCTCCCATTCTTTTCCCTAAGGGCATTCACTTAAATATATGATGTACACCTTTTTTTTTGTTGTTGGTAAATTTTCTTGCAAAAAGTGCATTGTTGATTTTTTTTTTTTTTTTTTTTTTTTGAAATGGAGTCTCACTCTGTTGCCCAGGCTGGAGTGCAGTGGCGCGATCTCGGCTCACTGCAAGCTTTGCCTCCCAGGTTCACGCCATTCTCCTGCCTCAGCCTCCCAAGTAGCTGGGACTACAAGCGCCCGTCACCACGCCCGGCTAATTTTTTTTTTTTTAATATTTTTATTAGAGACGGGGTTTCACCGTGTTAGCCAGGATGGTCTGGATCTCCTGACCTCATGATCCGCCCGCCTTGGCCTCCCAAAGCGCTGGGATTACAGGCGTGAGCCACCGTTCCTGGCCATGAATATAAGTTTTAAATTTGTGTATATTACACTTTTCTATAGATGTCAATCTGTTACTTATGTCACCAGCATTCTTGCTGCTTTGTGAATTTCTAGTTCCTTGCATCAAACTGCAGAGTTCTCCGTGGAGTGTATCCACCATGTTTGACCTGGTCACTCTGCAGGTCATGGATGCATTCCAGACTTCCACTACTACACACAACAATAATGTGGTAAGCATCTGTTTACATGCTCCCTTTTGAAACATGTGAAAATTCCTTTGGAATATATATCTAAATGGTAAACTGCTAGCTCATATACTGGCCAATCAATGAACATCTTTCAGAATGCTGTCTAGAACAATTAGGCCTGTGTACACTTACACACTTATATCACCTCATCTCTGGCCACACTTGACATTGTCTAATCTAATATCTGTACATACATGCAAAGTGATATTTCAATTGCATTTCTCTAGTTATTAATGAATTTGAGCATTTCTTCATATGCTGCTGGAATTTGGGCCTTCTTTTTTCCAAAGCGCCTGCATCCTCTGCCCATTTCTCGATTGTAGTTATTGTCTTTTTCTTACTTATTTTCAGGAAATCTTTCATATTCAAGATATTAGATATTTGTCATTTTTAGAAATCAAAAATATCTTCTCCCAATTTGTTATGCATTTCTAAACTTTGTCAATGGTATTTTCTGTTCGGTAAAAATCCAAATTTTTAATTTTACAGCTTATGATTTGGGAATTTCTAAGTAAATATTTAACCACAAGATTATAAAGATGTTTTCTTATATCTGCTCCCACTGATTTAACAGTTTTAACTTTTAATCATTTGGGGGTCCATTTGTAAATGGTCTTTTGGATATCTAAATTTATTTATCTCTATATTGCAAAGCATAGAAACATCTTTTATTTTCCTCACTAATTTAAGCATCAGTTTCATTATGCATTAAATTCTCAAACTCACCGTATTTAAGTTGTCTGTCTCTAAACTCTGTTCTGTGTCCCCATTAGTCTATTTGTCTGTTTTTGTGCTAATTCAACATTAGTTTATATCACTATATCACCGTAGTATGTCATCATTTTTAAATTTTTGATATAGCAGCCTATTAGACAATGTCATCATTTCTTACAGGGAGTCTCCCCATCCCAATTCACACTTTTTCAAGGTTGAGTTTATACTTCCATATAAATTTCAGAATAAATTTATCAAGCTCCTTTTAAAAATTCAATTTAACTTTTGACTGGTATTGCTTTTAATATATGCATAATATGTTAGAACTAGTATCTTTAAAAAATGAAATCATCTTGGAGTCTGAGGCAGGCAGATTGACTGAGCTCAGGAGTTCGCGACCAGCCTGGGCAACACGGTGAAACCCCGTCTCTAATAAAATACCAAAAAAATTAGCCGGGTGTGGTGGCGTGCACCTGTAGTCCCAGCTACTTGGGAGGCTGAGGCAGGAGACTTGCTTGAACCCGCGAGGCGAAGGTTGCAGTGAGGCGAGATCACACCCCTGCACTCCAGCCTGGGTGACAGAGTGAGACTCTGTCTCAAAAAGAAAAACAATTAAAACATCTAACCCAAGCATATGGAATCAATTTTTATTATCTGCTTTATACTGCAATATTAAATTTTTTCCGTCAAAATTTTTATATATTTTTGATTAGAATAAATTGTTAAGTACTTGATAAATCATGTTGCTATTATAGAAAACACATTTTGTATGCTGAGTTCTGGTTAGTCTATTATGCTTAACAACAGTAGTAATAGCATTATCTCTATATTATTATATTATCTCTATATTGTTCCTGATCTTAAGAGAGTAAATCTAATATTCTTTCAATATTTTGCTATTCATTTGCAGTATAGAACCCTCGCCAAATGAAGGCATTCATGACTATTTCTCTTTGAAAAAATTGCTTTTTAAATTATAAATAGATGCTTAATTGAAAAATAATATACAGTTAGAAAAATATACAGGTCACAGAAGTACAGCTCATGAATTTTATTGCTGCTTTGCTTTATTTTTAAATAAACTTTTTATTTGGAATAACTTTAGGTTTACACAAAAGTTGCAAAGATAGTACAGAGAGTTCCCAAATATTCTTTTAATTTATGATCTGAATTATTATGGTACATTTTGTCAAAACTAAGAATCACTATGCGTTACGGTTTCTAAATTCCAAGTTTTATTCAAGTATCACCAGTTTTCCACTAATGTCCTTTTTCTGTTCCACCACCCAGAGCAGGTGCTACATTACATTTAGTTGCTGTGTCTTCTTCGTCTCCTCTGGATGGTGATAATTTTAATGTTATTCTTTGTTTTTCATGCCTTTGACAATTTTGAGAGGTACTCGTCAGATAATTTATAGAATTTTCCTCCATTTGGATCTGTCTGATTTATTTTTTCATGATTAGACTGAAGTTATGGGTTTCTAGAAAGAATCTGTCAGAGGTGAAGTGCCCTTCCCATCACATCGCATCAGGCAGTATATAATAATCACATGCCATCACTACTAATGTTAACCTCCGTCACTTGCTTAAGATTTTGTTGCCAGGTTTCTCCACTGAAAAGTAAGCCTCTCCCTTCTCCTCCACTGCTTTTAACACTCTGTTCTATGGAAAGAAGACATCAAACCTTTTCCACACCCAAAGGGGATAGGGAGGATGAAGTTCCACTTCCTGGAGAGGGGAATATCAATATAGATCATTTGAAGTTCATTTGTTAGGAAGACTCATCTCTTCATCATTCATTAATTTAATCATTTAATTATATCAGCATGGTTTCATGTAGAATTAATTTATACTTTGGGTTATAATGCAATGCAAAGGCGTTTCCTGTGGCTTGTTATTGCTTCAAACTGAAATTTAGCCACTGGGAGTTCCTTCAGGTTGGTTCCTGGGTTATTTTGACATGTCCGACCCAGTATTTATTTATTTATTTATTTTCATAAATAAAATAACTTTCCAGCTAACAAGCTATTCCTAGCCCATCTTCTATGTTCTCTGTTTCAGCTTTAGAATCTGCCTTTTCTAAAAGAATTCTTGATTCCATTAATTGTAGAATGGTATTTCAAAGCTAAGATCTGAATCCTGACAATGTGTTTTACTACTGGGAGATATGAAACTTTATCAAAAGCTTCTTTGACACTTATTGAGATAACCATATAACTTTTAAATATTTTATTCTACTATAAAGACAAATTATATTATATTTTATTTATTGGATCATCCTTGTATCTTTGTATAAACCAAGTTTGATTATGGAATATAATTTTAATGTGCTTTAGGGTTCTTTTATTTAGTATAATTTTTGTTTTCTTTATACATAGAATTAGCCTGTGTTTTTATTTTATGTTTTGTTATACTGAGTCTATCTACATATTGTAAACAGGAATTATATTCACTTCACAAGTAAGGTAGGCAATTTACTCTTATTACATCCTAGAACAATTTATATAAGATAGAAATGATCTGTTACTTAAAATTTGATAGCCGTCAGCTGTGCCTGAATTTTAGAATTAAGAGAGGGTTTTCACCAAGATTTTTATTTATTTGATAGGGTTTTCACTAATTATTTTATCAAACTGGACATTTTATATTATTCTAGGAATTTATGCATTTCTTTTAGGTTTTCAAATGTAAAGGCACACACATTTTAATAACAGACCTCTTATTTTTGTCTCTGACATGTGTGTAACTATTTCACTATTTTTGTATTTTCTTTATTTGTATTTTTGGCCTACTTTTTCATTCTTGCAGTCTTTCAAAACTTCCAAGTTCTTTCTATCTTGCTAACATTTTCATAAAAGTAGCATTTTATTTTGTTTTTCCACACTTTTTGTTTTTTATTTTGTTGATTTATGCCTTTACATTTTTTATTATTTTTATTATTTTCATTGTGGGAGTTAATATAATTATTATTTTTCCAGTATTGGAGTTGAATGTCTAACTATTTTGATTCATGTCCCTTTTTTTTTTTTAATCTTAATATAAAGGTTCTGGCCAGGTGCAGTGGCTTACACCTGTAATCCCAGCACTTTGAGAGGTCAAGGTGGGCAGATCACGCAGTCAGGAGATCGAGAGCAGCCTGGCCAACATGGTGAAACCCCATCTCTACTAAAAACACAAAAAATACCTGGGCATGGTGGTGCATACCTGTAATCCCAGCTACTCTAGAGACTGAAGCAGGAGGATCATTTGAACCCAGGAGGCAAAGGTTGCCGTGAGACGAGATCACGCCATTGCATTGCAGCCTGGGTGACAGGGCGAGACTCCATCTCGAAAACAAAAATAAAAATAAATAAATAAATATTCTGCTGCATTTTACAAATTTTGACAGGTTGTATTACATTAATATTTATTTCTATGTGTTTCTGAATTTTTCTATTATTTTATTTTTAACCATGCAATATTTAATTATATGCTACTTAATTTCTTCAGCATATGAAATTTGTTTAGCTATTTTTAGCTACTAGCTTTTCACTCTGTAGGATTATGTTTAAAATATGAGGAGTCTTCAAAAAGTTTTTAGAAAATTCATATTATTAAAAAAACTATGCATAGATTTCAAATTTTTTTGCACCAAAGTAAACTCATACTAACTTGTTATGACATATCTGAGTAGTATCTAAGAAGAATATGCCATTACTTTGAAAAGAGTAACATGAATTCTGCTAAAATTGAAGCAAGACTATCAAATTCATTGTGTACCTTGGGTGGAAGAATGATGAAATCACTAATGCCTTATTAAAGTTTATAAAGATAATGTCCCCGAAGAAATCAGCAATTTACAGTGGATAACTTGTTTGAAGAAAAGACAAGTCTTCAGTGGCAGACCATCCAAGTCAATTGAAGAGAAAATAGTTAATCTTGTTTGTTCCCTAATTAAAGAGGACCAGTGAGTAACAGCAGAAACAACAGCCAACACTATAGACTTTTAAATTGGTTCAGCTTACACAATTCTGACTGTACAAGTGAAGTTGAGCAAAGTTTCCATTTGATCGGTTCCAAAAGTGTTCCACATAGATCAACTGCAGTCAAGAGAGAGTTTTCTATGGAAATTTTCAAAAAGAGGGATCAAGATCCCGAAGGATTCTTCAAAGGGTTGCAACAGAAGATGAAACATGGCTTTATGGGTTCAATCCTGAAGACAAACCACAACCAAATCAATGGTTACCAACAGGTGGAAGTAGTCCAGTCAAAGCAAAATTGAACTTGCCAGAGCAAAGGTAATGGAAATAGTTTTTTGGGGACATTCAGGGCATTTTGCTTCTTGACTTTCTGGAGGGCCAAAGAACAATCACATCTGATATTATAAGAATGGTTTGAGAATGTTAGCCAAAGCTGTAGCAGAAAAATTCCCAGGAAAGATTTATCGAGGGTTTTTCACCACCATGGCAATATTTCTGCTCATTCTTTTCACCAGCAGGGCAATTTTATGAGAGTTTCAATGGGAAATCATTAGACAGCCACAATATGGTGCTGATTTTTGGCTCCTTCTAACTTCCTTTTGTTTCCTAATCTTAAAGAATCTTTTAAAGACACCCACTTTTCTTTAGTTAATAATGTAAAAAATATGTATTGACATTGTTACATTTCTAGGACCCTCAGTTCTTTAAGAATGAACTAAATGGCTGATATCATTGCTTATAAAAGTGTCTAGAACTTGATGAAACTTACATTGAGAAATACAGTTTATTTATTTTATATTTTTATTTTTTAATTCTATTTTTTCATGAACTTTTTTGAAGTTTATTCATACATATTATGTGTGATATTAACAGTTTGAACTTATTGAGACTTCCTTTATAGGCTGATGGTCCACCATTTTAGTGACAGATACATAAACATTTGAAAGGAATATGGATTCTCTTACTTGTGTGTATAAATATACATGTTTATATAGTTATAGCTCAAGTTGATTAGTTGTGTTGATACACAGGGCATTAGTTTTGATGCTCTCATTCTAAGATATTAGGGTCAATATCCTCTATTAGATTCCTGAGATCGTCCATCCTCCAAGCATACTAACTATGGATGAAGCACACCTCTTCCCTAAAGCCATCCTCTCTAGCTCTCTGACTTTCTGTTATACTGTGTACCAATTACATTTTAGGAATATATTCAGTTTTACAGGATGTTCCCTTATTACACCATTGGCGTAGTCCATATTTTGGAATTTCTATGTTACCTGCTTTCTTGTATGTCTTTTACATTTTTCTTCAAACACATCATTTTTAAACAAGTATATAAAAAATAAATATACCCACTTCTCACCTGTCTGACAAAATATTTTTAAAACCATATATTTTGTTGATATTTTGATTAAGTATAAAATACTTGGTTCATGAAGTGGTTCATTTAGAACATTGACAGCACTACTTGGTTGACTTTTAGCACATTATATTACTGAAGAAATGTTCGACTTTACAAATTCCTTATAAGTTATTGCTTGTGGTCAGCTGAACAATGGCATCACAAGATCTTCATGTTCTAGTCCCTGGTACCTATAAATATATTGCTTTATATGGCAAAAGGAACTTTTCAGCTGCAATTAAGGATCTTTAGCCAGAGAAATAATTCTGGGTTAATCAGGTTGTTTGTTTCTTATTATTGAATTTTGAGTGCTTTTAAATATACTTTGGATACAACTCCTCTATCAGACATGTGATTTGCAAATCACAATCTATTTTGGACTTTCGATCTATTTTTTTTTTTTCCATTTGCTTAGCAATGTATTTCAAAAAGCTGTAATTCTAAATTTTGATGAAGTTCAGATACTATCTTTTTAAGTACTTCCTCCTTCTAAAATATTTTTGCCTATGTCACAAAGTTTCCTCAGGTTTTTTTCTGAGTTTTCTTCCAGAAGTTTTATAGTTGAAATTTTTATATTTAAATCTATGTTATGATATATTTTGAATGAAAAAAAATTCTTTTTCTATTTTTTACATACATATAAACATCCAATTGTCTCAGCACCATTTTGTGAAATTTATTAAATTGATTATTGTTTGTTGAAAATCAATTGATCACATGTGTGGATCTAAACCTGTTTTATTTATGAACTTGTCAATCTTTTTTCCCTTGTATCTTCTCTCATATATTATATTTGTCAGTCTTAATGCTAATACTACATTCTCTTGGTTGCTGAACTTTTATAATAGATCTTGTAAGCAGATAGTTATGTCTAGACAGCTTTTGTCTTCTTTTTCAGTTTTTTTTTTGTTTTTGTTATTTTAAGACGTTTATATTTTCATATGAATTTTAGAATCAGGTTGGAAATGTCCACCGATAGTCGCTGGAAATATAATGTAGATTGTATTAAATCTATAAAACAAGTTCAGGATAATTGACAGTTTGATAATATTAAATCTTTTGAAAATGAATGTGATATATCTGTCCTATTTTAGGTCTTCTTAGTTTCTCTTGGCAATATTTTACTTTTTTCAGTGTATAGTATCTTTTATAAGATATATTACTAAATATTTAACATTTCATGCTATTGTGAATATTATTTTAAATTTCATTTCTGAATGTTTCTTTCTAGTATACAGATAATCATTCGTCTTTGTATATAGCTCTTGAATCTTGCAATATTGTTAAACTCACGTATTAGTTCTAGTGGGGTTTTCTTTAAGTAGATTCAACAGGAATTTTTATGTAGATGATTATGTAATCTGAAAATAAGGCAGTTTTAATTATTGTTTTGTAATCTAGATGATTGATATATATATATATGTATTTCTTGTATTTTTTTCTACTGACAAGAACCTCCATTACAATGCTAAATAGAAATAACAGCAGGCATGTTTGTCTTGTTCTTGATCTTAGAGAATAAAGTGTTTGATCTTTCACCATAAAAAATGAGATGTATGTCTTCTCTCTGATACACTTTATCAAGCTGAGGAAGTTTCCTTCTGGTACTAGTTTGATGAGAACGTTTACTACAAATGCGTGGTAGAATTTATCAAAAGCTTTTTATGTGTCTGTTGATATTATCACCTGTTTTTTCCTTTTTAGTCTGTTAATACAATAAATCACATTGATTTATTTTTGAATGATAAAACAGTCTCAAAATCTTGTTATAAATACCAGTTGCTTGTGATGTATTATCCTTCTAATTTATTGTTAGATTAGGATTGCAAATATTTTGTTTAAAATATTTATGTGTTTTCATAAGAGATATTATGTTGGAGCCCGAAAGAATGATGGTCTTGATCAACTCAGTATACCACTGGAGTCTATATGAGTAAACAGCAATCTGTTTCTCATAAATGCAGAATATTGGCAAACTGACAAACCTCATATGCCACCCAGAAGGAAGGCTGAGGGCAGTTAGGACCCAGGCGCAAGTGTTTCTTATGATTAGCCATAATTGAAATCTGTCAGTAACAATACAAACCTGTGATCAATTAAGCAGCTGGCCAATTGTTACCTCCTCCTCCTTGCTCTTGTTACTCAATAAATACCTGTAGAAGTTCAGGGGCGGCCTTTGCTCACTAGAAGCAGGAAGCTCTCTTTTTCTCCCCATGTTGCCTTTTCTTAAAATAGTTACTTTTTTCTCATTTCTACCTTGGTCCTTTCGTTCAGTCCCGTAATGACGGTCTCAAGTAGTAGTAGTGGCAGTCAGCCACGGTATTAGTTGTCTTACACTGTTTTTGTCTAGTTTTTGTGTCAGGGTAATCTGGCTCTATAAAATGAGTTTGGAAATATTCTCTCCTTTTCAATTATTTGGAGACATTTTGGAAAATGTAAATATTTTCTTTTACATTTTCTTTCTTTTACATTTTCTTTCTTTCTTTTACATTTTCTTTCTGTCTTTTACATTTATGTAAAAGAAAGACATAAAATATTTCTCTTACATTTACAATGTTTGACAGAATTTCCTTAAAAATCATTTATGCCTGGAATTTTCTTTGTGGGAAAGTTTTCAACTACAAATTTGTTTATTTAATGGATATAATGTTATTTTCTTCAGCTAAGTGTAGCTAGTTGGTGCCTATCAAGAAATTTGTACCTTTTTTTCAAGTTGTTGAATATATTAGAAGAAAGCTGGTCACAAAATTCTATTATTATCATTTTAATGTCTACACAATCTTTTATAATCTTTATTCTTCCATATCTAGTATTGGCAATTTGTATCTACTCTTTTTTCTTAATCAATCTAGCTAAGGTTTATCAGTTTCATTTATCATCTCAAAGAACAATCTATTGTTCTATTGATTTATTCAAGTGTTCTTTTTTTCTGGCTTATTGATTTCCCTTGTGATTTTTATAATTTTATCTTTATCTGCTTGTTTGGGTCTTTATTTGCTTTTTTCAGTTTTTAAGGTAGCAATTGAAGTTATTCCTTTGAGATATTTTTCTTTTCTAACATAGCTACCTATTGCTAAAAATTTCCCTATAAGTCCCTTTAAGTTACATTCTTCAAACTTGACATGTTGAGATTTTGCTTCTTATTATTTCAAAATATTCTATTTTTCCTTTTGATTTTACTTTTGATTCTTAAGTTGTTTATAAATGTGTAGTTTAGTTTTCAGTTGCTTAACATATTTCCATTATCTTTCTGTTATTCCTATCTAATTTTATTGTACTGTGACCTGAGAATATACTTTCTATAATTTGAATTTTTAAAAATTAATTATTATTTTATGCAAAAAAAGAACCAGATTCTTTTAGTAAATGTTGCATGTGCTCATGAAAAGAAGTCTGCTGTTGGGGTAAAGTGTTCTATAAACCTCAATTATGTCAAGTTGATTGACAATGTTGTTCCAATTTCCTATATCCTTACTAACTGACAACTTGAAGTTCTTCCACTGCTCACTGCTGCTGGACTTACTCTATTATTTTTTCAGTTTCTTTTTAAACTCTTTTCCTTTTCCTTTGCATAATTTCTATTGCTATGTCTTTAAATTTACCATTTTTTCTACCTCATTTAATCTTCTGAGTAATCCCATCCATTGTATATTTTATAACAGTCATTGTATTTTTTAGGCTCAATTTATGTCTTTTTGTACTTTCCGTGTCTCTACTTTGTATGCTTAATTTTTCCTCTAGCTTTTTGAACATATGGAATAGAATTATATATTTTTTAATGTTATTGTCCACCAGTTCTGTTACCTGTTTAATTTTTGGCTCAGTTTTGATGAATCTATTTTTTCCTATGGATTATATTTTACTGCTTATTTGCAAGACCAGTAATTTTTTTTTATTAAATGTTAGGCATCATGACATTACCCTGTTGGGTGTGGATATTTTTATACTTTTGTAAATATAAATTTTTATGGGTGATGTAATTATTTGAACAGTGTGATTCTTTTTGGTCATACTTTTTAAAGCTGTGTTGGGCAAGACCAGAGGAGGATTTCCTATGGGCTTATTATTCCCCACTTTTGTGATAAGACCCTCTTACTACTCTAGAGGTCTCATGATTTGTGACATTTGCCACTCTTGCAGGCACTATGGCCAGCTCTGTGTATGCCTGGATGACTTTTCCATTTTGTCTTTTCTGCGGTTCTTTCTCTGACTTCCTGTAATTTCCTTACACATATGCTGTGACCAGGACTCTGTTGAATAATCAGAAAGAATTCTCTTCAGATGTTCTGATTTCTCTCTCTGTTAAGCTTTCTCCTCTCTACCCTTCAAACTCTAGCCATGTTGGCTGTGGGGAAAAGAAAGAGAGACGAGACTGTTACTGTGTCTATGTAGAAAGAAGTAGACATAAGAGACTCCATTTTGTTCTGTACTAAGAAAAATTCTTCTGCCTTGAGATGCTGTTAATCTGTAACCCTACCCCCAACCCTGTGCTCCCAGAAACACGTGCTGTGTCAACTCAAGGTTTAATGGATTTAGGGCTATGAAGGATGTGCTTTGTTAAACAAGTGCTTGAAGGCAGCATGCTTGTTAAAAGTCATCACCACTCCCTAATCTCAAGTACCCAGGGACACAAAACACTGCGGAAGGCCGCAGGGACCTCTGCCCAGGAAAGCCAGGTATTGACCAAGGTTTCTCCCCATGTGATAGCCTGAGATATGGCCTCCTGGGAAGGGAAAGACCTGACTGTCCCCCAGGCCGACACCCGTAAAGGGTCTGTGCTGAGGAGGATTAGTAAAAGAGGAAGGCCTCTTTGCAGGTGAGATAAGAGGAAGGCATCTGTCTCCTGCTTGTCGCTGGGCAATGGAATGTCTCGGTGTAAAACCCGATTGTATATTCCATCTACTGAGATAGAAGAAAACCACCTTAGGGCTAGAGGTGAGACATGCTGGTGGGAATACTGCTCTTTAATGCATTGAGATGTTTATGTATGTGCACATCAAAGCAAAGCAATTTTTCTTTACCTTGTTTATGATACAGAGATATTTGTTCACATGTTTTCCTGCTGACCCTCTCCCCACTATTACCCTATTGTCCTGCCACATCCGCCTCTCTGAGATGGTAGAGATAATGATCAATAAATACTGAGGGAACTCAGAGACCGGTGCTGGCGCGCGGGTCCTCCATATGCTGAGCGCAGGTACCCTGGAACCACTTTTCTGTCTCTATACTTTGTCTCTGAGTCTCTTTCTTTTCTCAGTCTTTCGTCCCACCCGACGAGAAACACCCACAGGTGTGGAGCGGCAGGCCACCTCTTCAGTTGGCGTCTTTGGATTCTCCAGTCTATTTTCTCAATTCAGGGGGAGAGTTAGTCACTGCCTGTGTTCTTCCTGCTTGCACTGCAGCCTAGACATTCTTTTCCTTAGGCAGTAAACTGAAGTAATTATAGAACTCAGCTTTTTCCCTCATCCCTTAAAGATCACAGCCTTTCATCACCTAATATCTAACATCTTGAGAACTGTGATTTCTTTTTCTTTTTTTTCAGTTTTGTTATTTCAGGTGGGAGTGTAAATTTGGTCCCTATTACTCCATCTTGATAGGAAGTGAAGGTTCTGATTTTGATAGAAAAACATTTTAATTACTAATGTGACAAATCCAAGTAATAATTTTACTGGGAGTCATCAAAGCTGTTATCCATACCATGTCTCCTACAAACATTATTACAATGTAAATCCAAGATGATATCTCATCACTCTTACCTGACTGAGACAAGGATGAAGATGTAATATTAATTGGCCCTAAATTATCTTTTATCTATACTGTTCAACAACAATAACTTTATGCTGATTATGAAATATCCTTCCTTTTGACTTACTTCGTCCCTTGAGAAAGGAGATTTATTCTACTATGGTCAGTCAGAAATCTTCTCATTATATCAAAGACAATAAATTGAATTGTCTATCACATTTAGTTTTTTGTTGTCAGTTTATCGTATTTAGGGAACAATAAGTTTGTCTTATTTCTTCTCTTTTTCTTTTACTTCCACCTAATTGCATATTTCCTCCATGGAATGTAGTATGGGTTTCAGGATCACTGTAAAATGATTCTCTAATTACGTTTTATTCTTTGCTCTTCAGGAAATTAAAACCCTTGTGATATATTAATGGTCTTGACTGCAGTTAGGAGTTGACCCCTTACAGCAGGGCCTAGTATAAAGACTTGTCACTGTCAGCACTGGCATATTTGAGGCAGGAACTGGTGGAAGCATGCTGGACTAAATCTCTGTAGGCAGAGGGCGAGGGAGGCTTGTGGGAAAAAAGTTGAGATTATTCATATTTGATTTTTATTGCTTATGTTTTCTAGTAATAATGACATCAGACTCATCTGAGATGTGAAGTATCTTCCATTTCAGCACTTCATTTGCTGTCCCTTGGGCACAGGGGCATAGTGGGCACTCCTGCATGGAAGAGAGTTAAGAGGGAACATGGATGGGCTGAATACAAATGTCCTACTAGGAGCTCAGCAAAGAGAGGCAAATGGATTTTTGCAGTTTTCTTTGTTTTTTCTTTGTACTTACTGCTATTATTTGGGGGGCATGATGTTGATAATAAAGATTAAGTTCTAGAACAAGATATTTAAAGATTATAAAAGTGGATATCTAAATCCTCTTGGGACCCGTATAGTCCTGGTTCTTTTGACTTTCCTTCATTGACTTCGTTCATTCTCTCAATTCCTAAGCATTTAGTATCTGCTTCATGTCACAGAGAAAAGCAGTTATTTTCACAGTTACTTGAGTTATTTAAAAAACATTCAAAATAGTTTACACTAATTTAATTTATTATAGCCACAACTATGCACTGCCTTTTGTACCACTTCAATGGGAGAGTATTCAGTGTAAATCAATCACTAAATGTGTCTAACTTATATGAAAAAACTAATGATTATTTTATTAAATTTTAATAATTTACATTTTTATACTATAGTAATCTCATTTTAATACACTTTAGACACAAATAAAATGATATGTAAGTTAGTTTTTAAAATTTCCTACAATTGCTTCCTTTCTTAATCATTAACCACTCCTTAAATATCTTTAACTATATGCTGCTGAAAGAGAGTAATTGAAGATAATAATGAAGAAATGTTTCATAGCTTTCCTTTGAAGATATCCTGGGAATGTCCACTGGTGCTGTATTTAATCTTTTGAAGACCTTCCAATAGCTTTGCCTGATGACATGCTTCCCACTTATGATTTCTGGAACTTGTCGTAGACTAGAATGGTGATACTTTTATTACTTACTGATTAATGTTTATATATATATATATATATATATATATGGGCATATAGTTCTTCCAACATACTTTCTCCCAATATAGTGATTTTGTCTACTACAATTGTGTAGCCTTTATCTTCCCAGCAAGAATATAGCACTAATATACATAAGCACTATCTCATATTGATCTGTGTGTTTTCTAAATAATATAATAATATAGGCTGCTGGCAGTGAGTAAATATTGGGCATGTCGCTCTTCCTTATCACATCAATTGAAGAGTTTTATGCAGTGACCCCTCATGTTAGGAGGTGAATAATGTAATATATTTGATCATTAATTTAATAAATGTAAGATGTTTATATGCAGTCAACATTAAGATAGGGTTAGTAATTTCTTATGAAAGCATTTATGTAGAACACTTTCTAGAGGAATAGGGTCTCTCCAAGTGTACGTCAGGTCTGCTTCAAAGTGGGAAAAATGCACCCCCCAAAAGCACATGACATTGATGTAGTGGTGGAGAAAATAAAATATATGAAATTCACATATGGTCTATAATGTATAAATTTGAAATAATTGCAACAGAAATATTGTCTGCCTTCAGAATGGCTGCCATAACTGAGTCACTAATTAAGCTCATACTGGCACATCATAGGGAATATATGATGCTTTTGGCCTTGAGGATACTTCGGTTGATGTGCTAGTCAGACATTAAAGTAATAGTTTATAAAAAATAAAAAAATAAAGTAATTATTTTTTATAAAAGAAATAGAACATTGCAGATAAGGGTGAAATTTCTTTATTATCTTCTCCCCGGGGGGTAATTACTATCATAAAATTGCTGTGTACCTTTCCAGTCTGTTTTTATACTTTTAAAATATGAATATATACATAAGCACTATCTCATACTGCTCTGTGTGTTTTCTAAATAACGTAATTTTCAGTAGAATATATACATCACTTAGCAAATTTATTTTTTACTTAATAATATTTGGAGATCAATCCTATCCATGTTCATAAGTATGTATTTAGTAATTATTTTAAAATCTGCCATATGGAATTAAGAGCTTCTGAACCATGTATTAGAAATGCAAGAAGGGTTGCTGGTTGCTCTAATTCTTTCAAAGAACAAACACCAGACGAACTTCAAAGATCAACCATTTTTCTTATTTCTTTGGAGAAAGAAAGTCAGGGACTAAACGATGGTCTCAAAATCTAAAAAGAATTGATGTCTTCAGGGACAACAGTGATGTCAGCATGTTCTCACGCTGGGCAGACGCAACAGACACCAGTCAAGAGTTCAGCTAGAAGAGCTGGCAGTTTGGAGAAGGCCAAGTGTGAGTCTCCATGACAGTGTGAAACCCCTGAGAGCCAAAGAAATTGGAGGGTCCATATCCTCTTGCCACAAATTTCACCAGAGAGAAAGTTTATAAAAATTCTTAAAAAAAAAATCATTGTGGTGTAGAACTGAAATAAGGGAATATCAGCCTTGAAGGAGGGGTAAGAAATTCTGCCTGGGTTCTTCTCCCCCACCTCTGCTATGGACTAACAGCCTTAAACTGTAAGAAAACAGATTATACATGCTGCTACCTTTAGGATGTTGTTTAAAAAATCATTGCATTTGGGAGATAAAAAGAAAAGAAAGGTGGGGGGAAACAATTGTAAGTGGGGACAATTGTAAGTAAGGGAGGGGGACAGCAGTAAGTGGGACCAAAAACTACAGTTGAAGGAAGGGCAGGAAAACTGAGAGCCACACCAGCAAAATCAATGGGAAGGAGTGTTTCCCTAATAGAGGAGTAATCAGGATAAAAGAAAAAACACTCCTTCTCCCACCAAGCTAGCAAGCTTCAAAAGCAAGTGACAGCAGAATACTGATACAAGAGAGATGATAGAGAAAAAAGAGTGAACAAGGGGACCCACTCTGAGGCATAGTACAACAGAAAGACCTAACATTCAAAACTGAAAAGACATTGTTCTGATAAACCAATACCTAGTCTAATTGAAGTTGTCATAGAGACGTCAATACAAAGGAGAACCAAGGCAGCAACAAATCTCAAACCCAGCCCAATTCCTATCTAGATTAACTCAAAGCCTACCTCAAAATACCAGTAGAGGTTGTGCCCATTTTCAAGCATAAAAATCATTTTACCACAGTCTCCAGTGCTTTACATAACACGTTCAACTTTCCAACACACACACACACACACGGCATAGAAATGGCAAGAAAAGAAAAAGATATTCAGAAAAGATAAAGCAATTATTAGAACTAAACTTGGATATCACTAAGATGTTGAAACTACCTGACTAAAAAGTTGTTTATTTATTTTAATTTAAAAAATGTTTGATTTTAAATTAAAGAGATAGGTTATTGCTCTGTTGACTGGCTGGAGTGCATGGCATGACCATGGCTTAGTGCAGCCTTGATCTCCTGGGTTCAAGCAATCCTCTCTCCTCAGCTTCAGCCTCTCAAGTAGCTGGGAATTACAGGTGTGTGCCATCACATCTGGCTAATTTTTAAATTTTTTTGTAGAGACAATGTCTCACTACATTGTCCAAGCTGGTCTTGAACTTGTCTTAAGTAGTCTTCCCACCTCAGCCTCCAAAGAGCTAGGATTATAGGCAAGAGCCATTGTGACAAAATAAGGTTCACTGTAGCCTTGAACTCTTCAGCTCAAGCAATCCTCCTGCCTCAGCCTCCCAAACAGCTGCAAGTACAGGCATATGCCCCCATTCTAGGCTGTTTTTTTTTTTAATTATTATTGTTTTACAGGTGGGGTCACACTATGTTGCCCAGGCTAGTATCTTACCACTGACCTCAAGAGATCCTCCTGCCTCAGTCTCCCAAGTTGTTGGGATTACAGCCATGAACTATCATGCCTGGCTGATGGAAATTTAAAGTAATTATTACTAATATATTAAAGGATTTAGTGGAAATGATGTAAAACATGCAAATCAGAGAGATAATTTCAATAGAAGAGATAAGATGTAAGAGAAAAAAAAGTGGAAGTGCTGGACTGGGAAAACACTACCATAGAAAATGTCTTCTATGGGATCATCACTAGACATAATATATCTGAGGAAAGAATCAACTAACTTGAAGATAGGTCTACAGAAATTATACAAATTGAAACACAAACGAAAAAAAGAAAAAAAGAGCATATAAGAGTTACAGGAAGTTACCAAAACTTCAATTCACATTACTAGAGTTCAAGAAGAAAAGACAGAGAATAGGTTAGAAAACATATTTGAAGATGTAATAACTGATAAATTTTAAAAATCAGTCATTGACACCAAATCATAGGTCTTGGTAGCTCAGAGAACACCAAACAGAATGAATATTATCCCAGACTCAAAAAACAAAACAAAACAAAACAAAATAAAAAACATCAAAGCATATCTTACTCAGATAAATAAAAACTAAGGAATATATTGAAGACAGTCTCAGAGAGGAAAAAAAGAACATCTATTTAGAAGAACAAAACAAAATATATAGTTAACTTTTATGAAATCAAGCATCAAGCAAGACAGAAGATAATAGAGTAATTTTACAGTGATCAATTTATCCTCTTTCAGTTCCAACTTGACCCTTAATTTCCAGATCTTTAAAAATTAAAACTGAGTTATTCAAATACCTTTACTTTGCTAGTTCATATGGTGCTAAGCTTTGTCAGCAGAAGGCATGAGGGAGACATTATAGAAGGCAGTAATTTGAGGGCTTCAATGCACTTTCTTGTCAGTCTCCTGCCGTACCTAACCTTCTTCAGTGTTGTCTCCTGCATGTGGAAGGCTTATTCGGGATATGGCTACAGATGTGAATAGTAGCTATTCAGCACCCACCCACCTGGGGCCATCAATCCCCTTAAGTAGTTTAATAGCAAAGTGCCTTAAATGAGGTATTTTGCCCCTCTTGACACCTTGGAGGCTAAATTTCTAGCAAGATCCAGATAGTGCGCATTCCATCAAGCTGTACTAGGGTGTCACTACAGCGAATTTTACATTCAATGAGTCAAGGGCAGGACCAGCTCTATAAGTTAAGAATCTCAGTCCTGGGGTGAGAGTTTCTTCTTAAGTGTTCTTTCAGTCCTAAAGATAGAGGCTACCCCTTGTGTTTTGCTATTCTTCTATTCCTTAAAATTCTCATAAGTCTTTCTAGCCAAGCTCTTGTTACTGTTTTACTTAATAATTTTCATATTATATCTTTCTTCTTATTATTACTTTATGGTTTCTGTCTGGTTATTGACTCTGAGTAATAAAATTTAATAAAGGTGGCCTTTCTGAGTAACTCTCCTCCAAGAGGACCCCTTCCACTGTGTGTCAGTACTATGTCAGCCATTTTACTGGTAGATATTCAGAAAAGAGACAAAGAGACAGAGAGATACAGAGATAGACAGCTCAGAAGTGCCTTATATCACTTCTTCCCACATTTTAGAGTTCCAAACAAGATATAAATAAGGCAGAATAATGTGATGTTCCTGTATTTCTCTAGCAGGAATGTGCTTGGGGAGCATCTAAAAATCTCTACCAAAATATGTGATATTTTCTATGTTAAAAGTAAACTGTATATTACCTCCTTCAGTAACTCACAAATATCTTCCCCTTCCTTGATGTCTTCCTCAGTAAATACTACAGTCATTTACCTACTTACTGGGTAAAACCCTTGTGGGTACCCATGATGCCTGGCTTTATTACACTTAAAATCTATCGCTGAATTCTGTCACAAATCAAACTACCCTCAGCTTGCTCAAACTGTATGAATCTCTTTCCTGGACTATGCAAATGAACTCCTAATTCCCAGCTGGGCTTTCTGATGCCACTATTTCCTCTACAGTATATTCCCCTGAGGTAACCCAGATGCACTTTCCAAAACCTAATAAGGTAATGTGATGATTCCACTTCGACTTCAGTAGTTTCCCATTGTACTTAAGACTAAAACGTAAAGTTCTTCCCATGTCCTGCAATTGTCTGCATGATCTCATTTTCAGCAACATTTCTTAACCCATCTTGCCTGTGTTCACACTGCTGCAACCACACAAAATTTCCTTTAGGTTTCTCTCTGAGTTTCTTCTCGCGTTTTCTATTCCAGGAATTTTCATCTAAATAATGTATCCATTGTCGAAAGCAGGGTATCATAGTCCCTTACTAAGGGGACTTTGCATTGCTGTCTACTTTTCACTTTTGTTCTATTAATATTTGAATTACACTTAGGTGTTCCAAACTTCAGTGCATATGTATTTACAATTATTATCTCATCTTCATGAATTGGCTCCTTTATCATTACATGATGACCTTAATTATCTTTTGTGACAATTTTTGATATGATGTCCACTGTTACTGTCTTTTCATTATCATTTGCATGGAATATCTTTATTTATACCTTCACTTTCAGACTATGTATTTTCTTAAAGCTAAAGTGAATCTGTTGTAGACAGCATATAGTTAGATCTTGTTTCTTTAATCCATTCACTGTGTCTTTTAATTGAAAATTAAATCCACTTACAGTTAAAGTAATTATTGATATGTTAGAACTCATTACTGCCATTTTGTTAATTTTTTTCTGATGGTTTTGTAGTACATTTGTTCCATTATTTCTTGCTTGCTATCCTAATTTAGGATTTTATATTTTTGCAGTGCTATGCTTTGATTATGAGACTGATGTGCTGCCTACTCCACTAAGGAGGGACCTTGGTATTTTTGCAGTGCTATGTTTGATTTATTTATCTTTGCCTTTTGTGTATCTACCATAGGCTTGTCCTTTTTGATTACATGAGGCTTATATAAAATATCTTATATCAATCTATTTTAAGGTGATAACAAGTTAACTTCAACCATATACAAAAATCCTATATTTAATTTCTCCTCATCCATGTTTTATGTTGTATATACCCCAATATACATCTTTTACATATATGTATCCATTACCAAATTTTTGTACCTATACTTATTTTTAATGCTTTTGTCTTTTAACTTTTATGCCAAAGCTAAAAATGATTTAACCACCACCATTACAGTATTATAGTGTTCTGAACTACACCATATTCTTACCTTTACAGTGAATTCTACAGTTTCCCATGTTACATGTTGTAAGTGGCCTTGTTTACCAACTGGAAGAACTTTCATTAGTATTTCTTGTAAGGCAAGTCTAGTGGCCTTGAACTTTCACAGCTTTTGCTTACCTGGGAAAGTGAAAGTGCTTATCTTGCCTTCGTTTCTGAAAGATATTTTTGACAGCTATAGTTTTCTTGGGTGGTAGTGTTTTTCTTTCCTTTTCTTTCAGAACTTTGAATATATTATCCCTGTCTCTCCTCACCTGCAAGGTTTCTGCTGAGAAATGTGCTGATAGTCCTACGGAGTTTTCCTTGTATGTGTTCACTTGCTTTTCTCTTGCTGCTTTCAAAATTCTCTTTGTATTTAACTTTTGAGAATTTGTTTATATTGTGTTTCAGAAAAGATCTGTGTATATAGCCTCTATTTACACTTATTTGAGCTTCATGGATCTAATAATTTCCTTTGTCAGATTTGGGAAGTTTTCTGTTATTCTTTTTTTCTTTCAATAAGCTTTATTCTCCTTTCTCTTTGTTTGCTACTTCTGGAATAGCATAATGTGTAAATTGGTTTGCTTGATGGTTTCACATAGACCCACTGACTTTCTTCACTCCTTTGTTGTTATTGTTGTGCCTCAGACTGGATAATTTCAAATGATTAATCTTTGAGCTCATTGATTTTTTCTTCAGTTTTATTGAGTCTGTTGTTAAAGCTTTCTATGGAATATTCTAGTTCAGTATTTATGTTTTTAACAGCAAAATTTCTGTTTGGCTCTTTTCAAAAATATCTACTTTGTCCACTTCATGTCTTTTGATTGAGGATTTTACTTGATCTATATCTAAGGTAATTATTGATAGGATTGACCTTAATATTGCAATTTTGCTGATTGTTTTGTGTTTGTTTTGTAATTCCCATGTTTCTCTCTTATTCTCTTATCTGTGGCAATTTTTTGTAGTAGTATGATTTAATTGTTTTCTCTTTAATCTTTTCTGTAACTACTGTATGTCATATATATGTGTGTGTGTGTGTGTGTGTGTGTGTGTGTGTGTGTATCATTATATGCATAGGACAATTTTATAGTTACAGCAGCCTATTTTAAGCTGATAACAACTTATCTGCAATTGTTTAAAGAAACTATACGCTTTACCTCTAAACACACACATGCAAAAAACACACACTTTATATAATTAAGATCAGATTTTACTTCTTTCTATATTGATTACAATTATTCTTACTACTTTTTTCATTTAATTTATTAATTAATGTATAACATCATTTGCCTGCCATCATTACAGTATAACAATATTTTTATCTTTATATTTACCTTCAGAAATGAGATTTATGCTTTTATATTCTTCCATGTTGTTGTTTACAATCTTTTCGCTTTATCTTGAAAAATTACTTTTAGTTCTTATAAGGCAGATCTAGTGCTAAAATAATCCCAGTTTTTGTTTGTTGTAGCCTCTTTTTCTCTCCTTTCTTCTTAAAGGACAATTTTGTTGTGTAAAATATTTGCTATAATTTGTATATGGTTTGGGTGGTCCTGCTGAGTCTCATGTTAAAATTTGATCTCTAATGTTGGAAGTTGGGCCTGGTAGGATGATGTGTTCTTATGAGAGAGAGTTCTTACTCTTAGATCCCTCAAGAACTGGTCATTGAAAAGAGCTTGGCACTTCCTTCTCTTTCTTTCTTGCAGTGAAATGCTGACCCTTCTTCACCTGCCACCATGAGTGGAAACAGCATGAAGCCCTCCCGAGAAGCCAATAAGATGAATGCTGATGCCATGCTCTTGTACAGCCTGCAGAACCATGAGACAAATAAAAGCCAAATTATACTTTTCTGTATAAATTACCCAGCCTCAGGTATTCCTTTATAGCAAACAAACAAACTAGGATAGTATTATTGGTTGAGAGTTTTATTTTGTTTTGCTTTCTTTCAGTACTTCAAATATATTATCCAAATATTTTTAGGCCTGTAAAGTATTTGCTGAGAAATTCACTGATAGTCTTGGGAAGGTTATCCTGTATGTAACATGCCACTTTTCTTTTGGTGCCATCAATATCTTTTATTTTCTTGGGCTTCTCATAATTTATTTATAATGTATTTTAATGTAGATATTTTTGCATGGAAGGTATTTGGCAACCTTTAGATCTCAGAAATCTGAATGTTTATTTCCCTCCCTAGGTTTTAAAGGTTTTCAGACATGGTTTATATGACATGTTTTCTGTGTCTTCCTCCTTCTCTTCTCCTTCTTGAACTCCTACAATGCAAACGTTGGTTTATTTTTTAGTGTCTTATAAGTAACATAGGCTTTCTTCATCTTTTTCAATCTTTTCTGTTTTTATTCCTCTAAATGAATAATTTCAAATTAACTATCTTTGAGTTCATTCATTATTTTTCCTCCTTAAAAATACAACTACTGCTGAAGTATCTCTATTTAGTTTCTCAGTTCATTTATTATATTCTTCATCTCCATGACATTCATTTGGTTCTTTATTTCAGTTTCTATTTCTTTATTGAACATCAAATTTTGTTCATATATTGTTTTCTTGATTTAGTTTAGTTGTCGTTCTCTGTTCTCTTGTTGCGCATTGAGCTACTTTGAGCTTATCATTTTGAATTATTTGTAAGACAGTCTATGAATTTCTATTTCTTTAGAATTGATTACTAGAGTTTTATTAGTTTACTTTGGTGGTGTCATGTTTGCCTGATCTTTTGTAATCCTTATATCCTTGGGTTGGTGTCTGTGAATTGGAAAAAATGGTCTCTCTTCCAGTCTTGCTGAGAATGTCCTAATCCATCATTTTACTGACATCAGCATCTTCTATATTGATTGCTGTAGTTTTTGTCATAGCACTAAGGACTACCCAACAGTATCATATTAATTCTCTTATGATATTAATATGTTAATCACTAAAGTACAAACCCCATAAAATAAGAAATTTGCTTTTTGGTTCCACACTGTAAAACCAGTGGCTCTAAAGGTTTTAGAAAAAAATTTTCCCTTAAGTCAGGAAAATAGAATTTGAAAATACTAATAAAAAATGAGATCTGTGTTAGACAGTGATAGAAACAGAACTAGGGAGTTCGAACTTTATTACAAGAAAAGCAGGAAGCCATTCGAACCCTGTCTTTACTGGAAAAGTAATTTCATCAGATTTGTGGCTTAGGAGGATCCTATTGGCTATAACGTAAAAAATAACTTGGAGTGAAGTGACACTGAGGGGAAAAGGCATCAATTTTAGCCAGTAGCTTAGGTTAGATATGACTCTGGCTTATACTAAGATGATGACAGTTGTAATAAAACGTAGTGAAAAGATCAAGAGATGTTTCAGAAATAAAATCAATAGAATAAAACTGAGTTTTCGCTTGTTTGTTTTGATTTTATTTTTAAAAAAAGCTCTATCTTCAGGTAACGAAAAAAGTAAATTACAACTCTTGTACTTAAAAAGTCATATTCTAGTTTTGCCCTTAACCACTGAGAAAAATGTTAATAATTAACCTCTCCTAATTTGATAAAAATGTAACCTCAGTTGACAATGAAAGTGGTTTTTCTTAGGGTCATAAATATAAGGACAGTCTTTCCATTTGTTATCTTAATTTAATGATATCCTTGTGTCTAATAGATCAAGAAACTCCTCTTTCCAAGGACTCTCCAATATTCCCGCATTTGGCTAACTAAAGTGTTCTGAGACAGGAAAAAAAAAAAAGAAACCCTTGAGAATATACAGATAAGTGTCCGCCAAACACTGGGAGCTATTTGAATATTATTATAACACGTAATGTAATTATAACAATTCAATCTTCTGGAAAATACAATAACAAGTTTCCCTGCTAGGTACAAGGAAAGTGAATGTGAACTGTCCAGGTTGTATAACTATCTCTGGTATTCGGCCAAACAATCTGCTACTATATAAACTACTACTGTATAAAGTTTAGGATGAAGATTTTAATGAAATTATACACTCAGAATTTTTGTTTTGATTTTCCTCCTTCACAAGGATCAGAAGACCACAGCAAAGTGAGCCCAGAGATTCCTTACATTTATATGCATACGTAAGTTGTTAGTCCTGGGAGAGAATGGTATAGATTTTGAGCTGATTCTATTGTTTATGAAATTATAATTGGAAATCAAACATAGCTTCAATATCTAGATCCCCTTTTTCTATACTTCCAGTAGCACCCTCTCCCCCCACCCCAACCAGCCGTGCAAAAGTGGTTATAAAACTTGAAGGGCCCAGTACAAAATAAAATTATGTAGTCCCTTGTTCAAAAATTAATAATTTTAAGATGGCAACAGCAAAACTTTAAACCATATTAAGGCCCTTCTGAAATAAGTTCCTATGTGAGCCCACAAACCATCCTTGCTATGTTTGAATAAAAGAAATTTCCTATTGAAGTCCATATCATGAATTCCTGAAAAATGACTTAGTTATTTGTAAATAGTGTATAGCCCAAGTAAATTTTCCTTTCAATTTTTATAGTTTATAACTCCAAGATATGGCTTGGATTTTTGTGTCTCCACCCAAATCTCATGTTGAATTGTAATCCCCAATTTGGATGAGGGGCCTGGGGAGAGGTGAGTGGATCATAGGGGTGGATTTCCCCCTTGCTTTTCTCATGACTGTGAGTGAGTTTTCAGGAGAGCTGATTGTTTAAAAGTGTATAGCAACTCCGCATTCTCTCTCTTCCTCCTGCTCCAGCCATGTAAGATGTGACTGCTTCCCTTTCAATTTCCGCCATGATTGTAAGTTTCCTGAGGCCTCCGCAGCCATGCTTCCTGTAGAGCCTGTGGAACCGTGAGCCAATAAAACCCCTTCTCTTTATAAATTACTCAGTTTCAGATATGTATTTTCTTTTTTCTTTCAGGTATTTCTTTATAGCAGTGTGAAAATGGACTAATAACACTCCACTTCTCCAGCCAGTTAGACTGCATTTCTGGAAGTAGCCTGATCTCAAGTGGTTGACCCCAAACCTGGGTATTTCTCCTGAACCCTGCAATTAGCTTCATAAAGAAGTTTCACTCACCAAAAAGTTAATTTTATTAGATTCTTATAAATTGAGTAAGGTAAAAATGCTCTCACCTCTTTAACAAGGCTTAGCTATAGCACAAATTTGTCACATTGAGTTATCCACAACCTCTTTCAAATCATTTGGAGAAATTTGACCATTTATGCTGGTTTAGCAATTTTAATGGGAGTTAACAGTCATTACAGCTAAAACACTGGTTGATTAAATAAGGTGGGTGTTAAAAATCAGATTAAGCCAGTATCATAGTGAATTTGCTTATCAATGACGTCAAAATGGTTAATCTAACAATCCTTTGTGATGCCAAAGTTGGTGAGGTCATTAGTTGCAGCTCAGGGCAAAGGAGAGAGCCTGGTAAAGATGCCTTTGGTGATGACACCATTTCCTCCAAATTCCTTTTCCACCAGTTTGAGTTCCACCTTTTCTTCCCGCCACAGGGCTGCTTGAAATGTTGCAGAAGACCTAAAAGACTGTTTCTATCTATATCCTGGCAACAGAGGCTGTTTATCCTATTCTCTTTTTCTTTTCTCTCTTTTTTTTTTTTTTACACTTCTCCATCCATCTTTGTCATCAGTTTTACCCACGCTACCCCCTTTCAGGGCACACATGTACACACATATACCCATGCCAATATGGACATATACACACACATCTTGCACTGAATTTTTCAGTCTAATCAGAATGAAATATTTAAGTGGTTGAAAAGCAAGATCTTGGAATAAAATTTAAGTGTAATTAATAATAGAGAGAGGGGACAAGAGAGGGATAGAGACAGAGACAGCAGAGTCCACATACACATAGCCACAACATAGTCACATAGAAGAGCAGGTGAATGTAGCTTTTGTTTAGCATGAAGACAGAGAAAATCAGGTTATGGAATTATCTTTCTGCTCCTTTATTGTTGAAACTCCAAATAGCAGCTTTTGTCATTTTTATATTCTTATATCAAATTGCATTTAGCCAATGTAAAATTGCTTTTGAAGTCAGGCACCCAATATGAGATGAAGTGGAGATGTGTCAGTTATTCAGTGTCTTTGGGTATTGTTGATACAACATCTGATTCTTTAAGTGAAATTGCCCAGCAGCTTCTACTATGCAGATTTAACTTACTACACTTTTCTATCTTCTCTTACTCTCTTTATTTTAAGTTGTATTACTCTTACCCTATCTCTAACCCATTCTGTCTTTCAATCCCAAAAGTAAATCTCTGATTCAAACTACTACACATTCTAAAATAATCACTTGAATCTATGTTTCTTTCTCACTTACTCAGAACATTAAATCTCAACATCAATCTGACTGTGGGATAAATCAGTCAATAATTAATAAGAGAGTTACAATGTCTGTTTAGTGTGTAGACCTGTTTCTTACAAGAAATCATTTATTTAATTTTTACTTGTATCATAAGTGCTTAAATGCATTTGCCTGCCTCAGTTAATATGATTTTCCTTTGCCCTTATTTATACAAAATATCTTTCATATACATATGTGTGTGTTTCTATCAATCAAATAAGATCACTTGAAAATGCTAAACCACAAATTGAATTACATTGTTATTTTTGTAGCCATACAGATATACACACATACCTTCAAAAGCAAATGGAGAATTAATTGAATCTCATATTTGCTTTAGTTCAATTTGAGCATGAAATGTAACATATCTTTCATATCTCAAGTTTTGTTAAGTTTACCAATTTTGACATCATAGGGATAAGTTTAATTTCTTGATTTCCAGAACCAAAACACAGTGATGTGTGGTAGAGGGGTTGGCAAAGGTGGTAGAATTTATTATGACCTCTATTTCTCAAAATTGCTAAACAGACAAAAATACATATTTCATAAGTTACTCAAATAATGAAGAATTGAAAAAGTCTTATCTCACTTTCTTTAGGATCAAGATTATGTTCTTAGTTGAAAATCTTCTTTGTTCTGTTAGAGGTATGTCATAGAAGAAAGTTCTATAATTCAATGTTTGCTTGTCTTTTCAGCTGAGGAAGGTTGCTTATATTTTAGTAGCCAGGCCTACACATTTTGCTTTTGATGTTCTTGGTAAACATTTTTTTCTCAGTCCTAGAAATTCATTATCACAACATTACTTTATAATTTGATTCAGTCAATCATTGAAATAATTTATACTTCAATTCATTATTGCACCAAAATTCCTTTATGAAAAAAACAGTAAAAAAACCCATGGTCAAACTTGAGACTGTTCCTAATTTTGAGGATGAATATTTGGAGCTCTGCAAGGTGAAAGCAGTTAAATTTCCTCTATAACATTTGCTTCACATTTAATTATTATTCTTGTCTTGTAAAAGGTTTTTATTAGGATATTTTCTGGACTGCACATTCTTGAAGGCTATGGAGAAGAGTCTATATGATAGTGTGGAAAAAGCCCATATATATATACATATATTCAATGTGGTCTGATTCTGGACTATAGCACAGACCAGCTCTGTGGCCCAGCAGATAATGTAAGCTTTCTGATATTTAGGCCAGATTGCTGGTACGAAGGGGTAATGGTACTCATCTCACCAGCTGATTATTAGGAGGATTCAAATGAGGAAATTACATAAAGGTACTCTTACCAATTCTGAATCTAATATAAATGACCTCTCTAAGAGGCCATTGTTGAAATATAAAGAGCAGAGAAGTGTCTGGGACAAAGGAACTAGACATCACCAAGTTTCTCCTTAAACACATTAGCATGTATCAATCCAACTTGCTGCTTGGCACCTTAGAATAGAAATGATGATGATCCTAAGCTCAACAGATGCATTAATATGGAAGGGGATTTAATCATAAAAACCAATTACAAGCCACAAAACTGGGTTTGAATCCTGGTTATTCCATTTGCAGTAAGGCTACATGCACATTAATTAGGCTTCTTTGCCTTACTTAGTTTTCTCATCTGTAAATGGTGGTAATAATGACACCTGCCTTAGGGATTTCTGGGAGGATTCAATATGTTAATATATTGAAAATGCTCATACTGAGGCTTGGCAAATACTAAGTGCTCTAGTCTAGTCACTTATCACTATCAATTAGCAAACGTTAGGAAGCACATGACATCTGATAGAAACTATGATTGTTGAGAATCAGGTCATGGCTAATGTAACAGTCAAATATAGTTTATAAAATCCATGCTACATGACCAGGAAGAGTAATTCTTTATATTTTTATGTATTAACTGATTTTCTAATACTATGGATAATTTACTTAACAGCTGTGGACAAATCTAAATAATAATATCATGCATTAAAGTGAGTGTTTTAAGCCTGGAAGTAAGGATAAAAATTCAAAAGTTGAAATCAAGATGATCTGTCTTCAAATTTTCAAATCTTTCTATCTTCATGAAACACAGACATGATACATGGCAAAGTGTGATGAGGATAGAGAGGACTCACCCTCCCTAACCCTGTCCATGAACAGTTCCCTCAGATTGGCAAGAGCCTTAAAAACAACACAGATGTTCCTCTATTTATAATGGGGTTACAACCTTATAAACCCAACATAAGTTGAAAATGCATTTAATACAACTAACCTCCAGAACATCACAGCTTAGCCTTACCTGCCTTAAAAGCTCTTAGAACCACTTACATCAGCCAACGGTTGAGCAAAATCATCTAACACAAAGCCTATTTTATAGTAGTGTTACATATTTCATGTAATTTATTGAATACTGTACTGAAAAGGAAAAATGGAATGATTGTATGGCCATTGTAAACCCCCCAAATCATAAACCAAACTGTTGTAAGTCAAGGACATTCTGTACAAGTCTCGATGATAATAAGAGAAGTCACAGAAAATATTCAATGAGATAATAAATGTAAATTTAATGGCACTTTGTCATTATTGTGGCGGGGGTGGTCCTTACCATTTGCACCTCAAATTTCACGATGGCAGGAACTGTGTATCATCTCCTCAGTGTTATTAGACCTATATGATGATACAGTAATAAAACACAAAACATGACTTCCAAAAAATACCAAAATACAATGTAAATTTTTGTGGAAGTCTCTTAAAGGCACACCAAAGGGAGTTAAATTCTTTGAGTTTATAAATGCTCCAAAACCCTTTTCATCTTTCTCCTAACACCTTGTCACAATCTACTTCATCTAAGTCTCTTATTTATTTTTTTATTCCAGTCCAAGGCCTTTTTATCCTCCTGATTATTTCTCGTCTAAACCAACATAGCTTTTCTAAGCATTTCCCATTTCTTCTTTCAGATTTCTTAGAAGTTGGAAGAGGAAACGCTGTGAATATACAGACCTATATGAAACAAATTGTCGAATAAATGAAAATTTAAAGGCCTAAGTTTTATTCAGTAATGGCATAGTTTTGCTAGTCTGGCCTGAACATTTGGGAGTGAATTAGAACCCAATGCTTGTCCCAGGGAAGGACAGAGTGTGTGATTAAATTAGGCAGGAACCAAGAAGAATATTTTTATATTAAAAAAAAACAGAAATCGGCCGGGCACGGAGACTCACACCTATAATCCCAACATTTTGGGAGGCCAAGGCGGGCAGATCATGAGGTCAAGAGATTGAGACCATCCTGGCCAACACGGTGAAACACCGTCTCTACTAAAAATACAAAAATTAGCTGGGCGTGGTGGTCCTTGCCTGTAGTCCCAGCTAGTCGGGAGGCTGAGGCAGGAGAATTGCTTGAACCCAGAAGGCAGGGGCTGCAGTGAGCCGAGATTGCGCCACTGCACTCCAGCCTGGGGACAGAGCAAGACTCTGTCTCAAAAAACAAAACAAACAAACAAAACCCCAGAAATCAAGAACCAAAGAATGATTAGCAGGATTCCTCATTTCAAATCAGGTTCAGATTCAAGTGATTCTTTCAAGGCTCCTTTCAGTCTTCTGGGCTTTCTTCTCTTGCTCTTATGTCTTTCTCTTGGATATTTTATGGAGTTCTCACTTCTTCCTTTGACAAGCTTTAAAATTCCAAATTGATCTTTAATTTTTCAACTGAGGTTGGTTAGTTTTATTGCCCTTGTGAGCATGTTAGAAGGGAATCATTCTTAAGCTCTTCTTTTCATCTGATGTTTTTTTTTTAATACAATAGCCACAGATTACTTACTTACTATTGCAGCTTTTGGATGCACCTGAAAACTGTGCTTTTTGCTTAAGACTTCACACACAAAAAAATACATTTTAAGTTAAATAACTAAATTGTTACAGAATTTCGTATGAAAATTGATCTACGTTTTAATTGGCTTCATTATAATGCATTGTAAGTCCCATCACTGTAACAGTATGTTACATCAAGAGGGCCTTTCAATAACCTTAACCCAAATTCAAGAGTAAGGAAGGAGAAAGAAAGGGAGGGAAGGGTAGGAAGAGAGAGCTTTAAAGTATCAGAAAACAACCAATAGGCAGGTAAATGCTTATAGAAAAATTTAAGATCTCCTACCTCATGCACAAAATGTTAGGGCCAGCAATGAAGAGGAAGAGTATCTTAGCTAGCTAATTATTAGCCCTTGGGCATTTCCAAACAGAGAGAAATGGAGTCCTCTAGGTTTATCACATTTTTTTTATTATTGAGTTTAGTTACAGAAGCCTGGATGTTTACTTCATCCTGTATGTTTGTTTTCATTTATTTTTCAGCCAAGACACTGGACATTGATTTCCTTTTGCGTTTTATTTAAAATGAATTCACAACTGTGGAGGAGAAAGGCAAAGCCAAAATCTTTGCCCTGAGCACAAACCAAAGTAAAATCAAAGCATTTCTGAGAGTGTGAGTTGTTCAGTTGAATTTCCTTAAAAAAAAAAAAAAAAAAAAATTCATCAAGCAATTGCGCTGCTGAAATGGATCAGACATGGAGGCAGAAATCAGAGGAGAAACTCTTGGCATGCCAACTCATGCAGGATAATTTTCACATCAAAGAACTTCAAAATAGGATTTTTCTGAGTATTTTCACTTTTAGCTAGCTGACTCAAATCCTTTCTGGAAGCAAGCAGGTTATAAATTATAACTACATAAGTAAATAAATCTCATGGTAATATCCAGATATCACCCAGTTAAAAGTTTACCTATCACAACCCCATGTCATTGTGTGAAGTTAGGGTCAGGGTTATCTTCATATCACAATTCTTTTTCTTCAAAGAATTGGGTAGATATATGCGAGTATCCATACCAAAGAAGAACTTTCTGGAAGAAAGACCAGCATTTGCAATGGCTTTAAGGTTTGAAAAATAGGCTGGGAGCTCAGGAACAGTGAGAAAACAAGTAAGAATAGGATGGAGTATGCTGACAGAAATGAAACCAGAAATGTAAATTATGAATAGATTAGGAAGCTCTTCTATGCCATTTTAAAGACGTTTTTTGTGTGTGTGCACAATGCCATCCTAGAGGCTTGATAATTCACACTCGGTTTATAGCCTGTTTTTGTTGCTAATTATCTTCCTAACTTTGTATAAACATCATAATTTTTCAGACATCAGTTTTTTCATCTATAAATGATGAAATTGAGATTAAAATGCTTTCAATGTTTCATATTTATCACTATATATAATTGTATCATTTATCTATATCATTATATCATAGATCTATATACAAATACATATAAATAATCTATATGTTCAGAGGAAAATAAATCAATATTAATACAACTACAATTTTTAATTCCTAATAATTATCTGCAATATAAATATCTCTATAGTTTCTAAGCTTTCCAGTTGTATCTTTCACCATATTAACATTCTCACTTCATTACTCTATTTATAAAATGTGTCCTAGGTTTTTTTGATCCCTTTCTTCCCTTTCTCTGCAACCACTTTGATCCTATAACATCTATTGAAATTATGGCTTTCTCTAGATTTCAGTCCAACTCTCCTTCCTCTAATAAATCTTCTATGTAACCTCACAATGAATTTAGAATTTTTTCTTGAAATTCCCAATGTACATGTATGCTGTTTGTACCTGTTCTATCTTCACTTAGAGCTTCTCCAGTCAGTATTCCTTACTAAATTGCTGTCTTCTACAGGAATTGAAAGTTCCACACTCACATTTGTAACCTTCCATATACTTTGTTAGGAACTCCAATATATTTTGTACATGGGAAGTTATCCAACAATAATTTTTGAAATTATATTCAATGTTATATTTGTATCCCTTGGAAGAAAAGGCTATTTAGTACTTAAATATGTGAAAGGTTTCAGTGATTAATTTTATGAAGCAAACAGAAAAATAAAAATAAACAGTGGCTATGGGGCCAGGAAGAAATACTCGGTAGATTGCAATAAAGAGAATGGCTGCATATTCTCCTCTGGAGATTTCTCAAAAGTCTCTTCCTATTTTATGAATTTATCATCCTGTGTCTCTTTATCATAGCCCATCTTTCTCATGGAATGTGAATTAGTGCAAGGTAGTGCATGATACAGAGTACAAAATGAAGAATCTCAAGGCTATATGTTTTTGTCATTATAGTTGAATTTGGGCAAGTAACTTAGTGATCTAAGTTCAACTGTGGAAGAGTCATGTCCTCTTCCATAAAATGGAAAAAAGAATGCCTGTACTTTCCATTTGATAGGGTTATTCTGAAAATGAAAAGGGATGATATATTTAATAACAAATAGTACATTAGTCTCATCTATGTTTTTTAGTTTCCTGACTATGTAGTGGAGGTTAGGCCTCCATAACTATGTGCATGTTTTCTGACATGATAAACATTCTTCTGTTTTATAAAATTAATTCTACTTCCCCTTATAAAGTAAAGCACAGTGAGCATCTTCTCCAGAAAGACTTCACAGATACTCAAATTTACTATATGCTCTACCATAGCCCCTCTCATCCTGGATCACAACCTTTGATTTAATTTTCAGTCTTCATTATGATGATGCAAAGACCTCGTCTTCTGGGACTAAAACTTAGACAAACATTGAATCTTTTACACATTATTATTCAGTAAATGTTGGTTGGGTGAATAAACTTTAAAACATATCTCAGTTTTTACCCAATTCCTTATAAAGTTTAAAACAGTAATCTCCTAGTTTGTAATTTTGTGATAATTGTGGTTCAGTTTTGTAAAATCAACAGTCACATAACTTGAATCTGAGGCCTAGCAGAAAACCCAAGAAATATTTATGATAGCATTGTAGAAGCTCTCATAATGGCCTAGTAGAAAACCCAAGGCATAGTTAGGAGAGCATTCTACTTTTTGCAGAAGTTTCCTCTAAAATAAATAAAGAAGTTTATACAGACACGTCACAGAATATTTATTAGGAATGATATTGAAAAGCAGAAACATGAACATGGGGCCTGCTTTGTATAAAGGCATGCTTCACTTGGTAATTTCTAAAAAAAAATTCTCCCTAATCCTGTTTCAATATGCTAATCCCCTTCATTCCTTCATCAAGCCTGCTTTAGAATTGTTTTATATACAATAGCCTCCTACTCTGCAGAGGTGACTAAACTTTAATGTTACCTAAGGTTCCCTGCATCAATTTATTCAAAGGCACAGAAATATGGGAATGAAATAGGCCATAAAGATAAAATACATTATTAAATAGAATTATTGTCATTGTTATTATTCTCTCAACGAACAGGGAGATGAAGAGCTGAATTGTGCACCATATGGTAATTGCTTGGAAGATAACAGCAACTTACGGTCACACCTTCAGCATCCAGCCACATTGTTTGCTGCATTTCAGGTGCCAGTGTGGCAGAGGGCCAGCCCAGGAAAGATGAACTGGCAGAGAGAGAATGACAGACATTAGGCATAAGTACTTTTCATGTCAAGCCTTTGGCGTGTTCATTGTTGAAAAAATCTGTTCTCAGAAATGCTTTCCAAAATGCACAAGTTATGCTATGAAGGCATATGATAACTTCTGCTATCCAGGGATATGTTAATATGGACCATCCTGGGAGATGCCAAATCACAGCCAGGATAATGGGTGATTCCAGATGTCTGTCTGGTCCCAATCGTCATGCCCAAGGGACATTGTGAAACTAAAAAAGGAAAGTTTAGGTAAAATTTTTTGATGCATGATGACTTCCTCTACCAGTAGCCAATTTTGAAAGAGACAAAGAGCAATTTGAACCTCTCATATTCTAGTATGTGCAGACTTTCATTTTCACGATCTATATTTAAATCACAGATTTGAATTATCTATCTTTCCCGCAGTAAGAGGAGAAACTTTTTCAAAGTTATTAAAGGTAAGATTTCTACTTTAGACGGTTTAAAAGCTATCTTAGTTTTGAATAGTGTTGTTCAGCTTACTAACATTACTTCTTGAAAGGTTAGCTCACTGTAGAAAAGAGTTTGATTTGCCAGTGCTTTTAAGGAAGGCATTATATTATATTATTGAATAATAATATACATTATTATTACATTACATTATAATATTGAATCTTCCCCAAAACATCATCATGTTAATATGTTAATCATATTACATTATTACATAAACATATTACATATTAATCAGTTTTCATTTTCTTTCCAAATAAACATTTCAAGGAAACAGAAAAATGATTTTCCCAAAGTCACTAAACTGGACTGTGATAGAAATAGAATACAAATATATTTCCTGTATTCAAAACAAATGATCTCTGATATCTTTCTTATGTTAATAAGCAGTCATTTATTATAATTTTCTTTTGAGAGCCAGTTTGATAATTTCATTATTGGGTTTTCCAAAAATATTTTGTATTTGAAATCTAGTAAATGATATGTAATTTATAAATGATAAAATATATCTATGTATCCATCCTATATTTAATTGATTACAAAATTGGTAAGAATGATTATCTTATATTTTATAAGTGAAAAGTTTTAACTGTGTAGAAATGCTCAAAGGCAGAAAACATACCTACAACACAACTATTTCTCTAGCTGATATCTTTGACTGAGTTCACAAACCTGCCTTAAAAGCATCAGCAAATCAAACTCTCTTTTCTACAGTGAGCTACTAGCCTTTCAAGAAGTAATAGAACCTTAAATGTAGAAATGCTTTTGGAATTTATTCAGAACAGTAGAAATCTCAATCCAAAAGCACAGCTGAATATTCATGGAGCGTTTTTATTTATCCAAACTTATCCTTGGGAAAACACAATTTTGGAATGATCACCATAATATCTTGGACAGCAAAATGATCTTATATATAAATGTTTGCTTCTGTCATAGCTGTTGTTGCATTATAAGTGCACACAAATACACACGTGAATATGCATATATGAGATTAAAAACACATTTAGAGCTCTAATTGTATTTTATGAATATTTTACTATACCATGGCTATGAAAGCTTTCCTAATGAAAAAATAAAAAAGTTAAATATCTCTGTAGTAAAGATATTTATTGACTTTCCACAGTGACCTCAGCCCTGATCCGGGCACTGTGGTTAGGAAAAGTATCAAAGATGATTCTTAAAGATCGTGCATGTTTGGGCTCAGAATATAATACTCTCAAATATGGGCAAATTGACAATTGAGAAAACGGTAGAAACAAGAAGGTCAATCTGACCTTCCTCTGGCTTTCTGTGTGAGAGCTAGCCATAAAGGAGTTATCTGACTAACCTCGCTTAAAGTAGATCATAGGTCGGATGGATCTTGACCTCCATCTGGAGGACAAGAAATATCTGAACAGACAAACCTTTCTGACACACCCCATCACTCCCAGGTAATTAGCATTAAATCATGCCCTTTTTGACCCATCATACTTCTACACAACCGTCCACTATTCATAGAATTTAAACATAAAAATACGAAGTTTTTCCTGGGTTTTTTGGTCCTTATTTCTAAGTCCCCCATGTCATGTAAAAATTTGTTTAAATTAATTTGGTATGCTTTTCTCTTGTTAATCTGTCTTATTATAATAAGACATATTATAATAAGTCATATATGACCCTTGAAATGGGTGAGAAAAGGGTATTTCTCTCCTTTATATGTTCTTTCACAGGGAGGATCAAGATATACACAAGCACATCTTGAATAGGGCAATACAGATATTGAAATAAGTAACAGAGGGTAGAAGATTCAAGAGTGAATATGCAGGTGTACAAATAATTCCTTAAAAATTACTGAAAGCAGACACCAAGTGCCCTCCAGCCTGTTGGTCTTTGGAGTAACATGTGCAATTCAATAGCTATTTGCCCAGTGCACAGAAAACTTCAAGGGGATGGTACTCCTGTGAGTGGCCTTTCATGGCTCCTTAGAGCTTTTCTATGGACTAAATTGTGCACACACACTCCCTCCCCTCCCCCGCCGCCGCCAAATTTATATGTTGAAGTTCTAACAGCCAATTTCATTACATTTAGAGACAAAGTCTATAAGGAGGTTGTTAAAGTTAAATGAGTTCAAAGAGTAAGGTCCTGGTACAAAACAACTGGTAGTCTGGTAAGAATAAACACCAATGAGCTCCCTCTCAATCTCTTCATCATGTGAGGACATAGCGAGAAGGAGGCCATCTGCAAACCGGGAAGAGAGCCCACACCGGGAAGTGAATCTGCCAGCACCTTGATCTTAAACTTCCCAGCCTCCAGAACTGTCTAAGACAGGTTAGGGTATTTTGTTATGGCAGCCCAAGCAGACCAATACAGGCTTTGTTACGAAGAGAACCATAATGGCATGATCCAGTCATCAACTACATTCTCGTTTGCTTTCTTTACTCCAGCCACGTCAGTGCTTTTGGTTTTCCTTGAATGTTCCAGGCGCCTTTGAGTTTGGTGTATCCCTCATTACAGACATAGGTCATTTCTTCATCTACTTCAAGCCATTTTGCAAATAGTACCTTGTTAGTGAGGATTTCACTGACGATCTCTAAATTGAAGCGCCTTTCAATATCCCTATTGATTTCCCCTGCTTTTCTCCTCTACATTTATATTCAATGTACATACAGTGTATTGTACTTGTTAATTTTAATTATTTCCTCTCTTTTCTCACTGGAATGAAAGCACCAAAATAACCAAGATTATTAATTGTTTTATTAATTATGCTTAGTACCTGGCACATAATTGGTGCCCAATAAATATAAATCATATTGAATATAATGTTATCACAGAGCTTAACAAATTTATAAGATGTAGAAAAAGGCTAACAATGGTTGTAAACCAATGCTGATGGAGAAGATGGGGTGTTATAGAATATAGTTTATTCCTTGACTCAACAATCATTTCTTGAGTACATACTACAGATCTGGCACCGGCATCAGTGGTTTTAGAAGTCTGTAGTCCCAAGGGGGATGAGAAAGAGAGTAGAAGAGAGAAAGAACCAAAAGGTAATGATGAAATGAGAATAAATATATGATAGATAATATTATTTCCTCTTCTCATTCATCAGAGTTACAAAAATCAATTAAAAGATTATCCATTGCTATTACTGTTGTCTATTTGCAATTGTATTAAAGAATATGTTTGAATCTGAATGGCAAAGGGAAGGAAAAAGGGAAATGATAATAACATTATTTTTGGTTTGCTTAGGTAGGTAGTTTAAATTTATTTCCTGATACATATGTAAAACCATCGCTAAAACTGTAGCAAAATGTATTACGGAGGGAGGGGTGAGGGAAGAGGAAACTTTAAATAATATAGATTAAGAAACAATCAAGATGACACGTCAAAATTAATATAATAAGGCCATAGAAATCAAGAGCAAACTGAACTTCTGAGATATCAGGTCAATAACTATGGTTTTTTTACAAATGCATCTCAGGAAAGACAACTTCTAGAGTAGGAAGCAAGTTCATGAATGAGAAGTGGATGCTTTCAGAATCCCATCTTACTCACTTTGGATGAGATAAATTAGGATTAGCATAAACAGATCTAACACACCATATACTTTTCTTCTTCGTGATATATTTGTTGTTATCCTTTCAATCCTTGTCCTGAGAATAGAAAGCTTTATGGAGATATAGTAGGAAGAAAAGCTGCTTAATGGGGCACACTACAGCAAACATTATTGATCAATTTTGTTTTACTTGTAAGAATGATTGAATGTGCAAGTAATTGAGATGTCATTTTGTAGCTTGAACATTTTATTTTCTAGAATGTGTGTTTTCTCTGAGAGAATTTATTTCAGAAAAAATAAAGAACCAGAGATGATGTATTGAACAGGAAAAACACACCATTTGACAAGAAGATTTGTCTGGGTCACCCTCTTGATTTCATGGTTTCATGGTACCATTTTGTTTTGTCAGTGGTGAAATTTTGCCAGCTCGAGGCTAAAGCAAAGATTCTGTTCTAGCATTTCCCATTTTATCTCCCTTCCTGAATGCTTTATTCTATTTCATTAAACCACTCCCTTCTGCCTTTTCTGGTGCTTTGTAACTGCTTCCTCAAAACTTGCTGTAGTGAAGAGATCTAATAAACTCATTCGTATTTACATGTAAATAATTCATAAGCTCTACTTAACGTGTGGACACTCTCTACATACATCTGTTTACAAATATACATTCAACCATTCCCAAATAGCTATATATTTTAAGAGAGGGCAATAAAGAAAGAAGAAAAATGATGCTCTGGTAGCAGGCAAAGTTGAACAAGGGGAAAGTATTCTGTCTCCCTCTGCAAATGTTGAATTAGTGGATATTTACTGACTGCTTCTGCTGAAATGAAATTATGCAATAATGTCCTAAACCATCTAAGAATATAACCAGCCTGTCTCTTTCTGAAAGCTTCTGAAATTCCAACTACTTTATCTTTGTGCACAACGTAGAGACAATTGTTAGCAAACAGGGAATAAAAAATTACATTGAAACCATATCTAACTTTAGATTGAGGCCAACTAGGCAATCACTATGAATGTGGTTTGAAGGAATTCTCACTCATAAACATCTCCTCTCTCTCTTCACCAAATTATCTGGTATAATTCCATTAGAAATTGGTCCCTTCAGGTTACAGGACTGTTTCTAGTTAAATTGGAAATTTCCCTGAAAACTGAAACACTATAAGCCTAATCAGCAATTAATACTTTATGTGATGGAAGTTCAGTTCCTTTCCAACATAACTAGCTAATATCAGCTTTTTCAGAAAGAAATTCCATAGGTAAAGTGTGGCTGGAAGGAAGAAGGTAATGAGATGTTTCAGACAAGTGATATCTTGGGTTCAGCTTTATAATTCTGGTCATTTAAAAAAAGCATTGGGACTCAGGGAAGTGGCACTAATATGAGACAAAGAATTCTAACAGAGAGCTAGTGGAAACGTTTGTTGACATTACAACAAACATTGTTGATAAAGTCTGGCATATAATGATAAAGATATATTCTCTGACCTCAAAAATTACTTGCATACAAAATGGCAAGTTATTTGATGCACATATTGACTGATTACCATGAAAGCCCTGAACTTACATGTCAGGAGATCTGTCCAAGCATCGGCTCTACTTTTCCAGCTGTAAATCCTTAGGCAAGCCACATAAATTCTCTGAAGCACAGTTTTGTTTTGTTTTTAAATAATAGAGTTAACAGCATCTTCCCCCATCATAACAATAGGGTAATACATTAAGTAAAGTGTATTCTGTAAACAAAATCAACAGTGTTGTAATCTATAGTGCAGAGTGTACTTGGGAGCTGTTGCAACATTAATTGTTGACTCCTTATTTTGCCTTGTTTTAACTCTCAAAACCCGTATTGTCAGTGTTATGTATTTGGAGATCATACTAGATATGAATTTTTTTCCTGTAGGTTAACAAAACAATATGGGGCTAGGGGAAAATACAAACTCTGCTGTAAGTGTTCAAGGGATACAAGTAGCTTTCCTGGATGGAGTTCATCAGTGAGGACTTCTCCAGAGATTTAGGGATTACCCTTTAAGGAATGGAAAGAACAATTTTGCATTGAGAGGGAAGTAATAGTTGTATAAAAAGTAAGAGCTTCTGGTTTTCTTTGGGGTTGGACCAGAGGTTGACATAGAAACATTAGGAAATTATGGAGAACAATGCATCTGAGAAGGATTTGGATCCTAATTTGTAGGTCTTAATTTTATCCTATGAGCAAGATAAACCTCTTGACAAGAGCAGTAATGTAAGTTATACACCTGGTTTGAGATAGACAGACTAAGAAGACAGAGGCTAAGATAATCCAGTGTAGGGCCTTGTGTAATTGCTCAAAGATGTGATAATAATAGTGTTAATTTTAACAGAGGGTAGAATCATGGTAAGTTGTAGGCAGGGACCAGTAGCAATGAGAATGAAAAAACAGGAGTGTATTAGATATTCCTTGGACTGATGCAAAACAGCTAAGAGGATTGAATGAGGGTGTTGAAGAAATGGTAATTAAAAAATAAAAAAAAATTTGCACTGAAAGTAGCCGTGGTATGTCTCTTATTTCAATTTTTCATTATGTAGATGATAATAGTGAGGTTCAGAAAGTCTAAACAATTTGCCTGGGTAGCGAGACAATACTTCTAGGTAGGTTTGCTACTTCTTAGCTCACAATTTTTCTACACTTCAACAAAAACAAAAATTAATTTTAGAAGAGTAGAAATTGAAAATCACTTTTAACTGAAATGAGGTCATACAAAGACATTGCTAAAAAGCTTACATTACATGAGCCTATTTTTATGTGAAAAATATTTAACTAGAAATTGCCCACAAACAAATATAAATGTGAGATTAAAACTCATAAGAGGGATTAGCAATAAGATTATGTAACTGAACATAATTTTAATAGGCTTTGAATTTCAGCCCTCAGAATATTCTCACTAGCATTTTAGGCAAATATGAATTTGATCAGGATAACGTAACAGGAAGGTGGAAATCAATGAACTAGAATGTCCACTCCTTGCTTAAAGCTAATGTCTTCCCATTGCTCAAAGGTAGAGTTCAAATTTTCAAAATGACTTAAAAAGCTATCCATCATCCAGACGCTTCCTGTCCTTCTAGGTTTATCTTTTAGCACACTGTCATCCACTCTCTATCATCCAAACAAAGGAAACTATTTGATATGTGTCCAGTATGGGTGAATAAAGAAAAAATTCCTGGAGATACTGAGTTTTGACTGATAATGTGGAGTGAGTTGAGAGAGGGGTCTGAGAGTGGAATGAAGATGAGGAAAAAAGATTCTACACAAAAGAAGATGCAAAATTATGTGACATGGGAGAATGTCCTGTTCAAACAACTTCTGGAGACTCAATAGTGATGACTATTCTAAAGTGCATGTGAAGGGTGGGGAAGTTCAGAAGACAGTGGAAGGGCTGGGGATGCAGTATGCCATTTCCAAATAATTATCTGTATTTCTCCTAAAAAATTGTAAGCCCATGTAAATTGTGTCAAATATTTCTCAGCTCTGTGTTCCAAACCTTACACTTTGTTACCTACAAAACATTTATTTTAAATGTTTACTGTCAGTATTTTGAGGGTGGTGGGTGGGAGTAAACAGTATTTCTAGGTTCCACAATATTCAATCATTTTTAACAATTTAAAGAACAGCACATTCAAAATAACATGATTTTGGTGATTTGATAATTTTTGCTGTTTGCATCTGTTATAAATACCATGTGTCTGCCACTAATGTTTTCCATTTTCTAATTTTAATGTTCTGTTTCTAAAAGAACTACCTTACTATATATTACAGGCATTTTTATACTCATTTGCTTTAGGGTAATTTAAGTAATTTAAGTATGCCTATGTGATATTTGTATGTTTTCTTTCTTCCCTAGGCTATGAGCTTTTTGAAGACTGTTTCTCTTTTGTGTTTTGTACATCCAGATCATGGCACAGTGCCTGAAATGCAGTAGGAGCTCAAGAAATGTGGGTTGAATAAGAAAATTTAAGCAACTATGCGATCTTATGCTGAAATAAATAGCATAGACAATAAGTTGTATAGGGTCAACTAATGAAAAATTAAAGAAACATTTACTGATGACTTACGTGGTACTCAGCCTTGTACAAGTCACCAGGCCCATTAAAGAAAACACTACAACAAAAATCACAGGCCTCCATTAGCTTAACATTTACTGAAATTTAGTTAAGAAATTTATGAATATTGTGAGAGTATTAGGTCAGATGTTAATTCCCATTAATTACAGTGGGAATTAAGTGAAGAAAAAAAACTAGTTAACAACAGAAGAGTGAAAACATTAGCAGAAATAGGCTTGCTCAGTCTCAGAAAGAGGTTGTAGTGTGGGAGTTTATATGGAAACAGTTTGGCTCTCTCTGCTATTTCTTAATACAGGATTAAACAAGAAGAAACTTTATGAAACTGCACAATTTTACTTGATTTCAATTCAACTGAAAACAATCAAATAGTCAGAAAATAATGACAGATTATTTTCAAAAATGACACCTTGGAAGTGGCTGAATTACAATTTTTGTCACTGCAAGCCTGCAGAAAATACCGTTCAGCTTCCTTGTCCACTCACTGTAGCTTTCGGAATAAGGAAATGGCTAGAGGAGAAAAGCAATGCTAACAACTGAGTTCATCTTTCTGGGTGTTACTTTCTCCAAGATATTGGCTCCCCAGATTGTTACTATCTTGGATGTTCTTTAATGTTTTCTTATACTTCTACTTTTAATATTTTGTTCAGTATCTCTAATTGACCTCAGTAGGAATCACAGTTCAAAATAATCTGGTCTGCTATTGCTGGAAGAGACGTTTCCTAGATTACATTTATAAGACCCAGAATTTCATATAGAATTCTGATGCTGGGAGTTCCAGGAACCAGATTCAATGCCTCAGAATAAGGATATCCTGTTCGAGGGACCATAGAATAAATTAGTGACACTAGGAGAAAATGCCTAATTATCTGTAGGCACTAATTTCCCCAAGAGTTTTTCCAAAACTAGAGTTTACTGCACTTTCAGAGCCATTGTCAGTATTAATTCTATTTAGATTTCATAAAATCTCTCACTTTAATTTTGTTATTTGGCAGAAAAACTTTTTGAATCCCAACTTGTTAGTCTTTTTTCAATTTCCAGGAAGCAAAACCAGCCTGGGATAAATTATCTTCAATGTCTTCATCCATAAGGTTCATATCTCTAACTTTTTCTCAATCTTTTAAACCTCCAGAAACTCAGTGCCCTTGCTCTGTTTCTTGAGTGTTCAAGATATTTTGATATTCACACTTTTCCCCTACAGATTCCTTGCTGTAAATTTCTAGAATTTTCTTCCTCCTAAATTATTTTTTTTTTCAAAAACAGTGTTCCATCACCTGGGTTTATTCAATTGTTTTTTTTCTAAGAGTGACTGTCATGCACATTGTAGAACGACTAGCATCTTTGACACCTGGGCATTAAAGACCAAGAGGAATTCTCAGTCATTTCTCATAGTAGACATTTTGAAATTGTCTACCTTTCTGACTTCAAATGCACGTGTGTCTTAAGATAATATGTAGTATTTAGGTATTGGGAATGAGGGCTAGATATATTTAATAGCCTTTTTTAAACACTTAGCTTTTTAACTAGAAGAGTAGGCTCATTTAAGTTTCTCAAATACTAGTGTTTCTATATTCAATAAAATATAAGAGAAAGATATAAATCTCAAACGTCTTTTCAAGATATCTACAGTTATATTACACACTATTATTTCCAGCAACAGTTGCTAGACAATCACAATAAAAAATGACCTTTTTTAATAGGAAGAAAAGGTGACACACCACTGCTAAGGCCAACTCCTTGAAGCATGGATGACTAGTGGTCTGTGTTAGCAAAATATGCTGGGTTTGCAAATCTTCTTCTTCTTTTTTTCTCTTTTTCATTTTTATCTGTAAATGTATATAATTTGCTTGGTAGAACAGATCAAAGAGTGTTTCTTGGCCAAATTCCCATCTCTTTGGAAATACGTCCAGTTATCTGGGAATTTAGCTGAGGTCAAATAAGGTACTAGATTGGTTTAGTTTAGTGATCAAAGTAAATAGATAAATAAAGTGTATCCACTCAGCTTGATGTTCAATTTATTATACATCATAGTTATATAAACAGAAAAGTCATAATTTAAAGACTCCAGTATGTACCACTGGCCAAAATGGATAAGACTCAGCAAGAAAAAAAAATTTGCTGTACCAGCGATATTTTGTTTCTTCTTTCTGTACTAAAAACAGCTCAGTGCTATTTGGTGTGAAGTAAAAAACGGCCTTGAAGAGTGTATTCCAAGTTCAAGAATAGTTAAAGATTTAAGATATATTCATGCAGAAAATAGAAGATAATTTTTTACAATCAATACAGAAACATGGATTTAAAAGATTAGTTACTATCGGCCATTTAAGAAGGTAATTTGGCAGGAAAAAGAAAACTCTTGCAGTGGCAATCACAAAGGGTGTTGCTCATAAAAAATACAATTGAAATTTGCCAATCTAAGCTTTAAATTAATAAAAAAATTCACACTAAAATATTTCACAAACCTTAATACCTTTTAAAGGTAGAGCTCACTAGGCAACATTTGGTATGTTTATGCAGGGCATGGAGCCATGATTATAAATATTCATTACTACATATTAATGCTTTTAGATGGTATTGAGGTAGGCAGGACTTTTTTTCCTTTCATTGCTATATTCTTTTGAATTTATCTGCTATTTCACATTTTGACTAACTCTGCCTTGACAACTATTAATTTGGCTGCAGTTAGAATGCTTACCTCCAGCAAAGTCATTCTGCTTCTTATTCCTACCCCGACATAATTTATTGTTGTAATGTTTCATGGACTAGAAAATCAGACTGAAAATTTAGTACAGATGTGTGTAATATTACAGTAAATAATCTTTGAATCACAGTCCTATGTTAATCTACTATGAATCAAAGAAACGAGTATATACACTTTGTGATATTTACTTCGGATCTTTGAAGACGTTAGTATTCAGTTTCTGATTTTTAAAAAGTTCAATTGATCAGATAAGAGATATGTGGGAAAGAGAGGAGGGAAGATTTTATTTTCTGGTGAGAGTAGACTAATTCAGGCCAATATTCCAACTACAACTAGAAACTAGAAATGCTGTGTGTGTGTGTGTGTGTGTGCATGTGTGTGTGCGTGCGTGTGTGTGTGTGTGTGTGTGTGTAGCAGCTGAGAGCTAACAGAATCATGAGAAATTCCTAACCTGTTACGAGGGGAGAATGGAGGTGGCTTAGGAATTTTATTTTAGCATTTGTGGCTGCTTTTCCAATGGGAGAGTGTGTCGAATCCAGAAGGCGGAACCTGGGAGGTACGTGAGCACTTTTAATATCCCAGAAATGCTAGTGATATAAATATTGATATCCAAGCACTTCAAGGATGGTGATAAACCTTCTTTTGGATTAGGACCCTCCAGAATAGCAGCATCAGAGCAATAAGGGTGAACCCAGAAAATAGAAAGGCTGGTGAAGCCTGCAGCCCAGCTTCATACACATCACCTCCCCAAATGGGAGAAGACTCTAAATTTCTAGCGCTTCCAAGTGCCTAGCAAGAACAAAGGTAAATCATCTTTGGAACAAAACACATCATTCTAAGTCTCAAATATATCTGCAAATGGTTTTCCTCTCACCGTCTCCAACATGTAATAAACAATAATAACACTCACTTCGATGGTTAAAAATAGGATGAAAACTTTTTATATTCATAAAAAATCCTAAAATAAACACTATATAAAGTATCTTCCAAGTCGCCACATATTAGAATAGTTAATCATGGCCTTTAAAATGTCTGTTTCTATCATGAAGAACGTAGAGAATTTTTTTCAGAGAAATGAAAATGCAACCAAAAAATTGAAATCCTGGAACTTACAAATACAATGACCTAAAACAGAAACCTAGTGAATGAGTTTAACAACACATTAAAAGTAGCTGAAGGGAATAATTAGCGAACTAGAAGATAATACCTAAAATAAAGACTAGAGAGAAAAAAGATCAAAATTATAGTACAAAATAAATAAAAAATACAGTAAGAAAGTCTTACTTATTTGTGCTTAGAATTCTATAAGAAAAGGAGAGAGATAAAGGAGCAAAAGTAATAATTAAGGATATAGTAGCTGTAATTTCTAAGACTAATGGAAGTCAATAAGCCACACACAAAAAATGCTCTAAAAATCCTAACAAAATATAAATTCATACCCAAGCTCATTGAATTTTAATTGTCAAAAACTAAAAACAAATAAAAATATTAGAACCATTAGCAAACAAGAAATACGCATTCCAAACAGTGTCAATTAAACTGTCAACTGAACTCAACACAGAAAACGCAGAAGGTAAAAATATAATGAAATATTATTAAAAGACTGAAACAATTTCCAACTTAGAGTTCTTAATCCAGCAAAACTTATTTTTCCGGAATAAGAAAAATTAAAACAAGGGGGAAAAAACTAAAAAGCAAAAATAAAACATTATCATCAGAATTGCACTAAAAGAAATACTAAAGACTATTCTTTAGACAAAAGAAAAATCATACCAAGCAAAGTATTGGAAATGCAAGAACAAGGAAACCAGTAACTTGTACTAAATATTTACTGCAGAAAACAATAATAATAATTACTTTCAAGTTTAAAATATAGATGCAATTTAAATTTATAATCTGTAACTATAGACTTTACATTTATGTATACGTGAAATAATTCCAATATTAAAACATATCCTGGGTCATAAAGCCAGTCTCATCAAAATTAAAATGATCGACATCATGTAGAGTTGACTCTGATTGTAATGCAGTTTAGTTAAATATTAATAATAAAAAATAACTAGAAAGATATCATATGTTCAGAAACCTACAAATGTGCTCTTAAACCCACAGGTTTATTGAATAAATCAAAATGAAATATAGAATATATTTGCATATGAAAAAGGAAAATTCTATAATTCAAATATCATGGGATACATCTAAAAGTAATAGGGACAATTATAGTCATAAGTATTTGGCTATATTCAATGATCCACAATAAATTTCTAACTCTTGGTTCATACGTGGCTAACAAGATTCAGAATATAGTTTTCAAAAATTAAAAAATCACTTCAATGAAAATATAAGATAAATAAATGCCAAAGATTTCCTACCTTATTAATGAGGAAACCAATAATCTCATATAGCTGGTTCAAAAAGGATTTGATAAACTGAGTATTTGAGGCATTTTACGAAATGAGTGTTAGGAGTAAAATTGCTAGATTAAGTACAAAATTTGTTAATGTCCTCAAAGGTAATAATCTTTGAAATTGCCTTTTCTATTTGTATGGAAGTTATAAGTAAATATATTACTTCAAAATATTTGGGCTTTAATTAAAGCAAAGCTAAATACGTTGCATTCTCCAAGAGAATTAAATAGTCCTGTGTGAGCCTTTTAAATGATGCCCCAGTATGATGTTGAAAGAACAGATTATTTTCTTTTTGCTTTAATTCTAAACTTTGGAAAACTCTTCTTGACACAAATATTTACAGAATAATTGTTTAAGAAAAGCTTATATAGCAGATGGAACAAAGAAAGCATAGTCCTCAAGGCATTCTCAATCTAGTTTGTAAAGCAAAACAAGAATCAAGCACAGAACAACATAATTTTTTAATTAATGCGATGTATATTTAATAGTTAAATAAACAGTTAATTTTCCAGTGACAAGAAGCAGGGAGACTCCAGCAATCAGTAATAGGAAATTTTCAGTTCTTCACAATTCTATGTAGATGAATCAATCAGACCTCAAGTCAAAATGTTCAAACCTAAAGTCATCTTCCCCTGCAACTTCTCCTGCATGTCCACCATTGACTCTGTCTCTTAGGATTGAAACTTTCAAGCCTTAATGGATAGGGTAATATACAATTTTTAAAATATTTCTAGCATAGTTCCTGCATTAGAGCAGGTGATTTATGTATATTGACCTAATTCTTACTCTTTTATAAATGCCCCTCTTATATTCTCATTGCTTGACCTCCATACATCTTAGTTTTACTATATAACTAGTCCCTTCTTACCGCATGTCAGGTATTTTCTAAGTGATTTAGGTGCATTGGTTTATATAATCCTCTCAACAACTCTATAGGTTGGCACTATTTTAACCCTTTATTACAAATAATAAAGCTTAGGATCAGTGTAGTTAAGGAATTAATCTAATTTACCTATCTTATAAGGGGCAAAATCAGGACTTTACCTCAGGTATTCTTACTCCTAATCTTTTAATTATTTTATTAATGGCTTTGAATTACATCATATGGCAGAATGGAATGAGGTGGGTAAAGCCTGGAACCCATTTGGTTTTTGTGTGTTTGTTTGTTTGTTTCTGGTATCCTGGAGAGAAAGTATAAGAAAGACTTAAACCAAGGTGGTAGCTGTGTGCAAAAGCAAAGAAAAGAACAGGATAATCTTAAACATGTCTTTAAGGAGAAAGTCAGAAAACAGATTCTCTGTATCCTTAATCAGGTGAAGTCCTTCTGCCCATCTCAGTTGCAAGTTTCAGAGGAGTTTATGTAAGAAACACTATTCCAGACAAATAAACGTTCTAATCCTAGCCTGAATATTGGCTAATAATTCTCTCTGAAACTTCTAAGCAGGCTGACGGTAGTTACTTAACTAGTAAAAAGCTGAATTTAAAGATAAATCATTTTATGGTAAATGGAAGACAAGGAAAGAAAATGCCCCAAAAGAATTAGCTTTCCTCTCTAAATCTAAGCTTCCTTAAGATACCAAATCCATGCTGCCCTTTCCTGGACCCTAACATGAGCCTGCCAGGGCTTTCAAAACGGACCTTAGACTTAGGTATCTACTAATAGCAGCTACATAGCAAATACTCTACAGATGAGAAAAAGGAATATATATAATACATATATATGTATATATCACACACATATATGTGTGTGTGTGTATATATATATGTATTTTAAAGGAGAGTACAATACTGGAAATGGACATTTCTTTGGGTCAATATTGTGCTCCTTAGATGTCTTGTGGATTTTATCTGTTTGAAAGAGGGCAGTGTATTCAAGGATCACCATTAAAATTAAGGTGTTGCTCCAATTACTATTGTTACATAAAAAACCTGTCCAAAAATGACTGATGTAAAACCACCATCTAATTATGCTCATAACTCAGGCAGAGCTCATTTGCTTATCTCTGCCCCATTATGTTGGTAGGTTGCTCAATGGCTCGAGGTTGGAATCACTTGGTAGTATTCTTACTTATAAATGTGGCAGCTGATGCTGAGTGTTAGCAGGGACCTAAGCTGGACTGAAAGCTAGAACTCCTATTGTGGCCTCTCTATATAACACTTCTATTGGCCTGTTCATAGCAATGACAACTGGATTCCAAGAGTGAGCATCCTAATAGAGCAAGAGGAAAGTGTGTGTCATTTACTTGTGTGCTAAGACCATGCTTTGAAGCTAATAAATAGAGATGTTTGATTGATTTAATGTCACAGAACATCACTTTCACTTGCACCATACTCAATTGGTCAAAGCGGTCACATAACTCTGCCTGTGATCAATGAAATGGAACTACCAAATGGGAGGAATGTCAAGGTCCCAACATAAGAGAGCATATTCGATGGTCTTATGGTGGTAGGCAACACACCCTAGGTGTGTAGGCATGGACAATAGGAAATTGGGCGATTGGGCAATGTGCTTTAAGTGGTAAGAGCTCTGGTCTCTAAATCCATCCAGGGAGGAAGAAAGCTACCAATACTCAGTTCTCTGTCTTAAATACTGAGAAGTTTACTCAAAGTAATGATTAATCTAACGCACATTAGAAAAAAAATTCAGTGCTACAACAGGCTTTAGTATTTGGCCAAAAGTTAGTATATGACTTGGAGGTTGCTGACTTTATTTTTATATTCAATGAGTTCCGAATTTGAAGGATGCACAAGAGTAAACTTGGCAGAGGTGGAGTAGCCACAGGGAGAAGGAGTGGTCTGTGGGGTGTCTTGGGGTAAACAAGAGAGAGGAGGACAGGGAAGAGTCAAAGAAGGAAGGCCAGTGTGACTGAGCACAAAATGTGTTAAGCCTAGGGCAACTGAACTCAGTAAGTTCATCAGGAACCAAGGATATAGCCTATGTTAATGACATAGATCTTTATCTGAAAGGCCATTAAAATATGGATGCAGGGTGGGTGACACAGTTTGAAAAGATCACTTCAGGAAAAAAAAATAGATATATTGGAATGAGAGGAGACGCTGTGTGAAGAGTGTATCCAATTAAAGAGTTTTATAGTGGTCTAGGTAAGAAATGTTGGCAACATGGACTCGGGCTGTTGCTGGGAAGATCAACACAGGTGGACAGATTTAAAGCTACTTCTGATAAACTGGTCATTCTGGGCTTAAGAATTCAGAGGAAGTTTCGAGGTGGAGATGAAAACTGAGTTAAATCTTGAGGAGCAGGTAAACATGAGTTAAATGGGTGAGGTGTGCAAGAAAATCTCAAGTAAGGAAAATGGCATCTAAAAACAAATGCACATTGAAATATGCAATAAGGCCATGTTCTGGAGTTAATATAGAAGAGTTTGATTGTGCTCTTGTGACTCGAAAAGCTTCAAATATTAGATGAAATAGACTAAGACAGATAGTGAATATTAGCTTAAAGAGATTTCAACACAAATTAAGAATCCAATGTTCATATTTTTATATAATTACATAGCAAGAATGTTTGTGTTCTAGAAATAAATATAACAGCCTTAAATTCCTAGTGCTACCATTTTGTAGATCTGTGATCTTGGAGAGATTACAAAATCTCCTTAAAATATATTCTTTAAGCTTTTTTTTGGTTTTTAAAAGTAAAGGAAATAATAATGCCTACCCCATAGAATAGTTGGAAAGATTAGATGAGATAATGCATACTTAATGCAGTATCTGAAATGTAGTACATGCTTATAATTATTAATTATTTATTATTACTATTTTTACTAGGAGCACACTCATTGCTATTGCTTATTATCTTAAACCATTTACTTTGGGAGTTTAAAAAGGGAGAGAAAATGTAGGTAATTAGTGTGATCAGAGACTGCTTTTGCAGGAGGTGGGGGTTAGAATGGGGCAAATTGTGATGAACATGATGGGAGCATTTCTACGGAGCAAGTATCGAGTCTATTTCAGAGAAATGATCTGTACTATCAAATTCTACTTCACCACCTGATACTGTTTGACTCTGTGTTTGCACCCAAATCTCACCTTGAATTGTATTCCTATAATTCCCACGTGTTGTGGGAGGGACGTGGTGGTAGATAATCAAATCATGGGAGTGGTTTCCTCCATATTATTCTCATGGTGTTGAACAAGTATCATAAGACTGGATGGGTTTATTAGGGGTTTCCACTTTTGTTTCTTCCTCATTCTCTCATTGCCTGCTGCCATCCATGTAAGATGGGACTTGCTCTTTCTTGCCTTCCACAGTGATTGTGACCTTCCCCAGCCACATGAAACTGTAAGTACAATTAAACCTCTTTCTTTTGTAAATCACCCAGTCTTGGATATGTCTTTATAACCAGTTTGAAAATGGACTAATACAGTAAATTGGTACCAGTAGAGTGGGGCATTGCTGAAAAGATACCCTAAAATGTGGAAGAGACTTTGGAACTTGGTAACAGGCAAAAGCTGGAACAGTTTGGAAGGCTCAGAAGAAGACAGGAAAATATGGGAATATTTGTAACTTCCTAGAGACTTGTTGAATGGCTTTGCCCAAAATGCTGATAGCGATATGGACAATAAAATCCAGGCTGAGGTAGTCTCAGATGGAGATAACAAACTTGTTGGGAACTGGAGTAAAGGTGACTCTTGCTATGTTTTATCAAAGAGACTGGTGGCATTTTACCCCTGCCCTAGAGATTTGTGGAACTTTGAACTTGAGAGAGATGATTTAGGGTATCTGGCAGAAGCATCAACAGGTGACTTGGGTACTGCTAAAGGCATTCAGTTTTATATAGGGTTGGAAAATTTGTAGCCTGACTATTCAATAGAAAAGAAAAACTGATTTTCTGGGGAGAAATTCAAGCCGGCTGCAGAAATTTGCATGAGTAGGAAGAAGCCTAATGTTAGTCCCCAAGACCATGGGGAAAATGCCTCCAGGCCATGTCAGAGACCTTCACAGCAGCCACTGCCATCACAGGTCCGGAGGTCTAGGAGGAAAAAGCAGTTTCATGGGCTGAGCCCAGGGGTCCCCATGCTGTGAGCAGCCTAGGGACTTGGGGTCCTGTGTCCCAGCCATTCCAGCCATGGCTGAAAGGGGCCAACATACAGCTCAGGCTGTAGTTTCAGAGGGTGGAAGCCCCAAGCCTTCTCAGCTTCCAAGTGGTATTGAGCCTGCAGGTGCACAGAAATCAATAATTGAGGTTTGGGAACCTCCACCTAGATTTCAGAAGATGTATGGAAATGCTTGGATGCCCAGGCAAAAGTTTGCTGCAGGGGTGGGGCCCTCATGGAGAACCTCTACTATAGTAGTGCAGAAGGAAAATGTGGAGTGGGAGCCCCCACACAGAGTATCTACTGGGGCACTGCCTCATGGAGCTGCAGGAAGAGGGCCACTCTTCTCCAGACCCCAGAATGGTAGATCCACCAACAGCTTGCACCGTATGCCTGGAAAAGCCACACTCAATGCCAGCCCATGAAAGCAGCTGGGAGGCTGTACAAAACCATAGGGGTGGAGCTTCCCAAGACACTGGGAACCCACCTCTTGCATTGGCATGACCTGTATGTGAGACGTGGAGTCAAAGGAGATCATTTTGGAGCTTTAAAATTTGACTGCCCCGCTGGATTTCAGACTTGCATGGGCCCTGTAGCCCTTTGTTTTGGCCAATTTCTCCCATTTGGAATGGTTGTGTTTACCCAAGGTCTGTACATTCGTTGTAGCTAGGAAGTAACTAGCTTGCTTTTGAGTTTACAGGTTCATAAGTGGAAGAGAATTGCCTTGTCTCTGATGAGACTTTGGACTGTGGACTTTTGGGTTAATGCTGAAATGAGTTAAGACTTTGGGGGACTGTTAGGAAGGCATGATTTGTTTTGAAATGTGTTGATATGAAATTTGGAGGTTGCAGGGGCGGAATGATATGGTTTGACTGTGACCCCACCCAAATCTCAACTTGAAATTTATCTCCCAGGATTCCCAAGTGTCTTGGAAGGGACCCAGGGGGAGGTAATTTAATCATGGGGGCTGGTCTTTCCCACGCTATTCTTGTGATAGTGAATAAGTCTTAGAAGATCTGATGGGTTTATCAGGGGTTTCTGCTTTTGCTTCTTCCTCATTTTCTTTTGCCACTGCCATGTAAGATGTGTCTTTCACCTCCCACCATGATTCTGAGGCCTCCCCAGCCATGTGGAACTATAAGTCCAAGTAAACCTCTTTCTTCTCAGTCTCAGATATGTCTTTATCAGCAACGTAAAAGCGAACTAATACAATGAGGTAACAATTATTGGAACACTAGGAAGAAAATGCCAAATATACCAGGCATGTTTGTGAATAGATCGCAGTTTTTATATCTGAATCTTTAAATTTATGTAGAAAAATAGATGAATATTAGTAAAAGGGAAGGCAGTTGTCATAGAGGACATTTTCTCTTCTCAACAGAACATTAGAACTCATTGCAAGAGCATGTCAAGACAGGACCAAAGTGGACTCACACCATTGCCTTCGGTGAACCTTGAAAAACTTATCAACACCAAGAACCTGGCCAAGTTAATGCAAAAGTGTGAAAGAATGTCTTTCTCTGCTCAACTGAGGAAGTGTTTGGGGAAATGCCTTTGCTGTAGCTCAGCCTTTGGCAGTCATCCCTTGTGGAAGAATACTGAGACCCAAGAAAAGAGGCTGCAAATGACATTCCAGCCCACAGCTTAATAATTTCAGAAAACTCTGTTGCTTGCCAATATTCCAATGAATACATATATTACAAATAGTAAGAGTCTGTGGTTGTTGTTAACTTATTTATTAAATTCTTCTTAGGGCTTTGTAGGCAGTGCAGCACAGCCACGATCCCCCTTGCACAATAATGGCTGCCTAGAGCTCCTAGCACAGAAAAAAGAATAGAAATACAATTTTCAAGTACATCTCGCAGTTTATTCAAAGTGGAAAATAACTCATATTATGAGCTTTTAGAGAATCAAGAGAGAACATATTAATGCTGCTTTCCTTTAATAGTTCATTTCTCAAATTTGATTTTTATTTTATTTATTTATTTTTAGAAAGACTTGAGGACGGGAAGGGACCTATAACTAATATGACCAGGTTTGGCTTTTCTTTGTACACATGAAAAAATCAGCAGATCCAAGATGTAATCTTAGAGAGCACCAATCTCCCCTCACTTTCTGTTTGATAGCTTTCACCCTAATAGGATAGGATTGGATTTAAACTCTGCCACTTTAAATCAGCTTTGAATCTTGCATCTAACTCTTCTCCTGGGTTTTAGTGCCATATTGCAATGTTAAAGTGTAAAACTCTGCATCTGCTGAGGCATTTGGCTGGAAAAGCAAGTATGTCAATGGCCGTCCCTCGCTGCCATCACACATATGGAATTTCTGTGTTCAGCTCTGCCATCTGGTCATTAGGCCGAGATTCACTCTTCATTGAATAAGGACCATCTACCATATCCGTGCCTCTCACAATATGACATTCTTTTCATGGTGTTATTTTGCAGTTCTTATTTGATGACATTTTCTTTTTTCCACAACCTTCTTCCTGTGCCCACCCTCACAAATATTTTACAAAGAGCAACCTTCAATGCCATTCAGAAAAACAGAAAATAACACATCATGTAATGGATATAACTGGAACAAAAGCGATCAAAATTTTGAGTAACTTCAAGCATAAAGCTAGGTCTTTCATAATTATGAATGCTGCAGATTGTGTCTTAGAAGTGTACAAGGTAGCTGATAGACATACAGCAACCTTAACCAAAAAAGAAAATGTCGGTTTATTGTCCCTGCCATTCCATTTCCCTTATTTATTAAGTTATCCTGGGACCAGATGATGTTTTCTTTTCTATCACAAGGACATGGAAAAACAATAGTATACAACGTTTACTTCAGTATACACTCTGTTGCCACTGAACTGTCTCCTCCTTAGGAAGATACAAACACCTAACTAGTTCATTTTCTCCTCAAACCCTTCATTTCCTTATTGGAAGGAAAGAACACAATTTCAGCCAGAAAATAAATACCACCTTATTTCAAAAGTTTCAAAGGAAAATCCTCAGCAACCAGTCAACGTAAAACATTGGATAATCAGAAAAAGAATTGGCAGAAACTTTATAACTTGATAGAAAAAACAAAAAGAATTTAAAATCTGTAGCCAGATTCTTCTGTGAAAAAGATGTTAGCTAAGGGTTGACTTGAAGGAGAATTGTGCGTAATTGAGACTTAAAATTCATAATCTGAAACCTTCCCAAACTTTCTCCACAATCTCACCATTCCTAACTCACCTATTCCCTAACCACCAACTTTCACACGTCTCATCAAAATGTAACCAATGTATGTTTCATTCAGTAGGATTCAGCAAACCTCTATATGACTCCAAAACCTGAGCTGTTTACCCTACTCCATTATTCTTTGCTGAGTCATCATGAAGTGTTAGACTTTTAATATACTACCAAACCCAGGACTCCATCTGTAGAGATGCACCTTGGAGCTCTGAAATTTGTGTCCACATTATTTTGTTCTTTTGATTTCTGCACATCTGAAACATGGAATCCTTTCTATTATAATCCAGGCATGTTTGTTAAAATTAAGTAAATGATCTCATATAAGACAAACATCCCCTATAAGGAGTGAGAAGAGATGGGGTGTAATTGCAAAGGGCAAATGTTCTGAAGTCTCAGAGGCTAGGTTAGAATGTTTGCTTTTCCATTTCCTGGTTTTGTAATATGGATCAAGGTAATTCCTTGTCCTGTCTCAATTTCCTCATCTGTATGGTGAGAAAATACCTGAAATACAGGGAGATATTGTGATAATTACATTTAAATGCCAAGTTCTTAGCACCATGCTAATACACATTATGGCTTCAGTACAAGATAGCATTTTTATCATTCAGTAAGCAAGTATCCTTGTTATGGAAGAGTGCATTGTGAGATATAAAAGGACTCATACCACTGGTTCTCAAATTCGTGCATGTTGTAATCACCTGGGGAATTTTTAAAATGCTAGATCTCATGACTAGAGTTTCTGATATAACTAATGTGAAAGAATGGCTTGAACTGAGCATCAATAGGTTTAAAAATTCTCCAGGTGTTTCTAATATTTTTAAATTATAATGTTCATGCTACATTCCAGATTAATTAAATCAGAATCTCTATTGGTAAGCCCCAGGCATCAGTATTTTTCAACACTCTCTAGATGTTGATGAGGTGGAGCCAGTTTCAGGAACCACTGCTTCAGACAAAATCCTCCAGTGGTTTTAATCTCTAGGTACACAGTAGAATCCCTTTAAGAGACAAGAAGTATTGACATGTGAACCCCATTTTAGAGCAATTTATGGTTAATCTCTGACAATGAGATGCAACAATCTGTAGTTTTTAAAGGTCCTACAGGTGATTTTAATATACAGCCAAGATACAGATTCAGTACTCCAGTGGTTCTGGAGTATTCTAGCATACATCACAACAACCTGAAGCAATTGTTAAAACACACATACTTGGGTCTCACCCAGAGAATTTCTGATTAGATAAACATAGATGTAGGGCCTGGTAATTTGAATGTCTAACAAGTTCTTAGGTTATGCTGCTGCTGATAACCCCATTAAATAAAACACTAAACTATGAGCACATACAGATATAAATAAAAATAACTATAAATATTTGATGAGAAATAAGACCTTTACATTGTTACAGATTAGTCTCACAAAATATTTACTTACAAAGGGTAATAGAGTACATTACTTGGAGAAGATTGGCTGACACCACTTTAATCAAGTAATAAAAATGAACATTGTCAGTTATGGGAAAAATAAATGCTATGCACCATTTGATAGGGTGAGGAGGTGGCAACACTTATGAGATTTTTCCTGCTAAAGAAACATAACCTGAATCCATTACAAAGAAACTTCATGCAAACCTAAATTGAGGGCCAATTTACAAAATAGTTCAAATATTTCTAACAGACAATAACATTCAAAAAATTAAAAAAAAAAACAAAAAACCGAAAAAGACTGAAGAACTCTTCCAGACTGAAGCAGCCTGAAGAGATATGACAACTAGAGAGTTCATGATTCTGAAGGGATTATTTGGCAGGCAAGATATTACAAGGGCAATTGGGAAAATTTGAATGGGTCTGAGGAGTAGATGGCAGAAATGTATCAATACTAATTCATGATTTTAGATATTGTGTTTTGGCTATACAGGAGGAGGTGCTTATCTACAGGCAATATACACCAGAATCTTGTGCAGAAATTAGCCATCAAGCTGGCAACTTCCTCTCAAATTGTTTAGGAAAATGAATTTTTTTTTTTTTTTTTGGTACCACAACTCAAGCTTTTCTGTGAGTTGTGATTTTTTTGAAAAAAAAAAATAATTTTTAAAAGTCAAGCATTTTTCACTCTGCAGAAGTCTTTCTTGGAAATGAGACGGCCAAACAAGGCTAGAAATGGGTTTGCATCTCGGTAAAGACAGAGGACAAATTACTCTTTGAAAAATCCTAGTAGAAACTGGTTTCTATTGCCTTTTAACATGCCTCAACTCAAACCTGTCTAACTCTGGTGTCCTCTCCCAACAGTAGTATGTATCTTCTTTTAACCTACATTCAAGTGTTCACAAAGTTTAAAATACAGGCTTACATACAGGGTTTGTATGTGTGTGTTTTTCTATTTCTTCCTGTGTATTTCTTTGCAATTTCATCATGCCTCTAACTTGGCATTTTTCTTCACATTCTTTTTTTAATCTTATTTTTGACTCTGATATCTTTTTACTTTCTGCCTACACACCACATGTTATAACTTTTTTTAATGTGATCCACTTGGTGTTTCTATCCTATCATTTTGTTTTATTTCACCTGGTAAAACCATTAAGTTCTTTCTGGCCTATTTGCTTTTATTTTCGTATCGATTTTTACCACTGATATGCATTTTCTCAAGTAATGAATCTCATTTTTACTAGTCTCATTATTTTCTCTATTCATCTTACCCAAGTACTATTTAAATTTATTCATAATCCTATGATTACAGTCATCTTTATTCATCCATTCTTTTCTTTATTTATTCATTCATTCTATAAACATGTGTTATACACTTTTAAAATGATAAAATACAGCACTATGTGCAATAAAAGTACAAATAAGATACAGCATGGTCCTTGACCTTGGGGAGTCCAAAGTGTAATTGTAATTCTATAATGCAAAGCAGGGTGCATGCTGCTGGGCAGTGTTGGGTGCTCCTTCCTCTATAACTTGATGGCAGTCTGTGTCTACTCTGTCTAATGAAGGGAAACATTCCACAGCAGACATTACATTTTAGTTGATGTTGAAATATGATTGTGAATCTTCCAATAATAGAATGATAGCACTTATTTCAATTCAGAGAAGAAAAAAACAGCACAAGACTTGAGATAATACTGGGTCCTGATGTGGTTTCAATGAAGAGAAAAATGGAAGACAGTAGAGTCAAAATGCAAGGTTAGGACTATTAGATAAAGCTTATTTGAGACAAGCTAAGGTGTGTGAGCCTGAACTCGTATGACATGAGAAGCCATCAGATAATAATATAAACTGAGGGTTAATTTAATCAAACTTATATATTATAAAGACTGCCATGGAGAATGAATTAGAAATGTGAGAAACAGATCTACAATGTATACTGGGTGACTCTAGCAAGAGTCTCAGAGGGAGAAGACACAAGCATGCACAAAGGCAGCAACACCAGGGAGAAATAGAAGGTGGTTCATCAGTGAAGTTCAGGAGAGCCTCTGGTAATCTGCTGTCTCTGGCTACCCCTCCTCTCCTGTTACGGCAGCTTGAGTTGCTTTGTTGAGCCTGATCTGTGCCTTCAAATTTGAGTGCTGAAAGCTCAGAAAGCTTGAGAAGAATATGATTGAGAAGGGCAAGTCTAGATACAAAGGACAAGAATGGAAACTCAATGCTGTTAAGACCAAAGCGGGAGAATGAGAGCTTGAATTTGAGCTGTTAGAGTAGAGTTGAAGAAACACAGAAGGGCTCAAGGATAATTTATGAGAAACGTGAGAATTCATGATTTGTTAGATATCGTGGGGGAGTAAACTCCAAATGAATGTCATGTTTTGGGTTTGGACTGACAATTCCTATTTCAGTTTGCTGAAATTGTGATAAAAATAAATAGAAAGAGTCAGTCTATGGAAGATGAAAGAATTAATTCTATTCTGGGCATTTGAAGTTTAGCTGCTATGGATATTCAAATGAATATGTTCAGTTAGAAAGCAGATGTATATGACAGAAGCCAAGAGGATGTCTAAGAGATTTAGATTTAGAAATCTTTATGCTATCAGTATGTGTTAAAACCATGATACTAGGTGGGATTTTCAAGGGATAATGCATGAAGAGAGAAAAACAACATTGGTTTGAAAATAAAGCATAAGGAAACACACGTGTAGGAGTCAGTAGAAGAAATTAATAAGTAGCTGGAAATGTTATCAGAGAATATAGAGGGATGCCAGGAGAAAGCCATTGTTTTCTCCTTCCTATCAGTAATTCCCTCAGCAGCCAGAGTAACCCCCAAACAACAGACGCTCAGTCAGGTTATTCCTCTGCCTAGCAATTTTCAAGATTTTCCATTGCTTTTACAGTAAAACCTACTCACCTTCCCTGCCCACAAGGCCCTACATAATCTGGCCTTTTCATCTTTCCAGCCTTATCTTATGGCAAATCTTGTCTCCTTCCTCACATCCAGTCACTGGGTTGTTTTTTTGTGCATCCTCAGTGGCATGATCTACACCATATCCTGACAAACTAGCTCAGTTCCATTTACTTCACAGGGCGGGGTCATCATAACAGCGTGTGTTATTTTAATCATCTTACACTTCTCACAGAGAACTTCTGTAACTTCTGGATCTAAGTTTGTCCACCCCTGTAAATCTGTCTTTCAATTCCTTGTCTTTCTTTTTCCTAGAATTTGCCATAAATATGAGTTATCTACCAATTTGTCTATTTATTTATATTGTGTCTTTTTTCATCCACTTGACTAGGAGTTCCTTGTGGGAAATAACCTTGTCTTTCTTTTTATATCTTAGTATCCTCATCACCTACAATGGTGCTCAGGTGTTGGTTGTAGCTATAACCAAAACAGCTGAGTTACAAAAATGAAATGGATCACTGAAGCAAAAGATGTAAAGAGTTTCAAGGATAAAGACATGATTGTCAATATTATTATAGCTATTGTAAAAGCCAGAAGAAAATATGAAAATATTTGAGAAATTTCTGCTGGACTTTGTTACACGAAGTCACTACTGACATTTGCTCAAGACCTTCAGTGGCATGGAGTTTACATAAACTGGATGGCAATGGATTTGTTGTTCTGTGAGGTAGGAATGGGATGAGTTAGAAAGAAAGAGCCTAGATTATGCTGTCCAGACACTTGGGCTAAACTTGAGGAATTAAAAGTGACTGAAAGTGGAGGAAGATGATGACCAATGTGACATTTTGTTTTTCTAGTTTTAATCTGTCCTGTAGAAAGGCTTAAACTAGTGACCAAAAACAGGTCAATAGAGAGACATCGGCAATATAGAAGGGAGTCATTTTTGGAATAACTTTTAAAAGGAAAGAAAATGGATAGGATAAAGAGCATAGGTTGAAAGTTGACTTTTAAGACTAGGGAAGCCTTAAGTTAGAAGAAAGAAAGAAAAGTAAGGAAAGGAAGGAGGGAAGGAGGGAAGGAAGGAAGGAAGGAAGGAAAAGAGAGAGTGAAAGAAAGATTGAAGATAAGGAAGAAATAGAGAAAGAAATAGAGAAAGAAAGAGAAAAAGAAAGGAAGGAAAGAAGGAGGGGAGGAAGGAAAAAGATACAGACTTGCCTGTAGATAAATGCGTAAATCTCAATGACAGAAAGTTATGGTGAGAAACTGAGAAGCATACACATTTTAAGATTTGGAAAAGAGAGCTTCTCAAGTGGTATTAAAAAGTAGTCTGGATGATCATAAATTCAGGAAAATATGAATCTACATGGTTATATATCTTCTCCATTAGTGTTCAGAAGTGTATGTGGAAACAAAATGTAGCTACAGGATTGGCATGAAATTGAGTTTTGCAATGTAATGGAGAAGCAAGAGAGCAGGTGAAAGTAATTCATCTGATTACTCATAAAGTGGAGACAGGGTATCTAAGGTGTGGATACTAGAAGAAGCCTTGAAGACTAGAGAATACAGGTATAAAGGGAAGAAAAGTTTCTATAAAGTCTAAGACAATAAATAACTTGAGGCTGTGAGAAAGCTTGAAAGTTCTAATTATAGAGTCATTTACTTGAATTTATGATTTCCAAGGCACAAGAACAACAGGAAGGTGGTAATAATGCTCAGGTGTGGTGGAGGACATGATTAAAATGAATAATTCATACATGTAACAGAAGGAGGTATAGCTGAATATCATAAGCTAGAAAGGAAAAGGGGCTCTTTCACAGTATGGTTCATCAAATAAGAATGACTTAGTTTCCTAATCCGAATGGTATGATTCAGCCAAATTCTTCTCTCTGTCCCCAGAATGTTCTTCTCAATCATGTCTCCATACTTTTGGTCATATTGTTTCTTCCATCTCTTTTTCTTATTCTGGAAATATGCAAATTTTTCACATTCCTTGAATCCCATCCCAAGTCTCCTGAAAGTTTACTGGATTATGACATTGACTATTCCTCTGTTTCTCTATACACACACACACACACACACACACACACACACACACACACACACACTTTTTGTTTTTAGCAGACATGTATTAAAATTTTGCCCCATTGAAGTCACTGGGCTAGAGGCAGTGAGGGACATTGGAATGTATATTAGTCCCTGTCATAAAGAAGGCTAGAACCCAAAAAGAGAAAATGAAGATATACAGGAAGTACTGAATTCAAATCTAAAGCCAAGTAGGGCATTAAAGAAGCACCATGTTTCAGAAGAAGTGATGGTTCACAGTGGTTAAGTCAGAAAATTGTGTTACATCTGGGCTTCTATACTAACTAATGTGTATTCTTGGACTAATTTTACTGACAGTGAGTATTAACCTGTGGCTGAGAACAAGAGGAAATTTTCTAGAAAGATTCTAAAAGAAAATTTAAAAGAAACTATTTGGTATATTTTTAAGAACATGTATATGCTTTCCAGAGTTTAAACCTTAATTATTTTCCATAGTCTTTAAATCATGGGACTAGGCATGAGAACTGGGTACTACTTCACAGTGATGAGTTGAGTGGTTTTAGGCTCATTTTCCCCACACAACAAATAAAAGCAATACCCCTCAACACATGTTCTATGTAGGTTCTTGTGATAACACCATTAAAAATAACAGCTGGGAAAGTCATTTTAAAGTATAAAGTTTTAAATAAATAGAGTGAAATATGGTGATGATCATAAAATAATTGTGAAAACAATTTACGTTGGCATCTTCAAGTGATACTTCTCAAAAAATGTATAGTGTAACAGTGGGTTTGCACTATGTTCCTTATAATAATTATTCAACATCCAGAGCTTTACCCACCACTCACTATGTGTAATACTCTTTATGAAAAGGGAAAGATCATATAGTCCTAGAATATAAACAGTATACACAAAAATCAGGATTACAAATCATATTTTACTGGAGCAAACATCTTTTACTAGTGGTTAAATTGTTAGAAGTTAAAGATGGAATACCATTTGGAAAAATAATGTCAAGAGAATTTTTAACTTGAAAAAGCCCTTTCACTCTATTAATTATTTAATGAAAATCAACACACATTTATTTGATGCTATATTACTGCCAGGTTATATGGTAGTTTTTGAAAGAAACAGCAGAAAGTAGAAAATGATCTTAACCTCAAGGGATTATAATTCATTTAGTACTCAACAAATATGTGTTCATTAAACATTTAGCAAATACTTAAAACTAGGTTGGAGATAAGAGAATAAATGAAGTTCTAGAGAATATAAATAACATGAAGTATGTATGTATTTAAATACATATTTTAAACATGTTTATATTTTAAGATTCATAATTTGTTTTAAGAATTCAGAAGAAAAGGGAACATCTTTGGGTCTCCGTTCTCTAAGAGAGCTCCATGGAACAAGACCTGACATAGACTTTAGAGAATTAATAGAATTTTAATTGACAAAAGAAAAGGGGATATCTTTTATAAAGAAAGATAATAATATAAATAAAAGCTTACAGGGAATATATATTATATCACGTATTACCATGTAAATAGTGAATATTTAATAACTATTTCCCAGTAAGAGCAAAGAATGAATGTTGTGTTAGTTAATGGAAAGCACCAAATGTTAGACTAAGGAATGTGAACTGGATTCCAGAGACCATGAGGGAATATATACAACACTGTTACACTCTAACCTTGATTGTCTTTGAATAATTTGATTGCCTATTAGAATAATTGCCTACTACAATAATGCAACTTTCAACGCCTATTTTTTTAAGGAGTGCATCCTTGGTTTATTTTTATGTTCCCAAATATCTAATTGAAGTTTAGATGATTCATTAAAAATGCAACTAAATTTCATTGTTTAACTAGAAGTGATGTCATATCAAATTTTGCAGGTATAAATTTCCATAGGGAAATAAATACATTTTAAAAGGTGTTTTGCATTCCTTTCAGTGAACCGAATTTAATTTTCTTTTATATTATTAAATTGATTTAAGTGAGCCTAATATCTCAAAATTTTAAATTATTGCTTTTCAGTGACTGCTCTCATTTGTTAGGAGACTTATTTTTCTGCAATACTTTTTCTTCAGTGTACATTTACAAAATCAATTTAGCATATTTCACCTTTATCCCTTTTGTATTAGCATTATCTCACTTGTTTAAATTTTGTTCTAAATGGTTGTTCCTAGATTTGATTTTGTGACATATGCCATTTTTATATTAGATTGAATTTTCAAAGTGTAAACTCTAGACCAATAGTTTTCTAATTATTATTTTTTATCCAAGAAAGCATTTTTTGAAGAAAATCATGCGCTTAACTCTATATAAAACAAGCAAAATGGAGATGTTTTGTTAAAGTGGGTGTAAGAGGCTCAGCATCCTGTATATGCTGTCTTCTTCTTTTGTCTCCATTACTATCCCCAAGAAAACTCTAAAGATTTCCCAGAGTTTTGTTGACCACATCTTGAAAGCAACTGTTATAGACACCACTTCCTATTAGAAGGCAATTGAAGGTCATTTACCTTCCCTTTTAGTATCTATCACTGAGAAAGCAGTAATCTCCTTGGTTATGGAACGTAATCTGTGTGTTTTTATTTTCTTCAGAAATAAACGGCAGAATATTGAGAAATGCTTCAATATATGCCTCACCCTCTCTCCTATACATATTGAAGGAATTCTGTTTGGTTTTCTTCTAGAAAATAAAAAATAAAATAATAAAATATAGTAGCTGTTCTTTCATGCAATGTATTTGAGAGCTATGCTTGGTCAAATAATAGAAAAAGCTGATATAAGCTGGGAATCATGGAAAAGATACTGGTATTCCTTGCACATTTTAACTTCAAACACATATGTTTATATTTATTTGTCAATTTGTGGCAGTAGTGGCTCAGAGCATATGAACATTCCTATTTTTGAATTTATTTTTTAAACTGACAAATAGAAATGCATATATTTATTATGTAAAACATGATGTTTTGAAATATACATGCATTGCAGAACAGGTAAATTGAGCTAATTAATATATGCATTACTTCACATACTTTTCATTTTTTAAGGTGAGAACACTGAAAATCTACTATCTCAGCAATTTTCAATAATACATTGCTATTAACTATATTCGCCATGTTATGAAATAGATGTCCATTTGACCCAGCAATCCTATTACTGGGTATATACCCAAAGGAATATAAATCATTCTACTATAAAGACATGTGCACACATATGTTTATTGTAGCACTATTTACAATAGCAAAGTCATGGAACCAATCCTAATGCCCATCAGTGATAGACTGGATACAGAAAATATAGTACATATATACCATGGAATACTACACAGCCATAAAAAGGAATGAGATTATGTCCTTGGCAGAGACATGGAAGAAACTGGAAGCCATCATCCTCAGCAAACTAACACAGGAACAGCATGTTCTCACTCATAAATGAGAGTTAAACAATGAAAACACATGGACACTGGGAGGAGAAATACACACGCCAGGGCCTGTTGTGGGTGGGGGATGAGGGGAGGGAACTTAGAGGACAGGTCAATAGGTGCAGCAAACCAGCATGGCACACGTATACCTATGTAACAAACCTGAATGTTCTGCAGATATATCCTGGATGTTGAAGTCCAATTAAAAAAAGAAAAGAAATAAATTTCTTGAACTCATTCCTCCTATCTAATGAAATTTGGCATTCTTTAACTAACATCTCCCCCCGACCTCTCCCTACTCTCCAACCTCTATAAACAACCATTCTACTCTCTGCTTCTATGTGTTCAACTTATTTAGCTTCCACATATAAGGGCAATCACATAGTATTTGCTTTTCTGCAGTTGGTTTATTTCACTTAACACAATGTCTTGTAGATGCATCCATGTTGTCAAAAATGACAGAATTTTCTTCTTTTTAAGGCGGTATTCCATTGTGTACATACGCCACATTTTCTTTGTCTATTCCTCTGTCAGTAAATACTTCAGTTGATACCATATCTTGGCTATTGTGAATAGTGCTGCAATAAACAATGGAGGTCAGATATCTCTTAGACATACAGATTTTATTTCCTTTGGATATATACTCAAAAGTGGGAGTGATGATAATATGGTAGTTGAACTTTCAATTTTTTGAGGCACCTTTACACTGTTTTCAACAATGGCTGTATTAATTTACAGTCCTACCAATTATGTGCAAGATTGCCTTTTCTTTACATCCTCACTGACACTTATCTTTTGTCTTTTTAGTAATAGCCATTTTAATAAGTGTGCAGTAATATCTCATTGTGGTTTTAATTTTTATATGATGATTAGTGATGTTGACCATCTTTTATACACCTGTTGGTCATTTGTACATCTTTTTTTGATAAAAGTCTATTCAGGTTATTTGCCCGTTTCTGATTTTTTTTTTTTTTTTTTTGCTATTGAAGTGTTTGAATTTCTTATATATTTTCAATATGAATTCATTATCATATAATCGATACGAAAATATTTTCTTCCATTTCATAGGTTGCTTCTTCACTATTTTGATATTTTTATTTGCTGTGCAGAAGCTTTTTAGTTTGATGTAATCTCACTTGTCTGTTTCACTTTTGCTTTCTGTGCTTCTTTTGAGGTCATATCCAAAAAGTCTTTGTCCAGACCACTGTCCTGGAGCATGTTTCCTATGCTTTTTTATAGTAATTCTATAGTTTCATGTATAACATTTATGCCTTTAGTGCGTTTTGCATTAGTGTTTTATATAGGGAGAGATATGAGTCTAATTTTATTCATTTGGGTATAGATATTCAGTTGTTCCAACATCATTTATTAAAGAGAGGTTCATTCTTCATTGTGTGTTCCTAGTGCCTTTGTCAGAAATCAATTGGCCATAAATGTGTAGATTTATTTCTGGGCTCTCTATTGTGTTCCATTGGTCTATGAGTTTCTTTTTATGCCAAAAACATGCTGTTTTAATTAATATAACTTTGTAGCATATTTTGAAGTAAGGCAGAGTGATCCCTTTAGTTTTATTTTTTGGTTTAAGATTGCTTTTGCTATTTAGAGTCCTTTTTGGTTCCACATAAAATTTAGGATTTTTTTCCTATTTCTGTGAAAAATCTCATTGGAATTTTTAGAGATTGCTATGAATTTGTATACTGCTTTGAGAAGTATGGACATTTTAACAATATTAGTTATTCCAATTCATGAACATGAGATATCTTTCCATTTATTTGTATCTTCTGTTTCTCTCATCAGTGTTTTATAGTTTTCAGTGTACAGTTATTTTGCCTTGTTGCTTAAATTTATCCCTAAGTATTTTATAGTTGTAGCTACTGTAAATTAGATTTTTTTTTTATTTCTTTTTTGGATAGTTTGCTGTTAGTGCATAAAAATCCTCCTGGCTTTTGTGTGTTGACTTTGTGTCCAGTAACTTTACTAAATTTATCTGTTCTAAGAGGTATACGGGCCGGGCGCGGTGGTTCATGCCTGTAATCCCAGCACTTTGGGAGGCCGAGGCGGGTGGATCACGAGGTCAGGAGATTGAGACTATCCTGTCTAACACGGTGAAACCCCGTCTCTACTAAAAATACAAAAAATTACCTGGGCGTGGTGGCGGACGCCTGTAGTCCCAGCTACTCGGGAGGCGGAGCTTGCAGTGAGCCAAGATCGGGACACTGCACTCCAGCCTGGGCCACTGAGCAAGACTCCATCTAAAAAGGTTATATGGTGGAGTCTTTAGGATTTTCTATATGTAAGATCATGTTATCTACAAAAATAGACACTTAACTTCTTCCTGTCCAATTTGAATGTCTTTTATTTCTGTCTCTTGCATAACTATTCTGGCTAGGACTTTCAGTGCTATGCTGAATTCAAGTAGTGAGAGTGGTTATCCTTGTCTTGCTCCTAACTATGGAGGAGAGCTTTCAACTTTCCTCTGTTGAGTATGATGTTAGCTGTGGGTTTGTCATACACGGTCTTTATTGTGTTGAAGTACATTTCTTCTATACCTAATTTGTTAAAAGAGTTTTTATCATGAAAGTATGTTAAATTTTGTTAAATGCTTTTTCTTCATCTATTGGGATGATCAATTGGCTTTTGTTTTTCATTCTGTTAATGTGGTATATCACATATATTGACTTGAATTTGTTGTCCTATCTTTGCATTTCTTGGATTAATCCCACTTTATCTTGGTGAATGATTCTTTTACTGTGCTGTTGAAATTGGTTTTCTAATATTTTCTTCAGGATTTTTTCATCTACATTCATCAAGGCTCTTGGTCTGCATATTTTTCCCTTCATTTTCCTTTTGTAGTTCTGGTATTAGATTAATACTGGCCTCATAAATCAGCTTAGAAGTACTCCTTTCTCATTAATTCTTTGAAAGTGTGTGAGGCCAGGTGCAATGGCTCACGCCTGTAATCCCAGCATTTTGGGAGGCCAAGGTGGGAGGATCATTTTTGTCAGGAGTTTGAGACCAGCCTGGCCAACATGGTGAAACCTCATCCCTACTAAAAATACAAAAATTAGCTGGGTGTGGTGGTGCACCCCTGTAATCCCAGCTACTTGGGAGGCTGAGGTAACCTAGGAGTTAGAGGCCGCAGTGAGCCGAGATCTCACCACTGTACTCCAGCTTGGGCGACAGAGTGAGACTCTGACTCAGAAAAATAAATAAATATGAAAATAAAAATACAAAAATGGAAAGAAAGAGTTTGAGAAATATTGATATGAATTCGTCTTTAAATGTTTGGAAGAATTCAGCAGTTCGCTGCCACAGGGTCCTTTGCCTTTCTTTTTTTATTTTATTTTATTTTATTATTTTATTTTATTTTATTTATTTATTTATTTTTGAGACAGAGTCTCGCTCTGTCACCCAGGCTGGAGTGCAGTGGCACGATCTTGGCTCACTGCAAACTCCGCCTCTTGGGTTCATGCCATTCTCCTGCCTCAGCCTCCCGAGTAGCTGGGACTACAGGTGCCCGCCACCATGCCTGGCTAATTTTTTTGTATTTTTTTTAGTAGAGACAGGGTTTCTCCGTGTTACCCAGGATGGTCTCGATCTCCTGACCTCGTGATCCGCCCGCCTCGGCCTCCCAAAGTGCTGGGATAACAGGCGTGAGCCACTGCGCCCGGCTGGTCCTGTGCCTTTCTTTAATGGGAGACTTTTTACTACTGATTTAATCTTTTACTTATTATTGTTCTGTTCAGATTTTCTATGTTCTTGTGAGTAGGTCTTGGTAGGTTATATGTTTCTAGAAATTTCTCCATTTTCCAGGTCATCATCTTATTATTATTATTATATGCAGTTTTTTATACCAGTCTCATGATCCTTTGTATTTCTGTGGTATCAGTTGTGATGTTTCATTATTTATTTCTGATTTTATTTACTTGACTCTTTTCTCTCTTTTCTTAAGTACTGCAGCTATTGGTTTGTTGATTTTGTTTATCTTTCTGAAAAATTAACTTTTAATTTTATTGATTTTTTTTTTAATATAATTTTTTGTTCCTGGGCCTCATTCATAGAGGAGGCTCACTAAGGAAGAGCCTTGGCTGTTATTCTGCCATATCTAATTTGTAGCTTTACTTTAAAATAAAATAATAGGCTTTTTTACTTAAAAGAGTTTTGGGTTTATATAAAAAAATGAGTAGAAAGTATGAAGAGCTCCCATATAACTTCTCTCTCACCCTCACACTTTCCTCTATCACACATCTTGGATTAGTATGGTACATTTGTTACAGCTGATGAACCAATATTGATTCATTGTTATTAGCTAAAGTCTATAGTTTACATTACGGTTTACTCTGGTGTTGTGCAGTCCTAGGGTTTAGACAAATGCATAAAACATGTATCCATCATTACAGTATCATACAGAATAGTTCCATTACCCTAAACATCCCTAGTGCTCCACCTATTTATCCTTCCCTCTCCTTCTCAACCTCTGGTAACAATAGATCTTTTTACTCTGTCTACAGTTTTTTGTTTTCCAGAATGTCATGTAGGTGGAATAATACATTATGTAGCCTTTTAATATTGGCTTATTTCACTTTGCAATATGCATTTAAAGTTCCTCTGTGTCTTTTCATGGCTTGATAGCTAATTTCTTATTATTGCTAAATAATAGTCCATTGCATGGATACACCAAAGCTTATTGATTCACTTACTGAAAAGCATCTTGGTTGCTGTAGACTCACTTTTAACTGTAAGTTACAATCAACAGATCATTTACATTTTAAGAAGTACTCTTTTCCAGCACTAATGCCAAGATGTGCTTCCTTAACAAAAAAATCCCTCTAAGAACAATACCTTTCCCATTCTTTAATTTTCACATGTATTTTAGATACAAAAACACAATTCAACAGATGTTTTAAGCTAATCACTATTATAAATAACAGAAATTTTTGATCTGATATTTTATCTGTCCCTAAGAATTGTGAGGACGCTATGCAACTCACAAATGTAATTGTCATTTATTCATGCAAACAATAATAATTGAGTAACTGCTATACTCTTTTCTATGAGATAATAATAAATACATATTGGCAAAAGAATAAACATATTTTCAATTCCATGTTCAGAAATTTGTGTCATTAGAAAGGAGATGACAAAAGTAGCAACATTTATTGTAATTGGAGAAGTATGCTCTTTTCCCCTCTATATTCTAACCCTTAGTTTCAGCTTATATTACTTTGAAATACAATTTGATGAAATGATTTGTAAAGCCAAATCACTAAACTTCTCTGCTCATAGCTTTTAAAAAATAAACTGTTTGCTGACCCTGTTTCAAACATTTTATTGTTTTGTATGTTTTATTGCTATAAACATTACTGTATTCCTATAACATTTTCAGTTCTTTCTTTCCTTAACTTCTTAAAAGTAGTTATTAAGGTTTCTACTTTTCCAGTTTGATTTTGTGAGACACTAAATCTTTATCATATAATTCAGAATTTTTAAAGCTTGCCTTTATGGTTTTTCTTTGTGACTTGGCCTCTAGAATCATAAAAAAAGAAAGAAACATCATGTCCACTTCCAATGTGTAGAGTGATCTCTTTATTTTTTCCCATATCCTAACCCAGACAATTTCTTATACTTTGGGAAAATTAAAGCTGCTAAACAACATTCTTCTGTCATTGAATACCTTAGACTTTAAATGCATGTGGCATAATGGGTACTAACAATGTATGTCCTCTGTACCCCTACCAATCCTTACAGCATGTCTCACTAATTCATCACCATCCAATCAATAATGGCCCCTGCAGAGAGGGGGTGGAAGAAGGATGCCTTTCTATTTCCCATAAATATTTGAAATTGGCCTGATTATATTGTCTTGTGCTTGGGTGCAGGGACAATAGCCTTTCATTTAGATGAGCAGAGCGATACACAGGTGGAGAAGTACCTAGTTAGGAAGATTAAATAAAAATGTGCCACTGAACTGTGTAACAGCAGAAACCATCATCTGCCTATATTCCAATTGCATAAAATTGGGTCTTATTAACAAAAGGTAATACGAGACAGAAACCAACAGAACAGAACACTGCCGATTTCCCATTGTCACATGTACAGTTATCTTCCTCTCCCTTTTTCTTTCTTTCTCCAACCTTTTCCCTTTCTGTTTGCACTCCCTATTTCCACCCCCCACCACAGAAACTTTCTTGCCCTCTTGTCACCTTTCTCTTTATTACTTTCCTTCTAATTTTCTCCTTTATCTTATTTTCTTTCTATCTTTCCTCTTGGACATAGTAGTAACATAACCAGGAGAGTGATTTGAGATTATCAATCTTGCAGCTTTAAGAAGTATAAGCTTCAAAGGGATTAGCCTACATGTGGGGAAAATGATTAGAAAATATTACAAATTTTTAGGCAAGTGATGATGAGGTTCTGAAATGGTGGTTGCGGGAAAGGTAAAGAGAAGGTGGATGCGAGAAATATTGTAAAGATGGAATTGACAGCTTCACAATTGTATTAAGGACTAGAGCATACTTTCAGAACATTAGATAATCATTTGCACATCATAACTGCGATTTTTCAACTGCTAATTTGGCATTGCAATGTGAACTTCAACAATCTGCCCTTTATATGCATAAAAATATCATGAATAAATCAGGGAAAAGCTAATGAGAAAATATATACCAAAGAGCTAAGTAAGCTCCATGAAGAAAATCAACAACAGTTTGTAATTCAGTTCAATCATGTGCTGGGTAATTGCATATTATGCAATCCAAAAGCATGTGCACTTTCTATTGTAAAATCAGGTTGAGTCCTGAATGTTGGCTCTCTGTGAACGCAGACTTCTACAGAGGGCCTACAGTGGGTTTGCATGTTTAGATGTGCTAAAATATGCACTTGAAAAAAAAAAAACACTTCTCTCCTATGACCTCTTTGGAAAAATAATACCATTGGGCATCACGCCTTGGAAACCCACATGGCACAGTTAATGAAAAGCCAGGAGTTTGGAGAGAATATTGAATTTGAAAGTCTCTGAGAGTGTTCCCCAAATGGGTTGTTAAGTCCCTGTGACAGAGAACATTAGTGCTAGATGATGACAGTCATTCGATTCTAAACACAAACCATATTGTCTGTGATTAAAGGCAGATGCTAGAGGAGGGCATCCAGGGCATTGTGGCCAGAGCTGTGTTAGAACTATCCCTTGGGGATTTCAAGGCTGGGACTGAAAGTAATAATAATAATCACAATAAAATAAAACAAAATCTTCATTAATCCCCATATTGAAGGGTAGATGTCTATAATTTCTGATAGCGTAAGGTTCAAATGATCTCCACGTTTGGGGAAAGACATCAAAATCATTCTTTATTTATACATACATATCAATGTATATATATACATTTATTTATAAAGACACACACACATATGTGTGTGTATGTATATATTCTTTCACAGATGCAAAGAGAAAAAAATAAGCAAACTCCAGGCCACAACAAGATGTCCACATAATCATTTAAATCATATATATGCATGAAGTTCTGTTTGTTTGTGAATCTATGCTGCACCTGTTTGCCTATGTGGTTTGTTACATAGTGTTGGGGAAAAGACAGGTCATTAACCTGTTTTGTTTCTATAATACTTTGATCCAGAAAAATATATCCAGAAAAATATTTTCTGCATGGATGGACTTTTTTCCTGTAAGTGTTTATAGGTATTTTTGATAAAATATTCTTCCCTTCTTTTAAACATTTTAAAATTGGTATATAATAATTATACACATTTTTGCATACATATAATAGCTTAATATATGTATACAATGTGTGATAATCAAATGAAGATAATTAGGACATCCATCACTTCAAACACTTATGTTTTCTTTCTTTCTTTTTTTTTTCTCCTGCCCTCCTTTCACTCTAATGTTTCAAACACTTGTCTTTTCTTTGTCTTGGAACATTACCATTCTTCTCTTCTAGCTATATTGAAATATACAAAAAGTTATTGAAAACTATAATTTCGCTACTGTACTATCAAATACTAGAACTCATTTATTTTTCCTATCTATTAACTAACTTCTCTTCACGCCCCCACCTCCTTCCTTTCCCAGCCTCTGGTAACCACCATTCTATTCTCTATCTCCATGTGATCCACTTTTTTTTAGCTCCCACGTATGAATGAGAACATGCCGTATTTGCCTTTCTGTGCCTATCTTATTTTCCATAATCTATCTCTCTATATAACATCTTTTATATTCACTCATCTATTGTTGGAAATTTAGCTTGGTGGTATATCTTGGTTATTGAAAAAAGTCCTGAAATAAAGATAGGGAGCAGATCTCTCTCCAGTATACTAATTTGTTTTCTTTTGTACCTATACCCATCAGTGGAATTGCTGGATCACATGGTAGTTCTATGTTTCATTTTTTTGAGAAACCGCCATACTATTTTTTGTAATGGCTGTACAACTTTATATTCCCACCAACAGTGTACATATGTCCCCCTTTCTCCCCATCATCGCCAGCATTTATTATTTTTCTTTTTGATAATAGCCATTCTGAGTCGAGATGATACCTCAATGTGATATGGTTTTGAATTGCATTTCCCTGATGATTAGTGATATTGAACATTTTTTCATATACCTCTTGGCCATTTGCATGTCTTCTCTTGAGAAATGTCTATTAAGGATTTTCGCCTATTTTTTAATCAAATTACTTGAGGGTTTTTTATTTTATTTTTTATTTTTATAGTTTGCTACTGAGTTCTTTGAATTGTTTATATATTCTGATTATTTATTTCTACTTGGATGGACAGTTCATCTTTTAAGAACATTACTTCCATTTTCTAGATTGTATTTTTCACTTTGTTAATTATTTCCTTTGATGTGCAGAAGCTTTTTAGCTTGATGTAATTCTGTGTGTCTATTTTTGTTTTTGTTGCCTGTGTTTTTGACATCTCTGTCCAGATCAATGTCTTATAGCATTTCCCCAGTGTTTTCTTCCAGTAGTTTCAAAGTTTTCTGTCTTGGATTTAAGGCTTTAATCCATTGAGTTGATTTTTTTTAATGGTGAAAAATGGGATCTGGTTTCATTCTTCTACATATGGATATCCAACCCACATCATTTATGAAAGAGACTGTCTTTTCCCCAGTATATGTTCTTGCTTTCTATGTAAAAAAATGAGTTGGCTATAAGTGTGTGGGTCTATTTCTGAATTCTCTATTCTGTTCTGTTGGTCTATGTTTCTGTTTTTCTGCCAGTACCATGCTGTGTTGGTTGTAACAACTTTATCTTATTGCCTACAGAACATAAAAAATATATTTATTAAAATTATTTTAATAAATGCAACACTTCAACTAGAGTTGCATATAAATCACTTTGGATAAAAAACTATATCCATCTAAAATTAATTCAATAATTATATGTTCAAATTTTTAAAATAAACTTTACCTGTGTGATTTCATTTAATACAAGAATTATAGAAGATACATTACTATGTCACCAATTTTACAGTTGAGGTAACTGAAACACAGAAAAGTTCAGTAATTTTCCCAAGGAAAATGATTAGTAAGTAGCAGAGCTGGGATCTAAAGCCAGTAAGTCTGACTTCACAGCCAGGAGTCTTCATAAAAGTGACTTTATTTTTATAAAAAGCAGAAACCAAAGCTTAAGTCCTGTTGAAAGCAGGGCATCTAATTACACCATACTCCTTCAAAAATATCTTAGATTCCAAAGTACTTTACCTTCCATTTAGGGATAAACCAGGAATAAGTGATTCTCAAATTCCACACAGCATATATGCACAGGAGAAAATACCTTGAAAAAGACAATACCTTGTATCTGAGATCAAATATAAACTATATTTCTAAGAGTTCATAACCACGACTTGGAGTGGTAAAATTGGGACGTAAATTCCTAACTTCTGGGTGATCCTAATAAACTCAAGCCATGAATTTAGTTTAAGGTGATTTTAGGCTGATGGCTGCAACATGTGCTCACAAAAACAGATGAAAGTGCTTTCTAGAGGAACGTATCTTCATCTCAGACCTTAAATGATCACAAAATTTTCCAAAGGAAATGAGCTATTATACTCAAGGAAATAAGATACCATAAGTGAGGACCAGGAGAAACAACAGTCATGAAGTATTTAAATTGGAATTACCAGAGATTTTTAAAAAATGTATATTTATATAAATAAAATATAGCATTAAATATTTAAAAAGATAAAAAATACTGAAGATGAGAAAAATTTGTAAAATAAAACTTACAAAATAAAAATATAATTAAAATGAAAAACTTTATGAGAAATTTAACTGCAGATTAGACAAAAATGAAAGGAGAATTAGTTAAATAGAAATTAATTTGTAAGAAAAACATTTAGAATAGAGCACAGAGGGACTAACAGATATAAAATATGAAATAAAGTTTAACAGAGAAGGAAGACAGATTGAGAAAGCCTAACATTTATCTAATATTCAAGAAGAAGACAGAGATCATGAATGAAATGGGACATTTGAGAAGACAGTAGCTATGAATTTTTCAGAATTTGTGAAAGATTGAATCTAAGGATTTAAAAAATCCTATTTAAAAAGTCCTATAAATTCCAAGCAGGATAAATAAAAACAGTTACACCTGTACACATCCTACTGAAACTATAAGATAATAAATATAATAAGATATTTAAAGCTGTCAAGTTAAAAGAAAAGACAGATTATCTTAAAGGAGTTACTGTTGTGCTGGTAGTTGCATTCTCTATAATTATGGAAGCAAAAAGACAGTAGAATGATACATCTTCAATATACTGAAAAATACATATATTCTAAAATTGTATATGCATTAACGTCCAAAAATCAGAATGAAACATATGTTATTTTCACACAAACAAATAAACAAACAAAACAAAAACAGAAGAAGCTGGCCACTGACAGGCCTTCATTAAAGGAAATAATGAAGGATGTACTTCAGACTTTCTTCCTGAATTAAGATGTAAGTAAAAATAAAGGGCAAAGGAAAAATATGTGGAAAAATATACAGAAAAACTATAATAAAAGTAATATTGTTGCAGGATAAAAAGTTACAATTAAAATATGATGTTAGGAGTGGCGTTCAAAGTTCTATTGTGAGGAAGACTATGGATATTGATAACATTAGACTGTATACGTTACATATAAATGTCATAAGTTTTAGGATAACCTGGAAAATAATTGAAGCAGAATAAGCTTTCTCTTTGAAAGTGCTCAGGCAGCACAGTGTTATGGACAGAAAGGAGTCAAAAAAACAAATGTGTTCATCTTGTATCTGTTAAGTCTATGAGGATGAATTGAGCTAATTACCTGAACACACATTATGATGTAGCATTAAAATATGTTAACTTGCTATTATTAAGATAATAATTTTAACAATGGTGAAGCTAGCCCAATGTTCTCCTCAGGACTGATCAGCACACTAAGGATTCCTCAACAGTTTTCTTGTGCTCTATGAGCTCTTATTATAGTTAGAGGCACATTCTTTGTTATCAGGATATTGCAGTACGGCTGCCTCTAGATGCTATTCGATTGGTGCAAAAGTAATAGCCATTTTCACCATTACTTTTAATGACAAAACCGCATTTACTTTTGCACCAAACTAATAGTTGCAATCTAGGATGAGATATAGTAATTTTCTTTTCCAGCTCTGGTCATTAACAAAAGAAATAAAGAAAAATAAGTATGATCCAAAGCATTTGGTATTAGGCATATAGTGACCTCATAAGTTGGGATGTACACACATACACACATGCACACACACACAAACACACACAGACACATATCTTCATTTATTTAGCTCAAAGGAACGTTTTTCAGATTTCTGAAGCTTTTTCTTCTTACTTCCCTCATTTATAATATTCTGTCCTGTAAATTCAAGCCAATCCACCTTCCAAGCCCTCTGACGTTTGTATATTCAACTTACTAAGACTACTATTACTTTCTTGGGGTTCCCCTTCTTGCACCAAGGTTTTAAAAGGGCCTCTAAGGAGAAAGAAAGGGTAATGATATGGCTCAACTTATTTGTTCCAGTTCTTAAAAAATAATTTATGGTTCTATGCTGCCTGTTGTCTGGTGTCTGAAAACAGTTATTTTATATTTTGTATCTACTTATCTAGTTGCTTAAGGTGGATGGACAATTATAGTACCAGTTCTTTCATGGCCAGAGCAGAATTTTCTTTATACTATTTTTATCCTCCTGATTTATTTAAAATGGGTGACTTTCCTTTTTATAATTATCTTTCATGCCTATATCTACTTATAAAGCACATGGCATGCAATAAGGACTAAGTAAATATTGATGAACAATTACATTAATGAGTAAACAAATATCTTATAAAACACATTTGGCCTAATGACCATAATAGCTATAATTTATTCACTGGTTATACTATGTGCCAGGCATTGTGCTAAGCAGTTTTTATTTATTATATTATTTATTTCATATGACTATCACATAAAATATTTATCGCTATACACCAGAGATCTGCAAATGAAGCCCATAGACCAAATTTGATTCATCACCTCCTTTTGTATTTAAAGTTCTACTGAATCACAGCCACACTGGTTGTTTACATATTGTGTGTGGCTTCTTTCATATCACAATTGTAGAGCTAAGTAGTTGCAAGAGAGAGTATGTAACCTAGAAAATTTTTCTACTAAATAGCTTATTTAGTATCTGGTCCTTTACAGAAAAATCTTTCCACAAAAGATGAATGAAGCTTAGAAAGATTATTTCATTAGAAGAAAATTACAGCTTTGCCATATACTAAAAGTCCTCTCATTAATTCCTGTACTCCATGACTTAAGACAAAATGATTCTCTTTGGACTTTGGTTCAAGGTACAACAAATGTGGAAATGTTGAACTCAAAGAAGCGCGAACTCCTGAAATAATAGATACAATTTTGTCTCTTCCCTAGAAAGGGTTTTAAAAGATTTTCCTTCATTCTACTTTTGTTCTTTCTAGATTCATCTATTTTTCTTTCTGAGAAGCCTTCTCTGACTACTCACGCACAAATGAACTTTTCTTAAAGTTTTGAAAATAGTATCATTCAATCTAAATCTTTTTTTTTTTTTTTTTTTTTTTGAGACGGAGTCTCACTCTGTCACCAGGCTGGAGTGCAGTGGCGCAATCTTGGCTCACTGCAACCTCCGCCTCCCGGGTTCAAGTGATTCTCTTGCCTCAGCCTCCCAAGTAGCTGGGACTACAGGCGCCCACCACCACACCAGGCTAATTTTTTGTATTTTTTAGTAGAGACGGGGTTTCACCATGTTAGCCAGGATGGTCTCGATCTCTTGACCTCGTGATCCACCCGCCTCAGCCTCCCAAAGTGCTGGGATTACAGGCGTGAGCCACCACGCCCGGCCCTCAATCTAAATCTTAATTGAAACCTAGTAAGGTTATATGTGTATAACCTCACCTCAAGAAGTCAAAACTCTTTCTCTCATTCATCTGTGTCCCCATAGTATATACTGAACCTCATGGTTATAGCATATTAAGTCGCTGAGAAACATGCATACAGATTGTTAACCATTGTGTTATTTAATGTCAGGTGTCAACTTGACTGGATTAAGGAATACCTGGAGAGCTGGTAAAGCATTATTTCTGGGTGCACCTGTGAGAATGTTTCCAAATGAGATTGGCATGTCAGTCCATGGACGGAGTGGAAAAGATTACCCTAAATGAAGGCAGGCACCAACTAATCTGCTTTGGACCCAGATAGAACCAAAAGACAGAGGAAAGGTGAATTCTTCCTGTTTCTCTGTCTTCTGAAGTTGTGAAACCTTTCTTGCCCTGATTTTGGATATCAGAACTCCAGGACATGTGGCCTTTGGAGTCCAAGACTCACACCAGTAGCTTCTGGATTCTCAGGCCTTTGGCCTGGGACTGAGAGTTGCATCATCACCTCCTGGGTCTGAGGCTTCTGGACTTGGTCTGAGCCACACTCCAAGCATCCCAGAGTCCCCAGCTTGCAGATAGCCTCTTGCGGGATTTTTCAGCGTTCATAATTGTGTAAGACAATTCCCCTAGTAAATCCCCTGTTATCTATATCTATATCTGTATCTATATCTGTATCTGTGTCATCTATCTATCCATCTTTCTATTTGTCTATCTCCTATTGTTTTTCTCTCTCTGAAGAACACTAATTAATTCAACCATCAATAAAAAATGTTGATTAAGTACATCCAATAATTTAGGACTATTGATAGGTAGTAGTAATATAGTATTGAGGAGGATAGACATTGTTTCTCCATTTGTGGGACTTATTGTTGAATAGAAAAGAAAGGCATTAAACAAGTAAGTAAATTCAGAATTAAAGAAAGTTGAGTCTATTTATTTTCTCAGTAGCTTCCATCTATGGTAGACGCACCAATGTCTCTTTCATCCCATTCCAAACTTTACCCCCAACTATCTTCAACCAAGCAGTCTGCCTTGAAATATGACTCCCTCACTCTCAAAAACAACAAATTTTCTTTTCTTTTCAATAGTAAGTCTGCCCTCAACAATATAAATCAAGCTTGCTTCACTCACTTCCCCAATTCTCCACTTTATCAATTTTTAAAATCAGCAGATAACAAGTTTAGAAACATATGTGAGCAAAAATGAAATTTACTTTGATAAGAGAAAGAAGAAGGCTGTTAATAACCACACATTAATTATTTTACTCTGTTTTAAATATTAAATAATCATGAATGTGTTTATCATTACAAATAAAGAGTAAAGAATATTTGTAAATGAATAACGTGTAGCTCCTACACTAGTCTCATGGTCACAAAATACTCACTGTAATAAGGAGTGCTTGATGAAGAGAGAAGAAAGGTTTAAATGTTGAACAAACCAGTGAGTTTAAGATCTGAGGCTAGATGTGCGAATGTATTTTTAATATAATAAGTAATAATTCAAGTCATGAGAATGCATGTAATATTGTAAGAATAAAATGTGTAATGAGAAGGAAGAAGGCTTAGAGAAAGCATCAAGGAATTCCAGTATCTCATATTTGGGTGGAAGAGAATAACATAGCAGCAAAAACTAAGAATAGTCAGAGATATGTGAACAAATAAGTATAAGTTCGTGGAAATCAAAGGGAAGAGTAGTCAGTAAGGGAGGGTGCATCTGTACAAGTGCAATTGTGTATGTAGAGAAAACATCATATAACACTCAATACTATCACCCACACATACATCTTCCCTCTTTTTTCAGTTTGGTTCTATATTTTCTTTACACAAAATCACAGGATTAGGTAAAATTGGAAGAAACATATTAATAATTATTGTCTTTATACATCACTATTTATTAAAGAAACAAATGAAAGAATATTTTATAGGTGAGGCATCTGAAAGAGAGGTGAAAACATCAGTCAAGTGAGTTATACCAAAAGAAAAGTGAAATAGAAATTTCAGAACCTCAAAGAGAAAGACTAGCTGTTTTGTATCATAAACATAGTATTTGGTCAAACAAATTTATGTTCTAGTTAATGATGGTAATTATGATGTTGAAGAATTTTTTGACAGTATAGTGGTTAGAAAGGAGAGACTGATATGAACTCAGGTTTGTCTACACAGAAACACACATGCAAACTATTTTGGTCTCTACTTCTAAATAATCCATAGATAATAGCAACATCTACATTATATATACTTAATAAAATCTTGGGCATTAAATTTTTAACTTTGGTCATCTGGCAGAGTCCATGGCACTTCTTTTGGTAATACCATTGTATCTTATGAACTACCTATCAGAAACTGAGTATATTACACTTACGCATAAAAATAACATTTTTTTCATTAGATTACATTAGTAATCAGCTACTGGGAGGATCAGCAATTTTCAATGTTGGCTTCTTATTATTTCATTTTACTTATTTACTTGCTTTTTGGTACTAGGATGAACTATGACAGACATTAAATATTTAACTAAGATTTATAGGAGAAAAATGGAATCTTGAAAAATTACTGTTAACTGACTCATTTTTGAAAACTAATAAAACCTGCTAATATTAAATTTGGTGGGAGAACATCTGGCTTTAGTTTTTACAGCAAGAGATTTTCTATGGAATTGCAGCTTGAATAGCATTGAACAAATAACATATTTGTATTTTCAGTTTAGTATTCACACAGCTGGAGATACTCTCTTCTTGTGTACCCAAAGATAGGATCCCTTTGTGATACAAAAAGAGAAGAAAGTCAGGGATTCAGCTTCCCCAGTGTTCTACTAGGTGGTTTTCTGCAGATAGATTTCCCAACTCGCTGCCCTGAATAGTGAACAATTTAAACAATTGCCCCAAATCTGAACTGAGGGGAAGGGGAAGAGTGTAATGTATTGATCTCTTGGCCTGACTTTGTGAACTTTTCACACTTCACCAAGAAGAAAGACACCATTTTCTCACCCTTCTCTTCTAGCAATCTTTTCTTCTAGCAGTGTTTTAAGATTTACTTCATGCAGGGTACCTGTCCCTCTCTTTTTCAGGTATGCATCAGCCTTCCCTACAAAATAATCAGTATAAAAGTTCACATGACTAAAATGGCAAGGCCTATCATCTTAGTCCCTTCTTGTGTTTTGTAAGTTTTATACATTCAGGTGTCAACTGTACATTTTGTTTAGCTTCTGCTGGCCGCAAAGAAAATTCTATTATCTCTGTCCCCTTAGTTCGTCATCATTCCTAGGACTGAGTGGGGATGGTGGTGAATGTTAGTTTCTAAAGGAAGTTTTACTCAGTGATTTGAATATGTGTTACCTTTTCTCTAGGAGAATACAATGTAAATATAACGTGAAAAATTGGTTGTGCATAAATGTTGGTGATTGTCTAGTAAAATAAAAAAACTGAGAACTACTCATTTAATCCTTCATTGTTCAAAAGCAATGTGGATAGCATCTGGTGGTTAGGCTGAACACATTAATTATACAGTCTTAGCTGATATTAGTCCATTTCTACCTGGTCTTCAACCTCCCCACTCATTGCATTCTAATTCTGTGATAGAATGACAATAATAATAAGGTATGCTAAAGGTGTTCAGAGAAGGAAGTAGTAACAAAAAAAATGGAAGTTTTAGAAAAAGATGAATTTTAGCTCATTCTTAAGAAATTCAGAGAGACACACAGTAGGAAGGAGGCCATTCAATGAGAAGATAATAGCACAATGATTTTCAAGTAGGTATAATGTGGTGTTATTTCGTGATAGTGACATAAGACCGAGGCTTCAGTTTAGAATATCTGAAGATTTAGAGTGAGACCAGATGACAGAGAGGTTGCAAAGGCAGGCATGTTTTTGGTTTGATGTCAGGTGGATAAGGTAGACAATCACTGTGTTCTTGTAAGCAATGGAATGAAAATTAAAGTTGTGTTTAAAGAAGAGTAGCTGTTTTCTATGCCTCCCTTAGAGGCTGAAGATTTATTTATTTTATGTTTTAATTATTTATGTATTTCTGTTTTCATAATTGATTTTGTAATTGTTTCAGATACCTACTTTGTTCCACTGTGTGAATGTCCATAAAAATCTGCAGTATGGATCAGTGGGGTTTCCTTGATGGAACTACTGGTGGTAGCATTTATAGATGCCTCCCAGCAGCTTTAGTGATTGTTGCCAAGAACAAGGTCAGCCATTCCCCCACATCAGCCACAGGCAGGCCAGAAAGGTAAACTGTGCTGGTCTTAGGAAGATCTAGTTTCTTCAGTCTGCATTACTAGTAAAGCAAAAACTTCTGTGCCAATTCTGAACTGAATTAATTAGTTGAAGACCAATCTTAGGTGAACTTTTCTTTCCTTCCGTCTGTGTCATTTTTTTTCTCACAATAGTGCATGTGGTGAGACCCTCGGGGAGCAATAAGACACTTGGATAAGCCAGTTGTAGATTAAATATAGACTCCCTGTGGCAACTCTTATCTCCTGCCTTCCCTCCTGCTTGCAAAGATGCAGAGACAGGATTATTGCCACAGCTGCGCTTCCTAGAAGACTAATCAATGCAGCTATAAGAAGGACTGAAATGCAGCAAGATTTTCAATTCTAAGGATAAAATTTGTAAAAAATGAGGAAGAAAACTGTTCTGAAAGTTATAGTGCTGTTAAATCCTAACACCCATTAAACATAGAAAGTACGTCTACAAAAATTGGGCCATTGTCCTATTTTAGGTGCTTATTAAGCTGGGATTGGTAAGACCTGTCTACAGGAAAGAGAAAAATGAAGTCAAGTTCCCAGAGATTAATTATTTACCAGAACCTGGTTTATTTATGCAAAATTGGATTTGAGGGATGATCATAGTCAGAAACCACAGATGTACCACCTCAGATATCAAATTCACCTTTGCTTCTTCATTAACTTCTGGTTAAGTCTTGCTGTCATGGAACCATATAGGACAAATCTTGAATTAGACGAGGAACAAAATCATAAAAATAAGTATCAAAAATGAAAAGGGAAGCATGAGAAGGACAGAGCCTAAATCTCTTATCTAGTAGTAATTAGTATTCTACCCTGTAGAAGGTGGTTGCCACTATCCATCTTTAGGGTTTGGAATTCTGATCCTATTATCCGACAGCATTCCCCACTCCTTGGCAACATGAAATTAGGCCATCCTAGAGTGAGGGGAGTGCCAGAAATTTGGTGATATTATGCACATGGGCAACAAGTTACCCAGTTTGCTCTTCTAGTCCATGCCAGTCAATCAACAGATATTGAGTACCTCCATGTACCAGATACAATGCTGAACAAGCCAGACTTGGCCCTGTCTTCTGGGATGTTACTCTATGGTTGAAAATGTACACATCATACCCATAATTAAAATTGCAATAATTCCAGTCCAAGAGAAGCAGAGGGTGCCACAATCTAAGGCTAGCAGAAATCCTGAACAATTAAGGTTGTTTTTAAGCTCCCTATCTGCCAGCTTTTGAAAAGGGTGAGCAGGCAAGTACCAGGTGAATTGGGCCAAAAAGAGATGAACACGGTGTGAACTCTGAAAAATGCAAGATGGGTCAGTGCACCTCCTGTGTGGAAATACATGGAATGAAGCAGACTGGAGTACTTAACTTGGTGAAGGAGTAATTAGAAAACTCTCTATCATCAGTGGTGTTTTTGAAACAGGCCTTTGCTTACTAGAAGATGTACAGGAGGGGATTGGGAGTTCTCATAGCCCATTCCCCAAACTGCTCTCCCACTTTGCACAATTTGTCTTGATGTTATAACAGGAAACTATTTCTGCCTTGCTATGGTTAGGGTATGCTGATAAAAATGTGTAGCATGTGAATTTAGGATCCCATTGGTTTTAATAGAAATATATGCATTCAGGGTTTTTTCAATTTAATGAAAGACATTAATGAGAAGTATAATGTTTTGTACACTTAGTAAAAGACATTAATGAGGAGGAAGTGATTCATTATGACACTGTTCTGTACCCAAAGAATGCCATGTGAAGGTTGTTCTCTGGGTGACAAAACAAGGCACACAGTTATTTTAATGGCCATATTAAAATAGCACAAGGGAAGAATATTGAACAGAGTATCCTTAGAAGATAAGTTGTTTGTTTAAATTTTCACTCGGTGTTTAGAAAACATCAGTTTATTTTTTTCTTTCCCTCTCTCTTGATTAAACAGTCAGTTTTTATCCTTCCCCATGGCCTAGCTATTATTTCTTCCTAAGTCTTAAATCTGACAATGAATCTACATATCAGTATGAACTAAAGTGATCCTGTTAAGATATTTTAAATCAAATCTGAGAGCCCTGGTAAGAAATTTGGATTTGCATTCTTCATATTTCTGAATCCTTCCTTTGTTGGTTGGTTTGTTTGTATCGTACAAATGTCAAAATTGGAAGAGTCAGAGACTTATTACTGAATATGAGACCTCTTCTGAATTCCAGTTTAGAAATTAAGTAAATAAAACTAACATATATAAAATAGAACAAAATTCACTCCTGGAGACCAATGATCCTTTGTTTGTTGTTTTAAAACACAGCTCCTTGGGTCAAATTCATCTTATGAGGCATTAGTATAAAATTTGTACTGTAGACTATTCTAAAGACATGAGCAGGATTTGAATCACAGATAATTCTAGCCGATTGACATGAGAAACATGAACAAAGAATTATTCAGGGCTTACCTTGAAGCCCAACTGAATCAGGTCCTCCAGATCTCAAGAAGATTGTCTATATACTTGTATTACTATTTGTGATACAACATTCTAAAGAGTCTGAATACTAGAAAAGACAGCCTCCAATGACTTAATTCTGACTTACTGAGACTTAGCAAGGAGAGAAAGTATTATTTTTTTCTTTAATGCATGTATAGTGACAAGAATTCCTAAAAATTCTTAGAAATTTTATCATTGCAAGTTCTTCAAAGAAAATGAAGGATATCAAGTAGGTGGCCTCTCAACATATATTCTCTTTTAAATATATATATATATATATATATAAATTATGTTAAGAAATAATTCACAATACTATAAAATTTACCATTTTAAAGTATATCATGCAGTTATTTTTAATACATTCACAGAGTTATGCTACCTTCAACACTATGTAATTTTTTGGAACTTTTTCACTGTCTCAGAAAAGAAAACTTGTACACATTATCAGTCACTCCTCATTCTCTTTTCCCCCCAGCCCTGGCAACAATTAATCTACTTTCTGTCTCTGTGAACTTGCTATTCTGGACATTTTATACACATTGAATTACATATATATATATATATATATATATATATATATATATATATATATATGGTCTTTTGCATCTAGTTTCTTTCATTTAAAATAAGATTTTCAAGGTTTGTCCATGTTGTAGCGTGAATCGGTACTTAATTATTTTTATGGCTGTATGAGAATTTATTGTATGCACGACACAGTTTTCATTATCCTTTTTTTCATTATGTTTTTGTCACTTGAGTGACATTATCTTTTTGACATTTGAGTTGTTTTTATTCTTGGCTATTATGAATAATATGGGTATGAAAATATTTGTACACATTATTGCCTAACATATATTTTTATTTCCTTGGATATATTCCTAGGAGTGGAACTGCTTGGTCTTATGGAAACTCTATGTTTAATTTTTTGAGAAACTGCCAAAATGTTTTTCCAAGTAGCTACACAATTTTACTTCCCCATTAATAATGCATGAATGTTTTTATTTCTCTATAGCTTATTAAACTCTTTACATCCGAGTTTCAAAAAATTAGCCATTGTTTTCCAAAAAATATATTTCTAAATCTGTACCTGATATTTCATCTTTCATCACCCCGCTTTCCAATATACCAACTCTTGGTTAATTCCAGTCTGTTCTGCATTTACCCTTCCTTCCTGTTACCCTACAAATGTGCTAAGGAGGTAAAAAGAGAAGAAAACAGGAAATTCTGACCCCTTTCCCAAACTCTCCGGCCTGAAGGATAAAGAAGTGCTTATTCGATTTAGTTAATGGAATCACATCCATGTTATCTCATAATATATACATTTCCAAATAATTATCAAAATCTTCATCTTTCCCATAACCACTACTTTAGAAATTGAATTCTAAAAGTCCACCTTAGAAATATCTCCATCTCTTTCTTTCTAACTTCATTCTTCTTTCTTAGTTGAAGCTGTAATCTTCTTCTCCCTTGACTATTGTAACATACTTGTAATTTTCTCTACCATCAGACTTTGATTTTCTCCAACTGGTTTTCTAAATTTCTTATAGAGTTAACTTCCTGAAGCACTTTCAATAGTTTGTAATGATTAACAGGAAAATATCATAACTCCTTACTTTAGCATACAAGGTCTTATATAATCCATCACAAAGTGACTTTTCTACAACCCCAGCACCCTAGGAATCAACTTCATGAAACTTATGGATCACAAATGATGGCTCTTCTGTCACTCTTTCATTGTGTTTCTATAGGAATAAAGAGCATCATTTTCTGGGTTTCCATGGCGCTGTGGTCATTTCTCCATCACAGCTGCAAAGCAACTGATGTTGCAATTCATTTCAGCTTACCATCTTGTGTTGGATTTTTTTTTTTTCAGTTTGTATAATTGTCTTTCCCACCAGCCTATTGTCAAGGGGAGAAACCATGTTTCATCAATGCTGTATTCCCCAACCCATAACTCCATGCCAACTCCATGCTAGCACATACTCTATTAGTTGGGGTTCAGCCATACAAAGTATCAGAGGAAGCCTAAAAGTAACCAGCCTTCACAAAGTGTCAGAGGAAGCCTGTGGGTAACCAGCCTTCACAAGGTTGTTCTAGTGTCTAATGCTGGATTCTGAAGATTACGAGCAGCCCGGAACCCTATGAAGATAGCTAGAATCCACCAAAAAGCCTGAAAATTGTGTCCACTCTTGCTTCCTATGACCTTGGTGATGGTTATCCTGCAGAAACCAGGACTTTTAGTTATGTAGCTGAACACAAATATAACCGGCCCATGAGTCAGGGAAAATAAAGGAAGATCCAGAAACAATGGAGGGCAATTCTCTGTTAGTGTCTATTACTACGGAACTATACTTCCACAAACTAAGCAGCTTAATATACACATACTTAACCAAACACATAATTTATGTGGTTCAGGAGTCTTGACAGTTTACCTAGTTTCTCTGCTTCAGGATTTCACATGCTGCACACCAAGTATTGTCTAGTTCTGCAGTTTCATCTGGGGCTTGACTGTGGAAGGATGTACATCCTCACTCATGAGATTGTTGGGAGAATTTGGTTTCTTACTGTAGGACAGAGGGCATCACTTTCTTGCTCATTGCCAACAGACAATGGTTGGCAATGTTCTCTAACCCCAGACAGTACCTTTCATACCTTGTCAATGGGCCACCAACATAGCTGCTTGCTTTGTCAAGCCAGCAAGGGAGAGAGGGAGAGAGACTCTAGCAAAATGGGCACTATAATTTTATGTAACACAGTCTAGTAATCACATACATGTAATCATGTCCATCCTATCACTCCGCCATATTCTATTTTTTAGAAGCAAATCACAGATCCTGTCCACTCTCACAGGGATTACACAAGCTCTTGAACCCCAGGAGGCAGGAATCATTTGAGAGTGTGTCTGCTACAGTGTACCTTCTGGCCCTTAGTGATTCATGTCTCCCCATATTCAAAATGCATTGACACCCTCGCAAAGTCCCCAAGAGTCTTATCTTATGACAACATCTGCTTAAATTTCATAATTATATGATTTAAATCAGGTCCAGGTGAGGAGGATGTAGTGCCTCGCATGTACAAAGGCTTAATCCTGGCTTACTATTAGGTTGAACAGATTTTATGGATCACATGCAGAATTTTCTAAATATCTTTGATGAGCCTTAAAGGTGATTATGAGTATTTCATCTACTTAACTTTGAGCTCCTGGTGGTGAGACCCTTTGTACTACATGTTGGTATCTTCAGTAATTTACCCAATGACTTGCAGATAGTAGTGATTCATAGAGAATGTTGATCGACAGACCGTACTTAGATAGCTATTTGCTGATCATAGTCAAAAGACACAGTTGACTTGGAAATTATAGCTATACTTCATCAGTCCATTTTTTTTCTTTAATATTCTGATATATTTTCCTTGCTTGGTTGATGTCTGCTATTTACTAAATCTCTTCTCTGAAATTCAAATCCCAACCAAGGTTTAAATGATGAGAAAATATCATGCTCAGTTGATTTCTCAGAAGTGCTATTAAATTCTATATTTTGAAGTGTATTTTTCTGTTAAGGCTTTTGTGCCTTTTGCTAAAAGAAAGTTTCAAATTAGTGTGATTTTATATGAGAAATATCATTTTCAAGGTATGAGTTATCTTGTCCTGATTAGTTTACAAGTCAGGCCAGTTAAGCCAGGGTCTACAGATTAAGTATATCATATAGGCATGAGCTGCAGTCCTCACTTTGTTAATCATTCGTTAATCCAAATTATATTTATTGAATGCCAATTCTGTGCCAAGGTTTATATTGGGCACTAGGTATATGGCTGTAAATGATCAGACAGACCCCCTCCCTATGGAGCTTACATTGTAATAGAACAGAGAGACAATATACAAGTAAATAAAAGAAGTCATTTCAAATTGTGATGAAGTCTATGAAGGACAAATGAAAACAGGCTAAAAGAGAGACAGCATGAATAAGAATAAGGAATCCTTTAGAGATGATGATGATAGATGAAGGCCACCTGAGGAAGGAATGGCATTTATTCTGAATGGAGCCTCAAGGATGATAGTCATTTACTAAGGGTGAATGTGCTGGGCATAGGGTAGAAGCCCATCAAACAGAAAGAAAAGCATGTGCAAAGACCTTAGGAGAAGGAAAGGAGCTCAGCGTATTCATGGGACCAGGAGAAGGCTAGTGTAGAGTGGTAGGAGATGTGTGGAAAAGGTAGGTAGATGCCAGGTATGGGTGCTTTATAGGTCATTGAGAGGGTTCTATTTTTCTCTTAAGGCCAAAAGTAGTTAATTTAAGATATTTAGCATGAGACATGCCAAACTGAATTGACCATTTAAAATCAGCTTTGCTGCTCTATGGAGGCAGGTCAGAAGAGTATGAGCAGAAGAATGGAGCCCATTGAGGAAGCTGCTCTAAGAGTCCTAGCTAGAGCCGTGGTGACCAAACGAAAATAGAAGGATGAAAAGTTCTCATTTTCTATGGACAAAGCCTGCTGATAGGTTAGTGAGGGAAGATAGAAAAGAAAGGGAGGAATGAGACCTTGGTTCCATATTTCTGGCTTTAGCAAATGGCTGCTGGTGGTGACTTTCGCTCTTGTGAAAAAGACTAGTAGGCTAGGCATTTTGTGGGGTGTCAAGCCCTGGGAAGAGAATCCAAAGTTCCAGTTTGAATATATCAAATCTGGAAAGCATATGAGAAATATACAGGGAGATGTAAAAAAAAATTAAATATGCAAATCTAGACTGGAAATCATAGGAAAAACTTGAGCTACATCTAGTAATTTAGACGTCAGCAGCATATAGATAGTACTAAAACATCGTAGGAATGAATAAGATTTCTTCGGCTCTCCTTTGTTCAGAATGACATTTCCTGAGCATCTTCCTGCCATACAGTCCCCAGAGCATTGGTATTATCTAATAGCTGATGTGTGAAACACATGGTAAATGCTCTTTAAAGTGCTTTGTTATGGAGACAGCTGCTGACCTGAGCACTAACAGGTGCTGCCTAGACCCTGCACCTTAGCGTTTTTGTCCCCATCACCAAGCCTTAACAAGTTGCCCCTGCCACGGATGTGGAGAGCTCTCAGAACCCCACGATCCACTCACACTGCACCTAAGCTAACTGGGAACTTCCAGAGGCTACTCTACATCCTGAACTAAAGTCCATCACTCCAAGCACATCTCCACTGGAGCCCATTCTTAACACCTGGTGTGGGCTTGGCTTGTGTCTACTTTTCTGAAATATGTGCCCATAAGGGTATCGGTTGGTATAAAAAATAGTTCCAGGGTTAAATATTTATTGGAATGATACATTAAATTATGTCAAATACATTTTAAAAGCATAGTACCTTAGTGTATCCTCTCAAATTCTACTTGGGATATAGAGATGCCACCTGATGGGTGGCAAAAAGAACCTCAGTGGAAATTATTGGTGCCAGCTATGTGAAGAGCTCTGCCCAACCTGTGTGACTAGAAAGAAGAAGTGCCCCAGTCCTCTGGAGGTGAAGACCCAGAAGCTGACCCCTTAGACACTTACGAAGATTGTCTGGCATGTCACAAGTATGAAAGCTTGTGCATGGGAACTAGACACATAATGTAGACGCCGTGACAGCATATAGCACTTTCCTCTTGGGGGGAGAAAGAGCTCTTTTTGTTTATAGAAATGGGAGTTCATAGATATTGAGCCTCCCTTTTAAAAAATATTAAAATATTATGTCAGCCTTTAAAAAATAACATTTCCTGATTTTTTGTATAAAATGACAACCTATAGAAAAGTGATAAAATCTGAAGGGGACACTATGGTAAGTTCAGATGAATTTGGGCTGCATGGGTCTTAGGAAAACTAAGTTCACTGTTGTAGTTAGAGTCAAGTTCCCTGGAAAACAGATTTTGAGGCAAAGATTTGCATGTGGGAGGTTTATTGGGGCATGGTATCCAGATTACTACCTGTTAGGAAGTTAGAAATGTAGAATGAGGCAGAGTTGAACTGGGATGTGGTGTCACAGAGGCCTTGGCAACTGGGATGGCTCTTCAGAGTTTTTCCAAATTGTGGCACAAGGGCCAGGGCTTTGTAACTCCCACATGAACTAGTCATTGGCTATAAAGTACTCTCCAGGAAGTGAATATAAGCTTGGCCAAGGCAGCTCCCTTGGAAGAAGCCAGTTTTTAAGGACAGACTCAGCTGTGAGCCATCAGCAGGCAACATGTCAGATAGGAAGGGACTAGCGGCCTCAGCAGTGGACAGTGGGTGGGTGGGGAGGGGGGTGTCTAAGAAGAGAAAAAGCACAGCCACTAAAATTAAAAACAATAAATACAAAGTATCAAGAAAGATATTAAATATTCAATTTGTGTAAAACTTGCATGTAAAATGTTTTTACCTTTTTACCGAAAAGCTTGAGCTTCTGTGAATGTAACTTTTTATATGTATATGAGGTTGTAATTGTTCCATGTAATTGCCTTTCAGTGATGATGCCTTCACATTATTCATAGTCACCTTTGATGAGGAACTTTGTTCAATTGGAAATAAAAATATCAAATCATTTTTTACAACTATAGAAACAATTTTAAGATTTGAAATTATAGTTAAATATTGTGAACTATTTTTCTCATTAGCAAATTGTAGTGTTGATTTTTTTAAATAAAAATATGAATGAATTTTAAATACAATTGAAATTTTTCCATAAAAAGAATTTCAAAAGAATGGAGAAGCTCCAGTTTGCAGAATTAGTATTCACCTGGTACCTGGTGTGGTCACCTCTGAAAAAGCAGGAGTGAACTCTGTAGCTGCTGCTGAAGCAGGGCTCCATACGGTAGGAGACATCTTTAGTGATGCTCAATGCACCACTCAGGCACAAAGATCAGTGCCTGAGAGATGGCTGGACACACATTCTGAGCTCTACTCCATTGAAATCACCTTCCTAGGAGCCAAAAATAGAGTTACTCGTTGCAAGAAATGACCAAACAAAAGGCCATGCCAAGCCATACACTGCATAGCACTTACAGGCAAAGGAAATTAATGGCATGGTTTAAAAGTAACTGAAAACTGGAAGCAGCGGCTTTTACTGTCCCTGTGTTAAATACTGGGACAAGGCATTAAGAAAACTTAGCAAAAAATAAATTAATTATCATTATTTGTAGTGGTTATGTTACATAAAGTCACTGTAAACACTGAATTGGTGAATATTGAATCATTGCTGCTAGAAGAAAGGCAGGGTTAGGTTCCTGAAAGCCTGTACAAAAACACACACACACACACACACACATTGGTGATTCGTTAACAAAGAGTTCATAGCCAACAGCACTATAACTCACGCTTAAAGGAAGTTTACATAACACATATTTTTCCCCACTAAGGCACATCACAGCCTTCTTGGGCTTAGGAACACTAGAAAGCATGTTAGCACTATGCCTTGAGCCCATTTTAAACAGAGAAATCACTCACAAAAAAACACAAAAATGCAAAATAACATGACATGAAATAGACCACAAAGGACAGGTATTTACATTATAAGAACTGAAGCAAGAGGCAGAGTGTTGCTTTGTTCAATCTTTTTTGGGAATATGTGCATTAAGCAAATCAATTTTTTCCCACTCTGATATATCTAGAATGTGATCCCCAATGTCCATGAAAGTGCCACAAACATTGATTTGGGACTTACAAATAAATTTTAGTGAGTAGGCAAATACACACATAATGAATCTGTGAATAATGAGGATTGACTGTACTTAGTCCTGGAAAATAAGGTCATGAACCAACTAAAACAGCTTCTTGTGCAGGCTCACTTGAAGATCCTCACCTCCCTGGGCCCACCAATCTAAAACTATTATGTCATAATCTCTGCCCACTTCTAGCCAGTTCATCTTCCAAGATTACTCCCAAAATCACTCAGTCAAGGTCCTATAATGACCACTCCCTAATTTTTTCGATTTTGAGATACTACTAAGACAGTGTTTTCTCTTAGACTGCAGTAAGTCTAATAAACTTAGCTGTGCATGATAAACTGTTTCTTTCTATTGATCTTTTGGTGAGTTTATAGTTAGTACCATTTTCAGGACAACTGTATTCTAGGAATGTGTGTTTGGAGAGAGAAAGGACACAGAGAAGACAACTGAGACACAGCATTATCAGTGAGTTAGGAAGCAAGTTAAGAGATCACTGTTACAGAAGTTGATAGAAACAAGCATGTTAAGAGGGGACACACTTCCTATAACAATTTCCACATGAAAAAAGTTATTTTAGGGTTCTCTTGCTAAGAAGTTATCACCCAGTGTTAGTCCGTTTTGCATTGCTACAATATATCAGTTAAGGCTGGGTAATTTATAAAGAAAAGGAGCTTATTTTAGCTTATGGTTCTGCAGGCTGTACATGAAGCATATTTCTGGCACCTGCTTTTGGTGGGGAGCCCAGGAAGCTTACAATAATGGCAGAAGGCGAAGGGGAGCCAGCGTGTCACATGGTGAGAGAGGGAGTAGGAGAGAGAAGTGGGAGGTCCCAGACTCTTTTCAACAACCAGATCTTGCAGTAATGCATTGTCGCTAGGAGGGTACCAAGCCATTCATGAGGGATCTGTCTCCATGACCCAAACACCTCCCCCTAGGCCCAACTCCAACGTGGAGGATCACATTTCAACTCAAGATTTGGAGAGGACGCACATCCAAACCATGTTACACCCCAAGTAATTTGTTGCTTTGTCCTTTCTGAAAATGTGAGCAAGATAATCAAATGTTTCTTACTGCTTTTGCTGCCAAAAACCTGAGTCAGACTGCATACTCAAGCGAAGCCTGATAATAACATCAACTTGAGCAGTGGACAGCTTGACTCTATGGTCTTTTTTCCTTAGTCATACTTTTATATATATTTCTATTTTATTTGCCTGTTTTTGTTTAGTGTAGTTTCAAGGAGCCCCAGGACCACCCACATGTTTGGTGACTCGCAAGACTCCAAGGAAATTGCAGTCATCACTGTGTTTTATTACAACAAAAGGGTACACAGAAGGATCAACAGAGGAAAAGATGCATCAGGCAGAATTCAGGAACAGGCTTCCAAAGTCCTCTCTCACAGGGTTGGGGAGAAGGGAGAAGGGTGGTTACACAATGTACTCTTCCTCTAGCAATGAAATACAGCAGCACATGTGCAGTGCTTTTTCCCAGTGTTCTTTAGAGTACAGAGGTTTTATTAGCAGCTGATCCCATAGGTCCTCTTTGCCTGTGTCACCAGTCACGATTACCAAAATTTACACTCCCAGAAGGAAAGCAGGTGTTCACCATAAATCACATTGTTTGCACAAAGAGTTTAGACGAGGTAATATGGCAGGACTTGGTACCTCATGCATACAAGACAGACATCAGTTAGTAATGTAAAAAAAAATTCTAAAAGTTAAGTTATCAGATCCCAGACAGGTGCTAGCCACATAAGTAGGTCTTTTTAAAGAGCAAGACAAGTCTGTAAAGACTGACTGTTTACTGCACCGTTTATGTCTACATTCTTTATGTAAACCATAAAAAATTCTTTTTGAAAAAAGAACATTTAAAAAATCATTAATTAGAACTCTTATCTATATGCGGCCTAATCATTGGTTGGAATTTAATCTCCAGCCTGCTTCTGCTGTACTTACCCAAGGTAACACCTCAATTGTCCTTTCTTATAAAGCCTGTGTATGGCTTAAACTTTTATACTTCTGATTCCTGCTGCATGAAGTCCCTTCTTAGAATACTCTGCAATTCAATACACACTGTAATTTTATCCAAATGTCCTTGTTTATTACATTTCTTTTGTCTGGCAGGTCCATGAAGACAGGGAAGAATTCTGCTTAGTTATCTGCCATATAGCCAACACCCGAGGCATTGGTACATAGTAGGCACTCAATAAACACTTGATGAATGTTTATTAATAAATGAACAGATGTGAGATTCCTTCTGTATCTTTGAAAATATTATGCTGCTTAACAGAAAATACTTTCCAGCTTTGAAACATTTTTTTTAAATGTTGAAAATCAGAGGTAAAAAGCTTATTCTATTTGTTTCCTCATTTGTTCAGCAATTTATAACGTTATGAGATTATCAGATTATTTTGTGGAATCACATACTTAGAAGAAAGAGATATTCAATGGAAAAGTTTTTTCTGTTCTTTAGCGCAAATGTAGAAAAGCAAGTTTTACTTAACCCTATTATTATTTCATGTTGGAAAATTTATTTGATGAGTATTTTTAGTTATGTTAGTTGTGACCAACAGATTAGCCAATACTCTTTTTTTTTTTTTTTTTTTATTTAAAGAGGATCTTGCTGTCTTACCAGGCTGGAGTGCAGTGGCATGATCACAGCTCAGTTCAGCCTCCACCTTTGAAGCTCAATTGATCCTCCCACCTCAGCCTCCTGAGTAACTGGGACTACAGGTGCATACCACCACACCTGACTAATTTTTGTGGGTATTTTTTTTTGTAGAGATGAGGTTTTGCCATGTTGCCCAGGCTTGTCTCCAGCTCCTGAACTTAAGCAATCCTCCTATCTCACCACGCCCAGTCCATTACTCTGTATCTGAAGGAAGCCTCGAGTAGCCTAGAGGCAAGAAATATAAAGAAAAATCCTGAATATATAGTTGACCATTACTTTAATATAGGTTAAAGTGTAACACAGATAAACCCTAAGGTAGCATTAATAAATGTGCATACAATGACTAAATCATGAGAAATAACAATTCTGCTTTGTGCAGGGATCAGGCCAATCTGGAATCTAGTCAGTTCCCTTCTTAGGGATTTGTGATATTCCCCAGATTAACCACATATAGAGAGCTCAGAATGCATTTGTACAGGAAATAATGTAATACCTTTCATTGTTAGTAATGATTCAGTCCCCAGATCAACCAACAAAAGCCAATTTAGCCAATGGTGTACCTTAATTATAAGAACATAATAGCATCAAAAGATAAAGCCAGCATTTATAGCAAGGTTTCCATGGGAGCACACATACAGTGCCACAAGGTCCCAGCCTAGGTAATCTAGACTGTCATATGTGTTTTGGATATAGAAATAGAAATTACCCTTCTCCATGTCCTTCCATGTGAAATGACAAAATAAAAATTATTTTAATTTTAAGGTGTTCAGAGGGTTCCCCAAGGCCCAGGCTCCAACACAGCCACTCTAGAAGGTAAAACTAGGAACCAACACTTGAAACATGAAAGTGAGTTATAATCAGACAATTTTTATCTACAGGAGTTGCTAAAAATGAGGGGTAAAACACCTTCCTAATGAAAGAATGAGATTCATACATTAGATATATCCAAACCAAGTCTAAAATACCATGTGGAGAAAGGTTATAGGAAGGTTTTTGTACTAGATGGGACTGGGAATCTCTCACAAGAGTTTTAAAATTATTTAAATCTGCCTGGCACAGTGGCTCACGTTTGTTATCCTAGCAGTTTTGGAGGGTGAGGCAGACAGATTGCTGGCGCCCAGGAGTTCAGGACCAGCCTGGGCAACATGGCAAAATCCCATTTCTACAAAAAATATGTAACTTAGCTGGGTGTCGTGGCATGCACCTGTAGTCCCAGCTGCTCGGGAGGCTGAGGTGTGAGGATCGCTTCAGCCCAGGCTGTTGAAGCTGCTGTGAGCCAATTGTGCCAATACACTCCAGCCTGGAAAACAGAACGAGATCCTGTCAAAAAAAGAATGAAAGAAAATAGAAAAATACATACATACATACATAAAATTCTTTAAATCTAATTTGAATTGAAAAATATGGCATATAGGTGTCACTTTTCTTCTCTCTTTTTCTCTCTGAACAGTCATTCACTGGAACAAGCTCTTAGCTCTTTTATTTTCATTTTTCTCCTTTGGTTTAAGACTCAAGACAATTAAAAATACCTGTGGTGGAAAATTGAAATAGTGTTGAGCAATGGAGACAATGTGCTTAATTACTGTGAGATGGGGGATAGGCAGTAAATGATTCTTATGTCAATTTGAAGACATCAGCACTCACATTGCTCACATGATATGGACTGTGACCTGATCTCACATTTATTCAATTACGCCAAGGAGTAAAATTCCACTTTTTTTCCTTTTCACATCTGCCAAATCAGCAACACTTTTTGATTTATTGCAATAGTTATTACTATCACTAGCGCAAATACTGAGGACTGAGTAAAAGTGGGTGATGCAAAAATCTTACATAAAGAAATGATTATGAGACAATGGATCAAAACTAGACAGCAAAGGCTCTAACTCTGTACTAGCACTAACACTAGGCAAGTCAATTGCATTCTTGAGATGTTGGTTACCATATCCACCAAATAAAGTTACAGGATTTGATATTGTTAAAGTTTTCCTCCCCCACCCCCCAGACTTTCTATTCATATCAATAGATTCTACGTCTCTCATCATATCGTTGGAGCTTAATTTTTATATTTATCTTCCCCCAAAACTGTTGGATTTTCTACAGCCTTATTTCTTCATATTTTAGTATATGAGAACTAAGAATTCTGTCAAAAGTAGTCGTTGGTAACCTATCATTATCAATGGGGACCATGGACATTTTTAGAACTAACTTGATAATTTTAAGTCTCATGAATTTTAGAATACAAAAGTATTCCCATATCATGAAGCTCAGTAGAATCACAGAGAACATATGGTTTCCCCTGACCTCTGCTTTGGTTTAAAAATGGGGAAACTGAGGCCAAGGAAAACCAACCTAGGACTAGTTGTCATTGTTAATATTACTATACAAAGGATTGTAGAAAGAGAAAATAAATTTTAAGAACTAAATAATACAATAATCATCTAGTTGGTCTAATTGTCATTTTGAGGAGAAACATGACAAGACTTCCTTTTGGAAATAACACATACATTTTATTTTAGAGTAGAATTTTGGACCAACTGAGAGTAACAGTGTAATCTTTGTGGATGAGGGTATGTGTGTCTTCAAATATTTCTTGCTTGAGAAGGCTGTAAATGAAGAACTACCCATTAGCCATGAAGACGAAGACCATAAACAAGTCTTACATTCTACATCTGAAACCAGTGTTCATGCCTACCTCTTCTCTCAAGAGACCTGACACACGACTCTCTGAGCCACCTTCACACTCAAATACACAAGATCTCTGTGATAAACTTGGGAGGGCAGATATCTCTTTAACACACTGATTTCATTTTCTTTGGATAGATACTCATTGATGAGATTGCGGAATCATATGCTAGTTCTCTTTCTAATTTTTTGAGGCGCTTTCATACTGTTTCTATAAAGACTGTATTAACTTACATTTCTACCAATCAAATGTAAGAGTTTTCCTTTCTTCACCTTCTCCTCAGCATTTGCTATTTTTTGTCATCTTAATGATAGCCATTCTAACTGGGGTAAAGTGATACCTCATAGTTTTGGTTTACATTTCTCCGATGATTAGTGATGTTGAATTTTTTTTAATCTACCTGTTGGCCATTTGTATGTCTCCTTTTGAAAAATGTCCATTCAGACCTTTGGCCCATTTTTATTGTATTATATGGGTTTTTTTGCTGTTGAATTGTTTGAGTTTCTCACATATTCTGGATATTAATCCATAGACAGATGCATAGTTTCTGAATATTTTCTCTCATGTTTATTGCAGTACTATTCACAACAGCCAAGGTATGTGATATGATTTGGGTCTGTGTCCCCACCCAAGTCTCATGTTCAATTAGAATCTGCAATGTTGGAAGTGGGGCCTAGTGGGAGGTGACGGGATCATGGGGGCTGTTTTCTCATGAATGATTTAGCACCATCCCCTGGCACATCCTCATAACAGTGAATGAGTTCTTGAGAGATCTGGTCGTTTAAAAGTGTGTAGCATCTCCCACCTCCCTCTCTTGCTTCTGCTTTTGCCACGTGATGTGTCTGCTCCCCGTTTGCATTCAGCCATGATTGTGAGCTTCCTGAGGCCTCCCTGGAAGCTGAGCAGGTGTTAGCACCACACTTCCTATAAAGCCTGTAGAACTGTGAGCCAGTTAAACCTCTTTGCTTTATAAATTACCCAGTCTCAAGTATTTCTTTATAGCAATGCAAGAATGGCCTAATACAATATGATTGAATGAACGTAAGTGTCCATCAATGAATAAAAAGATTTGAAAAATGTGTTATGTATCACAGTCAAATACAATTCAGCCATAAAAAGAACAAAATTCTGTCATTTGTTTCTTGGACAAATCTAGTGAATATTATATTAAGTGAAATAGATCAGGTCCAGAAGGACAAATACTGCATGATCTCATGTACTTGTGGAACCTCAAAAGATTGATCTCATAGAAGTAGACAGTAGAATAGTGATTACCAGAGACTGGAGAGTAAGGGGAGGGGAGTATGGGGAAACGTTTGTCGATGAGTACAAAGCTACAGTTAAATAGGAGGAATAAGTTCCTGCGTTCTATAGCATTGTAGGGTGTCTATAGTCAACAATAATGTATTGCATACTTCAAAATAACTAGAAGAAAAGATTTTGAATATTCTCACCACATAGAAATGACAAGTGTTTTGGATGATAGACATACCGATTGCCTGATTTGGTTATTACACGATGTACTGAAACATTACACTGTACCCCATAAATACGTACAATTATTATGCATCAATTAAAAAAAATAAAACTTCAAAAATAAAAAAAAATGGCCAAGTGTGGAGGCTCATATCTGTAATCCCAGCATTTTGGGAGGCTGAGGCAGCAGGATCACTTGAAGCCAGGAGCTCAAGACCAGCCTGGGCAACATAGCAAAATCTCATCTCTACAACGTTAAAAATATATATATATATTAGCCAGGCTTGGTGGCATGCTTCTATAGTTTTAGCTCCTCAGGAGGCTGGGGCAGGAGGATGACTTGACCCCAGGAGTTTGGGGTTGCAGTCAGCTATGATCCTGCCACTGCACTCCAGCCTGGGCAGCACAGAGAGACCCTGTCTCAAAAAAAAAAAAAAAAAAAAAATTATATTCTGGGTGACACGATTAATATTTAGCATAAGAGGAATTTCTCTGCTCTAAATGAAACTCTGTCTTTGGGAGTAAAGTTCTCAATAAATATTCTATTAACTTGTGCTTGTGCCCAATTTGTGAGTGTTTAGTGTCAGTTTAAACAAACAATTAGAAAAAAATCAAAGAGGATTGGGTGCGGTGGCTCACGCCTGTAATCCTAGCACTTTGGGAGGCCGAGGTAGGCGAATTATGAGGACAGGAGATCGAGACCATCCTGGCTAACATGGTGAAACCCCATCTCTACTAAAAATACAAAAAAATTAGCCGGGCATGGTATCAGGCACCTGTAGTCCCAGCTACTCGGGAGACTGAAGCAGGAGAATGGCGTGAACCTGGGGGGTGGAGCTTGCAGTGACCCGAGATCGTGCCACTGCACTCCAGCCTGGGCAACAGAGCAAGACTCCGTCAAAAAAAAAAAAAAAAAGAAAAGAAAAAAATCAAAGAAAAGCACCACCCAAAAAAGGAATTTCTGAGCTTATAGTGCCAATAGGACATCTAAAACAGATATGAAAGGCTAAATAACAGATATTAATTGCAAATATTCAGCAGCATTTTTAAAAGGCCCCTTGAGTACAAGTATATTATGCCCCTAAGGAAAAGGCAATCATTGCCAATGAACAGGTCTGTGTATCACCAAAGCTTAATGCTTACTTGTAAAGTTAGATGTAGAAGAAGAATCTCTACTCCCCAGCACTTACCTCTAAAATTTGACTACTTTACATGCACTGTGGAGCCTATTTTAATCAATTTCCCAGTATGTTTTCCCTCTTTTTGTCTTATATCTATGTTCTGGATTCTGAGACAGACATAACTTTATTTAGCCAAATTACTCTGGGTTCTTAATCCCTATCTGGGTGTTTATGTTTGTTTTGTTTTCGTATGGTTCAGTTTGGTTTGGCTTTTCTTCCTTTCCATTTATTTTGCACAGTCATTTGCATCCCACTTCCCCATTAGACAATCACAGGGAAGCTGGAGAGATCCCATCTGTGCTTTTTCAGGGGGCAAAATCAACCAACTCAGGGACAGGTGGAGCAGGCAGCGGGAAGGTGACCCCAGGCACGCAGCAGGTGGATGGAGCAGTGCGGGAAACCAGCAGGCAGCAGGCAGCATGAAGGGCAGAAAGGCCCAGCCTGCCTATGTCCAGGCAGCAAATCAAGCAGAGGTTAGCAGGTAAGAAGGGTGACAGGAGGGCAGAGCCAGGCATGTGACCAGGGGAAGGGAGAACCAGAAGGCAATTAGCTGGGGGGAGAGGGCAGATGGAGGGCACCCACCAACAATTACCAGGGGAAAGAGTAGCAGGAGGGTAATAATAGGAGGCAGTTCTGAGGGGCGAGAGGACATCAGACAGGTGACATGCAACAGCAGCAAGAAGACCCGGCTGATTTACCTGGAAAAAAGCATTGAGCAAAGAACCTCACCGCCTCTGGAGCAGCACTAAGCAGTCAGTGGGCCCAGAGGCAACCAAGAGAGGTGACCTCAAGAATGTGTAACCTCTGGGGTCTGGGTGTCTGTTACAAGTCCCCAACTCTGGAGGTCTTGCAGCGGGAAATATTTGCACTCTGCACATTGGTTTTTTCCTTGAGGGATTTCAGAAAAGTGCTGTAGGGTGACTGTACAGAGAAAGTGTACACCAACTGTGCTAGTTTAGGCTGCTATAACCAAGCACCCTAGATTGAGTGGTTTATGAAGAACAGAAATTTATTTCTCACAGTTATGGAGGCTAGAAATCTCAGATTAGGGTGCCAGCATGGTCAGGCTCTGGTGAGGGACTACATCTGGATTGTAGACTAACATTTGTATCCTCATGTGGTGGAAAGAAAGGTGAGAAATCTCTCTGGAGTCTCTTTTATGAAGGCATTAATCCCCTTCATGTGGACTTCGCGCTAATGACCTAATTACCTACTAAAGGCCTCACCTCCTACTACAACCATTGGGGATTAGGACTGCAACATATGAATTGGGGGAACATAAGTGACTTACCTGGGAAAAAGCATTGAGAGAAGAACCTCACCACCCCTGGAGCAGCACCAAGCAGTCAGTGGGCCCAGAGGCAACCAAGAGGGGTGACCCAAAGAATGTGTGGCCTCTGGGGTCTGGGAGTCTGTTACAAGTCCACTACACCAACGGCAGTGTATGCCATTAATGACCAGGTCCAATTTTTTTAAAATGGAGAAAAATGTAATTCAGGTATTTCTCATGGAGCAAGCTCTGTCAGAAACTTTACCTGCGATGTCATATTGAATCCTGTAGCAATGCTTGAAGGTTACTATTATTCTTTGTTTCTAAGTTGAGAATTGAGGTTAAGAGACATGATGAGAGTGGCCCAAGATCACACAGCTGATAAGTGAAAGCTGTGATTTCAATGAGAGCTTCTCTGACCCTCAGACTCTAACAACAACTTTTATAGCTCAGGGGTCTCAAATTTGGAAAGCCTTTTTTTCTTTTTTCCCGAGACAGGCGCTCGTTCTGTCGCCCAGGCTGGAGTGCAGTGTCGCGAACTCCGCTCACTGCAACATCCATCTCCTGGGCTCAAGCCATCCTCCATAGTAGCTGGGATCCTAGACACACCAGCATGCCTGGCTAATTTTTGTATTTTTTGTAGAGACAGGGTTTTGCCATGTTGCCCAGGCTGGTCTCGAACTTCTGGGCTCAAGTGATCCGTCTGCCTTGCCCTCCCAAATTGCTGAGATTACAGGTGTGAGCCACTGCACCCTTCCAGAAAGCCTTCTTTTCACAGAAATAAAGCCTTCTTTAGCAGGCAATACATAAATATAAAGGCTTTTGCGTATGATGTCTGCTAAACACAAGTTCTTTCAAGAGGACGCGTGTTACAAAACAGTGTTTCTTCGATTTAAATAAGGTGCAGGTCCCATAGAAGATGAAAGTCAAAACAAAACAAAAGCTCCCACATTTCCTAAAGCTCCAGTGACTTCTGATTGAGTGGAGGTACTGGACACTGCAGTAAGGGTTTTGGTCTTCAGCAGCCCGTATGAAAAGCATACTCTTTGAAACATATTGTTAGTGATCTCTGCATCTCCAATAAGGATCTTGGTCTTCAGCAGCCCTGTATGAAAAGAATACTCTTTGAAACATATTGTTAGTGATCTCTGCATCTCCAGTCTCTCTATTGTGTGCACTCAGGGCCTTTGTATCAGTTAGAATATTTTCCCTTACAATTTATAAAATGCCTGGATCCACACTGGCATGAACGCTTAGGATATTTATTTTGCATCTCGAGAAGCTCAGAGGTGATTAGGCCACAGCACCCCTCCCACAGTTCCCTTGGTCTGCTCTCCTCCATAGTGACTTCCTCTTTGGCTCAGCGGCAGGAGGACCATAGAAGCTCCAGGTGTCACATTCAGTTCTGGTCTGTGCTGCAGAGAGATCAAGGACTGTCCTATCTGGTGTCCCCTTTCTTTTTGGATTGAAGGAAGAGATTCAGAAGCCCCTTAACCCAAGCAGATTTCCTCATACAACCCATTGATCAAAAATAATGACATACCTTTCCCAATAAGTCACCTGGAAGGGGAATGGGATTATCATGTGAATGGTCCTATCAGTATCCATCTTTCCTCTGAACATTGTCATGAAACGGGTACATACCTGAACATAATGAGGATAGGATTCCTTTAGAAATGAGGCAAAAGATGGATGTTGGATTGACAACTAAGAGTCCTGTTCCTGTCCTCAATTAATAATTGTTGAAAACAAATAAATGACTGAATGTGCATGATCTCTGAGCAGGTTTGATTGGGAATAAGAGTAAAAGCACTGGATGTGGAATTGTTTTCTGGCTCGTTACTCATCCCACAGTAGCAGTGTGACTTTGAACAAATCACTTCATTTTCTGAGCCTTGGTTTCCTCATTTGTAAAGTGGAGACCTGCCCCATTTAACTCACAGGGTTATTATGAGAATTAAATATCTGTGTGTAAATGCTTTGTGTATGACAAAAGGCAATGTAAATGTGAGGCATTATTATTATTAATACTGAGAATTTAATCAACCTGGTTATTGTGTCAGTGAGCAAATATTTATTATTTTCTATGAGCCAAGTGCAATTTAAGTGTGAGATATGGAGACCACAGAGAAATGTAATATGCAGAAAATACATAAACTTACTGAAGAATCAAAATGTCGCAAGTCTAAGATTATATATCATTAAAAGAACAACACAAAACAACTTAAATGACGTCAAGAAAATTGGGTGTACATTAAAAAAACAAATAAATTATCTACATCATATTTAAAACAATAATTCTCAATGGAATAATGACCTAAAGAAAGAAATCTCTAAAATTATTAAAGAAAATAGTGGAAAACTTTGAGTCTTAGGGTAGGAAGTTTTCCCAATCAAGTTTCAAAATCCTGAGCCAAAAAAGAAAAAAAGATTGATGTATTTTAATGCATAAAATTTAAATGTCTTACAGCAAAATATATCATAAGCAAAAATAAAAGACAAGTGACAATCTATGATAAAGTATTGTAAGATTTACAACATAAAGTATTAATATTCATAAAATACTGTTGAAATAAGTTTAAAAGCAATCTAATATAAAGCTGTACAATTCTTTTATAAAAGAGCTTTAATTTCTAATAGAATTATAAAAACACTTGTTTGTCCTTTGACATAATAAAAAAAATTAAATTTTTTAATGTGATGTCATTTTTGGCTACTAGATTGGCAACGTTATTTAAAGATTGATAACCTGTAGTGCAGTGCATTGTGAAAGGAGATGGACACATAATTCTACGTGAGTGAGGTGTAAACATTTTTAGCCATTTAGAAAGGCAATTTGTCAGTGACTAACAAAAACTTAAATGCTCACAGTCTTTGAATCAGCAACTCACATTTTAAGGTTTTATTTGGCATGAAAGATTCCCAGTGTGAACAAGAATGTGTATAGTTCCAATTCATTTAGTTGTGGAAACCTCAAAATAATATAAATACTTATTGAGAGAGTATTGGTCTGAATTGGGAGAAAAGATATATCATTTAATGCTATCATTAGAAAGATTGCCAGGCATGGTGGCTCACACCTGTAATCCCAACACTTTGGGAGGCCAAGGTGGGCGAATCACCTGAGGTCAGGAGTTCGAGACCAGCCTGACAAACATGGTGAAACCCTGTCTTTACTAAAATACAAAAATTATCCAGGTATGGCGGTGGGCACGTGTAATCTCAGCTACTGAGGGAGGCTGAGGCAAGAGAATTGCTTGAACTTCAGGAGGCGGAGTTTGCAGTGAGCCAAGAGTGTGCCATTGCACTCCAGCCTGGGCAACAAGAGCGAAACTCTGTCTCAAAAAAAAAAAACAAAAAACAAAAAATTAATTAATTAATTAATTAAGATAGATTTCTATGTAATAATATGAAAAGACATTCAAGATTTATGATGAAGTGACAGAAGCAAATTGAAGATCTGTACGTGATCTATGATTTTATTTTTTCTTTCTTTCTTTTTTTTTTTTTTTCTTTTTTTTGAGACAGAGTTTTGATCTAGTTGCCCAGGCTGGAGTGCAATGGTGCAATCTCGGCTCACTGCAACCTCTGCCTCCCGGGTTCAAGCGATTCTCCTGCCTCAGCCTCCTGAGTAGCCAGGATTACAGGCATGTGCCACCATGCCTGGCTAATTTTGTATTTTTAGTAGAGGTGGAGTTTCTCCATGTTGGTCAGGCTGGTCTCGAACTCCCAGCCTCAGGTGATCCACCCACCTCGACTTCCCAGTGTGAGGATTTATTTACCTATACACATACTTACACACACATAGTTGAAGAAAGGGTCTAGAGTCCAGACTGAGAAGTATGTTTGTAATATTCTAAGAAAAATTGAAGGTGTCTCTAAAGAGAAGAAATACAGATTCTACGTTTTGGTTTAAGTATCTTCCAGATCTTACCTGCTTTTTGGATGTGAACATGAGCTGATTCTATGTCTTCTGAAGTTGAATCTGTTACTCCAAAATTACTCATTATCTTCACATTTTCTGCTGTTCGGTTTCCAGGCTTTGCTCTCATAGACCCCTTCTTTTAGACTACAACATTCCAGGAAGGCAAGAAACTGTAGGTCTGCACTCTTCCATATAGTAGCCACTAGCCAGATGTGGCTAGTGGGCTTCTAAAATGTGACTAGTGGAAACTGAGATATTCTCTAAGTATAAAATACATAACAAATTTCAAAGACCTGGTCTAAAGGAAATAATTTAAAATATCTCTTTAATAATTATATACTGACTAAATGTGGAAATGATATTTTTGATATATTGGGTTAAATAAAATATATAATAAATTAATTTTACCCATTTATTTTTCTATTTTCTTTTTAATGTGGCTACTAGTAAGTTTAAAATAACATGGCTGGGCACAGTGGCTCACGCCTGTAGTCCCAGCACTTTGGCAGGCCAAGGTGGGAGGATCGCTTGAGCCCAGAAGTTTGAGGCTGCAGTGAGCTATGATTGTACTACTGCAATTCAGCTTGGGAGACAGAGTCAGAAATTGCCTCTGAAAAAAATAATAAAAATAAAAAATATAATTACACATGTGGCTAGGAGTGGCTTATATTGTATTTCTTTTAAACAGTGCTGCTTTAGGTTCTGAAAAATTTCTTTTATTTTCAAGATCTGAGAATGTACCAGTGTCTGAAAACTGTGCTCCATACTCTTCTTCAGACTACAATTTTCCCCTCTACAGTATCTACCATTTAAATACTAAGATCCACGCAATAAAGAGTATAATCTTAGGATCTATGAGTTCAGACATTGAGAATAACCGTAAGCCCATAATAAATCAGAGGTTTTGATGCTGAATGATTGAGTTACATCATTGCCATTAACAAGTAACAAAGTAGGAGCAGAAGAGAAATTGAGATTGAAGACAAGCTGTTAGCTTTTAAACAAGATGAATTTGGAAAAGTGGATATGCGCAGCAAGCATTTGGATTAAGAAAATCAAAATGCAGATAAAAGTTTCAAATTGTGATTTAGGATGTGGAGTCATTCACATTTGGCATATGTTGGAAAACCATCTAATTGAATTGATTTTAAAATATTCTATCATTAAATTTTGCAAAATTTATTTGGACTAAATTGTATTCAAAATAATGTATTTAATGCTATGATGATGTTAATATATCCATGTCTATACACATTCTTATTGAGTTGTAAAATAAACAATAAACAAATAAAATATGTTTATCTCCACTATCAACCTAAAAAAAAAAACACAATATGTATACATTTAGAAAAGGAGAGGAGACTTTTTTAATTTTTACAAAGGGTTACAGCCTGCAAGGTGGCCATACCATAGGCAAGGAAGCATGCCTCCAGCAAAAACCAGGAACAGGCACTTTGAAGGAGGAAGGTTTGAGCTAGGAGTTTTATGCTGAACAGGTTTGCTAAACACACATATTCAACAGGTGACAGGAGGGGCTATGAATATTCATGAAGTTTGTCCCGACAACCTTCATGTATGTAACATATGACTCACGTTCACCTTGGGGTGGAAACTTAACATTTAAATGTGTTACAATTAGGTCCTATGTGTCAAAAAGTCTTTTCAGAACTTGAGATCATGCAAGTGTGCAATTTCTATAAACCTGCCAAAAGCAGTCCATGGTCGGGTTGGTGATCTTCTTATCAGGAGAAAGTTACTGAAATCAGTCTCTTGTCCAATGAAAGCTATAGTTATGGCTGGCGTTCAATTAGTCAGTGCCTGTGAGCTGGATAAGTTGTAATTGTTTTAAAATTGCTTATCTTCAGACCAATGCTTGTGTAGCTGTTAGAGAAAAAGAAAAATCTTGTGGCAATTAGAACATAGTTTATTCTTTAAGTGTAGGTGTGCATGACTTAATCCTTGCCTGGCATGGCCTTAGGTCCTGTTTATAATTTGGTATCTTATGTCACAATGAATCTATCCTGTCAGAGTTATAACCTCTATTTATTTTTTATTTTTTATTTTTTTTGAGATGGAGTCTCACTCTGTCTCCCAGCCTGGAGTGCAGTGGCGCGATCTCGGCTCACTGCAAGCTCCGCCTCCCGGGTTCACGCCATTCTCCTGCCTCAGCCTCCCCAGTAGCTGGGACTACAGGCACTCGCCACCACGCCTGGCTAATTTTTTTGTATCTTTAGTGGAGACGGGGTTTCACGGTGTTAGCCAGGATGGTCTCGATCTCCTCACCTTGTTATCCGCCCGCCGTGGCCTCCCAAAGTGCTGGGATTAGAGGCGTGAGCCACCGCGCCCGGCCATGATCTCTATTTTAATATTAATGTTGATCAGTTGTTGTGTCTAAATCTAAAAGAGAGGGATATAATGAAGCATGTCTGAACTCCCTTCCAGTCATGTCTGGGAACTCAGTTTTCAGGTTTTTCTGGGGTTCCCTTTGACAAGAGAGGGATCTGTTCAGTTGGAGGGAGGCTTAGGATTTTATTTTAAGTTTACATCAGATATGCCCATGATGTATGCTATTATTTTTAAAAAGTATGACTTTACATCCTCCTATCCAATCACAATGTTCTTTCCTCATTTTTCAATTACTTGATCAGACTTAATTTCACATGTACTTGACAGATATTGTCATTATAGATACATACATAAGAAGGTTATGATTAGAAGAGATATCCAAAACATCTACTTGGTTGAACATTTTACATATCACGTTCTTAATAATTTATTGCTAAATTAATAAATTCTTTACTGCAGAATAGGAAAGTTACAGAGTTTCAGAAAAAAGAAATATGTAATCTAATCATAGCCAAATTTGCTCCAGTCTCACAGCACTGTGTAATCAGTTCAGTATGCACAAAAATAATCCATTATTTCTTTCATCCCAGAGCAGAATAATTTATGTTGGGATGGGTGATGTATGCTAGTGAAAAAGAAGGTAATCCACATAGTTCTTGGGAACGACCAGAAAAATCCAAATGCAGAGAATCCAGAGGTAAAAATAATAGTAACATGAAGAATAGCAAAGACTGCAAGTTTCCAGTCTTGTATATTGTTTCAGAAAAACTCTCATACCATGTTTTTCCTCTGCTCTTCTATTAGCACAACAATCAACACAGAAGACTTCTGTGACCCCAAAATATGTGGGGACTCCTCCCCACAAGCAAGCAAACAATCAGTTCTGCAGCAGACATCAGCTGGGTGCCCTCTGATTCAATTCTGACACTAACTTCCTAAAGATAGCATCAGATCCCACAGGCTGAGGGCTCAGTCCCCAAGACTAACCCACTTAGACGTCAGTCACCAGTCCAGGCCTTCGGAACTTCTGACCAAACAGCTTCAAGTTGTGGTTCCCACAACTTCTACTTTGGGTTTGATTAGTTTACTGGAGTGGCTCACAGAACTATAGGAAACTGGAAACATTTAGGTTTGCCAGTTTATTATAAAGGATGTTACAAAGAATACAGATAAACAGATGCATAGGGTGAGGTACTCGGGAAAGGTGCAGAGCTTCCATGCCCTTCCTGGCTACACCACTCTCCAGGAACCTCCATGTGTTCAACTATTCGGAAGCTCTCTGAACCCTGTCCTATAGGGGTTTTATGGAAACTTCATGACATCAGCATTCCTTACTGCAGGGTATGAGGCGGGACCCTTTCTGGAATGAGGGTCTTATGACCCACAGTCAGAAAGGCAGAAGAAGATTAGAGTCCTGCCTTGGGATAAGTAAAAGGAGGGCAGGAGAAAGTCAGAGAGATTTTTTTCCTGAGGTCTGCTTCTGAGTCCTGACATATCTAGCATTATAACAAAAGATAGTAACGAGGATTATGGGAGTTATGAGGCAGGAAGCTTGGACAAAAATCTACATATATAAATTTGTGGGATACAGCAAAAGCAGTGCTTAGGGAGAAATTTAAAACATGATTACATGTATTTGAAAATAAGAAAGATCTGGCTGGGCATGGTGGCTCATGCCTGTAATCCCAGAACTTTGGGAGGCCGAGGCAGGCAGATCACCTGAGGTCAGGAGTTCGAGACCAGACTGATCAACATGGTGAAACCCCGTCTCTACTAAAAATACAAAAATTAGCCAGGCGTGGTGGCATGACTGTAGTCCCAGCTACTCAGGAGGCTGAGACAGGAGAATTGCTTGAACCTGGGAGGCAGAGATTGCAGTGAGCCAAGATTGGGACACTGCACTCCAGCCTGGGTGACAGAGTGAGACTCTGTCTCAAAAAAAAAAAGAAAGAAAAGAAAGATCTAATACTAGTAATCTGTTTCCACTTTAGAACACTATAAAAAAGAGCAAATAATATGCAAAGTAAGAAGAATGAAAGATATCATAAAAATAGAGCAAAAATTAAAGGAATTTAAAATAGAAAATTGATTTTATAAAATCAGTTAAACCAAAAGCCAATTTTCTAAAAGGGTCAATAAAATTGATAAGCCTCTAGCCAGGGTGGCTAAGACACAAAGAGGAAAAACACAAATTGCTAAGATCAGCAGTGAAAGAGGGGACATCACTGCAGATCACATGGACATTAAAAGGAAAATAAATGAAGATTATGAACAAACCTGTGCCCACACGTCTGATAACTTTGATGAAATGGACTAATTCCTTAAAAGGTCTAATCTTTTAAAACTCACACAAGAAGAAATAGAAAATATGAATAGGACTACATCTATTTTTAAATTAATTAATAACCTCATAAAAATAAAGCATCAGGCTCAGCTAAGGAAGAAATTATGTTAATTCTCTCCCAGAAGATAGAAACAGAGGACATACTTCCTAACTCATTCTATGAGGCCAGCATGGCTCTAATGCCGAAGCCAGACAAAAAGATTATAAGAAAAAACAAACAAAACTACAGATCTATATATCTCAAAAACATTGGTGCAAAAATCCTCAACCAAATATTAGCAAATCAAATTCAGCAATGTGTAAAGTGATTTACACACTATGACCAAGTGGGATTTATCTCAAGTGTTTAAGTCTGGTTCAATGTTTGACAATTAATTAATGTAATCACCTGGTTAAAGAAGGAAAATTACATGATCTTATCAATAGATGCAGGAAAAAGCATTTGACAAAATCTAACACCACCCATTCTTAAAACAAAATGTCTCTCAGAAAACTAGCAATACAGGGAAATATCCTCAACTTGGTAAAGAACATTTTAAGAAATCATAGTTAATAATGAGAAACTTGAAACTTCTTCACTACCATCGGGAAAACAGCAAGTATACTACCTCTCACCAGTGCTTTTCGACTTGATATCAAAAGTACTAGCTAATGCAGTAAGAAAGAAAGAAAGAAAGAAAGAAAGAAAGAAAGAAAGAAAGAAAGAAAGAAAAGAAAAAGAGAGAGAGAAAAGAAAGAGAGGAAAGAAAGAAAGAAAGAAAGAAAGAAAGAAAGAAAGAAAGAAAGAAAGAAAGAAAGAAAGAAAAGAAAGAAAGAAAGAAAGGAAGGAAGGAAGGAAGGAAGGAAGGAAGGAAGGAAGGAAGGAAATACAGATTGGGAAGAAAAAATAAAATTGTGTTTGTTCACACATGACATGATTGTGTAGAAAATCCAAAAGAATCAACAAAAAAGCTTCCTGAAATTAACAAATAATTACAGCAAGTTTGCTGGAAATGAAGTTCATATACAAAATTGAATTACTTTTCCATATATCCACAATCAACAAATGGAATTTGAAATTAAAAACACATTATCATTTATATTAGCATCCTCAAAATGTAATATTTCTGCATAAATTTAACAAAATATGTATATAATTTATATGAGGAGAACTACAAAATTCTGAAGAAATATGTCAAAGACTAAATAAATGGAAAGATATCTCAGGTTCATGGGTAGAAAGACTCAATATTGTTGAAATGTTAATTCTTCCCAACTTAATCTATAGATTCAATGTAATTACAATCAAAAATGAAAGTAAGTTTTGTGTGTGTTTGTGTGAATCTTGACAAACTGATTTTAAAGTTCATATGGAGAGGAAAATGACCCAGAATAGCCACCACAATGTTGAGGGAGAACAAAGTGAGAAGACAGCACTACCCAACTTCAAGACTTGCTGAAAAGCTACAGCAATCAAGATAGTGAGGTATTGGTAAAAGATAAAAAAACAGGTCAATGAAACAACATAGTGTACTCAGACATAACCCACATAATATACTCAACTGATCTTTGACAAAGGTGCAAGTTCAAGACAATGGAGCAAAGATAGTCTTTTCAATAAATAGTGGTAAGAAAACTAGGCATAACATGCAAGAATAAAATGTAAATCTAGATATAGACCTTATGATCTTCACAAAAATTAATTCAAAATGAACTTTAGAGCTCAATTTAAAATGTAAAATTATAAAGCTCCTAGAAGGTAACATCAGAGAGAAACTAGGTGACCTTGGTTTGGTGTTAACTTTTTAGAAACAACACCAGAAGTATGACCCATGAAAGAAAGAATTGATAAGCTGGACTTAACTAAAATTAAATACTTCTGTTTTGAGAAAGGCACTATCAAGATCATTGGACCACAAGCAACAGACTGAAAGAAAATATCTGCAAAAGATAGATCTGATAAAGGCGAGTCATTTAAAATATTCAAATATCTTTGAAAACTCAACCATAAGAACCCAAAAAACCTAGTTAAAAAATGGGCAAAATGTCTGAATAGGCACCCTACCAAAGAAGATATAGATAAGGTAAATGATCATATGAAAAGATATTCAACATCTTATGTCATTAGGGAATTGCAAACTCAAACAACAGTGAGATGCCGCTGCACACCAATTAGAATGGCCAAAATTCAAAACACAGCACCAAATACTGGCCAGGGTGTGATGAAACAGAAACTTACTCATCTTTGGTAGAAATGCAAAATGGTATAGCCACTTTGGAAGACAGTTTGATAGTTTCTTTAAAAAGTAAACATGTTCTTACCATACATATGATCTTGAAATCATGCCACTTGGCATTTACCCAAAGGAGCTGAAAACTATATCCACACAAAATCCTGCACATGGATGTTTATGACAACTTTATTTACAATTGCCAAAGGTTTGAAGCAACCAAGATGTCCTTTAGTAGATTGATACATAAACTGTGGTACATCCAGACAATGAAATATTGTATTTTTCCATTTTCACACTGCTGATAAAGACATACCCAAGACTGCATAATTTATACAGGAAAAGGGTTTAATGGACTTACACTTCCATGTGGCTGGGGAGGCCTCACAATCATGGAAGAAGTCAAGGAGGAGCAAGTCACATCTTACATAGATGGCAGCAGGCAAAGAGAGCTTGTGCAGGGAAAAATCCCATTTTTAAAACCATAAAATCTCATGAGACGTATTCACTGTCAGAAGAACAGCACAGGAAAGACCTGCCCCCATGATTCACTACCTCCCACCAGGTTCCTCCTATGACATGTGGGAACTGTGGGAGTTACAATTCAAGATGAGATCTGGGTGGGGACACAGCCAAACCTTATCAAATATTATTTAGCATTAAAAAAACTGTAAAGCCATAAAAATATATGGACAAAACTTAAATGAATATTATTAACTGAAAGAAGACAATCTTAAAAAAAGACATACTGTGTAATTCCAAATATACGGTATTCTGGAAAAGTCAAAATGTGGAGATAATACAATTAAAGTGGCTGAGAATGGTGGCTCACGTCTGTCATATTAGTACTTGGCAGGCTGATATGGCATCATCACTTAAGGCCAAGGGTTTGAGGCTAGCCTGGGCATCACAGCAAGAACCCATCCCTACAAGAAAAATTTTTAAAAGTTACCTAGACATGGTGGCATACGCCTGTAGTCATAGCTACTTGGGAGGCTGGGGCAAGAAGATTGCTTGAGCCCCGGAATTTCAGGCTGCAGTGACCTATGCTAATGCCACTGCTCTCCTGCCTGAGTGACAGAGTGAGATTCTGTCTCTTAAAAACAAACAAACAAACAAAAAGATTGAAGGGATGAATAGGTAGAGCACAGACAAGTCTTAGGTCTGTCAATATTCTGTATGATACTATAATAATGGATGTATGTCATCATACATTTATTTATATCCACAGAATGTAAAACACCAGGAGTAAATTCTATTTTAAACTCTGGGCGTTTTGTGATAATGATGCATTAATGAAAGTTCATCAGTGATGTAACAAATGCACTACTGCCATGTGGAATGTTGATACTGGGGGAGTTTGCCATGTGTGAGGACAGCAGGTATATGAAAACTCCCTGCACTTTCTGCTTAATTTTGCTGTGAACCTAAAGCTGCTCTATATAATAAAGTTTATTAATTAAAAAAACCTCTGTTACAGCAAAATTGAGTAACAGACACCATATTTTTCCTCCTGCCCCCCCCCCCAAAATTAACAAAGTATAGAAAACAATGACTCTGAGAAGAGTGAACATTAGACAGTGAGGACATTGTTTCCTGAGAGAGGAAAAAATAATAATAATATGTAACAAATGATTTCCCCAGCTTACTGCTCACATAGTTTCTAAGCCATGATGCAAAAACAGGGCTAGTTCATGGCAATTTTGACAGGATTCACTTATGTCACCCCAAATCTCTCAAGTTTTGTCAGTATTCCAGTTCAGTCAGGCAAAGAATGGCTGAGTAAACAAGAAGCTTTGTTATTTCTTTCAGTGTTGGTTTCTATACCTCAAAATACCTCAGTAAATCTCAAGTAGAATAAATTGAAATAAGATAAACACAAATAATCTTAACACATTATAGTTAAGTTGAATGCCACAGACAAAGGAAATATTTTGAAAGCAACAAGATGAAAACAACATATATGCAGATGTACAATATCATTAATGACTGTTTTTATGCCAGAAATAAAATAGGCCAGAAACCAATGCAATGACAAATTGTTTGAATGAAATGTCAGCCAACTATTCTATATTCGGCAAAGCTACTTAAATGAAATGGACCACCACAGTGGCTCACGCCTGTAATCCCAGCACTTTGGGAGGCCAAGGTGGGCAGATCATGAGGTCAAGATATAGAGACCATCCTGGACAACATGGTGAAATCCTGTCTCTACTAAAAATACAAAAATTAGCTGGGCGTGGTGGCGCGTGCCTGTAGTCCCAGCTACTCAGGAGGCTGAGGGAGGAGAACCTCTTGAACCCGGGAGGCGGAGGTTGCAGTGAGCAGAGATTGCACCACTACACTCCAGCCTGGTGACAAAGCGAGACACTGTCTCAAAAATATATATATATATATAATAAAAATAAGATGAAATACAGACATCCTCAGATGAACAAAGACTCGAGTAATTCATGGCTAGCAGGCATGACTTAAAGGAAAAACTAACGGAAACCCTGTAGGCCAAAGGAACGTAACACTAGACAGTAACTCTAACTCTAATTCAAGAGAGAATGTGCAGGAAGCCATAAACAGTAAACATAATAATCTATATTATGTAATTTAATAAAAAATACATTGCTTTAAAAATCCTTTTCTTAAAAATATTATTGTGTAAACATAATTATAATATTATAGTGTTGGATTTATAACATATTTGGTGAAGTAATCGCACAAAGTAAAGAGAAGAAGAAAAGGGTATGTAAGTAAATAAAGATATTATATTTTACTGGAATTAAGTTGGTACTATTCTTAAATGGATTATGATTAGATGAGATGCATATTGTAATTATTGTAGCAACCACTAAGAAATAATATTAACACAAACAACAGAGGAATTAAAATGATAGATTAGAAAAACCATTTATATATCACAAAATATAACAGTAAATGAGAAACAGAGGAATATATTTAAAATGAGCCTGGTTGCAGCGGCTCACACCTGTAATCTTAGCAACTTGGAAGGCCAAGGTAGGAGGAAGTCTTGAGCCCAGGAGTTCAAGATCAGCCTGAGCAACACAGTGAGACCCCCATCTCTACAAAAAGTAGAAATTTGGCAAGGCATCATGATAGGCACCTGTAGTCCCAGCTACTGATGAAGCTAAGGCAAGAGGATTTCTTGAGCCTCTGAGGTCAAGGCTACAGTGAGCTATGATCACACCACTGCGCTCCAGCTTTGGAGACAGAGCAAGACTCTACAGCAATAAATAAATAAATAGAAAGCAAATAGAAAAATGACAGGCATAAATCCAACTGTAGCAATACTTAATACATGAAAAGCAAATAAACCAAGCACAACACATAAAAGGAAAGGATTGTCAGATTTGATAGAAACAAGACCCAAGTATACACTGTCTATAATAGACACACATTATATTCAAATACATAAATAAATAAAAAGCAAAATGATGTAAAAAAGGTAAAGTATGAAATCAGTAACTCTATGACAGCTGAAGTAGCTGTATTAACATTATTTAAAATAGACTTTAATACAAGAAACACTATCAGAGAAGAAAAGCCATATTTCATAATGATAAAACATGCCAATTCATCATAAAGATGTAAGAGTTAAAAACATGTATACATTTAATCATAATGCCCCAAAATACCTGAAGCAAAAATGGACAGAACTGAAAAAAGAAATAGACAATTCAAAAATAATAGTTTGAAATTCAAACAACTGACTATCCATAATGACTAGACAGAAGATTAATAAGTATATAGAAGACTTGAGTAACACTATACACCAACAATACTTAACAAATATCTGGAGAACAGTCCTCCTGACAGCAGAAGAATACATGTTCTTCTCAAGTACAAAGGAACAGTCTTCAGGATAGACTATTTTATGCCATAAAACAACCTCAATAAATATAAAATGATTGAAATCATACAAAGTATATTTATCAACCACAATGGAATCAAATCAGAAATCAATAATGGAGAAATTTGGGGATATGAACAAAATGTGGAAATTAATCAATACCCTCTATATAGCCAATGAGTCAAAGAAGAAATCACAAGGAAAATTAGAGTGAAATTAAAAATCAATAGATCCCAACATTTTGGAAGGCCAAGATGGGAGGATCACTCCTGGGTAACATAGTGAGAGCCAATAAAAAAATTAGCCAGGGATGGTGGTGAGTGTCAGTAGTTCCAGCTACTTGGGAGGCTGAGGTGGCAGGATCACTTGAGCCCAGAAGGTCAACATTGCAGTGAGCCTTGTTTGTACCACTGCACTCCAGCCTAGGCGAGACTGAGACCCTGTTTCAAAAATAAATAAATAAATAAATAAATAAATAAATAAATAGTGAAAATAAAAATAAATGAAACCAAAGTTCACTCTAAAAAAAAAGTCAACAAAGTTGATAAATATGTAGCTAAATTAAACAAGAAAGTGAGAGACGAAATCAGAAAAGGAAGTAGGTAACATCACTTCCAAAATCTCCAAAATTTAAAAATGTTTTGAAGATGATGAACAACTTTATGAAAACAATCAAGATAATGTACACGAAATTTTATATTTTAATTCCAAAAGCAACCACTAGAAAAAATAACTCAAAACAATAATGTAAAAATCAACAGAAGATGGCCGGGCACGGTGGCTCACGCCTGTAATCCCAGCACTTTTTGTTAAATGTTGTTTAATGTATTATGTTAAATCTTCTGGGTTTTTTTTTGTTGTTGTTGTTTTGAGACGGAGTCTCGCTCTGTCGTCCAGGCTGGAGTGCAGTGGTGCGATCTCGGCTCACTGCAAGCTCCGCCTCCCGGGTTCACTTTGGGAGGCTGAGGCGGGCAGATCACGAGGTCGGGAGATCAAGACCATCCTGGCTAAAATGGAGAAACCCCGTCTCTACTAAAAATACAAAAACAAAATTAGCCGGGCCCGGTGTGGGGCACCTGTGGTCCCAGCTACTCAGGAGGCTGAGGCAGGAGAATTGCTTGAGCCCGGGATGTCCAGGCTACCGTGAGCCATATTCATGACACAGCACTCCAGCCTGGGTGACAGAGTGAGATCCTGCCACAAAATAAAAAGAAAAGAGAAAATGATAAAGATTGTAAAAATACAATCGTATATGGCTACAACTGATTTGTTAAAAAGATGCAAAGGCAATCCAGTGGAGAAATTACAGTGTTTTTAAAAATTTGTTAGATCAATTTAATACCTACACATAAAAATATAAACTTCTACCCATACCTGTTGCCACATTTAAAAAAAAAATTAACTAATAGGCCTAAACATAAGCTAAAACTATAAAAGTTTTAGTTGAACACATACGAGAAAAAATTTTGTGACTGTGGTTTAAGCAAAGAGTTCTTAGATAACAAAATCAAAGTCTGACTTACTTAAAAAATTATAAATTAGACTTCACTAATATTAAGATCTTCTGTTCCTTGAAAGACAATGTTAAAAGAATAAAAAACCAAGACATTAGGGAATATTTGCACATCACATTTTTGATAAACAACTTGTATCCTGAATATATAATTTTCTAAATTCAATAATAATAAAAAAATTTAGCAACAGATTTTAACAGAAACTTATCAAATAAATACAGAGATGACAGATAAGCACATAACACATGTTCAATATCATTATTCATTAGGGAAATGTAAATGAAACCACAATTAAACACTGCCTCACACATTAAAAGGTCTTAAATTGACACTACTGATGACATCAAGTACTGCAAGGATTTAAATCAAGTGGAAACTTCATAAACTTCTGGGGGTTATGTAAACTGTTGTAAATACTTTGAAAAACAGTTCTGCAGTTTTGTAAAAAGGTAAACATACACTTAGGGCATAACTCAGCTATCCGACTCCCAAGTATTTACTAAACAGAAATGAAAGCCTATGTTTATAGAAAGAACTGAACATGAAATTTCATAGTAGCTTTTTCTGTAATAGCCTCAAGGAAATCAACCCAAATGTCATACATAGGTAAATGGACAATAAAATTGTAATATATCTATATGCTAAAATGCTATTCAGAAACAAAAGGTATGAAGTCTTCAGACATCTATAGACACTGGTGAATCTTAAATAGTGAGGCTAAGTGACAGAAACCCAAAAATAACAAAAAATACAGATTGCAAGATTCCATTTTTTAAAGATATTAGAAAATGAAAACTAATTTATGTAAAGCAGACCAGTTGTTGTCTAGGGGTGGGGAGTTAGGACGGGGTCGGGGAGAGGGACTACAAAGTGTCATAAGGAAACTTTTGGGCGTGGACAGGTGCAGTGGCTCATACCTGTAATCCCAGCACTTTGGAAGGCCGAGGAGGGAGGATCACTTGAGGTCAGGGATTTGAGACCAGCCTGGGCAACAGGATAAAACCCCATCTCTACCAAAATTTCAAAAATTAGGCAGGCGTGCTAGCGAGCACCTGTAGTCCTAGCTACTGGAGAGGTTGAGGCAGGAGAATCACTTAAACATGAGAGGGAGAGTTGCAGTAAGCCAAAATTGTGCAACTGCACTCCAGCCTGGGCAACAGAGTGAAGCTCTGTCTCCAAAACTAAAAATAAAATAAAATAAAAATGACACTTTCGGGTGTGATTGATATATTTGCTATCTTAATGTGTTGATAGTCTCACAGGTGTATACATACATTAGAACTTAACTGGTACATTTTAAATATGTGCAGTCCATTGTATGTCAATTATTCCACCATATAAGTGTTTAAACACACACACACACACAAGACAGAAGTGAATGTTTCATTCACACAATCTTCATGGACAAATCTATGCTTCAAAGGTAGGAAAATCATGAGGTCAAAGAAAAAACACTGCATTTCTGAGATAGTAATAGAGAGGTAAATATGTGTATTCGGTGTTCAATGTACAAATTATTGAAGTCTTTTTGTCCTTTTTTCATCTCTCCCAACTTAATTGGAATAGATCCAGTTTACAATAAAAGAAATTCAGTGAAGTTTTCCAAACAGCAATGAGAATGAGCATTGTGGCTCATCCAGAGCTCCAAAAAGCAACTGCTCTGTACCTAAGGAAATCTTGTTTTTGCTCAAAATTTTATTTGTCCTTGAGATTTTAATGACTTTTAAGAATGTTTTTCCTTATACCTTTGGGCTTCAGTTTCTTCGTATGCAAAATCAAGTCATGAAGATATTTCCACACAGCCAAGATGTTATAGGATAATGAATTGCTTGATAACCCATTGTAATCTTTGGCAAAAGAACAAAGCATTATTATTGTTATTAAATATTATTAGCTGGCGTATGGTGCTGAACTGATAATTACTTCAAGTAACACTTCATAAAATGCTAACTGTAAAGTGTACATAAATTTATGTATTCATTAATATGATACCTGCTACGAACAAATATTTTGGAAGATTGCCAACATCATTTCTTTCACAGTGTTAGTAAATTTTAATTTATATTCAAACCCATTGCCTCAGTTCCTCACATTCAGCTCTCTTCAATACTAATTTAAGTTCTTTGGGTTGAATAAAACTAATTTATTTGCCTCTTTCATTATAAGGATAACAGCTTGCAATACAGCATTATGAGAAGTTCCCCCATTCCCTTGAAACACAAGTTTCATTCTGTTACTTTTACGTTGTAATGTTTCATAAGTAAAAAACTAGCTATAGAAATTAAGGAAGTTGGGAGTTAGAATTTGGGAAATTAAAACAATACTAATACATATTTAAATATGGTTATGTTAGCAGAACTGATCACACACGTTGTTGAATTTCTCAAAAATGCTTTTCATCAGAAATCAATTTTATTGTCATTTCAAAATACATATCATGAACTCTGCAATCAAAACTGTAAGAGACCAACAACAGGCAAGAGGTGTGGTCCCTGCTATCAATCCATATAAATATTATTATACACACATCCCTGTATATGATCCAGAGGTGAAGTGCATCATTTATCAGCTACTTAAGGAAAGCCCCGGTGCCTATTGGCCAGAGTAGGCTGTTCTGATCTCAAGGAGACTGCCCCCACTTCTTTTATTTTGAAGAATTTCAATACTGCAGAAAAGTTAAAAGACCAATATAATGAATATTTATGTACTCTTCATCTGACCCCACTAATGGTTTACGTCTCACCACATTTGCATGAAATCTCCTGCTCTGTTTCCATATTTACAAATCAATTTTAAAATAATTTGTACACATTTCTAAGGCTAATTATGTGTTCTGAACAAAAGGAATTACTTTTGGCCATTGAGACCAAATTTTGTCACTGAGGGAAATAAGTCCAGGCTGATGATGTATGGACCATACCTGAAGAAACCAGGTAAAGAGACTGCTGTTTGGGCATGGAAAGTTTCCTTTGCTATCTGGATAAGCACCTAGTGTAGGGATGACTCCATAATTTATTTCCTGAACCAGGGCACTTCTGAGAGTGAAAGAAGGCACTTTTAAGATGTACAGCAGGACTGAAATCCCAGGTATGCTGGGCCTTTGGGCCACTCCACCTTGAGTGCACAGTGTAGGAGCAGCTGCTGAGAAGTAAGTTGGGCACTAACTTGAGTGCTTAATTTTCCTCTAACAGACATATTCCCAGATGACAACAGGTTTCTCTTCCAGCTCATGAATCTGGGGCACAACTTCCAGTGTAGACTAACTTATTGGTCTTGAAAAAAAAGAGAGAATTTATTTCTTTACCTGAAAAGAATCCCATGCAATTAAAAGATAATTTATGTCAGCTATAATCAAGGTGATGTTCTGGGTCAGCTAGTCAATGAGTTGCACTCACTGGACACTCAAATTCCACCACTGCTACCGAGTCTCCAACTAATTTGTCATGAGTCCTTTAGACAGCCACATGAGAAATGATCAAAGGTCAGGTATCTGATCGCTGGACAACACAGGAGTCTTTATTCCTAAAGCAGGCATCTCCAAGGGAAGTATTTATCCAAGTCCATTTTTTATTTTTCCATCTGAATACAACTCTGCAAATCAAAATGACCACTTTCAACCACTGTCTGATCTGTGTACACCCTGTAAGTCACCCCTCCTATAAGTAGCAAGCAAGTGGGGGCATGTTGTCTATTACCGGGAAAAACAAAATGCAACAATAATCAGAAAAGTTGGCAAACTCAAGTGGACTTTCACCAACATCAAGGTATTTGTAGAAAAGACAGAGTAAAAAAGCATAAAAGATGTGGGTGTTTTAAAATAATCTAAATCTCTGGAGACTCTGTCTCAAGTCAGTATGGACTCCTCTGGCTGTGCAAAGAAGTAACTGGAAAGCATGACTGCATGTAATCAGCAGGAAAACCATATCCTAATGACTGAATGTCCCCTCTTGGACCTCACAGAAAATCTCCTTTCCAGTTCAGGGCATTCCTTCAGCTACTACCCAGACCACATGGTCACTAGATCAAGGGACCAGTGAACTTCATGCTCAGGTGCATGTAAGGAGAGAAAGAGCAGCTTTCCTAAGAAGGGAGGTAAAGCATTATTTAAAACAACAACAACAAAACAAACAAAATCATGTGGCGTTAACTGATAAGTTAACATGGTCTCCCATAAGAATCCATCTGTAACATATGGCTGGGCTCTGAGCTGCTCAAGGAGACATCAAGGAAGAGGTGTACACTGAGCTGTGATTTGACATGTGGATAAGAGGGGAATGGGTATTGGGAATACCCATTCTTTCAAGGAAGGAATGAAAAAGATATGGAGACTGAAAACCAATGTAAGTCAATGTGTTAAGTAGATGCATAAATTTGTATATGTTATGGGTTTCAAAGCACTTTTATTTGCATCATTTTATTTAGTCATCTTAACCAATATTGGAGACAAGCTGGAAAATATTATCATTTCAAAATTATAGATGAGGAAATTTAAACAAAGAGAAAATTAACCTGCTTAACTGTCTTTGGGTTTTAAATGACAGAGTTGAATCTAGTTGACACATATTTGAATGTATTATTCTTATACGTTTTAAGAACACAAATGTTTAAGTTTACAGATAAAGAAACTGAAGTTCAGAGAATTCAGCACATAAGTCATAGTCAATATTCAAACCAGGGGTCTCAGGTTCCATATTCCAGATCTCTCATTATTTCATATTGACTGAAGAAGAAGAAAATGAGAATGAGTGTTGAAAACTAATCCAAAAGGACAAAGTCAGGGGTGGGGGGAGTTGTGATCCAAATAAAATTATTGGTTCCTATAAGAAATAGATGTAATCTCAGGGTAGAGATGAATCAGGTAAGTGCCCAGGGGCAGCAAACGGGATTCCAAAGGTTGCCAGTGAGCTTCTCCAGCTTTTAGTCAATCCTGGAAACAAATCGTGTATTTGTTTCTATCTCAGCTTTCTCACAAGTTCTCCTGTGCTTATGGAGTTCTTCTCCCTGTACTTTCACCTGCACCATCCCTTGGGGTCTAATTCCACTATTGCTGCTCAGAATTCATCCATCTTGCCATGAGCTGAGCTTCTGCAGCACTCACCTCTGAAACTCACTTTAAAAGGGCATAGTTCTGTGTGCATTGATGAGGACCCACGTAAGTCTGTTGATGCCTGGGCCAAGGCAACATAGAACATTGCTTTTTGGTTTTGCTGAGAGCAGGCTGTTTTCTCAGCAAATCATGCAGCTTCATTCCTGCTGCATTTACACAAATCAAGGAGTCATTTTACTCTCTAAATTCTATTTCCTGACTTTTATTGTAGTAATTTTATATTTTGAATAATTTTGAGGGTGGATAGATGCATTTTGGACATATCTGCTCCATATTTCAATAATCTTTTCAAAAGTGAAGGAAAGCCAAAAGTTTACCGTGTGTGGAAACCTGAAATCTTGGCTGAGTCCACTTTTCCCTCGAACCTAGTGTACAATGGGATTTTCATCCAGTACCAGTTTTGATGGCAAGCTGGGAAAGCACGGGTGTTTGGAGGCTAAGGCTCCCATTCTTTCATATGCAGAAAATGAGCAATGTCTCCTGTTTCCTGGCACCCATCACCATTCCCCTCCTAGCACTGAAGGAACTGATCGGCATGATCACTTTGCATTTTGGCTCGTATCTCTCATCCTTGCTGAGGCCAGTCACCCTCCAAGTCTCTCACCATTTGGCTTTGCTCTTTGAAACTGGTGGAAACTTAAATATAAGATATTCAAGCTTTGTTTCCTCATCACTATAAAGGGCAATGCTGTTGTCCTGGTATCACTTGGAGCTCTAGCTACGACCTGTGTGCTCCAGAAATCTGTACTTCAAATGAGGCTTCTTGGTGTGGTGGTACAGATATTTTAGAAGTGCTAAGAATCCATTGTAATTCCTAAAGGAATCTGAAAAGGCCCTTCTGAAGTCCTTAGCTGGAGGCATCATGTAAGGGATAGGGGTGTGCAACCCAATATGGATGCAATTGTGACAAAGGTATATGGCCTATGTGACTTAGAACAAGTTTTTATTTACTCACAGAGGTTAAATATTTTTTTCCATCATATACTTTACTTAGCACTTTAAAAGCATTTTTAATATTTAGCGTGGGTTTGATATCATTTTTATTCTCAGTATAGAGATTATGAGGCTCAGAGCTTTGAGTTACTTCTAAAGGATTACATATACCTGGTAATTGTCAGCTGTAATTTGAACTCAAGTCTAAGTGATCTGAGAGTCAAAGCTCTTACTCACTACTTTGTGTTACTTTTACCCACTTATGTAGTCAGTTCTCTTTGTCCAGCAGGCATAACTGCCCTCTTTTCTCTTTGTAAGTGTCCTGCTAAATATTCATTGTTCATCTTTCTTTATGAAGCCACACTTTAAAAAAATTTCTCCTTCATCCAAAGTCATTCATTTACTTGATCACTCTTTGTTGAGTAGCTTCCAGTCTGAAGCACTGTGCTGAGGATAGAATGAGACATAAATTGCCATTTCTGTTTTCAAAAATATTATTGTTTATTCAGGAAGACAAATAAATAAACATTAGGGAATAGTAAGTATTTTAATGGAGGTCTTTCCATTGTGCTATAAGAGGACATACGAGTAGTACCTAGCATAGATGGGAAGAGAGATGGAAAGAAGGAAAGTCTTCTTGGAGGAAGATCAAACTGACAGTATAAAAAGAAAATATATTCTAGGCCAAGGAATGGCAGAGAGTCAAAAAAGAGCATAAAATTATCCCAACAGTTACAGCATTCAGTCAGGCATTTGCCTTTTGACATATTGATTGTAATACGCATTTGACCTAGCTTAGTCACCTTGTTTTGTAATAGATCTTTTTTTATCTAAGTTCTGTCTCTCCCCAGGGCTGAATAGTTCTTAAGGGGAGGAATAAACCAAGTCTTATGGCATCTTTTATCCCTAGGTCCCTAATCATAATCGTCCTCTATAGCGGTGGTGGTGATAACACAAAGGAGACGAAATAGGGGAAGAAGAGGAGGTGATATAGATATACAGTTGTCCCTCAGTATCATTGCTGGATTGGGTCCAGGACCCCCGTGGATGCCAAAATCCACAGATACAGAAGTTCCTTATGAAAAATGACAAAATATTTGCATATAATCTATGCACATTCTCCCGTATACTCTAAATTATCTCTGGATAACTGATATGGTAGTCTTCGTCAAAATCTCATGTGGAATTACAATCTCTAATGTTGAAGGTGGGGCCTGGTGGGAGGTGACTGGATCATGGGGGCAGTTTCTCATGGTTGGAGCTGTCATTGCGATAGTGAGTTCTCTCTCAGGAGATCTGGTTGTTTAAGGATATGGCACCTCCCCACTCTCTCTCTTGGTCCTGCTCTTGCCATGTAAGACGTCTTTTCCCACTTTGCCTTCCACCATGAGTAAACGCTCCCTGAGGCCTCCTCAGAAGCAGATACTGCCATGCTTCCAGTACAACCTGCAGAAATGTGGGCCAATTAAACTTCTTTTCTTTATAAATTACCCAACTTCAGGTATTTCTTTATAACAATGCGAGAACAAACTAATAACATAATACTTAATACAGTGTAAATGCTTTGTCAATCATTGTTATACTTTGTGGGGTTTTATTTGCATTATTTTTATTGTTATATTGTTATTTTTTCTTTTTTTATTCCCTAATATTTTTGATTCGCAGTTGATTGAATCCACGGATATGAAACCTATCAATATGGAGGGATGACTGTATACTGAGAAGAGTAATGTTTTGAGACAAACACAGAACTATGAAAAAAAAGTACTGAGCCCTTCTATTTCTATGTCTAGAATGAAACTTAAAGGGCCACACTAAAGAATTTTATGTTCCTTACTGCCCTCCCACCACAGACACAGAGGCATAGTTCTGATTATAGGGGCTAATACAGGCTCTGAATACTTGGAACAAGAGAAAGACCTTACTTTCTTTAAGCTCTAACAAGGCACCAGGAATATAGGGCGGTAAACCAAAAGGAAAAATATTCCATCATTATTTCCCTGTGTCTCTAGTCCAGGCTTCTTCTGTTAGGAAGTAAGCTGCTTTTTCTCCTGGAGATAGTAAGCAAGGTGAGCAAAAAATCAACAAAAACCTATGGGGATTATGAATTGGTGATAATATAAAGCATAAAACATAAGTAGATAAATTGAAAGAATGTGATTTTTGTGGTCAGGTATTTGGATGGTACGCTAACAATAAATCATTAAATCACTAATAATGAGGTTTAAATGCTAAATCAAATAAAATTACACTGATTTCTTCTCAGGATCTTATGCTAAACAGGATATTATAAATTGTAGAAACTTGGTGTCCAGTGTGAGTCATGACCACCAATAAACAGCAGACCTTTTGGGAACCAGAAATGAGAATCAAATGCATGGGTTTATATTCTATAGGAGTAGCAACTATCCTGTGAAACACACAACTCTAGATGCACTGGATGGCACTCTTCCATAATTATTATATTCATGGTATTAATACTATAACAACAAAAACACGCAATTTTGTTCACTAACTTTGTGCAGGGCACTGTTTCAATATTTATACGCAGCTATACCCAGAGTTCTTCTAGAATGCCTGCTATATATTTTCTTCCACTCCAGGTGTTATTTATCCTTCATGGACCAGCTCAAAGCTATGGTTTTCATTTCAGTGTCCCTTGGTCTATTCACTGTAGCTGACCTCTCCCTGCCTTGGATATTTATAAACCTTGTTACCTGCACTATCATTTGACCTTTTACTATTCTTTAATTGAGTCATAGCTTTTCATCCCAATTAAATAATAAGATAATGAAAGGCAAAAATAAAAAACAAATTGTAAATATGGTAACAAGATATGAGATTTTACATAATATCTCAAATATCACAGTCAATACCTATTCACTTCATAAACATTTCTGTATTTATGACATTAGACTGGAGGTCAGAATATATGGAAACTATGTGAGATAACTTTTTGTTTTCTATTGCAGTTAACAGTGCACAATGCAATAGTCTAATATCAGGGTCAGCAAACTATATATAACTATTTGGCCCGTAGGCCAAATCTGGTTATGAACATTTGTTTGCCATTGTCTATAACTGCTTTCCCGCTGCAATGATTAGTTGAGTAGTTATGACAGAGACCATATGACCTGCAAAGATCATATTTACTATTTGGCTTTAATTAGATTGGTCATTCAAGCAAATGGATTTAGCTGATCAACTAGGAAGAAAGCAATCAATTTGATATTTTTGTTATATTCAAACAACATCAAATCAGATATTCTGGAATACACAGCTCTAAAATTAACACACTTTTCTAAAATATAGGATGGAAAATTATGTAATTTGAAACTTTGTAGATAATAGCTACTTTAGGGTCACACCAAAGCACAGTAGGCAAGTAATTCTTTCTTATCTTCCAATACTTCTTGCATGCTTAATGGTTTTGGATTCAAAGCACTGCCCTAAGTAAAAGTTATGTGGAGGAATGATGATAATTTAAAAAGACACGTGTTTCTAAACAAACTGCGGTAATTCATACCCTGGAATACTACTCAGCAATGGAAAGGAGCAAGTTAAAAATATGTGCAACAACTTGAATGAGCCTCAAGGAAGTTAGGTTGAGTAGGGGAAAAAAAAGCCAGTTTCAAAGGGTTTGAATGTTTGATTCTACTCATATAACATTCACGAAATAATTATAGATATAGAGAATAAATTAGCGGCTGTCAAGGGCTAGGGGAAGAAGGAAAGTGGTTGCTACATGGGTGCCACATACACACACGCACACAAACACACACACACACACACACACCAAATAACATACAAATTATTTCATGTATAACTGGTAAAATATAAATAAGCACTGTGAATTATACCAATGCTTATTTCATGATTTAGGTATTTTGCTATAAGATGTTAATACTGAAAGAGGCTGAGGGAAAGGGTCCCCAGGACCTCCCTACACATTTCTTTGCAAATTCCTTTCAATGTATAACTATATTTTTACAGGTTAAAAAGCAGTGTTTCAAAGTAAATAGAGAATGTTTCAAAATAGTCTCATTAAATAAACTATCTTCTGGAAGAGGAAGAAGTGTGGCCATAAGGAAATAGGAATTACATTAAATCTGTAAATTGCTTGGGGTAGTATGGACATTTTAGCAATGTTGATTCTTTCTATGAATGAGCACAGAATGTTTTCTCACTGGTTTGTGTCATCTCTGATTTTTTTGAGTGGAGTTGTCTAATTCTCATTTTAGAGATCTTTCACCTCCCTGGTTAGGAACTATTTTATTCTTTTTGTGGCTATTGTGAATGAGATTATGTTTGTGATTTGGCTTTCAGCTTGGATGTTGTTGGTTTATAGAAATGCTACTAATTATTGAACATTAATTTTGTATTCTAAAACATTGCTGAAGTTACTTATCAGATCAGGAGGCTTTGGGGCAGAGACTATGGGGTTTTCTTGGTATAGAATCACATCATCTGCAAACGGATCTGCAAAGACTTCCTCTCTTTGTATTTGGATGCTTTTCATTTCTTTCTCTTGTCTGATTGCTCTGGCTAGGACTTCCATTACTATGTTGAATGAAAGTGGTAAGAGTGGGCATCCTTGCTTTGTTTCAGTTGCCAAAAGGAATGCTTCCAGCTGTTCCCCATGCAGTATGATGTTGGTGTGGGTTTGTCATAGATGACTCTCATTATTTTGAAGTATGCTTTTTCAATGCCTAGTTTGTTGATGGTTTTTAACATGAAAGAAGTTTAATTTTATTGAAAGCCTTTTCTTTATCTATTGATATGATCATGTGATTTTTGTTTTTAGTTATGTTTATATGGTGAATAGCATTTATTGATTTGTACATGTTGAACCAAACTTACATTCCAGGAATAAAGCCTGCTTGATCATGGTAGATTAGCTTTTTGATGTGCTGCTGAATTCAGTTTGCTAGTATTTTGTTGAGGATTTTTGTATATCTGTTCATCAAGGATATTGGCCTGAGGTTTCCTTTCATTGTTGTGTCTCTGCCAGGTTTGATATCAGGATGATGCTAGCCTCATAGAAGGAGTTGGAAGACTTCCTCCACCTGCATTTTTTTTCTGGAATAGCTTCAGTAAGAATGGTACCAGCTCTTCTTTATGCATCTGGCAGAATTCCACTGTGAATCTATCGTTCCTGGGCTTTTTCTGGTTGCTAGACATTTTATTACTGATTCAATTTTGGAGCTTGTTATTGGTCTGTTCAAGGATTCAGTGTCTTCCTGGTTCAATCTTGGAAGGTTGTATGTTTCCAGGAATTTATCCATTTCTTCTAGATTTCCTAGTTTATATAAATAAAAGTGTTCATAGTAGTCTGTGAAGGTTTTTTGTATTTCTGTGAGATCTGTAGTAATGTTCCCTTTATCATTTCAGATTGTGTTTATTTGATTCTTCTCTCTTTTTTGTTAGTATAGATAGTGGTCTATCAATCTTATTTCTTGTTTCAAAAAACCAACTCCTGAACTCATTGATATTTTCCATGTTATTTTGTGTCTCAATTTCCTTCAGTTCAGCCCTGATTTTGGTTATTTCTTGTCTTTCGCTAGCTTCAGGGTTGGTGTATTCTTGTTTCTCTAGTTTCTCTAGGTGTGATGTTAGGTTGTTAATTTGAGATACTTCTAACTTTTTGATGTGGGTAATTAGTGCTATAAATTTTCCTCATAATACTGCTTTAACTCTGTCCCAGAGACTCTCGTATGTTCTATCTTTATTCTTATTAGTTTAAAATAATTTCTTGATTCCTGCCTTAATTGCATTGTTTACCTGGAAGTCATTCAGGAGGAGGTTAATTTATATGTAATTATATAGTTGTGAGTTATTTTCCTAGTACTGATTTCAATTTTATTGTGCTGTGGTCCAAGAGTGTGTTTGGTACAAATTTAGGTTTTCGAATTTGCTGAAGATTATTTTATGGCTAAATATATGGTTGATTTTAGAGAATAGGCCATGTGCAGATGAGAAAAGTGTATATTGTTGTTTTGGAGTGGAGAGTTGTGTAAATGTCTGTTTGGTCCATTTGGTCCAATCTCATTTCCAAGATTCCACTGTAATTATTTTTATACATCTGTTGACATTTTTATGTTTGCCTTTCCTACTTTATTTCTTTGAATGTTTTAAATAAAAGTATATAATTGTCCCTTTCAGATTGATCTATTGTCTCTAGTCCCACGGGAATTTATCTGTTTAATAAACTGTTAATGGCATTACATTATTCATAGACTTTTACTGTCTGTCAAATTTTATGTTTCTTTCTATAGTCTTAGTCCTATTAGAGATTATCATTGGCCACAGACCCAAGTTTGTTCTGGATTGAGGAGGCATTTCTATATTCCTGTAAGACTACTACCTCATAGTTACATCTGCCTGAACACTATAAGTTTTACCCATTTCAGCATGGATTTTTTTTATTAATGTATTAAGGTTTACAGTTTATGTTTCAGCCCTACCAGCCATCCCACCTCCAAGACAAATATAATTGTGACTTGGAATTCTACTCTTCAATTATTGATTTGGTTTTCATCTATGGCATGGTGTGTACATTTTTATTCAAACTGTGTCTCTGGGCTGATAAGCAGGAATCATGAGTTTCTAATTTACAGAGAGGAAGTACATTTTCAGCTCCTTTATTAATTTGCAAAGAGTTTTTCCATGTAGTACCTCTGTGACGTTGACTATCATCCCCACAAAAACATACAATCCCTAGTCCTGAAGGCTGACATTTATTTTCACTTTCTCTGTAGGCAGTTTAACTTCAATTTATACTAAACACTATGGGATTCTTCTTTGTCCTTGGGACACTGCTGTTTCTATTTTTACTTTCAAGACTTACTGTGCATATTTTATAGCTATTTAAAATATTTTATCAATATCCCGATGTATTAAAAATGGATAAGGGAATATCGTGTGTGTTTTTATCTTAACTATACCATTGTCCAAAGATTCTGTTTTTTTGTATGTTTGAAAACATAGAACAAATTATAAAATATTATTTTAAGAATAAAAATATTTTTGCCATTAAACTTTTCTTTCCATTTTTAGAATAGATCTTTTCCTTTTCTTATGCTATGTGACTACATAAAGGACTATTTTTTTCCTATTTACTATATTTTTGATTATTATGTTTCTATTTTTTCTATTTTAATTCCTGAGTTTAATATAGCTATCTGATATTCCATGTTTTCCAACTGACAATATGTTTTATTGCCCCTGTTAGAAACAATTAACTTAAACTTGGAAATAAAGCAAAAGTTGTTGTGGCATTTTTTTATGCAGATGCAAAGGCACCCCCAAAGGACTGTCAGAGGGACAGTATACTTTATCATATTATTTAGTCTTTACTGAATATTCTAGATTTAGTAAAGTGACTTGTTAAATTGCAGAATTTTGTTTGAAAGAGATGCATTAATTTCATTTTGGTAGATGAGATGATCCAAATCACTAATGGCTTATTGGAAACTAACCAGGTTATATCTAACTCAGCAACATTATTCTAACATTTATTTGCTAATTTGCCTCTAAATATCATGGATTAACAGGTGTTATTCTAGCAGGATATCAAGTCTTCCTTGTTCCCATATTAATTAGTGATTAAAATAATATCTTGGATACTGTGCTCATTCTGTTTTCTCTAAAAGAACATAATTTTACCTTTTCAAACATTATTATACTCCTGAGTGTCCATCAAGTGCTATTGGATTCTTTCTCACATTTTATACTTTTAGACAAGTTGGAGAACACAGATCATAACGGAACTTAATAACTCTTGCTATCTTTTTTTAAACTAGATGCATTATTCTGAGGGTGTATCATCTCTAGCTACCATTGCTTGATTATCTAACTGTGGAATACTATATTATTTTCCTGTTACTGATATTGAAACTGCCTTTGCAAAAATTATAACAGTGAAGGCCAAGCATGATGGCTCACACCTGTAATACAGCACTTTGAAAGGCTGAGGCAGGCAGGTCACTTAAGGCCAGTAGTTTGAGACCAGTGTGGCCAATATGGTGAAACCCTGTCTGTACCAAAAAATACAAAAATTAGCCAATCATGGTGGCATATGCCTGTAATTCCAGCTACTCAGGAGGCTGAGACACAAGAATCACTTGAACCCAGGTGGCAGATGCTTCAGTGAGCTGAGATTGCACCATTGCACTCCAGCCTGGGTGACAGAGGGAGACTCTGTCTCAAAAAAGAAAAAAAAAATTATAACAGTGAGAGAAATTTTACCTAACTGGCTCCTTCTTGCTTCTAACCTCACAAACTAATTGCCTTTGTTAACTTTTAAACTAAGATAATAACAGTCCCTTCCCCAAACTAATGTATTATTTGCTCTGGGACCAAAATTGCCTTTGTGAAACTAATGAAAGACCACAAGTTTAGGATTATGGCAAGGACCTGAATTTGGCTAAAGTGTAGGCATAGTTAAATAATAATCAGCCACTGTTTCCTAACTTTCCTTTCTATAATCCCTTACTTATTAAGAGTCTTATAGCGAGAGGTCAATATTTGTAAACTCACCAATTTCTCCTATAGATGTCATCATTATTGTCAAAACCTAAAATTGGTCTTTGAGATATTTTTCAGACTTTTGCATTTGGGTGGACTAGCTAATATCAGCAGAACCTGTGGCTCATACCAAGAAGCTGACTACTGATCCTGAGACTTCAGCCCAGAAATTAGCTCAGTGAATGAAGACAGTTTGGAAACTTCTATGATTTCATCCTCAACCAATCAGTAGCACCCATTCCCTAGCACTTGCCCACCAAATTATCCTTAAAATAAACTTTAGGCAGCTCGAGTGCAGTGGCTTACACCTGTAATCCCAGCACTTTGAGAAGCCAAGGCGGGTGGATCACCTGAGGTCAGGAGTTCGAGACCAGCCTGAACAACATGGCAAAACCCTGACTCTACTAAAAATACAAAAATTAGCCAGGCTTGGTGGTGGGCACCTGTAATCCCAACTACTCGGAAGGCTGAGGCAGGAGAACTGCTTGAACCCAGGAGGTGGAGGTTGCAGTGAGCCAAGATTTCACCATTGCACTCCACCCTGGGTGACAGAGCAAGACTCTATCTCAAAAAAAAAAAAAAAAACCCTCAGGCTCTGAGCTTTTACATAGGTGGCTTTGAGAAATGTTTCCCATCCTTTCGTTTGGCTGCCTTGCAATAGTTAATATATTTCTCTACTGTAACTCTGCTCTCTCAGTGTATTGGCTTTTTTCATGCAGTGGGCAAAAAGAAAAGAAAAAAAAACCATCAGGTTGTAGCAATATAATAGATTTCCAAAATATTAGCAGCTGAAAAATTCAAATATGTTATCTTAGTTTTGATATCCTATGTGGATCACATTGGGAAAAAATTAAGTTGTCAATAAGGCTGCATTTTATTCTAAAGTTTTAGGGAATAATTTCTTCTCTTGCCTTTTCTAGAGCTGCCCATATTACTTTGGACATGGCTTCTCCCTCCATCTTTAAATTTAGTAACATTGAATCTCTCTGGCCATTGTCTTATAGTCACATCTCAAACTGACTCACTTTTTCTGCTTCTGTCTTCCATTTTTAAGAACTCTTGTGATTGCATTGGATTCACATGGATAGTCCAGGATAAGCTTAGTATTTTAAAGTCAGCTGATAAGCAACCTTAATTCCGTCTGTGATCATAAATGTCATTTAGCCAACATATTTCCAGTTTTGAGGGATTAAGAATGGACATCTTGGGAACTATTATCCTGCCTGCCACAGATAGTAATTATTTTTTATTAATAATTGTGATTTTTTTCTTTTATTTCTTTGGTAAGAAGTAATGCCTAAAAAATGTAAGAATCCTGAGAGTATTCTCAGAAAAATGGGCCTTAAAAGAATAACAAAATGTGCTAATGCCTTCACATAAGGTGAATAATTTACTTGATTCAACCTTGTTGTAATGTAAAGTGTTACAGTCTCTCAGATGAATTTTAGAAGTAACAAATAGGGTGAAAAAGAGAAGCAGAGCCTTTGAAAGAAATAGCTACCATATGGTAGTGAGAAGGAGAGATGACTACCAAGCTTTCACTATGGCAGATATTTCAATATCTGATATAAAGGTAAAATGGGAAATAATTTGAAATACACATAATAATTTCTAGATATCCTTTCAATGAAATGAAGGGAATAGTCTAGCAAACCTTTCAAGGTTGTTAGTATCTATAGGTGTCTGCCACTTTCATCATCTTTGACTAATCTTATAATTCCGCAAAATGTACAGAACTGATAACAATGCAAATAATTTTTTTTCCGAGGGAAACACAATTGATTTTCAATTCTGTCAAAGAAAACCTGGTCTGGATAATAAAACATTCAAAACATTTTATTCAGGAACAATCACAATAGAGGAAAGAGACTTCAGCATAGAGCTGGACTCAATTGCTAATGCATCATGGACAAGTGAAGATTTTTAGCCAAGAAGTAGGGTAGAGGTCAGTGGATAACAATATTATTAAGAGGAAATATCAAAGGTAAGGTGGGATTCTGGCTAAGCAGATTTGACAGAATTCTCGTTGAAGGCTGGCTAGGATGATCAGATATCAAGGGTCTGAGGTTCCCTCTAAACTGACTTTGAATTCTTGTTAAAACTGGGTGATACAGGCGCAACAACTAAGAGCCTAGTTGAGAAGAGAAATTAGAAGGCCCCGACTAAAGGTTAGTCAAGGAGTCTTTGTTACTTCTGACAAAAAAGACAATAAGCAGTCTTACATTTATTTAAAATTTTGTTTAATATTCCTGATTATCTATGTATAATTATTCTTCAGATGTTTCTTTAACTTAGTTTTAACACTTTAGGGGCAAAGAGAATTTCCCTTTGAAAGTTTTAGCCTGCTGAAATCAACTGATATTAGACAGATTAACAGGAGAAAAGGCATGCAAATTTCTTAATGTGCATAGGCACAGGAGTCATACAAAATATGAGACTCGAAGGAACAGATGGCTGAAGCTTAAATAGCCTCCTTTTCATAGAGTTGGGGAAGATGGGGGTATGTAGGCCAATTTTAGGGCTAGTAAATAATTTTTAGGACAGTTTGATGGGTCCAAGGGGCATACAATAGTTTGTAAATGAATGTGTTTAGAAACTGAATGAGGCCAAAAATTTATGGAAAGATGAAGGATAAAACTGCATTGCAAGCGAAAGTTGTCTTATTATTCAGATAAGTTATCTTAGGTAATTCTTCTTAGCTGCCATCTGAAGAATAGATAAAAAGTCTGTCTGGGTGTGGCGACAACTTTAATCTCCTCTTTTCTGGTAGTTAATCTTTCCTGGCAATTTATTTATTTATTTATTTATTTTATTTTAATTTTTGGGATGGAGTCTTGGTCTGCCGCCAGGCGGGAGTTCAGTGGAGAGATCACGATTCACTGCAACCTCCCACTTCCAGATTCAAGCAATTCTCCTGCCTCAGCCTCCCGAGTAGCTGGTGTTACAGGCACATGCCACCACACCCAGCTAATTTTTTTGTATTTTCAGTAGAGACGATGTTTCACCATGTTGTTCAGGATGGTCTCGATCTCCTGACCTCATGATCCACCCACCTCAGCCTCCCGAAGTGCTGGGATTACAAGTGTGAGCTACCGCGCCCAGCCTCTTTCCTGGTAATTTAATAAGATTCCTAGGAAGGAGGTTTAAGACAATTCCATTTCCTTTGAAAGATGTCTCCTCAGTTAGTTAGATAAAATTCTAGAGACAGCCCCCTTTCTCCCTTGGAGGCAGGGAGAAACATGAGAAGTTTAGAAAATTACTGGCTCTGAAGCAGCTTCTAATGACTTCCAATTTATATTAATTAAAAGTCCTCAGCTTGCTAAAGTAACATACTCCAGTGTACACACATTAGAAAATCTTTTAAATCTGTCTTAAAAACTACAACACCTTACATTGATACAAGGTTGAATGAAGTGATTTACTCACTGTGTGTAAGACAGTACACATTTTTTTAACTTTTAAGGTATACTTTTCCCAGAATATTCTCAAGATTCTTATATTTTTCTGACCCCCAACAACACCATGACTGGTACTTTCATCAATTAATTTACTAAAACATTTTATAGACATTTTATATTTATATGAGAGTCATGTTTTGCTCAGGACACACCACCCTGAAATATGACTAGGAGACCAGAATATGTCACCCTAAAATATACTTGTTTGGCATATTTTGAGCTGGTTATTCTAAGAAACTTGCAGACATAGGAGTAGCTCTGAAAAGCTATTTGTAAAAGAAATTTACTTCTATAAAGAACATCTACATTGGTAAAGTATCTGTCTCAAAAAGAAGGCTGCTCCAAAACATTTATTACCTGAGAGGCTTTATCTGCATAACAAGTTAACTGTTATTCACCATACAATTTCTCCTTTCACTTCCCATAACTTGTGTGGCCACCAACCCTCAGAAGCTCCAAACCCCTCCTGTTTGCTGTAGCTCAGGATGCTACATAAACTTCAATCATCTGACCCCTCCTCAACTCTCATATTTTGTGAGAATTTTATGTGTGCATAGATACATAATTAAATATAATTTTTTTTCCTGTTAATATGTCTTATGACAATTGAATTCATAACCCAGCCAAGGAACCAAGGAGGGTGGAAGGAAGCCATTTTTTGCTCCACTAGAGTTGTGATTTTACTTTTTTTGAAAATCGATTTTTAACACAGATAAAGGATTACAAGTAAGGTTTGTATTTGGCCTGTTTTCCCTACTGTATAATAGAGAAATGTATTACTGTATAATAAATATGGATTTTGCTATCCATCATTTTTCAAGACTGACTAATCACTGATAAACATTTTTAGTTTTCATTGCAATTAGCTACAGAGTTTCTGGAGTGATTTTCAATAAACAATTTGGTGATGATGTAACTAATAAGTTTGTTACCCAATACACACAGCAAGTTAATACATAGAGATGGGGGTTGCAGTAGAGAAAGAGGTTTAATCATACAGTCACTGAAGGAGGAGATGGGAGAAAACCTCAAATCCATCTCCCAGAGGAATTTGGGGATAGGGTTTTAATGGTTTTGGAGTTGGCCTAAGTGTGGAGGTCATTGGTTGAAGAGTGCAGGATGAAGTCATGGGACAGGGAGATGAAAAAAACTGTATTTTCATGCTGATCCTCTTCCTCTGTGAGGGTATTCAAACTGGTTGCTGAATTTGGGGTCTGAAGAAAATCGTAAGTGATCTGTGAATAAAAGTCTTATAATTCCAGTGTCAGAGACTATTTCTATGGGAACATTGGGAATGCAAAACAATTCTTAAACAGTTTTATAATCTTAATGTCAGAAATCCTATCTATAGAAACAATGGAAATACAAATGATCAGTATCTACTGCTATGTGACCATTAGCAACAAAGAAGGGGCTTGCTTAATACTTAATTATAACTATATTTCTTTCCAGAAACTGGCATGCATTTCTTGTCAACCATGTGGTTTTGTGTGTGAACTTCAAAGTGACATGACTATTTTTAGAGAGATGGACAATAAACTTAAAGCAAGAACTTTTTCTCAAAAAAAAAATATCTAGGATGGAAGATCCTAGATATTTGAACATTAGAGGAATGTCCACAGAAAGAGGGAAATCAATCTAGAAAGAAATAGAAAATAAAAATAGAACACTAAAAAATTTTCAAAAAATTTTATACACAACTCTTCATAAGTCCAGAAGTAACACCTCTAACATGGGGTATGGAAGAAAGAAAGGGAAGAAGAGAATCAAAGTTGATGATAACAGTGAATATTTTTGTTACAGGAAATGATTCCTGATCCAGACCCCAAGAGAGGGTTCTTGGATCTCACACAAGAAAGAATTTAGGGTGAGTTCGTAAAGTGAAAGCAAGTTTATTAGGAAAGTAAAAGAATGGCTACTCCATAGAGCAGTCCTGAGGGCTGCTGGTTCCCCATTTTTCATATAGGGAAACTTCTTGATGTTACTATGGCATTTGTAAACTGTCATGGTGCTGGTGGGAGTGTAGCAGTGAGGATGACCAGAGGTCACTCTTGTGGCCTTCTTGGTTTTGGTGGGTTTTAGCTGGCTTCATTACTGCAACCTGTTTTATCAGCAAGGTCTTTATGACCTGTATCTTGTGCGAACCTCCTGTCTCATCCTGTGACTTAGAATGCCTTAACCCTCTGGGAATGCAGCCCAGTAGATCTCAGCCTCATTTTACCAAGCTCCTATTTAAGATGGAGTTGCATTGATTCAAATGTCTCTGACAGTTTTTCTCTTTTCTTAAAACTGTATTTTAAGAGGATTGTTGAGATTTTGCTTAGTGTAGTGTGTGTGTGTGTGTGTGTGTGTGTGTGTGTGTGTGTGTGTGTGTGTGTTTTCAGCTCAGATAACAGTAACATTAATATTTTCTTTAGGCTGTTCCACCCCTGAGCATGGTTGAATGGAAGGCAATTGGAAGTCACACAGAGTGAGGATCCCTTAGGTTGCCTGCAAGCAACTTAACCAAGGTTGCCTGCAAGCAACTTAACCAAGTGGGAACCAAAGCTACTGTTCCCCTTATTCTTTTTAGTTTTTCCTTTTCAAGCCTGTTTTGAATTGTAGAACCTTGAATTGAAAAGTCAACATTAGCAATTCAAATGCTAAACTGAGCTTTTTAATGCTAAATACTTGTGGATATCATTTGAGAAGACTGTCAAGTTAAACAATGTAATTTTTTACATATACAGCAAAGTGACTTTGCAGATATTACTCAGTTAAGATCCCAGCCATGATATTCATCTTGTGCGTATGCATACAATCCAGAACCAGCAAAGTATTTTGTAAATTCAGCATTTAGTTATCTCTTACCCATTAAGAGGAAGAAAAGAAAACATTTCCCCCCAACACTTTTATTCAAGCCTGAAGCTAAGCAAGGAGAAAGAGAAAAGGTTTTTAGAATTACAAATAGAACCTTTAAATTGTAGAAATTTGCTAATTTCATTTATGAAAGCACTGCCTAACTTCTGCTTTCTCTCTCAGCTGTTATTCAAATCTTTGTCCCTAGCCAAAGAGAGACAATAATCCTACCAGGAATTTAGTGAGTTTTCCTTTGGAGATCAGACATAAATGCTGCACATTTGAATATGCAAATTTAATAGAACAGATTGCCAAGAAATGAAAAATGGTTATACGTTTAGCCCTAGGAAGTTAGCCCAGCTTAATAGAGCTGACAACAACGAGTTAAGGAGTGCCCACTTGCAAAACTCATATAGGGAAGAAAGTGCATATAATTTGCTTACCTAACAGGAAGGGACTGAGAAGTGAGTTAGATTGTGGAGACCTAGATTCTCCCCACAATTGCAGTGGCATTCTTTTAAAAGGCCTCAATTTCCTCCTGTGTAAAATAAAGAGGTTTTCTTATGTAATCTAGATTATTTACAACTTGAAAATTCAAAGACATGTTTCTAGCATATCTAATTACTTCACATCTGTAGGGAAGGTATCTCATGCCATGGCTGAGCATGTATGAGTCTCATTGTTTTGCAGTTTGTGTAAAAATGTAAAAAGCATTCACCCCCATTCCCTATGGTTATCATTCATATGTTCTATTTCAATCTTGTGTAGTTTCCCTTTTAAAGAAGACCCAATAAGTTTAACTAACAAAGGGAAGCTCTCATCAAGTAATACATACTTTTAGTCTCCCAAGGTTGCGCTATTTGGTTGTTAACTAATCAAGGCTTTTTCTATGTTTTTCCTTCTTCCTTTTTTTTTTTTCTTTTTGTTTCTTTTTTATTTGATAAGCCTCAGCCAGCTAGTATTTGGAGGTTTGAGAAATTGAAAATTAGTTGCTCCTTTGGATTTACAGTAATCATTTGGGCAGATTGTCAATATCAATTTCCAGCCTACATGACTCTTCCATACCACTCTGGGAATTAGGTCAAAACTGTCCTTGGATAAAAAATTGGACAAAATTACCCAAAGTGGGGGAAAGAAAATCAGTTCAAGGTGAAGTGGGGGAAAAAAATAAATTATCACTGCCCAGTTTGAAGATCTAGAAATATCATTATATCTTGATAATGTGTTATGAATTCTGACTCCCAGGGTATAATTTCAGCCTGTTTAAAGAGCAGATTTTTTGTGTTATACACCATTTCTCCAGTTTTATCATTTTATATTAAATATTGTTAGAGGTCACATGCAGACTTGCCATTCAGAAATGATTTTTAATTTTTATTCTTTATTTTTTGTTTTGAGAGAGGGTCTTGCTCTGTCACCTAGTTTGTTATACAGTGGCATGATCATAGCTAACTGTAGCCTTGAATCCTGGGCACAAGTGGTCCTCCTGCTTCAGCCTCCCAAAGTGCTGGGATTACAGGTGTGAGCCATTGCACCCAGTTACCAACTGCTTTTTAAAATATGTATATATAAAACAATAGGCTGAGCATAGTGCCTCTTGCCTATAATCCCAGTACATTGAGAGACCGAGGTGGGAGGATTGCTATGCTTGAGCATAGGAGGTTGAGGCTGCAGTGAGCTGTGATCATGCCACTGTACTCTAGTCTGGGCAACAAAGCAAGGCTCTATCCTAAAAAATGAATAAAAATAAACATAAAACAATAGTTGTTGTAGTCAACATTTATTGAATGATTATAATAAGCCAGACACTGTTCTAACCTCTTTATGTACATGGAGGTGTTCAAAGTATGTCATCCCAAAATATGCCACTCTAGCATACAGATTATTTTGAGCTGAAGGCAATTAAGAAATAGCAGAAACAGGGTGAGCTTTCTGCTCACCTTTGTCTACCTGAAAACAGAATATATATTTCATTCCCCTTATGGAGGTGATTTTCCCCCTCAACTTCCCATACCCATCCAGGAAGGGGATAGTCTTATCACCAGACATGAGATGGCCCTGTGATGGACCTGCACAAACAAGCCCTACTAAGATAACCCTTATATTCCATTAATTTCCCTTATATATTTACCTTACCACAGTTTTCCACTTCTAAAAGCTTAATGTTTTTCCTTTGTCTTTTCACTTTTCTACAAATTTATTGTCCCTTTTTAAGATGCTATACAAGCCCAAGCTCTAACCATCTCTCTGAGTTACTCATCCGTGAGTTTCTCCCATGTGCATGTGGGCTGCTAATGTTAATAAACTTCTGTTGGTTTTTCTGCTGTTAATCTGTCTTTTATCAGCTTAATTTGCAGGGCCTCAGAGAAACTAGGAAAATAGAGGGCAAATATTTTTCTTCCAACATGCATGAACATATTTAATCAAAATAGTAATCATAGGTGAAGTATTATTTGTCCAAAATGCTTAGAGCCAGAAAAGTTTCAGAATGTGCACATTTTTCAGATTTTGGAATATTTGCAAATACATAATACTATCTTGGGGATGGGACCAATATCTAAGACAAAATTCATTTATGTTTTACATATACCTTATACACAGAGTCTGAAGTTAATTTATAGACTATTTTAAATAAATTTGTACATCAAATTTTGACTGTGTTTAGATTGTAATTGATCACATGAGGTCAAGTGTAAAATTTTCCACTTGTAGAATTATGTGAGCACTCAAAACGTTTCAGGTTTTGAAGCATTTCATATTTTAGATTTTTTTATTAGGAATTTTTGACATGTGCTATTATCGCAATTTTACATATAGAACTGTAGCCTAGAAACATGAAGTAAGTTGCCCAAGGTCACATAGATGGAAAGTTATGGACCTGTGATTTGAATCCAGGCACTCTGAAACCACCTTTACAGAAATTATGACAGTAAGAGAAATCCAACATAGTTGACTCCATCTCGTTTCTTACCTCACAAGCTAATTGCCTTTGTTAACTTTAAAGCAAAGGTGATAACAGTCCTTCCGCAAATTAACTTCTTCTTTGCTTGGGTATTGAAAAAGCCTCTGTGAGACTAATAAAAAAACACAAGGTTGAGATTATGGGAGGGGACTGAATTTTGCTAAAATGTAAGTTAAATGACCCTCAGCCATTATTCCCTAGCTTGCTTTTCTATAATCCCTTACTGTTCAAAAGTCACGTAGCCAGAAGTCACAGGATGTATAGCTTCCCCAATTGCTCCTATAGATAAACTCTCTATTGTCAAAACCTAAGATTGGACTTTGACATATTTTTGAGACTTGTGCATTCTGGCAACCAACTGATGTCACCAGAAACCATGGCTCTTATAAAAGAGCTGACTCAGCTGGTGATCCACAACCCAGAACCTGAATCAGTGCATGAAGATAGTTTGAACACGCCTGTGATTTCATCTCCAACCAATCAATAGCACCCATTGCTTAGATCTCTTCCTTCCAAAATATTCTTAAAAACCCTGGCCCCCGAGCTCTCAGAGAGGTGGATTTGAGAAATGTCTCCCATCCTTCTGCTTGGCTGCCACTGAAAGTTTTAAACAGTTTCTTTCCAACAAAACCTGATGATCTCAGTGCATTGACTTTTCTGGACATTGGGGAAAACGAGCCCATCAGGCTGTTACACTCTGGCCAAAGAGCTAAGTTTTTAAACTTCATTTTGCTCCCTCTCATGATATTAAAAGCTGGAGGTTATTCTATGTAAAATATAAACATCTATTAAAAATAATGCCTTAAGAAAACTTAAATAGGGGGCAAAAGCATATAAATTTTATCTATGTGCAGGAAAATATTTAGTAAGTTGGTTAATTTCTATAAACAACACATTTTCTCTGAGTGAAAATTTGCTGCAAGAAATGGGTATATTGAGAATAACAAGTAAATTGATTATTAATATTTCTGATATGTAAGTATAAAATTTTGGGGGCAAAGTAGAATGTTTTATAAAGAAAAATAATTTATTTTTATACAAATTTATCTTCTCCATACATGAAAAGTTCTTATTTTTTCTTTCCAAATTCTTATGTATTTTGAATGTCACTTTTTTTCTGACTTGAAAATGTTATCTTTATTGCTCTCGGTAATGTTAATTTGCTGTGAGTTTAATGTTATGACTGGTAATACACTAGTGATCTTCAAGAACACAAAAGGTGCTGGGCATGGTAGTTCATGTCTGAATCCCAGCAATTTTGGATACTGAGACAGGAGGTTTGCTTGACCCAGGAGTTCAAGACCAGCCTGAGCAACACAGGAGTCCTCCTCACCTCCCCAGCCACCTCTACAAATAATTTTAAAAATTAGCCAGGCATGGTAGAGCATAACTGTGGTCCCAGCTACTCAGGAGACCAAGGTGGGAGAATTGTTTGAGCCCAGGAGGTAAAGACAGTGCGACTTGTTCACCCCACTGTACTCTAGCCTGATTGATAGAGCATGACAGAAAAAAAAAAAAAAAAAAAAGGGAACACAAAACGTGCTTTTGCAGAATAGGCAGACCAGGTACTTTCAAACTCTATTGAACAGAAGCTATCAGGAGGAAATAGAAGTTATGAGAAACTTAGAGTGGGCTATGAGATGGTATGAGAGAGCATTGTACCTTGTATCAAAGCAATGTGAGTTTTAAAATATGGAAATTGGCGTGCACAGTGACTCACACCTGTAATTGATAGTGACAAGAAGCAGCCAAATGCCTAGGCAGATAGGGGAGGTTCCCTGGTGAAACCCCACATTCAAGCCAAAAAAGACAGCCTGAAGGCTGAAAGACCTGACTGCTGGTCCCAGATGAAACCCATGACCCAGAGTGAGAACTTCTGTTCTTATTTGCCTGCCCTTTCCTGATTAATTCTTTCTGAATATTGCCTTTTAACCAATTGAATATTGCCTTTTCCAATACTATTTATGGCCTGTCCCTCCCCTATTCTGATTCCATAAAAGCCCCAAACTCAGCCACATTGAGGATATTTTCCTGCCTTTGCATCCCCTCTCCATTGAAAGCTGTTTTCATCACTCAATAAAACTCCTGACCTTGCTCACTCTTCATTTGTCACCGGATCCTCATTCTTCTTGGGCACAGGACAAGACTTCAGGATCTGATGTGCAAGCCAGACGTGGCCTGGGTGGGCTGAGTGGGCAGGGCATCTCCTGCAGCAGACAGCATGGCTGAGTGAGGCCCAGGCAGGGCTTTGCCAGCCAGAGGTCTCCAGTTTTCAAAGTGACTGAGAAACAAACCTGTGTCATAATCTCACACTTTGGGAGTCCGAGGTAGGAGAATTGCTTAAGCCCAGGAGTTTGAGATCAACTTAGGCAACATGTCAAGACCTCATCTCTACAAAACATAAAAAGTTAGCTGGGCATGGCAGCATGTGCCTGTAGTCCCAGCAACTTGGGAGATTGAGTTGGGAGGATCATCATACTCTGGGAGGTTGAGGCTGCAGTGAGGCGTATTCATGCCACTGCACTCTAGCCTGGGCGACAAGAGCAAAACCCTGTCTCAAAAAAAATAAAAAATAAAAAATAAAAAAATATATATATGGAAATGGATTACAGGGAAGTCTTTATATTCAGCTGGTTGCCTCTCTCAGAAACCAGACAGGTTTGAATGGAAGGGGAAACATTGTGGAGAACATTTTGTCTCCTCTAGTTGTTTGGTCTCTTTGAACAAAACGATGTTTGCAACCTGCTCTCCCATCCTTGAAATGGATTACAGTTCATCTCAGTCAGTGAAACTGATCAGAGTAGAGTAAGTACATATATTTACTGAGGTAACAAAATAAAGGCTAGTCTTCTCTTTCTATCCTTCCACCTGGCATTTAGACAGTGCTTTCTTTTGCTGGAACTTGTGGGAGACCAGAATATGCCACCCCAACTATGCCTTTTTGGGATATAGATTATTTTGAGCTGATTATTTTGAGAAACAGCAGACTTAAGAGAAGCTCTGAAAACAGCATAAATAACACTTTGTAAAATAAGTTTACATTTATAAAATAAATCTTCTTTTGTCATAGTGTCTTTCTCTCTACCAGAAAGATAAGAATGACTATAATTCGCAAGAGGCTTATCGATGGAAAAAGCAGCAACTTAAGTGTGCCTAACCAAACTTACTCTTGTGTGCCTTACTTTTCCTGGTCACCTGCCCTTAACTGGCCTCCCCACACCCTTTCTCTTTGCTTTTAGTTGAAGATTATATATATATATATATATGATATAATGTAAACAAGCTTCTCTTTTTTTTCTCCTGTTAATATGTCTTTTTGTTATACCTGCCCTAGCTGAGAACCTAGAAAGGAAGAAGATATTTTTTTTTCTCTACAAACTTTAAATCACCTATAAACGAAAACAATAACAAAAAAGTCTTAATCAGCTATTATAAAAATGAATTTCCTAAACTAAAATACTTACCCAAATATTGAAACTGGATTTCTCATATAAAAATCTATGAATATTTAACAGAAACCCTCAGCTCTTATGTATTCACGTATATTTCCATATACAATGTTGTTGGCTAGGTTCTGCTATACTGAAAAGAAAAATACCTAATTAGCAGTCATCTAAATTGAAGAAAAAATGTAAAAAGAAATATAAATAATTCTACAATTGTATTTCCTTTAAGGAACAAATTGAAAGAGCTTTTAAAATAGTAAATTAAGTTATAAATATGCTGCTCTAAAATACTTCCTTGTGGCTTAACTTAGCACTGCAGGAAGGCAAAGTATATTCACCTGCATTTTGAGTGTTGTATTTTATAGTGTGTTTGCTTTTTCTTATTTTGGGCAATCTTTTGGTGCCCCTATGAAATCTTGAATATCCAAGGCACTGGGAATATATCAGATTAACACTCAAACACAGGGATACAAAAGAAGCACGATCAATAAAAGCTTCCTAATAACCAACATATGAAAGGTACTGAGATCTATTTAATGAATAATATGAATGTAAAAACCGGTGTTCCTTCTTCTTGACTGATTTCATATTTGTGTTTCCTCCATAGTCCTTCCATTGACTTGTCCTTAGATTTTTCACGATGCTGAGAAATACCTTTGTGACTAGACCTCAGCTTAATTATGTCTCAACCTTCTGTCCTCCCGTGGGTCTACATTCTTCTCTAGCCCTCCCTCTACCCTAAGTTACTTCTTCTCTTTTCAGAGATTTTAAAATGGTACAAAAAACTAAACAGATTGGAACACATTGACAACCAGTCAAAAAACTTGGAACCCAAACTAACAGGAATTATTGAATGATCTGGCAGAACGGATAAAGGAAAAAAAAACGTCTAATAGACTTTGCACTGTGTGTCTCACCAAAGCACCCATGCTGCAGGGTAATCACTCTCCAGTTCAGGAAAGAGGTAAAATATTTCTGCCTGACAGTTCTTAACATACTTGAAGATCAATTTTAAGTCACTTTCAGTTTTAAACCATCGAACACAGACAGAATTCCTATTTTGAAAGTGAGACAGGTAACATTTGAGCATAACAGAGTGAATGATAATGTTGGTAGTGCTGGTGGATTCTTCCACCACACCTTCTCCATTACTCCTACCTAGTATGCTTTCTGGACTTTTATAATATTGAGAATAATTCATGGCAGAAAGTCTTAAACTCCATAATAGTTACCAATAAGAAGCGGAAAGTTAATAAACATTGTACTTGAGTAGAATCAAGGAAAGCAGGCCATCAGAGGCAGTGCCTCACAGCTCAGACAAGGACTGCCAGGACTCATGGGAATGGATGGTTGGGAATGTGAGTCCAGTTCTTTCCATAGTGACTGCTGCTAGAAAGTGCCAACTCCAAGTGACCCAGTCTTTTCCAGTAACTCACATCACTAAAACAATATCCATTCATTAAGATTTATTTAAAATGAATCGTGAGCTAATATAAAACTTATTGAATCTGTACTTTGTTGTAGTTTTTTTTTTTTTTAACCTTGTGAACCCAAAATATCCGAGATAAGTCTCAATCAATTTGGAAAGTTTATTTTGTCAAGGTTAAGGACATGCCCGCGACAAGCCTCAGGAGGTTCTGATGATATGTGCCCAAGTTTGGCGGGGTACAGCTTGCTTTTGTACATTTTAGGGAGACATAATATATCAATCAATACATGTAAGATTTACATATTTACACTGGGTTGATCTAGAAGGGTAGAACAACTCAAAGGATGAGGGAAGCCTTCCAGGAGTAACAGCCTTCATAGAGAATAGATTGTAAATGTTTCTCATTAGACTTTAGGTCTATATTGATGTTAACACTGGAGGAGTGCAATGAGGCATGTTCGACCCTGTCTTCTATCATGGCCCAAACCAGTTTTTCAGGTTTACTCTGGAATTCCCTTGGCTGAGAGAAGGGGTTTATTTAGATGGTAGGGGGCCCTTAGAATTTTATCTTTGGTTTACAACCTCTTTAAAATTTTACTGAGGGTGTGTATAGTATTGGGACTCAGAAACCGGTACCTCAAAATATGGTACTTTGTCTTATTGACACAAAGAAGCCTCAAAGTCTCTTCCTTTCTCACTCTTACTCACAGTTTCTCCCAATGCACATGGTAAAGTTGAAGCTCCTTTATCTGCCTATTCACACCTACCAAAAGGAACAATTGTTTTTTCTTTCCCTACCTGTAATACCAAGAATATAACCACACCTGAACAGATTCTTTCACAAGATAATATACTAGTTAATCTCTCCTGATGCGTTTATTCCCCCTAGTAATCCCCTTAATAGAATTCCCCTTCTTTCCCCTCCCATAACCTGTTTTGCCAAAATGGAATATAAGCTTCTAAACACCTTCGGGGTCAGGGATGGTCAGTCTGTGGTTCTCCTTGTGTACACATTAATAAATTTTTATGCTTTTTCTTGTATTAATCTGCCTTTTGTGAGTAAATTTTTAAACAAACCTTCAGAAGGCAAAAGGGAAGTTTTCCCTTAGCCCCTATAATGGTTACATTTTGATATCTTCACATTGTCCTCTTATCATAATGAGTGTTAACTTCTAGACTTTCAATCTTCTATGACCACCTATAATCCAAATCATAGGATTGTATTTTTAAAAAGAACCAGTAATTGTGTTTTTGAACAATGAGACAATAGGCTTTAAGAACTCAATTTTAAAAGTCGAAAACACCAAGTGTAAAGTGGTATTATTGTGCAGGCATTCTTAAACACCAGAGTAGTCTTCCAATAGCAAAATTTTCCGTTACTGAACTTTCTGAATGTTGAGATTATTCAACTAGAGAAATATTTGTCATATGGAATTAAACCCTTATAAACCAACCCAAGTTAATACAAAGTTTTAAGGGCATAGGGGAAATTTTGCACATGCAAAAGCAGTAAATGAAAGATAGCTGGACCACATAAGCAATGAAACTAGAAAAATTAAACGTAGGAGTATTTAAGCAGGAAAAAGTATCTTTTACTTTGATCTTTGCTGAACAGCTTCCTCCCACCCAAAACCATAGAAAGCTTTTGCTTAAATAACCACTTTTGTTGCTATTATTTCATTATAATTTGTGCTTTGTACAATAGAGGAAACTATCTGTAGAAATATTAGGAACCATCTGTCAATATTGGATACCAAAATGCTAACGTGGCAGGAAAGGAGCCTTCATGAGCACAAAGATGATAGAAGTGTTGTCTAACTGTTAATGCCCCAGGACCAAACTAGACCCCCAAAAGATGATTGGGGCAGTGATCAGGCAAACCCAAGAAAGTCAGGTCTATTTGGAAATGTTACCATTCACCTCTAATAGTCTTCTGTGATTCAAATGCTTCATGCAGCTAGAGTGGTCTGCATCCCTTCCCAACTCGTGGGGTTATGCCCACATGTCTCTTCCTTTCTTTTTCCTTTCTGCTTCCTTGTCCTTTATTTTTTCAGGCTTCGGGGAAGTGGTAGAAAATGTAGAAAGAACAAACATTATACGAGTATTATGACCTCTGATCCTTAGTTTTCAATTTATTCTGCTCTAGCATTTAGATTAAACTTTCTGCTACACTAAGCAATGATCTTAAATACATATTGAATATGATAAAATTCTAAGATATCAGGAACCCAGGCTACTCCCCAGCCTTTAATCGGGCTGTTTGGAATTCCACTGCATGGCTGTGCTATTGCCTGCCTACCTCTGAAGTCCATCGTTTTCTATTTATTTATGGCTTCTCTGTCACCCCATAAGCTTCCCCTGGTTTTAGTCCAAATTGGTACCTTTTTTACTATCTGTAATTCTAGCATTATGCAAACTTTCTGTTTGAGCCTGGACTATCATATGATAATAGTCTATTACTTCACTTTCTCAAGGTAAAATCTGAATGGTACTTTCTGGGTATCTTTGTTCAGTTGGCTGTGACCTAAATGTGTCTTTGAGTGGTAGACATGGGGATGGAGACAGTTAAGTAGTCTTCACTCACTTAGTTGGAATTATGGGCGAAATCAAATTAGTTGAGACATTTTTAGTCATGAAAGTAACTCCACTGTCTATCATAAGGGTCCTCTAAATCCACGTTCCCTTCACCCTAGTACATATTTGCCAAGTGGTCATCTAGCCTCTATTTGAACACTTCCATGATGGGAAGTTCATTATCTTTAAAGTAGCCTATTGCACTTGAGAATATTACAAATTATTCAAAACTTCAGTTAAGCTGAAATCTACTTACTTGTAAATTTGATCTATATATCCTACTTATGCCCTCTGGGGCAGTAAAATCTCATTATATCTTAAAATGACAGGATTTCACATATTTGAAAAAGTTATATTTCCCCTAAGCCTTTCCTCTCTAAACTAAATATTCTAATCATTGTTCTTTTAGACAAAAGAAAAAAATACAGGTGGATCTACATTTCATATACTAGAGATATTGAGGGAAAATCATGTATAATTCAATTTTTTTCATAAGTACAAAGAGTTACAGTGTGTAGCACAGAGTCTCAGTGCATTTGATGGCAGAGGACCTGAGAGCAAATCCTAGAACAGTCATGTAAAAGCATGCCATTTGAATGTTTTGATCCATTTTAGAATTGAGGAAGTAGAGACACAGCATGGTTAAATAACTTGTTCAAGGACACTAAGTACTAAGACAAAGTCCAGGCTCCTTAACATGTCCAAAAGGGCTTTCTGTGTGTTTGTTTTTTGAGACAGGGTCTCACTTTTCCACCCAGGCTGTAATCACAGCAACAATGTATTTCTCTGAGATCTTATAATACACAGTGTTGTTTCCTGTTGCTGAGTCATCACACATGATGTTTCCTTTTTGTGGAATATTTCTCCTCCAAATCCTCACTTGAATAACTTCTACTCATACCTCAGGTCCCCATATCATCTCTATCAGAGTGTCTTCTTTGAGTGTCTAACCAAGGTAGTTTCCTCTTGTATGTTCTTTCATTGCATCCCATAGTTTCCTTATTGAATCACATATCCATCTCTTACTTGTTTATGTTACCATGGTACTGGATTAGTTTTATTGGATATAACTTTTCTGTTGTCTCCACTATACTTAAACTCTCAGGGCTAGTCTTTTTCTTCTTTGTACACCAAGAACACGGTGTTTAACATACCTGAAAAACCATATATCACGTGCATATGTGTGTGCGTGTCTCTGTTAGACAGGGCTTTGATTCCTAAAGACAATTACATGTGCAATTAGTCCACATTGCAAGATAAATGTGACAGTTATAATATAATAAATAAGCTTAGGTATATTATGTCAACAAGTGCTTTAGATAATAGGGAAGTGTACGTTTGTGAAAAGTGAAAATAGTACTTCATTTGTTCTAGATTGCTTAATATTTAGCCTTACTTCTCTTTGTGAAATTTGAGCATATACTGACCAGTCATCTTTACAGTAATATTTCCAGAGCACAGGATGAATGGCTCATAGGTCCTACTTTAATTACGACTGTTACCTTTATGGCCCTGAGCTATCTGTCCTCCAGCTGAAATGTAAACGTAACTGAGTAGTGCTCTTTTCATGTGTGCCCCTGCTTTACTGTCCTCTAGTGAAGGTCTAGTCATACAGGAAGCACCTCTCTTTATTAAATTGCCAAAGGTAGTATTAAAGAGTTCATGAGGTATTTTAATTTCTCATTTCTGAACATTCTACCTAAGGGAGAGAGAATGAGTATAAGAGTTTCCCTCCAGGCACCTTCCCTAGAGGAATAAACTGCCAATACTTCTCCAAATTAAACATGACCCAATGTCTGAAGTGTTTGAATGCCATTTCCTGGAAACCTCCCTGGCTTCTACTTGAAGATGATCATTCTTAGAAAGTTTTGTCACATTAGTAAGAGGAACAGATGACAAAATTACATGACTAATTTGGTTTTCTTGGAATGTAAAATTATATCATAGTCTGCTAATATTTTTTTCTGAATAAGATGCAGACAGAGATTCATGAAATAATCTAGATAGAGCAAACAATACTGCCAGGCTAACTCTAGGAAAGTAAATTTGCATATCTGGGAAAGAGTGTGTATACAGATAATAGATAAGTCCATCTTAATAACTGACTCCTCAATGACTGGATCCACATTCCTAGCCAGCAAATGCTACAGCTCAACAGCTTTATACTTTCTCAGAGCCCCAAAGGCACAGGCAGGGCAGGCCACGTAGGGTAGGCTATCTCACTGCCGTGATATTGTCTGCTCCAGCAGCTATTACTTCCTCCCTCAGCTGCCATGCCTTTGAGGTAACCTTAGCACTGATTCTCTGACTGCATCTGACCCTCCAACCAGGCACATCCATTTCCTCTGCTACCATCATCCTTGCCTTCTAACTCCTGGATAAGCCTTCTGTTTTGCCTTTTGGTCAATTTCACCTTGTTACTTGCTCCTTTGAGCTGTTAACATAGCGATATTGATCTTGTAATCACCTGATGGGTTCTTCCTGCCTACAGCACAGACAAAATCAATTCACTGAGACCACAGCATTGCAGTATAGAAAGAGTTTAGTTGAGGTGAGGCTGGCCCTTGTGAGAGAACTAGAGTTATCACTCAAATCAGCCTACCCAAAGGCTTGGAGGTTAGTTTTTATGGACAATTTGGTGGGAAGGAAGTTAGGGAATGGGTGCAGCTGATTGTTTGGGGATGATAATAGGGGTGTGGAAATAGTCCTCATGAGCTGGGTTTGCCTCTGGGTGGGGCCACAGAACCAGAGTCATGAGTCACAAGTACCAGTGGGGTTAGTCAGAAAAACATTTCAAAAACCTATCTTAGGTTCTACAATAGTGATGTTATCTACAGGAGCAATTGTAGAAATCACAAATCTTGTGACCTCTGGCCGCATGACTCCTGAGCACTAAGGGATTATAAAACAGCACCTACATTTTAGTAGCGTTCAGGTCTCTCTCATAATCCTATTGCGGCCTTTCATTTGTCTTAGAAAGGCATTTTTCAGTCCCTGAGCAAGGAGGGGATTAGTTTTAAGGAGAGACTATTATCATCCTTGCTTTCAAATTAAACTATAAACTGAAATCCTCCCAAAGTTAGGTTGGCTTATACCCAGGAATGACCAAGGACAGGTTGGAGGTCAGAAACAAGATAAAGTCAACTATGTCAGGCTTATTTTCCTATCACAATTTTGAAAAGATTGTTTCAATCTCCTCTTAGCATCCACAGTGTTTTGGGGTATCAATTCTCTATTACTTTCTCCTAAAGAGCCAACACTACCTTTTTGCATATATGGCATTCACTTCTCATTTCCTCTGATGAGAAAACACCTCACCTTTCTTACACATTGCTTTGTTACCAGCTTCACCTTTGTCAAGTCACTTTGTCAATTTATCTCCGTTTTTTTTTTTTCTCTTTCTCAATGTATTTTGGTGACCGGCATTGGCAAATACAACTCCAAAGTTCTATTGGGAACCACTTTAGGCTTCCCATACCTAAAACCTGTAGCTAAGTCTGGTCCACCAGGCTCTTATCACTTGCGTCTTTGGGTTTTTCTCTTGATCTGTTGTGTTGTTGTTTTTGTTGTTGTTTGCATTTTGTTTTCCCTTTCAAGGACAACTTAGCTTCTAGTGATTCTCTCTTGTCTCCCAAATATATCCACATCATGTCTGAAGAGTTACATATGTTCATTCCTAGGGTCTCTTGGGCCCCAAGGAAATCAGCAGATAGGATTTTTTCCCATGAAATTTTTAAAACACATTCATACATACACAACAGTTTGGACTTCATCTTTCCAAATACCTATGATAGCATATCTATCCTATCCTTGTATCCAGGAAAATTCTCTTTGAAGGAAAAACTTAGAGGTAGAGAACAGACTTTATTCTTTCCAAGTCCCTTTATTCTTTGCTCTTCTTAACTATTTTCATCCTAAGCCTTCCTGGGACACTGTTAGATGTGAGAATTCCTACAGCTAGGAGTTGACGTTGTAATTCCCCCTGCCCCTGCTTTGCTCTTTATCAAATGATCACCTGCATCACACATTTATACCGACCACTGGATGAGTGGTTAAGGTTTATTGTGCATGAGAGGCTTCCAATTCTGCAGAAACCACACACTTGGCTCACATTTCTGTGGTTTGAGAGACTGGCATCCCCTCCAATCAGCAACTTCTGAATTTCCCTTTTGTGCTGCATCCCAGGACCTGAATACTGGAATTCTTTGTGGCTTTCAGTAAATGAAAAGAAAATAATAGTACAAATAGGGAAATAAGAGTCTGAAGCCACCACAAGCTCATCCCATTTCTCCTGGCATATATCTGTTATAAAAATTATAATTCTAATTGAAAATAATAAATAATAAATATTTTAATAAGTAAAAGTGAATGATTGTTACTTTGTTTTTGAACAAAGTCATAACAACAATTTAAGCCCACATGATTTGGAGGCAGAAAATTCGGTGGAAAATAAAGGTTTGAGATTTATATTTTAGGAATTGGGATTAATCCTGAGGAAGGAAAGAACCTTTTTTTTTCTGGGAAGCAGAGGAACTTAAAACTAACAAATTAAACCAACTTACTAGCTTATTTGGGGTTTAGTTTGTTAAATTAAGTTTAACAACTTAAACTTAATTTAGCTTAACAAACTTAAATTTAGTTTGTTAAATTAAGTTTAGCCTAAATCTGCCTTATATATTTTAAGTTTGGCCTAAAAGTTTCTCCATACATAATGAACTACAACCTAACCAGATATGTAATCAGACTGTAACCTCACTGATATGGTTTGGCTATGTCCCCCGCCAAATCTCATCTTGAATTCTCATCTTGAAGTCTCATCTTGAAGGACCTGGTGGAAGGTAATTGAATAATGGGGACAGGTCTTTTCCATGCTGTTCTCATGATAATGAATAAGTCTCATGAGATCTGATGGTTTTAAACATGGGAGTTGCCCTGCACAAGTTCTCTCTCTTTGCCTGCTGCCATCCATGTAAGACATGACTTGCTTCCCCTTGCCTTCTACTATGATTGTGAGGCTTCCCCAGCCATGTAACTGTCAGTCCAATTAAACCTCTTTCTTTTGTAAATCTCCCAATCTCAAGTATGTCTTTATCAACAACATGAAAATGGACTAATACAGTAAATTGGTATTGGGAGTTGGGCACTACTGAAAAGATACCCAAAAATATGGAAGCAACTTTGGAACTGGGTAACAGGCAGAGACTGGAACAGTTTGGAGGGCTCAGAAGAAGATAGGAAAATGTCAGAAAGTTTGGAACATCCTAGAGACTTGTTGAATGGCTTTGATCAAAATGCCAATAATTACATGGACAATGAAATGCAGGCTGAGGTGGTTTCATATGGAGATGAGGAACTTGTTGGGAACTGGAGCAAAGGTGACTCTTGTTATGTTTTACCAAAGATACTGGTGGCGTTTTGCCCCTGCCCTAAAGATTTCTGGAATTTTGAACTTGAGAGAAACGATTTAGGGTATCTGGTGGAAGAAATTTCTTCTTTTTTCTTTTCCTTTTCTTTCTTTTTTTTTTTTTTTTTTTTTTTTTGAGACAGAGTCTCGCTCTGTCGCCCCAGGGCTGGAGTGCAGTGGCGTGATCTTGGCTCACTGCAAGCTCCGGCTTCTGGGTTCACGCCATTCTCCTGCCTCAGCCTCCAGAGTAGCTGGGACTACAGGCACCCACCACCATGCCCAGCTAATTTTTTGTATTTTTAGTAGAGACAGGGCTTCACCGTGTTAGCCAGGATGGTCTCTATCTCCTGACCTCGTGATCTTCCCACTTCAGCCTCCCAAAGTGCTGGGATTACAGGTGTGAGTCACAGCTCCCAGCCTGGTGGAAGAAATTTCTAAGCAGCAAAGCATTCAAGAGGTGACTTGGGTGCTGTTAAAGGCGTTCCGTTTTATAAGGGAAGCAAAGCATAAAAGTTTGTAAAGTTTGCAGTGTGGCAGTGCAGTAGAAAAGAAAATCCCCTTTTCTGAGGAGAAATTCAAGCCAGCTGCAGAAATTTGCTTAAGTAACAAAGAGCCAAATGTTGATTACCAAAACAATAGGAAAAATATCTCCAGGGCATGTCAGCACTCCTCCCATCAGAGGCCAGGAGGCCTAAGAGGAAAAAGTGGTTTCATATGCCATGCCCAGGGTCCTCATGCTGTGTGTAGCCTAGAGACTTGGTGTCTTGTATCCCAGCCGCTCCCATTGTGGCTGAAAGGGGCCAACATAGAGCACGGACCATGGCTTCAGAGGGTGCAAGCCTCAAGTCTAGGCAGCTTCCGCTTGGTGTTGAACCTGCCAGTATACAAAAGTCAAGAATTTGAGTTTAGGAACCTCTGCCTAGATTTCAGAAGATGTATGGAAATGCCTGGATATCCAGGTAAAAGTTTGCTGCAGGGTGGGGTCTTTCATGGAGAACCTCTGCTAAGGCAGTGCTGAAGGAAAATGTGGGGTTGGAGCCCCCACACAGAGTCCCTACTGGGGCACTGCCTAGTGGAGCTGTGAGAAGAAGACTACCATTCTCTCGACCCCAGAATGGTAGATCAACTGTCTGTTTGCACTGTGTGCCTGGAAAAGCCTCAGACACTTAGTGCCAGTCCATGAAAGCAGCCAGGAGGGAGGCTGCACCACGCAAAGCCATGGGGCAGTGCTTCAAAGACCACGGGAAACCACCTCTTGCATCAGCGTGGCCTGGATGTGAGACATGGAGTCAAAAGAGATCATTTTGGAACTTTAAGATTTGACTGCCCTGCTGGATTTCAGACTTGCTCGGGGCCTGTAGACCCTTTGTTCTGCCCAATTTCTCCCATTTGAAATGGCTGTATTTACCCAATTCCTGTACTGCCCATTGTTTCTAGGAAGTAACTAACCTGCTTTGGATTTTACAGGCTCATTGTGGAAGGCACTTGCCTTGTTTTGGATGAGACTTTTGACTGTGAAGTTTTGAATTAATGTTGAAATGAGTTAAGACTTTGGAGGTCTGTTGGGAAGGCATGATTGCTTGTGAAATGTGAGAACATGAGATTTGAGAGGTGTCAGGGGCAGAATGATATGGTTTGACAGTGTCTCCACTCAAATCTCACCTTGAATTCTCATGTGTTTTTTGAGGGACCTAGTGGAAGATAATTGAATCATGAGGACAAGTCTTTCCCATGCTGTTTTCATGATAGTGAATACATCTCACAAGATCTGATGGTTTTAAAAAGGAGTATTCCTCTGTACAAGTTCTCTCTTTTTGCCTGCTGCCATTCATGTAAGACGTAACTTGCTGTTTTGTGCCTTCCAACATCATTGTGAGGCTTCCCTAGCCACATGGAACTGTAAGTCCAATTAAACCTCTTTCTTTTGTAAAGTGCCCAGTCTCAGGTACGTCTTTATCAGCAGCATGAAAACAGATTAATGCACATGTCTTCTACCAATCACAGAGTTTCAGTCAATCACAGGTGGCCAAAAATTCAAACCATGTTCAAATGAGGTAAATACTGAATTGTAACAAATCCAGCTGTTTCTGTACCTCACATTTGTTTTCCGTATGTCCCTTTTTTTATTCCTGTCCACAAATGTTATCCCACCATGTGGTATCTCCAAAGTCACTCTGAACCTACTCTGGGGGCTGCCCAATTAACGAATTGTTCTTTGCTCAATTAAATTGTTCTTTGCTCAAGTGTTCTTTGCCCAATTAGCTAATTGTTCTTTTGCTCAAATTTAATTTGTTTGAAGGTTTTTATTTTTTTAAACAGGCTTTAACTCGGTTAAAACATATATATTCCCCAATATGTGACATTTCAAATCAAGTTTCTGTGTTCTTATTTCTTCCTTTTGTTAAATGTATCAATGGCATCTTATAATTTTAATTCTTTAATATAATGATAGCTTAATTTTATTTGATATTGACTTTTTGATATGTCCAAATTCCCTCCAGGTCTACAAACATGATCAGAAGTTATTAATTTGAGGAATACTGAACTTGTATTATAAGGAAAATATAACCTAGAACTCGAGATGTTAGGATCATCAATCTGGAATGCTCTGTTCTCACGTAGTATTATTATTTCAAAATATTATGATTCAAAACAGTAAGCAATATCTAACCTTGAAGTAAAAGGAATGTGACTATCATGTTAATGTGACATTAGATGTATATTTAAATAAAGAGCAGAATGACATAGTTAGAACGGCCCAGTCACAGGAGTCTAGGGTCCAGGAGAGGAGAATCTCCTCATCAAAATACTCCATGACCCTCAGCAACCCATCTAACTATTCTAGACCTCAGTTCCCTTTTATGATAAACAAAGGACTTCATATATTGATTTTTAAGGTTTCTTCCATGTCTAAAAGAATGTGATTCTATAGCTTTTTAGTATTTGTCAAAGAGATTTCACATTAATTTTTTGTATGACAAATGAGCTCACAATTTTCAAAAAGTTGGTGAGTATGACCTGTTAGCTCCAATTTTATAAATAATACAATTCAAGCACAGTGAATAGTGTTGACTTATCTAAGTTACATAGCTAGTTTAAGAGTAGGACTGCATTTAAAATGAAGATTTCTGGGTTTTCCTGACATCATTGTGCAAATATAAGTTTAGACAGTGGGGTACTATTGGCAAATAATTTTTCTAACCATTGTTTTTTGTTTTTCATATGAAAAATCAAAGTCGTAATATCACTCTGGATATTTTACCATGTTAATACTAGATTCAAACGAGCTGATATATGGGAAATCATTTTGAAAGCTGTAAAACCTTGTTCAAATATATTAACCAGACTACACACTGATGCTGAAAGCAGCAACATAATTTTTAACTGAGTTGTTTTATTTGACTCTATACATTCATCTTCATAACTGGATAATTGGAAATTCTTGCTCCTTTTTGTTTTTGGCTATGTAGAAAAAATAAGCAATATGTAAATGTTATATGCCTTATGTAAGGTTCGCTTGAAGTTTTTTGGTGAAGTCAAAACTTAGCTGCATTAATTCATTTAGCATATATTTATTGAGCATCAGCTATCTGCCAGGAGCTGTTTGGGGAACTGAGAATACAGAATTAAATAACACAAGCAAGCTTCTTGTGTCATGAAATGTGTAATTTAATAAAGGAATCAACAAAAAAATAAACAATAATGAAGGAGGAAAAAAGTATAATTATTTAATTAAAAAACTAGTAGTGTATTTAGGATAAAATAAGCTAAGGTTTAAATCGCAGTAGAGACCAGATAGGTGAAGTTGGGGAAAGAAACACAGTCTAGGCAAAGGAAACCAACATTGCGTACTATTTGAGAAAATAGTTTGTATGTTCTAAGAGAAAGTAGGTGGGATATGAACTGAGAAGTAACTATTGGATTAAGTCACATGGGTATCACTGGTGATCTTGACAAGTGTAGCTCAGTAAAATTATTAGGAAAGATAATTACTAGGAAAATAATTAGGAAGCTAATTATTTTAATTATTAAAAATTATCAGGAAAGATAATTTTTAGGAAAATAATTATTTTAATTATTAAATATTATTAGGAAAGAATAATAATATAAATAATTATTTTAATTATTAAAGATTATTAGGAAAGACAATTATTAGGAAAATAATTAGGACACGTGTAGCTCAGTAAAATTGTTAGGAAAGATAATCTCTCTTTGAGAGATTTGAGGAATGTGCATGAGATGAAAAAATGGAGATTGTGAATATAAACATTTTATTTAAAAAAACAGTATAGACTACTTTGCATTAAATATACATTGATTACTAGCCAGCTAGCTATGGATATCCAAACGATGTTAAAGGTCAAAATTAACTCACCAGAATGATTATAGAAACAGAGAGAAAATTCTGTACTTAATACTCTTTCATTTTACAACTATATCAATATACAAATTAATTCATTTTATTCAGATATTTATATAGTTTAAAATATAACAAACAACTAATATAATAAAAGGGAAAAGTAAACTAGTAAAGAGTGATACAAGAGGAAAATACTAACAAATATTCCTGCAAATAAAAGTTATAGTAATTGCTACAAATTTATTCTGAACTTTCCAGCAATGAGGTAAAGGAGGAATATTCTATGTCATATGTAGCTCTCATTTTATGATAAAAAGGAACACTTTTCTTTTCTTCAGCTTTTCATGGGCTTCAACTCAGAACAATTTGAAAAGAACAAACTTAATATGAAGGCTTTATTTAGCATAACAAATAATACTCCCATAGTAGTCTTACCAAAAACAAATGTGTTCTTGATGTAGTACTTGTCCCTTAACCAACGAAAGCCAGAGATGTGGTTAAACTATCTTTATGAAGGTAATTTTGGAGTCCTTGTGTGGAATGAATGGGATGGGACAAGAAGAGGGTAAAGTGACTTATGATTTGCATCTTTATAAAGATGACCTAATTTAATAGAGGGCTAGAAATTTAATGGAGAAATTGATGAAAAACAATGATTCCTTAATTTCTTGACAGCTTGAAGCTGGAATACTAGAAAGACTATTGGATAGCAGAATCAGCGTCCATAGAAATCTGTACATATGTGCTGAATATAATAATGTAAAGTTTAACCATTCTAATGTTAATGCTTAAAGATTTGAGCCAGTATCCAGCTACACAATTCTAGGAATAGTTAGAGGTCTTGGTACAGGGATATATAACAATGGGCTAAAAAGTACATATTATAAAAATAGTTTAAAATGCTAAATGTAAGTTAAAAATATTATGAAGCATCCCCAAAATAATAAATCAACATAGGGTGGGATTAACATTTATATAACATTTTAAAAGATAATTATAATCCCACTTTATTATTTATCAGAATTTAATTTGTATACTTTACATAATCTTGAGCCCTAAATTTTAAGGCTGGAACTTAATCCAATGATGTATGCTGGAAGAAATTGAATTCACGGCCTGGGAGATTTTATTAAATAAATCAGCAAAGTTTAGCTTAGTATAAGGAAGACTTTGGGCGTATTGTGGTATAAAGATTAGCTTGCTTCATACAGTTGACAATGGTTCACTTATTCTGTGTGACCACAAGAAGCCTGATAGGGAAAATATACAAAGAGACTTATTTTAGCTCTGTGTAATTAAACTGTTCAAATATATAACTATCAGATGGGCTGCATTTGGAAGCAGAAATTCTTTCTCACTTGAGTATATGTGGAAGGGGTCAATGTGTCAAAAAGTAATAAGGCTAGAAAACCATTCAGATCTAAACCAATCTTATTTATAGTCTTTTCATCAAATACAGATTAACTTAATCATTTTTTAAAAAAGAAAAAAACAACATTTGCAGGAAGAAAATTAAATCTCTGCAATCTTCAAAAAAAAGTTGAAGATGTTTTATGAGAAATGTATAGGCCTTCAACCTCCCAAGGGGGAGAAAATTTTAATTTCTACCACCAACCTCTGTTATTTTATTATAAAGAGCAGGATATGTATGCACAGATATGCATTAGCAATGTCAAGGTCCTTCTTTAAACTATGCAGTTCCTAAAATAATTTTGGTTTGCTCCTGATGAAATATCCCAATGTGAGTAAAGAAAGATGATCATTATAGCATCATTTTTTTGGACAGTACATATTTCGCTACCCCTGCCTCGATCTCCTGGCAATACTGTTCTTTCGTTTCTCTCCCAGCAAACCTGGCTTTCTGTAGGGCAACTGTTGGGTAGTACAATAGCTGATCTCAGCTCTCAGAGGGTTCATGCTGAGCAGCTGGTTGGATTTTGCTTTAAACTTGTTTGCACAGAGCTGCTGTGTACAGCTGTTTACCCCATCAAGTTTATCTCCCAAACACAGCACAATATAATTTATTTTTATAGGGAATTCTTCATAATAGTGGATTGCAAATGGCTTCTTAGGGAGAGTCAATCATAGAATAAAGAGGAACAGAAGGATTGAAGGGGAGTTGTAAAGTGAGAAAGTGACACATGAGAAGTGAATATTTCAGGGAAAGTGAGAATTCCAGCAGGCAAGAAAAAAGACTGTGGGTTAAAAAAAAATGGGAAAGGTGATGAATGTTGGTAGGAGAGTGAGTCAAGGTGGCAGGAACCCAGGCATCAGAGGGAAAGTAATGAGAAGCACCTGTGAAACGTTCTCAGCTAGCTATTTTTACTGGTTTACCTGAAGGCTGCATTGACAAACACCAAGTGGAGAATAAAGGCTCATTTATAGGTTATTGACATATTTTGTTTACCAAATGTCTTTTGATCATGTAAGTTTGGGAAACATTGACCTAAAGATCACCTGGAATACTCATTAAATATATAGATACTGGCTCTCATCCCAAACCTACAGTAATGAAATTTCAAAGGAAGGAAGAGACCTAGAAATCCAGATTTTGAACAATCACTCTGATTCTTATGACCAGTGTAGTTTAAGAAACAGCGATTGAGGAACACACTTGGTTTCAAGCAACAGAATAGCTACCTGAAAAGCGTTCAATCCTAAAAACACAAATTTTTCTCCCACAAGGAGTCTGGAAGTAATTGGCCACTGACTTTGGTCCCATCGTGTAGAAATGTCATCAGGAACCTGGGCTTAGGTAACATTTCTACTCCATCATCCTAGCTTATGACTTTTTGCTTTGTATAATTTGATTTACAAGCTATCAAAAAGTGTTTATCACAATCCAGACAGGGAGACCTCATTCAAGGCAAGAAAAAAGAGGTGAAAGAAAGAGCAAAGGAGTTGGATCCTTTTTTTTTTCAGGAAAGTTAAAGTTTCTCATTTAAGTAAATTAAAATAAAGACCAGATTTGAAGAATCCTGAGTAGACAAACCCAATATGTCCTCATAAGTGACCTTAATCTTCCTTGATTTGCAAACATAGGTGTAATTTAACTTGGGCTATTTTTTGTAAATGCTTATATTAAAGAAACAAACTTAAGGCTAAGCAATCAGAAGCTGTTCCCTAACTTATATGACAAGAGAATTTCCAGCACACTAAGGCAATTGTGTAACTGCAACCAATCAAATATTTTTCTTGCTTTATTTCCATGTTAGTCCCATAAAAGCTTTCTCCTCCTTGGTAGTGCCCCTAAACCACTTATAGTTCAGAGATTCCTGATTCATGAATCACTGTTTGCTCGAATAAACTCTTTAAAAAAAAAAAAAAATTTTGTTGTGCCTCAGTTTACCTTGTAACAGTCTCCAAAACCACTCAAACAGAGTTTCTCTTACCTTCCTTTGGGCAGCACTGTGTTGTAAAGCCACTACTAAATTTAGAGGAGGCCAGAAAAGCAAATTACAAAGCTTCTCTAGTAAAAGCAAAGGAGAAGGCTTGGTGCAGTGGCTCACGCCTATAATCCCAGCACTTTGGGAGGCCGAGGCAGGCAGATCACCTGAGGTCAAGAGTTCAAGACCAGCCTGACCAACATGGCGAAACCCTGTCTCTACTAAAAATACAAACAGCCAGGTATGGTGGCGTGCAGCTGTAGTCCCAGTTACTCTGGGAGGCTGAGGCAGGAGAATCACTTGAACCCATGGGGCAGAGGTTGCAGTGAGCAGATATCATGCCACTGCACTCCAACTTGGGCAAGACTCCATCTCAAAAACAAAACAAAGAACAAAAGAAAAAAAAAAGAACAAAAAAATTGGGAATCGCATTGACTAAGGCAAATTATAATGTCTACTACTGGTCAATTCTAAAATTTGATGAATGATGAGTCCCAGGCTTGCTAGGTGATGTGATTTTTTTGCAGCATGGAAAGAATGAGAATTATACTCTTAACTCTACTTCAGTGAATTGTCCTCCTACCTATCTTAGTAATTCTACGTGTTCCATCAATGTTTTCAGTAGTGCACTGTCAGGTCTGAGTTTTCCTGATGCCTACTCTGTTTTCCAGTTACAAATTTGTTGATACAGTATAGAGTATTGATAATAGAGATTCCTGAATCCCATGGCAGCTAAACTAAGTAACAAGCTTAGACAGATTTAACACATGATTGTGAGTTTATCAAAGCTTTGGATGAGCAGACATTATGAGAATTTTACTCAGAGAAGGCAGAATCAATCATCCTCTGCTTTGCTTCCATTATTGACAACAGGGAGAAAGAATAATCTTCACACTCAAAAGGATAGGATGGATTTGACTAAGAGGAAGTCGAAGCCTCAGAAACACTGGAAGACAGTCATTAATTATGGCTTTAAATAGTTTCAAAGTTCCAAGATCAGGTGGATTACAACATAGAGAAACAGGGAAATCTGTCAATTGTTAACATAATCTAGATTAGCAATCTTGAAAAAAGTCATGGAGAATTGCAATGTGGCTGAAAAGCAGAAATGGGAACATATTCTATTAAATAGAATTTTTCCAGAGCTTAGCATTTCTTATTTTGCCCACTGATAGTTCTGAAAAATATTAACTTGGAAGCATAAGGAGAGTATCAAAAGACTTAGAAAAAGATGATTATTATAAGGAACCACTTGGCTTTTCTGTGAAGATACTGCAATCTTCAACAGGCATTTGTGACTTCCTTGGAGAAGATGGAGTTAAAGCAAGCCGTGAAAGAGTGTGATGGGTCAAAGCAGATCCACAGGTATTTTATCTCCCTTTTAAAGATGACCAAAAACTAAAAGTTTGTATTCTAATAGATTTGATTTTTTAAAATATCACCCTGTTTTCTGTCTGTACATAATTTAAGGTAACAAAGGTAAATTTCTTTTAAAATCTTATAATTTTATTAATACAGAATTTATTCTCCCTTAATTGTTTAGTTAAACTACAAATTTCAAAGCAATACTTAGGGAAGTCTTTTTTTTTCTTATCTATCTCACATTTTAACTTCAGATTTCAGAATAATCATAAAGCACAGGCAGTTAGTGAAGCAGCTGTCCCATGTAACAGCATTGTTGTGTCTTCTTTATGATATTTTAAAACATTTTTATTTATTTTTCTCCTGAAATATGTGATGCTTGTTCAGAGGGAAGATGATATTTGAAAGTATTCATGCCATTGTTTTTAAAGAATGTTTCCTGAACAATATGTACTCTGATGGGTTATAGGGAATTAAATTATAAATTTATTTTGACTGGGTTTTGTCATAAAAATAAAGAAAAGTGTAAAATGTATGGATGCAGTTCCACAGGTAGAAAAAGGTTAGCCTTACATCATGTATTTGATCTTTATTACAAATTTACCATATGTTTGTTTCATATGCATTCTTTTTCCTTATTGTGGGTGTACATAGATGTGAACATAGGTATGTGTTGGGGAGTAAGTGAGACTGAAAAATAGATATATTAATATTCAGCTTCTCAATATCAGCTAGGTTATCTTCAAAACAATTAGGTGGCTATTATATTAATTGGGTGAATAACATTAATTGCTTTGTTCTTTTTTTTAACAGGTAAGAGTAGCTGTAGTATTTCTGGCCCTATTATTGCATGAAAATTTGTGAAGGATTAGATGATCACATGTGTTAAGTTTAACTATTTAAGGATTCCATTAATAAGGAATACATAAAAGCATACTTGGAATATGGAGGAAAAAATGAAGAAAAAAACAGTATGAACTCAGTATCTAAAATCAAATGTTTCTATTCTTTAATGTATTAGAATTAGAAAAGTTGCCCTTACTTTCAATGGCAAAAACCACAATTACTTTTTCACCACCCTAATATTTTCTTCTACTCTTTCTGACTAAATATAAGGCTAATCAGTTTATATAATAAATGCTGATTTGTCATCTTCTTATTTCTTTATTTCATTTGTTCATCATATTTTCTATTAAAAATAGCTTTAGGAGATTTAGACTTTCTATGCAGAAATGTTGGACAAGGATATCTGGGAACCAATTGTACTTTCTCTCCTTTGCTGGGAGGTGGTCTTGCTGGGGCTGAGTTTAGTTCAACACTACCAGGACTCTGTGTTATAAGCATTACCCTAAACAGAATACATAGAAGACCTACGTAAACTCCTCTGGAATTGTAACAGAAGTTGAGGTACACCAAGTCAGTGGCAAAGCAAGAACTTAATTTCTTCATTGTCATCAGCAGGACCTGGGTGGAGCATGTCTTTGGCAGTTACTTTCCCTGTAAGGGATCCAACGTGCAAACTGCAATAAGCCAGGCTGTACCTGCTCCTTTTCTGTGCCATCATCTCTGTTTCCCTAAGTTCTGCTTCCTTGGATAAATAAATTACATCTTTGTAGCAGGCATGGACTCTTTTCTTATCTCTGCAACCCATCTGCAATGCTGCACAGTGTACCATGAACATGGTTTCATGAATGTACTTATATGTTTGCCTTGTTGTACAGATGCATACTGTTGATAGACATTCAGGTAATTTTTAGCTTCTCTATTACAAATAACTGTGTGAACCCTTCTTGTACATATATTTTTGTGGCTGCATGATAAATTCCTAAAGTACAGTTGCTTATATGTTTGCAACTCATTTAAAATTTGAAATTAAGTATGTTCATTTTAAATCTTGATAAAGACCATATATTTGATTTGTACACCATCTTGAAACCATGCAGTTAACAAAATCTTTAAAATAAGACTGTCCTCTGTATTGTATTATTTGAGTGGTATATAAGTAACGAATTCACATTTAATAAAAATTATATGAACAAGCTAAATTCTTCCACATCATTATTAAATATTCACATTAAAGTCCACCATTTATTTGCATTTTAAGTATATGTTTGACACATCTCTAAGACCAATTAGTCAGCTGGCATCTTTGGTTAATGTTGATTTTAGCTAAAATGTGAAATTTCCCCATAACAGCACATAGCCACATAAACAGAAAAACATGTTTAGCACCATGCAAATTAATGCAAGGTCATAGGCAAGACCTACAAAATAATTAAACCAGGTTAAGGGAGTCATGCTTTGGGAGACTAAGAATTTTAATTAAAACTGTTATTGAGTTCAATAACAGTTCCGTCTGTAATTAGTGAGTAATATCTTTCTGCATTAATCAACGTCACCAAAAACTGCCTAAATTAACACTTTGCTTTTCCTATATTGCTTCAGGTTTGTGGGGTTAGAGGGGAGTAAGTTATATAAAAAAGTAATTAAGATTAGGAGGACATGTTTTAAAATCTTGTTTTTCTACCTGATTTAATCTTGGGTACCATACTTGACAGCAATGAATGAACATATATTTATTGAACACTTACTACAAGAGAGTCATAGTTGAAACTATAAAGAAGATCTCGCTGCTGCTTAAAAAGAACATGTGATATGTTAGGCACTGAATTAGGTGTTTCATACAAAACCATTGCCTTATATTGTTTTCCACACAGTACAATTTTTACAGTGGGAAAATCTTTCCCCCAACCTCTGCAGAAGGAATGAGCAATTTGCTTAAGGTCTTACCAGTAAATTACAACGGAGACAATAAAAGTAAAATTGGAGAACATGGCTGGGTTTGCAATCATAATGAACTTACCCAATGAGGCATTGGTTTATCCCACCCTGTCTCTGGCAGAGGTGGACAGCCAGAATCCTCCCATCCCACCTCATGCTTCAGAGCAGACCAGAGCACACCCTCTGAGAGCAAGTGGATCTGAGAACAGATCATTCTCCAGGGTGAATGTACCCAGATGTGTTTAACGTTTCACCAGACAGGTAAGTGACACATTCCTTGGAGAATATTGAGTAATAGGTAGGGAAAGGCTAGGAAAATGATTCTCACAGATGCCCCATGGACATTTCAGGCCAGGAAAATAGAAGTATCCATCTAACAGATTTTGGATTCAAACTCAGTGAATTCTAAAGTCAGTGTTCTTCTGGTGCACTATTCTCTGCCCATAGAACCATAGGGTCCCCCGGTGGGAAAGAAATCTGTGTACAGAACTTATGTGAGATCCTTCTGCTACATAAATGCACCAACCTTAGCCCTTTACTTAATCTCCAGCCTGGAGGTCCAATTTTACAACTGGTAAATCAGATGGTGAGGTGTTCAGGACCAAAGAAATAAGACCCTGGTTACAGGGGTCTGTGTTTCAGAATCCCCTTACTAACACACTACACTTGAAGGGTTTTCTCCCAGAGACAGCACAGCTCTTCACTTCACATATTGAATTAGGCCAGGGAACCAAAAACAGTATCCTTGTATCCTTCCCTCCCTTTCTCTTACTCTCTTCCTCTGTTCCTCTTCCTTTCTTCCTTCTTTCCTGCCTTTCTTCCAAGAAATATTCATTACATATCTGCTATGTGCTGGGTGCTGAGGCCTAAACATTTTTAAGTACTGCAGCTCATTCACTATGAAAACCTTTATAGTTTCTCATGAGTCCTTCCATTTCTTTTCTGTCTTCTCTTCCCAACAATCCTACCTCTGTTATTTCATGAAAACACAGGTTTCTTTCAACAGCTGTTGAATTGCTTGAAATCCTATTAAGATGATTGTAAAAAAGGATTAACATCAGCCCATTTCCCTATGTAGAAGATCCATATTAATGCTTCCTATGAGTAAAATGAAACGCCAACCTGAGAAACATTCCAGTAGTTTTATTTGTTGTTTTTTGGTTTTGTTTTGTTTTCTTTTTATTTGGGCAGGGGAAATCTTGTTTTGTTTTGCTTTTGTCAATAATGTAGTTATGCAGCATTTGTGAAGACAAATTTTTTAGGACACATTTTAGACATACATATTAGAAAACTTGTAAATTGAGGCATCTTTTTTTCACTGGCACTATCTTCCTGCTTCATTAAGGCTGTATTTTCTCCTCTTTGCCCAGGAAAAAAACTGCTCCTATCTCCAAAGGCAAGTTTGAAATTCTGTTAAACTTAAATTGCTCAGTTACTGTAGGATCCAGACACACATACACACACACACACAGACAGACACACACACACACAGGCGCACATACAAGAATTTTGGAAAAAAAATGAGAACTAAGTGGTAAAAAGACATAATACATAAAAGAGGGAATGAAATTTAAGAAGATGAGAAACAACCTAAGAATAGAAGCAGCAGAGAACAAGGATCCGTTAATGCACAGTCGGCTTTTGAATTGGGAAGTCTGAAAGAGCAAATCGCTTCTGAAGCAAATACGCACGACAGTACTATAGATTTCAAGATAATTAGGCATGAGAAATGGTAAGTAATATATTCACCTCCTGCATTTATGTTCTTTTAAGGTACCTAGCATTTTTTTTTTTCCAGTGGATGGTTTGAGGTGTCGAAGTCAGCTGAGGCTAAAACTGAAAAGTGTCGTGGACATTCTTCTAAAATAGTTTTCTGGCAAGCATGGGTCAATTAATTTGACTGCTGCAGTTGGCCCCCTAAGCTGCACTTTATGAGTACTGAATGCAAGCCGCAGACCTTTTAAAGGGTGCGTCTCTCTCTTTCTTTTCATTTAAAGAGTATAGAAGCAAAAAGCACAGAAGGAACAGCTTGGGGATTGGCTTCACTGTCTATTAGAGATTGGCTGATGACAGGGAATAGGAAGGCTGGTTTGGTTTTACAGCCTGGGAACCCCACCCACACCACATGCCCTCTTTATACATGGGAGGATAGGATACAGCATTCCTGCTCCATTTAGGAAATGGTCATTGGGTTTTTTGCCTATTTGCGCCCTGAGGATTTTTATTTCTGCCAAATGTCCCCATATTTGGTAATCTTCTGAATAAACACTTTGTGACATGCTACAAAATAAATACAATCAATCAATCATGCTTTTATAAAACCTATATTATTGTTAACTGCCTAGCTCTCTTCCTGAGGCAGCTTCTATATCCTCAACAACGTATTAGGGGCTCTAAAGGATAAAAAAGAAGCATAGAATCTAGTTTCTCAACTTTCACATTAAACAAATTTACTTATTCGAAACTCTTCATTGAAATTCTACCATTTACTTAATGTTATGCTAGAAGTTGATGAAAAAAACAACAAAAATCAGGCTTGGTCTCCACTCTCTGGGAGTATGCATACCCATGAGACCAGACATTTGGAAAACAAGTAAACAAACATAATACTGACTTGTCTTAGAAACGAAGAAGAAAATTACTAGGCTGCTAAGTGGGGAGTAACTAGGACATCTAACCTGGATTGTTGGGAAATGTAAGCGCGTTTAAGGAAGTGCAATTTTAGCTGAGTCCTAAAGGCAAGAGTAGTAGACACACAGGTGAAAAATGGGAAGAAAGTGGCCTAGTGAAGAAAGAGCAATTGTGAAAGCTTGGAGCATTTTAAGGAAAATGAAAAGAGCCCATGTGGTTGAAGCTCTTGAGCGTAGACGCAAACTATACTTCATCTTTTCTTTACTGTTCCAGGAAATGAGTTTATCCAATCTTTTCCTGACTTCCACAGTGAAAGATATTAAGAGCTGTGGTCACTTGGAAAAGAGGCCTTTGAGGAAAGTAGGAGAGAAGAGCAAAATCAAGGCTGGCAAGTTTGCCATCTTCATACCATTGCTAAAGGCAAAATGAAAGGAAGTGGAAATAGCACTAAGATAGGAGCAGGAGGCTTGGTTTGGAATTCTGGGTTTCCAGTTCATTCCTTTAAGATCTGGGACAGACGCCTGTAATCCCAGCACTTTGGGAGGCCGAGGCGGGTGGATCATGAGGTCAGGAGATCGAGACCATCCTGGCTAACAAGGTGAAACCCCGTCTCTACTAAAAATACAAAAAATTAGCCGGGCGCGGTGGCGGGCGCCTGTAGTCCCAGCTACTCGGGAGGCTGAGGCAGGAGAATGGCGTGAACCCGGGAAGCGGAGCTTGCAGTGAGCCGAGATTGCGCCACTGCAGTCCGCAGTCCGACCTGGGCGACAGAGCGAGACTCCGTCTCAAAAAAAAAAAAAAAAAAAAAGATCTGGGACAGGCCACTAACCATGTTAGAATTTTCTTTTTCTTATCAATAAACTGAAGATGATCTCTTACAGGGTAGTTTTGAAGCTTATGATGTAGACTACATGACTTTTTGAAAGACCTAAAGTGATATGCCAACACAAACATATGGGCTTTCAGGGCTGTTTTCTGAATTTCCAGTATTCAGATTAAATCCCAGTGCATAACTTAGTCTTTGTATGAAAGCAGCTCTCATAGAAACATCCCTGTGTTCCAGATCTGGTACTGAAACAGAAGGGCTCTTATTGTGTGTGTATGTGTGATGAGTATATAGTGTACATGTCGATTGCATGTGCTATGTGTGCGGTGTGAATGTGGCCTGTGATTTTATGATACGTGGCTTATATGTATATGTTTCTGGTGTGTGTATGGTGAGAATGTGTATGTGTATACACACGTGTATATGTGAGTGTGGTATGAGAATATGTGGTGGGTGGTGCTAGGAGATGCACACAGGCTGAAAGTCAGGAATCATGGGGAAATATCATCCAACTTCATCCCAATTTGCTGGAGGAATCCCAGAGATAGCACATTGATAAATCCACAGAAATTGTTGCCTTCAAAGTAAGCCTAAGCCTTTTGCTTTCTAATAGTTGTGTAGGGAACAAACCAGCACAGTCTGGGAAGAGTAAACTGAATCTGGGATGGATTGGAAGATTGAAGCCCAGGCCAAGAGGAATTTTGAATAGGCGAAATGAGAAAAACTGATATGGGAATTAGTTCTCCCTAAATGCACAGGGACTCGGAAGAACAAAGGCCCCTGGTATCGCCACTCTGATATTTCTAAGCACACTCAACAGAGTGTTTTGTGCTGTCCAAGCTTGGCTTTGTCAACAACACTTCTAAAAGGCTGAGGCTGTCTGGCCAAGGACTATAAAGATGAGGGAGTGAAAAGCCACTGCCAGGAGAGTGCTCTCCGTCATGTGCTGTAGCAAAGTCTCTTCAGGCCAACCTGCCAATCTGGGGCCACTGGTATCTGAGGAGAGGAAGGGAAGCCTTTCAGATTACACCTGTTCTGATGCTTGTCAGATGGGGGGAAGCAAGTGTAGTCCTCAGGTTTTCTATAATCTCCCTATATGCAACTGTGTAGCAATCAGCAAACAATTGTATCCTAGTCCCTATAACCTCTAGATTAGAGGAGAGCAAATTGTGGAAAACTAAGCAAGACACAGAGACTTAGGCAGCCTTTCTCAGAATGCTTGTCTTCTGGTTTGTGCAAATGGAAGCAAAGCATCCAGGGGCAGTAGTGACAAGCATGGCCCCACACACTCTCTGGACATTCACTGCACTGACTGCACCTCTAGGGCACATCAGAGGGGATTTTTAAAGTACAAAACAGCACCCTAAAATTCTATTCACCATGTTCTGGGGTACATGCCCCTCTCTGAAAGGAGAAAAGAAAGAAGGAAATGTAGTTCTTCCACATAGAAAATTCGTAGGCTAATAGAGGAAATCAGAGGGCCACTCAGGAAACAAACTCAGAAAAGGGAGACACCGGATATACTTAGGTATTAAATTCAGTTACAAAGTCTAAGATTTAAACTCCAGAGATGGAGGAAATCTGTGAGAACATCTTTATGAATGGGTCTTGAGTTTGGTCCTAAAAATAGATGGATTATGCTAGACATACTGTCTGAGGGTGGGAGAGAAGGGGAGGGAGAGGGATTGCTTGAGTGGTATAGGGAAATGTGAGTGCTTTTATAATCATTTAGGTTCTATAATTACAGTGCTTAAAACCTATGAGGTTTCTAAGGACCTACAAAAATCATGTTTGAGATTTAAAACCATGGATATAGGTCCAGAATCCCCCTCAAAAAAAACTTAGATAAATATTTTACGGTATTGATAAAGCATAGTATAACTTCAACTAATCAGCTGTACCTTAACACATAAATGTGGTGTTTGATGTGTGTGTTTGGTAGAATGCGTGTTAAGATCCCCAAAAGCACGAGTGCTCAGGAACCAAGAAGTTCTTAAAGCAACCTTGTTTTAAAAAGAAAAATGGCAGGCGGATACCTAGAGAATATCACTTACATAGATATTGTTTGCTTTATCTAAAAAAAGCAATGAAGCTTCTAAATTGGGCTCTCCAGAGACCTGGGAATCATAAAACCAAAAGTAGAAGGACTACAGAAATCTTACAAAGATAGAAGGAAGTAACTTAATTCATGTTTTGAAGTAAATCAGACTAAGCAGTATTTGGGGATTGTTCATGATCAGTGAAAGAACAGAGTACACACACACACAATGGTTTAGTTGTGTATTATTTGTGTTAACATCTTGTCTAACAAATGTTTATGCTTTGCAGCTAAAGCTAGATTTTTTGTTTGTTTGTTTTGATTGAAGGAAATGTCAACTAACCACAAATGTTTGTTATTAACTCTGTGAGTTGATCAAATAGTGGGAATCCAGGGTATTTGGTTTATAATCAGGCACTTCTGTCGACCTGTTGACAACTTACCCGATAGCAGGCATAATAATTTGGAATGCCGGCCTTACAAACCCAATCTATGAAGTAACATCAATCATTACACATGTTTAAGGAAAAGCCTTAAGAATTAACAAGGGAATGTGCCAATAGTTTTCTTTTTACAGCCCCATGTATCAATTGATACAATATAGCTGTTTGTTATGTCATGAATCTTGATTTGCCAAAAACTTGTTTTCTTCTTCCAAACATCAGAGCTATATACTGTAAAAGGCAGATATGACAGTTATATAACTAAAAGGAGTAAGTTCTTTCACAATGATCAGTATCATAAAGTAGCTACACCGTATTAAATCACTACTACCTAGGAATAAATCTTGTATAATGTTTAAGTAAATATACATTCAGTTTATGCCTCTGGATTTATTTACATCAATAATAGTCTAAATTTTGCAAAAAACAGAACAGATCTTGGCTAACTTATTTAATGCAGTCTGTAGGACACAGGCAGCTGTAAACTGTTATTTTAGTAAATGTTTTGCTATGAAGATGAGGGTTACAAGCAACAGAATAAATCTTCAGTGGTATATTTAGAATTGAGCTAAAGCCAAGACCAGGAGATATAAAGTACTATATATATATATAGTACTTAATATATATATATTACTTACAAAGACATTGTTTGCTTTATCATATGTATATATAGAGAGGGAGTATATATATATTACTCTTCAACTTTAATGTGAAGTTTTTCACAGACATTCAGCACTTGTTCTTATGCAAATCCTATATCTTACTGGACATGATGGATACTTTCACCTGAATTTGAAAAATAGTAAACTGAGTATGAGGGGAGAAATTGTGCCCAAGGTCACAGAGCTCATTTTAGGGCAGGAGTTAGTCTTCCAACTCTCAATCCCGGTTGCTCCTATGATGTTCTCATGTCCTAGAGTTCTATGGGGCATTAATTCTCTTTGTTGATATTATGTGTTACAAGGACAAAACAAACAAACAAACAAATTCATGAAGAAAATTTTGTCTTAAACCTGATGAAGTAGGTTCCTTTACTATAGGATTGCACAGAACCTCTAAGCTTTAATATGATAGAATGTGTTATAAGTTTATAAGAGGGATATAAAAGATGTATTATTTTCCAGGCTTATTTAACCAAAGATCCTGTTCTAGGTATTGAAAACAGCAACTTTTGGAAACTTACGTTTCTTCATGAAATCCCTACCAATCTCAGAAGAAAAGAGCCCTCTACTATTGGCCTTATCATATCTTGTATATTTGATACTATTGTTTATGGAATCTTTATTTTATTTTTTGTAGAAACAGGAGCTGGCTATGTTGCCCAGGCTGGTCTTGAGCTACTGGGCGCATGTGATTATTTTGCCTCAGCCTCCTAAAGTGCTGGGATTATAAGGACGAGCCATTGCACCAGTAGATACTATCATTGATGTTGATACACAAGCATTTCAAGTCTTGCATTCTTTGTTTAATAAATTTGCAAGGCCAAGTAAGGAATGCCTAATGCAGTTTGTTTAAGAAAACCCGGTTAGTGGTTTAGACAGATGCTTTCTGGAATAACATCCAGTGATGTGACTGGAACGCTATGAAATATTTTACACATAAAATGAATACTTCGGCATTGAAAGTCAATATCTGTTGTGAGTGGTTATCATCTAGTGGTTAGTTTGAAGAGTTTGGAATTAGAGTAGTTCATTCCAGATGAGTGTATCATTCCTCAATGAAGAAGCAGGAGCAGGGAAGTTTACACAGATCTAAATGTGTTGTGTTCTGGCTTTGTCTCAGGTTGGTTAAAAAAAAAAGCACAGCTCACTTCTTTGTAGCACATGCCATATGCAAAAAGTAGACATTGCCAAAAAGAGAACTGGCAAAGAGAAGAGACTTTGCTAGAAGAGAACTGCCTTATCTTCAAAGGCAAATAATATTTCATTGCATCCCACAAAAGATTCTTGACATTTTATACTGCATAGAGAAGGTAATATGGTAGATATTCAATATGCCTACTTTATTAATTTAGTGACATGGAGTTCCTTTTATTGAGACAGAAAAGATGCTTTGTGCCCAGATATGATTCTCTTATACCAATGAGATGTATTTTAGACCACAAGTCCTGAGAAGGCAGAGACTATGGGGTCTTCCTGACATCAAATCAAGTATAAAATTTAGTCAGTTCAGAAGAAGACAGAAAATCTATTTATATGAAATTTTGGAAGACAATAAAAGAGAACTTCAGACTTAGTGCCTATTCAAATCTTTAGCTTAACTTTTCAGCCACCAATTAGACAACACAAGGAGCTTCTATGTTTATAAGTGAGCTATTGCACCAAGACTCAATATCTGTCCAAAATAAATATCCTTCCAAATTTTTATCCATGTTAATACAGAATTTGTTTCCTATTTTTGCATCCTCTTCAGCTGCTGCTTTTCCTTACATTTGTCTATTTGTTGCTCTGTGAAGAATGTCTGCTGTCTTGGTGGTTATTTCTCTCTCTCTCTCTCTCTCTCTCTCTCTCTCTCTATATATATATATATATATATATATATGTATATATATATATATATATATTACTGCATAGAGCAGGTAATATGGTAGACATTCAATAAATCTACTTTATTAATTGAGTAATGTGGAGCTCCTTTTATTAAGACAGAAAATGCTTTATGCCTACATATGATTCTCTTATACCAGTGGGATGTATTTTAGACCAGAAGCCTTGAGAAGGCAGAGACTATGGCGTCTTCCTGACATCAAACCAAGTATTAAACAGTCAATTCAGAAGAAGACAGGAAATCTATTTATATGAAATCTTGGAAGACAATAAAAGGGAATTCAGACTTAGTGCCTATTCAAATCATTAGCTTAACTTTTCTTACTTAGCAGGTACATATATATGTATATATATATATATATATTTATCTCCTATTAAAGATTGTGCCTTTACTTCAAGTAACTGTGAGAATTGAACAATAGCATATACCTAAGTGAATTTAGTACTAGCGAGTGTTTTATCTTTTTAAAACAATAAAAATTAAGCCAAATGGCAAATAGTCAATTACGTCTACTTTAAAATTAAGCAAAAGTATATATATATGTTAAATATAAATTTAATTTGGAAGAAGACATATATATATCCTTTAAAACTAAGCAAAAGTCTATATATTGGTTAAATATGCAGAGACCAATAACAGATTTTGCTTAATTTTAAAGGCTATACATATATTTACATATATTTATATATAAATATATATTATATATTATATGTATAATATATAATATATATTAATAATATATTATACATTATATGTATAATATATAATATATATTAATAATATATTATACATTATATGTATAATATATAATATATATTAATATATATTATACATTATATGTATAATATATAATATATATTAATAATATATTATACATTATATGTATAATATATAATATATATTAATGATATATTATACATTATATGTATAATATATAATATATATTAATAATATATTATACATTATATGTATAATATATAATATATATTAATAATATATTATACAATATATGTATAATATATAATATGTATTAATAATATATTATACATATATTGTATAATATATAATATATATTAATAATATATTATACATTATATGTATAATATATGAATATATATTAATATATATTATACATATAATATATAAATATATATTTTAACTTTTAGAAGCTGAAATTATCAAAGAAATAAAAATAAATATATGAAAAATATGAAGTATATTAATCTCTGGCAAGTCAATATCGAAGAGTTTAGGCTTTTGTGTATGTAATTTACATTCACATTTAAACTATTTTGTTTAGCTAGTGGTGGTTTTACACTTAGGACCCTCATTTTTACATCTTTTTTTCTGCTAATATGTCAAAAATATATAATATATATTTTATATATTAATATATAATACATATTTATATACAAATATATGTTATATATAAAATATATAATGTAATATATATTTTATATATTAATATAATATATAAAATATATAATGTAATATATATTTTATATATTAATATAATATATAAAATATATAATGTAATATATATTTTATATATTAATATAATATGTAAAATATATATAATATATATAATATATATTATATTAATATATAAAATATATATAATATATATTATATATAATATATATATAATATATATATTTCATATATATCATATATATAATATATATATTATATATATTTTTATATATATTATATATATATACACATATGCCTCCCAAGTTTTGGTGATGGGTAATGGCCAATTATGTTGGATTAATGCAATGAGAAACACTTGGAAAGCAGAAGCAGTTTTTTAAAAAGCAATAAAAAAAATCACACTTTGTATGATTATAAAAACATATTTAAAAAGTATCTCCTGTGTGAGTTTCTTGCATTCCTGTTCCCTACCTTGTGTATTCATTGAAGAAAAGTCTTCGTTCTCACCATTATTAAATGAAAGACGGTATTCTGTAGTGCTGAGCCAACATAAATGAATAATGAAAAATTACAGAACCAGAGACGACTTAAGTTTGTAGGAACCTTAGGGAACATCCAATTCAGCCTACATGGTGTAATGGTTAAGAGCAAGGGCTCTAAACTCAACTGTGTTCAAATCTTATCTTCTCTTTCCTACCTCTTTCCCTTTCAAGAGGAATACATCGTCTTTGCTTTGGCTTCATCTGTAAAATTTAGATAATCATTGTGTATAGCTTCAGAATTCTTGGGTTGCTTAAATGAGTATAGCACCAAGCATGTAGCATATATCTCATAAATGTTAGCTGCTCTTGTTTTATTATTACTGTTTAACAATAATAATAACCATTGTTATTAATTGACCCTAGTAGTAAAAGGATTTAACATAGGAGGAAGCTGAATTGGGGACAAGTTAAATGGATTTTTAAAGGTCATATAGAAAGAGAGAGAAGAGTAGCTTCATTTCAAAAGCCATGTGTCATCTAAAATACATGCATGAGAATAATTTATTTGCGTTCTCCAACTCTAACTTGTTCAGGGACCTCACCTAACTTGTGTATTCTTCTGTTCCCTGGCCTGGGATATCATTGTCATATGGTAGGAGTACTAAAAATATGTATAAATGAATGAAGAGCAACTGCAGAGTAGCGCACTTGTTACAGAATGAAGAAAGTGATCAAATAAATCATGAAGTTGTACCTTAAAAAATAAACTTAAAAAATGTAAACTTCAAATTCTCAGGATGAAAAATTATGATTTTTATAAATGTTGCAAGTTTTAGGGAAGTGAAGATAATACAACTGAGAAATACATTAAAACTGTAAAGAAAGTAATAGTGAGAACTTTTAGAAGCTGAAATTATCAAAGCAATAAAAATAAATATATGAAAAATATGAAATACATTAATCTCTGGCAAGTCAATATCGAAGAGTTTAGGCTTTTGTGTATGTAATTTATGTTCACATCTAAACTTTTTTGTTTAGCTAGTGGTGGTTTTACACTTAGGACCCTTATTTTTACATCTTTTTTTTTTTCTGCTAATACATGAAAACCTGTTAATAAATTGAGCCTTTACTTCAACTAACTGTCAGAGTTCAACAGTAGCATTTACCTAAGTATATTTAGTACTAGCAAGTGTTTTATTTATCTTTTAATACATGGAAAATGAAGCCAAGTAGCAAATAGTCAATTACATGTGTTTTAAAAGAAAGCAAAAATCTATACATTGGTTAAATTTTATGTAGTTTTTTTAAGTATCAGCAACCCTTCAGTCACAGTTAAAAGGTGGATAAAGATATAAAAATATGAAGATATTTTTGTTATTACTTTGTTACTTTGGGCCCTACATTTTTTAATATTTTTTGTTTTGTTTTGTTTTGTTTTGTTTGAGACATGGTCTAGCTCTGTTATCCAGGCTGGCATGCAGTGGTGCAATCATAGCTCACTACAACCTTGAACTCCTGGACTCAAACAATCCCCCTGTCTCAACCTTGTGAGTAGCTGGGACTGCAAGTGCACTCACCATGTCCAGCTAATTTCGAATTATTTTTGCAGAGTTGGCATCTTTCTATATTGCTCAGGCTGTTCTCGAACTCCTGGCTTCAAGGAATCCTCCCAATGGGTCTTCTAAAGTATTGGGTTACAGGCCACTGAAGCTGGTCATAAGACTATTTTCCGTTGCCACCTAGATTACCCTAGAAATTGCAATATCAACAGGGATAAAAAATTGTTAAAAGGGATGAAAAAAGTACTTTATTATTAAATGTATAAAGATACAGATGTGTGGGTATAGAGATGTACATATACACACATATATATAAATAATATTACATAAATAGAAATACAGTGTATGTGACATAAAAATTTCATGAAATTTTCTAAACTAGTTTTAGGAAAAAAGTTGTCTAAAAAGTCTCCATGGTGCAGGAAGGATAATAAAAAAATTAGAAAAACTGATCTAAAACTTCATAGTTCAAATCTGGTCTGTACTAGTCTGTTTTGATTCAGCAAATGCATAATTTGCCTCTTAAAAAATTTGTTATGTAGTAGCTTGATTGTTCTTAACCCATCTCCACTAAGGTTTCCTATGAGTTTTCCTATGTTTAAAAACAACTAAAAGTAGAAAAAATCTGGGTTTACATCCTTGTTTTCTTTAGTTCTAGTCAACTATTCACAGCCTGTATTTTCTTTAAATCTGCACATTGAAATAATAAGAGCACCTACAAATGTTAAGAAGAACCATTAAGGTAATATAAGCCAATCTTTTAGCCCAGCATGTGGTACAGGATGTGTACTCTGGGTGAGTGTAGTCTTGACTATTATGATTGTTCTAATTTTGAGTTTGAACACTACCACTTCTATAGGGAAGCTTTAATACTCTTGTTTTTAAAGCCAAATCTAAACAGATTTAGAACATCCACAATGAATTAAAGGTGACAGCATTTTATAATCTCCTTCTTCCCAAGCCATATTATATTTGCCATTAGTTTAATCCAAATAAATTATAAAAAATTACACACATACTTATATATGTATGTATATGATAAATATGACAATAAATACATACATATGTATGAGACTATATATGTGCATATTTGTCATATATACATGTATATATGTATACATATATATTTGTCTTATATAAAGTTATGTAAGACAAAGATCAAAGAGATAGAACACTTCAGAGAAAAGTGATTAAAAAGAAAAATTAGGCCATGCACCATGGCTCATGCCTGTAATCCCAGCACTTTGGGAGGCTGAGGTGGGTGGATCTCTTGAGCTCACAAGTTAGAGACCAGACTGGGCAACATGGTGAAACCCCATCTCTGCAAAAAAATATTTAAGAATTATCCAGGCGTGGTGGTGCATGCCTGTAGTCCAGCTACTCAGGAGGCTGAGGCGGGAAGATGGCTTAAGCCCAGAAGGCAAAGGTTGCAGTAAGCCAAATTGGTACCACTGCACTCCATCCTGGAAGATAGAGCCAGATTTTATCTCAAAAAAAAAAAAGGAAAAATTAATAATTGCCATTCAAAACAATTTCTAGGAATGCAAGGGGAAAGGATTAACTGCCTAGTTTGCAATTCAGAATAAGAGTATCCTATGGAAAGAGGTATCAATTATAATTTATTATAACAAACACTGCAAAAAAATCAAATTATTTAGTCTTGTAATTTTTTTCCAAATTATATTTACCTTTCACACAAGTTGCAGCCAAAAAAAATCATCAGACATTTATTTATACAGCACTTGAACATTAATTCAAGTGAATGAAGTTTGAGTAAGTTTGAGTGATTGAATGAATGAGTTAGAGTGATTGAATTGACATCAGAAATGAGAAGATATCTGCTGATATAATCGATTGCTCATTTCCTTCTCACCTCCAAGGCTGTTTGTTATAACTAAGATTTTCATAGATTTTATTTTCTGGTAAAGTGGCATCTGAATGGTGAATAGATGGAAAATGAGAAAGATTAGGAAAACTAACTTGTAGTGCCTGAGAACAGAAACTAAACTCAGGAGAGCTGCGCTGGTGCAAAGCTGGAGATGTGTCCTTCTCGTGTACAATCCTCTATTGAATGACTTTTTTAAAAGGCAATAATTAAATAATAATTAAGCAATAAGCCAAGAAGTCTTTTATTTAAGAGACTGAATGTTTTATGGACAGCTAAGAAAGAAAGCATTTGTTGTATACTGTTATTAATTGTAGATTATTTGTTGTGACCAGATCAACAAAACACTATTACTGTAGGCCATTCCCCCGGGACACAAGAATGACTTTGTTATGCAAAACTTCTGTGTAAAGCTTTATACTGGAATCAGATTTTACTCCAACAGCACTTTTTTCTACATAGCTAGCAGCACAATGCCCTGCTCTCTGACCTGTACTGAAAACATGAGGAGAAAGAATACTTAACTACTTCCCTTGCTACTCTTCCGGAAAACATAAAGCTGTGCTAGCAGAGCTCTGAACTAGGAGCTCTTGAGTTCCAGTTCACTATTAACCTTAGAAAACCCACGATACAGTTTTGATGCATGTCCCTGCCCAAGTCTGATGTTGACATGTAATCCCCAGTATTGGAGGTGAGTCCCAGTGGGAGATGATTGGATCATGGGGACAAATTTCTCATTAATGGTTTAGCACCATCCCCTTGGTACAGTCCTGGAGATGGTGAGTCAGTTATCACAAGATCTGGTTGTTTAAAAGTGTTTGGGACCTCCCACCCTCTCTCTTGCTCCTGCTTTCACCATATGACCTAATTGCTCTTGTTTTGCCTTTCACCATAAGCAAAAGCTCCTTGAGTCCTTCCCAGAAGCAGATGCCACTATGCTTTCTGTACAGCCTGCAGAACCATGAGCCAATTAAGCCTCTTTTCTTATAAATTACCCAGTCTTGAGTATTTCTTTACAGCAATGCAAAAAGGGATAATATAACCCACTTACCATATTGTTTTTCAATTTCCACATCCATATAAGGTAGACAAGAATTCTTGACTTTAAAGGCTTCTAAGAGTTTTTATAAGGAGAAAAAAGCATTAAATAAAAGTAGTTTGTCTCAAAATACATAGTCATAGATATGTAAGAGTAATGGCATAATAGGACAAGAGTACAGACCTGGTTTTTTATCTGAGTTGATATTAAAAATACTTAAAAAGAGCCATAGCTACAGTGCAGGTGAAGTGGATGCTGGGAGAGCGGTATCAGTGGGTATCATCAGTATCCTAGCACTAGTGGGGTTTCTTTCTTTTATTTTTATTTTTTGCCATTGTAGTCAGCTCATCTAGGACACCATTGTGAACTTCCTTGAATAATCAGTCTCTCTAGACATCCCTGTCATTCTTTCTCCTTTGGGTGGGGGAGTCATCGCCTTCAGTGTCTGCCAGACAAGAGAGCTTATTACATTACCCTTATTAAATTTCCTCCTTTTGCTCTTCAACTCTCATTGCCCATGCTGTCTCATTTCTATCAGGCTTATAACATTTAATTTCTCCTTTCCTCTGCTATTATTGAGTCCAATTTTCATCCCAATTGTGAGGCTACAGGATGTACCTTCCTCTCCAGTGAGAGCTCTCCATGGAGGTTTTCAGAGTGACAACCAGACTTATTAATATCATTACTGATTAATCATTTTAAGCGCAAGAAGTTTGTTGAATACTCTTGTTTGAACTTTCCAAGTATCTGTGGCTCCTGCCTTAAATGAGACATGGTTTCACTTAAAAAAAAAATCCTTTGGCCATATCTTCCCTGATCTGTGATCATCCATTGATCCTGAGTGCTATAGTAGATTGAACTATAGGCAGGTCCTTTTAGGAAACCTAAAGTAGTTCTTTCAGAAGCTTTTGATAAAGTTCAAGATCTTTGGGCTAACTTTGAGTATTCTTTGCAATCAGTTCAACCAAACAGTAAGAATCTCTTAAGGGTATCTCTAGTTTGCCAGGATTACTTGCCACTGCCCTGCAGTGAGTACTCATTGGTTTACTTAGGATGATTCTGCAGGCTACATTTTTCCAACCTTAGCATTTTCCCACATGATGGTTTCCTGACGTTTATGCTTTATCTCATCTCCTAAAATCCTACTTACTATCTCAGGCACTGCTGAAGTCTCCATCTTTCCCACCTAGTTGAGACATCCTCTCTCTGCCCATGTTTGTTGTACTGCCTTCAGTACCTAGTCCCTTATTTTCTTGCTACACCATATAATTTGTCCTTTGGCATTGTTTTCCTCACTTTACCTTGTAAATTCTTTGAGGTCAGAAGACATTTAATGAAATAGTTTTTCTCCTTTCTTGCAGGTCTCATAAAGATGGGTAGATAATAGGCACAAGGATGCGAGGCACATAAAAGTGTGCAAGAAAGAGTGATCCCCAGCCCTTGTGAAGCATTTGCTTTTCCAGCTGGCTTCACACCCTTAACCACCAGATTATACTGCCCCATAATCCCTATAGGTTGATTGATTGGTTTTACTTTAAATATTTGCACATAATCAATGGGCTTCTGTATATCTAGAATACGAGTTTTAACTTCACATTCAAGAATATTTAATATATTCAAGAATAGATTTTAAATATTTTATTAATGCAGTGAAACTGAATGCAAAATGTTGTGTACATTTTCTTCTGTCCCTTATCCTTTGCTCCTTCCCATCCCCAAGAATTCACAGCTTCAGATATACTCTCAAAGGAGTCTATGACCTCCAGAAGATTAGAAACCTCCACATTGAGCCTATGAGGACACTGCCAAAGCCAGTCATTTTGTAGGTAGGTAGGGGGTTGACAGGCAGCAAAATAAATTAATAAGAACTATTCTCATCTTCTCCCAAACTCTACCCTTCTTAGTGCATTTAAACAGTTATTCGAGGAAGTGTCTATCCAGGTCTCTTACAACAGGCTTCTATAGTGGTCTAGGGAGAGCTGTTATTTGCTGCCTCACCCCTCCTATGGGAAGTCTTCCTCCCACTCCAGCCCACTGCCCAAAGCTTATCAGTAGAACTGTGCCCCAGGCTGTGTACTGGTGGAATGCAATGCCTAAAGCAAATCCAGAATTAAGGAGTTCCACAGGGAGTGGCCCTGGGGGGGGATTAAGGAAACAGGGCTTCGATTTACCCTCAAGCAAAAATCCTGTTCCCCCCAAATCCTTCAGGGTATGTGAGTAGTGAGGATCAGTGTGAATTAGTATCTCAAAGTAAGCCTGCCAACCAGGTCCACAGTAATTGTCTTCCCTTCTTGTCTTAGAAAAAGAAAACTGAATTTCTGATTTTCTTCTCCTAAAAGTATAGCTCTCATTCTGCTCCTATCCATGTGGGCTAATGCGGCCCCAAGTTGTATTTTTTTCCTTACACCTTTGATGTTTGTCCTTCACTTGACTTCCTTCAAGGTTACCACAGACTTTCTGAGGGTCTAGGATGGGGGAGGAAGTGGATGTGTTATGTTAATATACATCTATCTCTTATCTTAGCATGGCAAATCCCAGTTCTCAAGAAGCCTCTTTCACAAGGCTTTTAAATACCCGATCTGTTCCTCTGAGGATCAGTGAATGTGAACACAGCCTTAGTCTACAAAATATGGAAGTAGGGACAAACTAAACTTTGCAAAATGTGTCCTGTTAAATTTATATGATGTTTACTAGATTTTATTCATGCCTAGCCCCATTTTTTCTCTACTTTTCAAGACTTCACCTGCTTCCTGGTCTGAAGTTTTAGGTCTCATGCAAGACCAACGGATCTTTTTACACTTTGCCACTAGCAAGGACAGAGGAGAACATTGCAACAGAACATGATGTCCTGGGTCCTGTGGTCAATATATGTATAGTTCCCTTATATAATCAGTAGTGACAATGACTCCCAGACCCCCAAGTCCGAACACTCTAAATTCTCCAGGTGTCCTATAGTGTGATGATTTGGAGTCATACTGATTAAAATTCATGAGCGAGAATGTTACTGCATTAGCTTGTTTTCACACTGCTATAAAAACACTACCTGAGACTAGAAAATTTACAAAGGAAAGAGGTTTAACTGACTCGCAGTTCTGCATGGCTCCAGAGGCCTCAGGAAACATACAATCATGGTGGAAGCAAAAGGGAAGCAGGCATGTGTTACGTGGTGGCAGGAGAGAGAGAAAGAGAAAGAGTGAGAGAGGGAGAGAGAAAAGGGGAAAGTGCCAGACATTTATCAAAAACAACCAGATCTTGTGAGAACTCACTCATTATTATGAGAACAGCATGGGGGAAACTGCTCCCACATGATCCAATCACCTCCTACCAGGTCCATCCCCCAGCACATGGGGATTACAATTCAGATTACAATTTAAGATGAGATTTGGACGGGGACACAGCCAAATCATATCAGGTATGTTTTAGAGAAAAGGGCTTTCTCTAAGAGGATGAGTTCTCACTTTTATCTATGACAGTTATAGGTAAGCTAAACTTCAAACCAAACACTGTTCATATTTGCTTTCCCTGGTTCTTTCAAGGATTCATCTGGATATCTTGATATTGTGGTTTGAAGTATTTGCAGTCTTTTTTTCCTAAATCTCTAAAAGGCATTTTTCCACATTCAAAGATATAGAGTCATTTAAAATATGAGGAAATTTGCATTTAGTAAGAAGGCAAAGAAAGCAAAAGTCCTGCAGTGAAATAATACTGTTGGGCTTACAAATGTGTTCTCATTGGATTTGTTTGAATTAGGATACATACATAAGTTAAATATGAGTTAGGACATAATAATCCAATTCACTGCTACACATATCTTAAAAACAATATTTTTGACCTCAATTTATTTTTCAAGTATTTACTGAACACTTACTATGGCTCAGCTCCAACATGTTGAAGAAATTCTAAATCTTTAGACATCAGTAGTCTTCTCAAATAGGTATCTCGCCACTTGAAGGAAATAAACTATATAAATAAATGGCAAAGATATGTATTTTTCAGAAGAATCAAAATTACTTCCAAGAGTATAGATGTCCTAAATTCAATTTCAGCAAATTCCTGCTACATGTAAACACATATCTTAATTTGATTTATGACCAAAATCTCAATGGCTGTAGATTCTTGGTTAATGATTATTTTATCCTGTTAAACTAACAAGGGTGACCAAATCACAGGATTTAGAAACTTTTGATAGCTTGATTTCTGACTGTAAGCTTCTACCTAAATCCTTTACAAAATTTTGGAAATAAGTAGAAGCACAAAAACAGTCATATTTAGTAGGTGATGATATGTTTGAACATATTGCCAAAATGACATTCTTTACATTTGGAGGATGAGATGGTTTGGTGGTTTGTCCCCTCTAAATATAATGTTGAAATGTAATCCTTAGTGTCGAAAGTAGGGTCTGGTTGGAGGTGTTTGTGTTATGAGGATGGACCCCCCCTTGAATGGTTTAGTGCCTTCCTTGCTTTAATGAGTTAGTTCTTGCTCTGACTTCACAAGAGATCTGGTTGTTTGAAAGAGCATGGCACCTCCCCACTCTCTCTCTTGCTTCTGCTTTCACCAGGTGATACACTGGCTTCCCCTTTGCTTTCCACCATGATTGTAAGCTTCCTGATGCCCTCACCAGACGCAGATGCTGGAGCCGTGCTTATACATCCTATAGAACTGTGAGTCAAAATAAACATCATTTCTTTATAAATTACCTAGTTTCAGATATTCCTTTTTATCAACACAAGAATGGACTAACTCCGAAGCATATCCTTATTCATCTCTAAGTTACCTAAATAAGAAAAAAAAAAAAAAAAGAAAGAAATCTTGATGCTCTTTCGTGATTCCGTATAGCATTGAAACTAGGTAAGAATTTGAATGGACAAATGATCAAAAACCAGAAATCAGCTGTATAATATGCAACATGTAATGGGTTCCTAGGGCAGAAAGCTCCCACTATGACTGAGGTTAAATTTCCCACCAGCATTACAAATGGTGACTTGGGATTCTTATTAACTTGAATTTTAGGGTGATAAATGCATTCTTTCCATACTGCTGAGTTTGTGGACTAAGATTATTACACTACTTAGCTGAGTATTTCACAAATCTTTACAGATGACAAATTTCAATGCTGCTCTTGGCAGAAAAGTACTCATGTCTCAATCTTCCTGTGTCTTTAATTTCCCCCTGCCCAAACCTTCATGAATTTTTTTGATTTTTCCCTCTTCCTCTTCTAGGCTTAAAATGACACAATGGTGAAGAATTTGACTATGAAAAATGTTATAAGAGTTGCAAACCTATCTTAGGTAAAATAATAATAATAATAATTAAATTGTAGGATAACTGACAACTTCTTCTCCAACCTGGCTGCTGAACAAAATTATCTTTAGAACAGCAAACTAGTGCTGAGGAACTTAATAGGATCTCTTCTGTAATGGCTGATAAGTAGGTGGATTCAACACAGGAATAGCAGAGTTGAGCAAAGAGGCTGTGATGCTTGGACATGGCTCCACTACTTAAGATAAAGAGAGGAGCTTGGCCATTGGCCAAGACTACCTGGGACATGCTGAACCTATGGTAACATGCTACAGCTTCTCTCCTTCTTCATTGTCTGCCATCACTGATTCATTCTCATAGCTAGAAGCCATTTGCTAATAATTAACACAAGCCTATATTGATGTGAACGTGGAAAATCCGAAGTTTGCTTTTTCACTCACCTTCCATTCTACAACTCCATTTGCCCTATCTTCTTGAGGTTTGTCTAGTCTGCAAATAAATTATAAAACCTGTTTCGGGCTCTTAATGTGCCTCCATCCTTTTGATATGTACTATGGTTGGTACAAGTAAGAATGGACACTGCCCTTCATCACAGGGAAACAGAGAGTTGTATGCTCTTTACTGACATTCCTGGTGTTCATAGTGAAGCATAGATAAGCTGAAAAGTTATGCTACCTGGGGGGAGGGAGCAGAAGAGTTACAGGAGCCTGGAGGGAACAGCACTGAGCCAGGGGGTCCAGGAACCTGGTTCGAACGGGAGGAGTATTTACCTGTGGCAGTGGAGTTAGTACTACTTGGGGGAGAACTTGGAAAGATAGTGCAACACATCAAGAATAAAGAGAGAAGCAATGTGGTGCTAGAGTGGAGAGAATGAGCAATGAGTGCTGAGGCTGGGATGATCAAAAGCAAGCTGACAGGGGCCCCAAAAAAATGGGTCAAGACCAACAGTTCAGAACTAAGGCTGTGAACAGCAAGAGGGAGCCTGAGTTCTCCTTTTATGTGACTCAGTGTGTGGCCCTGGTGTGAGGCTTACAAAGATCATTAAGGGCTGAAACAAAGCAAATGTTTAATGTGTGACTAGGGAACAGTTATTACATGGCAGATAATCATTATAAATATTAACGCACATTATTGAACTTTTGCTAAATAATTTATAGATTTATATATGTGCCCTATGTGAGATAAGCATTTTGATGATAATTAAACAATTCAAGGACCATTGTTTATATGTGTGTTTTGTGTGTAATATTTCTCCCAGTAAGGCTTATTTACCGATCAAAAATCATATTCCTTGGATTTGTCCCAAATTGCCTTATATTTCTCTGCAGTTCAGGGTTATTTTCTCATTCTGTTTTTGACCCTTAATATCCACACTCATGTCTGCCAGCATTTAGAATATAGGATGCTAATTGATTGATGTCTTTCAATCACAAACCTTAGGTTTTTCCTACTCTATAATTCTATTACTCCCTGAATAGTTCTGCGTTAAAAGGCCAGCAAGCAAACTCCTTGTAAAGGGCCACAGGAAATCTAGGAAGCCCTAGAGAGCTGTTTTGCATTTCTCAGTGATGTAGGTACCACCCTGTCTTAACTCCAGCTTTCTTTAAAATACTAGGTTCCATCTGGTGGTACTCCCTTTATATGGCATCACTAAACCTCCAATCATCACTTTGATATTCTTTGTTACATAAAAGTGTTTTCTTTCTCTCCATCAGTCTTAGCAAATAGGGAGTGAATTATTACATCAAAAGCATTTTTCACTTTAAAATTCAAACTACAGGGCAATCTTCATACCCTAAATCATGAAGAGCTACAAGCAATTCTGTTCACAGGTGGGGCTGCCACACTGGTTCAACCAAGTAGTGTCTTACCAACATAAGTATCATAGAGTCTCCAGGGCACTCCACTGAATTGGGATTGTAAAATTACTTTCTCAACACCTCTGTTAGGTAGAAAGATAATATGTATGACTGGAAAGTTGAAAAATAAGATGGGAAACAGCATGAGCAATATAATAGTATATGATTAATTAGCCAGGGAGACCTATGAGCAATAGGTCTTGCAGTTTAGAGGAGAGATTAATCAGGACAGAGGTAAATTGGAAAGGCTCATTGGAGAGGATAGCATGGGAAAAGGTCTTAAAAATAATGAGAATTGTTAATAGTAAAGAGGTAGAAGGGAAGCATTCTTGAAGAGAAGAGCAGGTGGCATTAAAGTTGAAGAAAATACACGTGTAGAGGCAATACTAAGCTACACACTTCAATAAAAGCAGTTAGAGATGCTGCATCAAATCTGTCCTCCTTCATAGAATGATCTGACATGAATGTGTTTAGAAATGTTGAGGGCTGCCCACCACAGACAAAGAGTTCTACCTAGATAATGGATGTTTCTAATTAAGATCATCCACACCAAAATAGGGTAGTAAGCATTAATCAGGTCCTTATCTCCTCCTACTCTTTCTTTATTCCTTTGCTTTTCTTCTCCCAAACACATGCTCCCAATCTACCCCCTTCCCACACAACTATTTGAGTCCTGTTCCCCTAAGGAACCTTTGTTTTATCAGAAAATTAACACTTGTAGTAGTAACTAGTAAGATAGAAAGTTTTGAGTTTTTCAAACTCTAAAAAATATGCATAAGTTCTCTATAAAAATTCTAAGGTGATAGTTGCTTTCTACAGCAAACATACCTCATAAAAAATATTTTTCAAGAAGCAAATTTTATGATACTATATGATACAATTATGATAGAAAGATAAAAGTAAAAGTTAGATATACCAAAATCAAGAAAGGCAACGGTTCTCCTAAGAACAAGATGTTCCTGAATCATGTGCAGTAATTTTATTGACTGAGTAAAAAAATAATACTAATGGACTAGTTCCATTCCTGGAAATTTATTACATATGGATAACAATGTTCAAGGAGTGAAAATACAGGTATCCTGCTGAGGATATAAGAATAATACCATGTTATGAATGTTATGCTATGAATATGGAAATATGGCACTTCACCAAAAACAAAAAACTTCTTTTCTTCTTTCACAGGCAAACAGGTTTCTTTTTTAAAATTTTCAACTTTTATTTTAAGTTCGGAGGTATATGTGCAGGACATACAGGTTTGTTACTTAAGTAAACCTGTGCATGGTGGTTGCTGCACAGATCATCCCAACACCCTGTATTAATCCCCACATCCATTAGCTATTCTTCCTGATTCTCTCCCTCCTCCCACTCCCAACCCTCGGACAGGCCCCAGTGTCTGTTCTTTCCCCCTGTGTGGCCATGTGTTCTCATAATTTAGCTCCCACTTATAAGTGAGAACAGGTGGTATTTGGATTTCTGTTTCTGTGTTAGTTTGCTAAGGATAATGGCCTGCAGCTCCACCCATGTCCTTACAAAGGACGTGATCTCGTTTCTTTTTATGGCTGCATAGTATTCCATGGTGTATATGTGCCACCATTTCTTTATCCAGTCTATCACTGATGGACATTTAGGTTGATTCTATGTCTTTGCTATTGTGAATAGTGCTACAATGAACACACGTGTGCATGTGTCTTTATAATAGAAAGATCTGTATTCCTTTGGGTATATACCCAGTAATGGGATTGCTGGGTCAAATGGTATTTCTGCCTCTAGGTCTTTGAGGAATTGCCACCCTGTCTTCCACGATAGTCGAAATAATTTATACTCCCACCAACTTTGTAAAAGCATTCTTTTTCTAAACAACCTCACCAGCATCTGTTATTTCTTGACTTTTTAATAATAGACATTCTGACTTGTATGAGATGGTATCTCATTGCAGTTTTGATGACAAACAGGTTTCTACAAGCAATTTTTCAGCAGTCATAGCCTTCATGAATTTGGACAGACTAGAAACACTGCATCAGGCTGCATATAGTTATAAAGAAGGTGTAGAAAATGTATATGGCACAGACATTGCACCCAAAGGGCTTCACATCTGCTTGAAGAGAATAAAGTCACTGTCAGATGTCAAAGGAGAATAAAAGCTTGGAAAGAGTAGCCCCAGCTCTCTCCCTCTCTCTTTTGCCTGCTGATTTTGCACTAGTGCTTTCCACTGGCCAAATCTAACACAAAGAAAGCAATACAAAGAAAGCCATAGAAATTATTAGTCTCCTGGGCCACAGAACAAGAAAAAGAAGTGTAGAAAATGAACCTGTGAGGTTAAATAGGGAGATAGCATTACAGGAAGAGGAGGCACAAGCAATCCGTCTTTTAGCCATCCATCTATTCTTGAAAGTCAAAGAATCCATCTGAGAATCAGCACCCTGCAAGGTCAAGGTGCTGTCCTACAGGCTCTGAAACTGGTCTTAAACAAACAACAAATACATCAAATTTGTATCCTCCACAGCAAGATTACTCAGATTCAAGAATTTCCTTCTAATTCTAGTAACTTTGGATTAATTGAACTTGATGGATTGTATCATTGTTCATAAGAAGTATCTGTCCTTTCCTGGATGAGAATTATTTACATCAGGCTTAGTATGTGACTTAATTTGGCCTATAAAATGTGGTTAGAAGAGATACGTATCACTTATCACTTCTAAGCAGTAGTTTTACAAATCAGTGATTGGTTCAACATCTTCTCTTTTTCTTCTGTCTCATGACCAAAAATGTTCAGATGGAGGCTGCTTTATCAGTCTGGGTCCTGAAGTGAAATCTCTGTGGAACAGAGGTGCAGCCAACCAGTAATAGATATAGAGAACAAAAGAGAAATCAACCTTGTAAGTGACTGAAATTCCATGGTCATTTGTTGCCACAGCATAACCTAGCCTATCCATATTGACACAGAAACACTAGAGACGATGGCCATGATTTCACTAATTGCTAGCTGAAATGTGTCTCTGGTTATTTTGGGTTCCTCAGCCATTCAACAAACACCCATGAGAAAGTAGATTGCTGCTCCACTATAAGGATAAGGGGGGCTAAGCCTTGAACCCAGAAGATTCACTGCAGGTATTGGTAATATCCTAATACCACTATGGAAAACTTTGGCAAACCAATGTAGACAAGACCATTAAAGGCTCAGAGCCTATGACTTAAAGGTTTGGGTCATCTCACCAGGTAAACAATCCTGACCAGGTGAGATCATTCTAATAGAATGGATAACGAGAAAAGGAAGTTATGATTATCAGCTTTGGCCTTACGAAAAGTTAAAGAGTCGGAGAGAAGTATTAATGCTTAGTTTATGCTAATTGATCTTGGTTTTTTTTCTTGCTTCTTTTCTTCCTTTCTACCTTGTATGAAGCATGCCGGTGGTACCTTACATTACTAATTACGAACAATTTAGAAGTAGGCTTAAGTAGACAAACACTGAGATGATACACAGTGGCTGCCAGGACTTTCTTTTTGCCCTGTATTTAAAAGGAGAATTTTATTGTCTATACCAAGGACAAGGGCAAAAGCTGAAGGACAAAAGGAGTACACTGTACTGGTTTTTCTCCATCTTCCTGGCCCCCTATCTATTATCCATATTGTTTGGACTTCCTCTGTGGCCAGAAGGATTGACCCTAAGGACTATAACTTCTCACTGTTATACTCATGGAATTCTAGTTAAGTACACTGGAGGCACAAATAGGACATCAAAAGACAGAAGGAGGGACAGGTCCCTTTCCTGTTGCTGTCTGCATCAGAACACCATCTCTGGCTGTCTCTATCCATTACTGAAGTTTTGTTCTGGGCAGCTCATTCTCCATGGTTCCAGTCCTCTTGGGTTCCAGTAACATTGTTTTCTCTCTCTGTATCTTAGGTGTAGAAATAGTATCAGCTTCCAACAGTTTGTCTCTGGATGATTCAATATGCCTTGCTGAACCCCTTAACTCCTGCCATGCTTCTATAAACTTCCTCTTTATTTAATGTTTGTTCTTTAAGATCCTCATGTGATTAAGATTTTTCTCACTCGTCTCCCGATGCTTGCTTAAGACTTAATACATACCATTTCCACTATGCTGCTAATGCAGAACCACAAACACTCATGTATGTATATGCAGATACTGTAGCTTACCTCTATCTTTCTTGACTTTGAAAAGTTGAATATTTCCAAGGTTTTTGTGGTTTTTTTTCCCCTTTTTTTGGATGGAGGTAAACACTGAACCTGGTTACTTGGGTCGAAATGCATAGTTTTCTTCAATAGCAAGCTCCTGAGCCTTGTATAATTCCCCTAATTATGCTCATGTTCTCAGATTTTTCTGAGAAGAAAAAGTCATTCTCTTAAAACAATTTAGTGTTCTTTGAAAATAGGCTGTCTAGAAGCTAGCTAACATCTGAGGTACCACTTTAAATTCTTGATTCTTGACTATTATACCATTTTCTTATTGAAATTCAATCCAAACCAGAAGCATAACCCAAGTTTAAGAAATAATTAGTTGATTTCAGTATGTTGCTCAATTAACCAACAATTCAAAAGGCTATTTCTGTCAATTACTTTCCTAGAATTTTGGTGGTAGCGGATGGTAAAAAGAGGAAAAGGTTAGTACCCAAGAGGCACGAATCATCAAATTGAACAAGGCCAACACACTTGAAACAATTAGTTAATAGTACAAGATGGTATGTGAAAGCATTCTTAATGGGGACAATACAGACTTTAAGACCTTTGGGAGCTCAGAAAAGAGAGAAATCAATAAAGTATAGAATATTCCAGGAAGGCTTTAGCTTGAGGGAACATGAAGTTTGTATTTTGGAGTGAAGTGTTTTAAAACTGTGTTTACCTTGAGGCACTGGCAGTGTCTCTCTAAATATATGCCACTCATAGGATGGAAGAGGCAATAACACACAACAGTGTCTACTAGCCAACCATTTTCCATAATACACTGATGACACTTGAAACTTGGTGAGTTTTATAACCAGTATCTACACAAGCCAATGTGCCATAATCACAGAAAAATTACTAGATGAGAAATCAGGGGACCTCTTTCTTTGTGTCCTTCTAGACACAGAATAAGAACAAATGGTAGTGATCTTTCTTTGTAGGACTCTCCTTATAAGGTTTTAACATAAATCTCATTACACTGAAATCCTGGCAGAGTATTCATTAGAACATCACTAAAGTCTGTGTAGAGGACTTAATAGCTGAAACAAGGCATTGGAATTAGCCAATCATTCTATAAATGAACTCACCATGAACCTTTTTTCTAAATTTAGGTAAAATTTCTGGAGACCTTTTCTTTGCTACACGATAGAATGCCACTCAAACTTGTAAACAAAGTATGTTTTGCCTATATTTGTAACTTCCAAAAACAACTTATCTAGTAGATACTTAACAAATATCTATTTATAATGATAATAACACAGACAGGTTAATTCGGATTAGAGTTAAATACCAAAATACTATAAGATTTGAGTTAAAAGAGATGTACTGAATGCTGTGGTCTGAATGTTTGTGCCCCTCAAAATTCATACGTTGAAACCTAATCCCAAAGGTGATGGTAGTTACGAGGTGGGGCCTTTGGGAGGTGATTGAGTCACGTGCTTTTGGCTCTCATGAATGGGATTTGTCCCCTCATAAAAGAGGCCTGGGAGAGCTTGTTCATCCCTTTTGTCATGTGAGGATGCAGAAAAATGACATCACCTATGAAGCAAAGAGCCCTCACTAGACATCACATCTTTTGGTACCTTGATCTTGAAGTTGAAACAGACTAAGAGACTGAATTTCTGAACAATGAAGTGTTATTTAGAAACTCTCTTTTTGTCTCTTTTTCAATTCTTCCTTGGAAAGTATTTTCTCATTTTAAAACAGTTTAATACATATATATGTATATGTATGTTACTTAACATTTATGGAACAACTGTTCTAACTCTCTGCTACGCCCTGCTTCTACTTCAATCAGGGCAGTTACATGACTATAACTGCGTAATTCTTTGATGATATAATCATTGTTTTATTATGTGCATCAAGAGCCACTGTTTGCCATTGTCAATTTATAAATGGTCTGTAGGACAGAGCAGTAAGCATCTGAAGTAAAAGGTTCATGTGTTAGGGGTATTTTAGGCAGGAAGAGAATGAGATGACTATGCAATGACTTTAGTAGGTGAGGAAGGATCTGTGTACTGTATCCCTGCTGCAAGGAGGAAACAGAACATTCCTGCTCTCATGGACAAGGAGGCCTATGTTGGAGGCCTTATGTTCTGCTCACCCTGAAATGTAGCCTGTGTGATGGCTATTGCACACAGTGAGCAAAGAACATTGGGACAGCAAGCAGTATACATATTGGAAAACACAGATATGTTTGTTAGCTCAGGCATGCATGACATATCTTTTCAAAAACCTGGTGGAAAAAAAACAGCCTAAATGAATGATGATCAAAGCCTACATACAGAGAGCATGTATAGCAAGACAAAATTCAAGACCCTAGTGACATTTATTTTCTGGAACTTGTCCCCTTTTATCCAAAAATTAAACTACTAGGGAAAAAAATTCATCTGCTATCTCCAGTACCAAGAGTATGATGATTGTTGACTTAAAGTTGCTGGTGAGTGCTTCAGGGAAGACAGTGGAAAACATCAAAGCCTCTGTATAACACTCTTTGCTATTTCGTTGAGCAAAAGAGGAGTCTTCCTTAAATCAAGGCCAAGAGAGATTACTACTGAACAACCCCCCTCACCAAAAAAACACCTAAGTTCTGTTTCACTAATAATGTTACTTTGAGTCACAGAATTTGCAGTGATAGACTAAAACTACCTAAAACATATTTTTTCCTTGCTTGTTTCAATCGTTTACAATTGTCCTTAGTTATTCCACATCTGAGGAAAGATATCTGAATAAAATTTTGAAAGACTTTGGGGGTGGTAAAATGTATTCTGCAATTGAATGTATGACCTTCCTTTGGAGATTGTCTTAAGACATATTAATACTACAATAATACAGAAGTAGATAGCTGCTGTGACTGGGTGGCTGTACTAAGATTTTAGAGAGAGAATATTCTACCAGATTGGCCATGCATTTTTAATATATATCCACATAAAATATATAATACATACATGTGCATATATACCCACATAAAATATACATTATATATTATATATTTGCATATGTATGTATATATGGTGCAATTTAAATTGTTATATACAAAACTGTGTATACATGTACATGTAGACACAAAGATATACACACAACTTAGTAAAACACAAAATAATACAATATCAAGGCCATCAATGCTAAGAGATTATCAAGTTAAATATCTCTCATTTTGAAGATAAGCACAAGAAAGCCCACAAAATATGATTTTGGTAAGTCACCATGTCTCTGGATTCTCAGTCACATGCTTTGCCTAACATTCACTTTCCACATTGTTCTTTGTCACTCTAATTATGGCAACATGTCCTTTCTTTTCCCCAACTTTTCTGGGATTTTATGGAATTCCTGTATGAAACTGTGTTATTCGACAGAATTTTTGGACTGAGTAAATATAACCACTTGACTTTTCTTTATTTTCCCACAATTTCTTCAGTCACCTCCACTGCCTCTTAGCTGCCAGTGATTGCATTGGTCGATTGCCTGGTAGTGGGGTGAAAGGAATAAACAGTGGCTATCTGATAATCTTTCTGGTTTTCCTTTAAACAAGCTCACTGGAGTATATGTCCTCTACACTAGTTTCTGAGGGAGGACATGTAAGTGTTCCAGTAACTCTGTCACCAGTCTGGTAATTCTTATTGTTGAGTTGCCTTTACAGCCACCTTAGAATCCACCCAAAGAAAATGAACACAATTGCTCCCCCTTAACTTCCCCTCCTTTTCCAAACTGCTATTGTCTTATAATCATATCTCAACTTTGATCAAGCCTTCTATTACGTGATGCTTGAATCTACTAATTTGAACTTATTCCTTAAATATCTCAAATTATCTTCTGACATAAGGAAACAAATTTCGGTTTCATGAAACCATTTCTCATTATAACTGTGAGCATATAAGTGACCTTAATTTTCAAAAATATGTTGCAATGCTTCTAAATATAACTAAGATTATTGAAATCAGACATTTGTTTCTTTGTTGCCAGTTTACATCTAATAATTATGTACAGGAAGTTGTTGATTTGCAGAAAGGTACCAAGTCAAATTTTCTATAATGCTCTTTGAGTCATAGACAATTAGCTTATTATAGAAAAAAAAATGATTTATCAGCTTTGCCTTTTGTCCTAAGTTGTCTTTCTTTTCTAAGATCTCTTACTAAAGAATAGAAATAGATAGACCCAGCAGAGAAACTGAAAGCCTGTTTTTTTGTTTGTTTGTTTTTTGTTTTGTTTTTGTTTGTTGGTTCAGCTGAGCTAAATGTCCTTAGTGGACAGTAAATGTTTTAGCTGTTTTCTGTATTTCTATGCTCCCAAGTTGTCAGACCTCATATATTGGGGTTAACATACCAGACCATCAGCCCTGGTATGCTTAAAGTTGCATTTCTTAAAATCTGGCTACCTGAGAAAGATTTTCTGAATGTGTTACGTTGCATGAAAACATATTTACTAAATTATTTTTTTGAAAATACATATAGAAACTTCTGATATCAGAATAGTGATGTATTCGGTCATGAGTTGGGAATCCAAAAGCAGCTCCTGAAGGAAATAGTTAAATGTAATGAGGAATTAGTTATTGTAATAAAAGTGAAGGAAAATAGAATGATGAGAGGGACAAGCATCTAAATAGAAAATCCTGGCCCGGAAAATCCTGGTCTTAGGTCATCTCTGTGCAGTGTGAGAACTCAAGATTAGAGAAATACCTGAGTTGTTATAACAAACCCAGCTTGGGAAGGTGTCCCATTCATATTGATGCCCGTTTAGAAGCTATGCACCTAGTTAGGATTCCTGATGGCGTGATGTCAGTCATCACTATCATCATTATTGTATGATGCCTTTGGTGTTCATTTGAACCACCTTCAAGTTGGGGGAGAGCTGGACTGAGAGAATGTCTTCAAAAGGTGTTGTGCTACTTTACCCATTTGTCTGTCTTGCTTTTAGGCTCATATTCATCAGTTCAGGAGACCTCAATCAGAGGCTGAGCTGCTGCAATGTGCTTCCACAAACATACACACACTGCATCCAGCTGCCTGATGGGGGGGACCTGCTAATTGGAGAAGTCTGCTCTGGTCCCCTGTCACCAGTTGGCAGACAGAACAGTCTGGGCCGAAGCTGATTCCCAGAGTCAGGCATTCATTTATCTCAGTGATAACAGGGTATGTGTAGAGAGAGGGAGCAAAGAAAGCGAAGGGCAGCTGCAGTTGAGGTGGGGACAGTACTAATGCCTCGGCATCAAGGACATGCTTCACGGAGGTGCTTGGCACTTTATTCCTCTCTCCAAAGTTTAATTAGTCACTAATTATGAACAGCTCTCTTTTATTATGGATGCATTTGGCCACTGCTGTAATTTTTTAAGAAACATGTTCTCATCTCAACCAAGTTCCAAATGCTAACGTATCAGTGTCAGAAACTGCAGTCAAGCACAACCTGTCCCCAAATCCCAGCCCCTTGAAACACGATGGCTCATTATTAACTTAAAAAGGATGATGACACTGATACTATTTATAGGTCCCTTCCAGGCAGGTCTGCCAGCGTTAAAGAAATTAACATGGAGAAATTGTCAACTGGAAAACATTAGTGTTTATCAACAGATCAATCAAACTTCAGCAACTGTAAACTGTGCTTTTAGCTAAGTGAAACCTACTAACAATAACAGCCACTTGCCCACCTTTCTGGGGAGTCCTATGTCCCCATATCCAAACCAAATAAACTGTCCCTTTGACACTGTGGCCATAATCCTGCTGCTGCCTGTTAGGGAAGAGTCTACCTGCCTCTGTCCCACATCCAGGAGCAAACTGGAATGATGGTGGTGTCAGTCATGTTTTAATTAGCTTTAACTGCCAGTTTGTAAAGTCTCAAGCAGACTAAAATAAATACTGGGGTTAGTGGCTCCAGAAGGCAAATTCTAGTTTCTTTATGAAAGGAAGACTCTATGATTTAAGGATTTAAGGAGTTTTTCTTGGTTCTCTCATCCTTTTAAAGCAGTGCTTGACTCTCATTGTTGTATATTTAGAGATGGTTCTATTTTCATTTCTGGGCTACAGCGGCGATGATGACATGGCTTCAGAACCTGAACAAAGCTGGAGAGCCCTGATAGGCTGCTGGTGATGTCATCCCTGTGCCTCTAATGCCCAGGAAAAGCACCAGGGACTGACTGTTTTCCTGACTTTTCTTTTCTTTCTTTTTTCCTTATTCTTCCTTTCTCCCCCAACCTCTTTTTTTTTTTCAAATATAAAAATCCCATTTTCACACTAACAGTGCATTTGGAGTTTCATATCCTAGCAACGTTATCACTAAAGGTAGCCGGTGACCGCTCCATACAGACCAACACTGCTTTGGCTTGATACACAGTTTCAGCTCTCAGGGAGAGGATTTTGTGCTGCATCACACTGAATATTGCGGCTCTGTAATTTCTTGTCATTATAGCAAACCCTTTGACGTGCTTCCTTTCTGTAACCCAGATGATCATCACCTGTCAAATTCGACTGCTCACACAAATTCTAACTAGAGGAACCTGACAATGGTAGGGGCCATGAAAACCAAAGGAGATAGAAAATACGGCAAGCGCACCTAGCTTCAAGATGACAATAGCCTTGACTCATCGCACAGGCTTCTTAGCTATCATATAGCCTCACCCACTGCCACCTTTTGTTATTTTTATGCATTCATTCCTAAAACTGCAGGACTGGGGAAATGTTTTTACTAGGGTAGGTTGGGATGGCCTGGGGCACCTAGAGGGAATAGAAGGAGCTCTCTGGATCCCGACTTAGATGGTTTCATTTTTGTATTCAGTGTGTAGCAAATTCTGTGTTCTCCTAAAAACAAAAATACAAAAACCAATCACCGCGGTTTTAGTTTCAACAACCTAGGTAAAACCCTCTCTAAGTCCCAAGTTTCTCATCTTATTAAGTGGGACAATAAAATGCATCTCACCAAGGAGTTGTGAGCATTAAATTCACTGCTGTCTATGGAGCACATAGTGTATAATAGGAGCAAAACTAAAATCTGTCAATTCCATTCCAAGCTTTGTGACACCACTAAATAAACAGGTAATGTAAAAAAATAAACAACAGGAAAAATAAACAATAAGGAAAAGTAATAAACAGCAAAAAAAAAAAAAGAAAAAGAAAAAAGAAAAACCAACAGGAGAAAAGGAGAATTGAGAACTGTAAACAATCTCCAAGCCAGGCCAAGGACACTTAGTACATTCTCAACTCCAGAGTCATTTCCCTTCCTTATAGCACTGCAATTGGCTTTCCCTGGAGCAAACACTACAATGCTAGAATTTGAGGAAAGGTGGAGGCATACGAATAATTCATTTAAAAACCAAAATCTAAAATTTGTTTAAAAATCTGATCTGTCTTCACTTGATGCAAGAGAGCTTCGATAATCCAAAGCAAAACCCTACCTACAGGATTTCTGCTCAGGAAATTTAGCAGGTCAATAAGCCTCAAAAAAGAAAAATCACAGTTGTAAAGGTATATTTGCAAAACTGTACTGAATGTTGTGAAAATTACATAATAAATATGAGTCATGGACCTTGCCATTGAGACTTACAATACAATTTTAACATGTAAACATAAATTTGTGAAAAGTGAATGAATATAATAATTCAAAACCAAAATAAGAGCTCAAGATAATAGTAGAAGACACATCAAAAGCAGGGTGTGATTAAATGTAAATTGTATTGTACACATAACTATCTCATAGGAACTAGAAAGAGAAAGATTTTACTTCTAAATGGAATGGTCAGAAAAAGTTTGAAAAAGAGTGTGAGCTACCCTTTGGGTCACAAAAGATGGGCTTGATTTGGTTAAACAATAGGAAGAGGGTGGATGGTCAGACAGAAGGAAAAGTTTGAGAACAGAGAACAGGTACAGCCATACTCAAAAAGTAGGTGGAAGAAAATGATTTGTGTAAAGGTGTACCAGGGAATATACTGGAAAGCTCTGAGGGTTCCATTAAAGACAATAGGTCCTGGAATGTAAAGCCATTCATTGTGCATTCAGTGTGGAAGAAGACAGGCAGTCATTTGCATTTAAACTTACTTTTTTTTTTTACTTTTGTGGATCTGAAATGCTTCATATGATCTATGCACACATTGGTTCCTTGGTTTCTGCTCCCCCAGTATTTTTTTCTTTCTTTCTTTTCTTCCTCTTTTTTTTTTTTTTTTAAGAGTCAGGGGCTAACTCTGTCTTCCAAGCTAGAGTATAGTGGTGGGATCATAGCTCTAGCTCATTGTAACCTTGAGCTCGTGGGCTCAAGTGATTGTCCCGCCTCAGCCTCTGGATAAGCTGGAATGCACCAGCATGCCCAGGTGATTTTTTTTAATTTTAATTTTTAGAGACAGGGTCTCACTATGTTGCCCAGGTGGGTCTCAAACTCCTGGCCTCAAAGCAATCCTCTCACCTCCCACTCCAATATCTTTGATGCTGTTCATTGTCACCCACCTCTTTATAGACAACAAACCCTGTCCAGATTCTAGTAAAAACCCACCAATCTATTATATTCTTAACACTTTGGTTTTCAATGTTTTTGACAGTTACAAATTCTAGTTTTGGTAGAATTTCTTCAGAATAAAATATTCTGTCTTTGTATCTGTTCATTTCAGGGTCCCACATTGTTTCAATACGAAAAAAAGTTATTTTAAATGTGAAAAATTTTTACTCAATTTATTAGATATGTAATATGTGTATAATGCTGATATAATGAATAATATTTTTCTTCTAATTGATTTGATCAGGAACATCAGCATCATACTTTCTTTGATTCTGCACTCCTTTACTTTCATTTTCTAGGTACGTTTTATATAGTATGCTATTCTTAATGCAAGCTCACTTTTCCCGGTAAACAACATAGAAAGACCAAGTTTTACAGCTTGCCTAAAAAACTATAGTGCAACCTAGGGAATGATGGAAATATAGTAACCATCAGTCTGGTATCATGCAGATTACAACATGTACTAAAGTTTTTTTCCAAGGTATTCCCACCTTGTTTTCCTTTTAAATTTTCTGACTCATTCTGAAGTTTTCACTGTTTGGACCAAATTTGTTTCTTTTCATTTAAATTTTTCAAATCCATCTCTTATAATTTCTAACTGTTCAATTAGACCAGTGGGGCATTTAAATTGTTTTGTTGTTGTAGTTATCTAAATTAGCAGAACACCATTCCACTCAGAGGCAGATACTGCAAATTGCAGGCAAAGGGCCAGTCCCAAAGAAGCAACTGCTGATTGCCAAGATATATGCCTAGAAAACTAAATTCTACATCAATTGATTGCTCCTGTCACATTACACAGGTGATTTTGAATCAATAATTTCGTTTCAGAATTAACTAAATATGTTATTCGCACTGACACATTAAATGTTTTCAAGAAGAAACTTTCATGCTCATTGGAGAACAATTGCTGTGATCTCAGGGACAGATAGTATCTTCAAATTACCTATGTATTCTCTAGATCATAGGCAGATAGTTCCTGGCCAGACAAAGGAAGAAGAGTTTCTAGTTTAACGTATCTACGAACCATGAAAGTTATTTTATTCTATAGAGCTTTGTGTATGGCTGGAAGAGAGCCATTTCTAGTTTATTAAGAAAATTTATCCTTTTCAAGCATACCTTTAAAAGTTGCTATTTCATGGCTGGGCACAGCACTTTAGGAGGCTAAGGAGGGAGGATCACTTGAAGCAGGCATTCGAGACCAGCTTGGCAACATATCAAGACCTTGTCTCTACAAAAAATTAAAAAACGTTAGCTGGGTTGGTGGTACATGCCTGTAGATGGAGCTACTCTGAATGCTGATGTGGGAGGGTCGCTTGAGCCTAGGAGTTAGAAGTTACATACTTCTATGAGCTATGATGGCTCACTCCAGCCTGGGTGATAAAGCAAGACCCTGTCTCTAAAATGAATAAACAAATAAATACAAGTTGCTATTTCATTAGTTATGAAGGTTTATTCATCATATTCTTTCTTTCTTTTTCCTTTTTTATGCATTTTTTTTTTTGAGACAAGGTTTCCCTCTGTCGCCCAGGCTGGAGTGCAGGTGCCAAATCTCTGCTCACTGCAACCTCCACCTTCTGGGCTCAAGTGGTCCTCCCATCCCAGCCTCCACAGTAGCTGGGACCACAGGTGTCCACCACCATGCCCAGCTAATTTTTTGTATTTTTGGTAGAGACGGAGACGGAGTTTCACCACGTTGCCGAGGCTGGTCTCAAACTCCTGAGTTCAAATGATCCACCCACCTCGGCCTCTCAGACTCCTGGGATTGCAGGTTTGAGCCAATGCGCCTGGCCCATTTTTTCTTTTTTAAAGAAAATTATTCCTTCAATACATATTTATTGAGGGATTAATATGGGACAGACACTGCTAGACACTGAGTGGATCCTTGGTGAACAAAACAGACATGTCCTCTGCTCTCATGTATTGTTGAAAGAATAAAACAGGGTACAAGGATAAAAAAAAAATACAGGGAGGAGATTTGTGAGGTATGATGGTCAGGGGACGTCCCTGTGAAGAGTTGACATTTAAACATACACATGACAGCTGAGAAGGAGTCATTCTTGCAAAGAGCAAAAAGAATAGCATGTGCAGAAAGCCTGAATTAGGAAAGAATTTAGCAAGTATGTTAAAAGAAGCCTGAGCTGCTGTAGCAGAGTGAGCCATGGACAGAGAGGTACGAGATAAATTTGGAAAGGAAAGTAAGAACCATAGCAGCCACGGACATAGGTAAAATATTATTCAAAATGAAGGAGAAAATACCAAAGAATTATAAGAAGGAATACAAAATAAACAGACAACAATTTATAAAGCTCACTTTGGCAGGGTGCCGTGGCTCAAGCCTGTAATCCCAGCACTTTGAGAGGCCAAGGCAGGAGGATCGCTTGAGGCCAGAAGTTCAAGCTTGGCCTGGGCAACATAGTGAGATACCATCTCTACAAAGGTAAAATAAATAATAATCATAAAAATAAATCACTCTGATTATTATAGGATAATTGCATTAGAAAGGCTATGAATGTAAACAGGGAGAATGGTTCAGAAATTTTCAGTAGTTTAGGTGAGAGATGATCGTGGTAGCTTGCAGTGGAGTGAGAGCAGTGGAGATAGGGAAAATTAGATTTATGTGAAACACACACACACACACACAAACACACACACCAAAAGAAACATGTGTGTATTTCATCTGTTTCAGATGGATAGAGTTGGGTTGTCAGAGAGAGAGAAATCAAACTGAGCAGATGGCTGACTGGTGGTAGCTTTTCTAGATAAGGTTTGATGGAGGCAGCTTTGGGGAAGAGGAATACTGGGAATGCCATTTGGATCACCTGAATTTTGAGATGCCTATGAGCCATCCAATTGGTGACATCCAGTAAGGAGTTGCTATACACATGGGGAGCTCAAAAGAGAGGCCAAGGTTGGGTTGAAATGTGGAAGCCATCAACATATAGATGCCATTTGATAGCATGGCAATGAATGAGATCATCTAAGGAGAAACTGCACAACCAATCCACCCCCGGATGAAGATTAGGGGATTTCTAATATTTGGATGCTGGGGAAAAATGCAGGAACATAAAGAGGCCAAGTAAAGTGGCCTGAGAAGTGGAAAGAAAATGATGATTGTTTAGTGAAATATAATCCAAGAAAAGAGAATGATTTGAGAAAGAAAACAGTCCATTTGAGAGAGCCCTCTGTGTTGCAGCATAGAGTTAAAAATTTGCAATGGCCACAAGTCACTCTTGCTCTAAGGGTGGGGTCACAAGCCAGCCATCAGTGGCTTGGGTCCCCAAGGAATAATAGGCCTTGGCTTCATCCTTGTTTTAATGTCACATTGAAAATATTTCCCAAATATATGTTATTGCTTTATCTGTGGTTATATAATGTTCTACACAATTGGTCTGTTTAATTTTGTGACAGAAATTCAAACTGGTTGTTTAATTGAATTTTTCCATTATTTCTGCTTATAATTTATTTGTGTGTCTAAATATATCCTGAAACACAGACTGGGGCCTATGTACTCAACAAACAAGCAAACAGAAATCACTCAATGAAGAGGAACAAAACATCCTGTTTCTGAAAGAGGCAGATAAATTTGTATTTATTTATTTTATTTTTTCACTATTCAGCTTTTGAACTTTGGTTGCTCAAATTCAGGAGATAATTGTTTAAGTTGCCACAAGAATCATCCTGTGGAATCTCAGCGTGAAGCTAGCAGTACTAAAATGTGCAAAATTTGAACTCCAAAGGAAATTTCATCCCCTCATATCATCAGACTGAAAACATCCAAATGGTTAGAGATTTACCTTTGTCCGTTGAACCTCTCACCATGTCAGTGGATCTCCCACGTTAAAAAAACAGGCGGAATTCTGGAAGTTGAAATATACAGGCCACATAAGTTTGGTATCTTGGAAACATAAAAGCAATTAAATGCTCCCTCAACCCACACACAAACACACATACAACACATCATCCCTTAAGATGTGACATCCAACTTCTAATAAAAAATTTCGCCAACAATAAAGCCATGAAAGCAATGCACATTGTCTGAATAAAAGCCTTCTTTTGACGAGAAAATGACTATTAATGAGAACATGTTCGTTTCTGACATCAAGCTTGAAGAGACATAGGTCATAAATCTCTTTGATCTTCTTGCTAAAGCTAGAATCAAGCAAAGAAGTTCATTCATTTAAAAAAAAAATCCTTTTGATTGAAATGATTCCATTTAGTTACAAGTAATTTATCATGTTTCTCTTTCCCTTCCCAGGTTTGGTTTGTTTTTCATTCTCGACTCCATCATCACAGTTAAATCTTTGCTTGGGTTCCAACTCGTTGTTACTTAAGGGTTTCTTACTTGAAGGAGGTCAGGCAAAACTTCTAAGAGAAATGTGTACTGGTAGGGGGGTCTAGTCTGGGAGATGAGACAAACAACAATAAGAATTCATAAATTTTGAACAAAAAAAAATGTCTCTCGTAGTCAGCCTGTAAGCTGCCTTCACTTGGTTTAGACGCATCAACACTGCCCTCTCTTGTTTTTTCACAGCTTACATTGAAACTTTGGCTTCAATGCACACCCTTAACCAATCCAGCATCTCTTTCTTCCCATTGCTTCCCGAAAGTCACCACCAAAAACAGAACATAGAGTTCTGATATATTCTCTTCCAGTTCCATTTATTCCCAGTTTTATTAAATATGGGATCTTTTGTTTATTTCTGGGTGTGTCTGCTCCTGTCTTAATACAAAGGACCTGGGAGGAGCAGGAGGTGTAAGCCTCTTATGAGCAATGTCCCTTTGGACATGTCATTCAAGCAGCCCTGACAGAACTGCCATCTTTTTATTTCTATAAGGATGATGAATTCCACTTCCAATATACTCTGAGAACGTATTTGCAGATTGCCGTCCTGGCTGCAAGGTAAAATTTGGAGTCCTTTTTTCGATTATTTCAAACCAAACTTCCTCACTATCTGGGGCCTCGGAACTTCCTTGGTGAAAAGAATTAAAGCCAGAGGGTTATTGTGCAAAGCTGCAGGAGTGTCTGCACACCTTTCGTGAGGCAGAGAAGGCAAGAGATTGCCAAATACTCACATCTTTACCTCTCTTAATTTTCAACAAATAAAATTTAAAGGAAGGATTTTTCTCTCCATTTCTGAAAGAATTCAGAGAAAATGGAAGATATTCAGGCTTAAGTCACTGATTGGCACAGTTAATTATCCCTCTTGCTTCCCACTCTTGATTAGCATTTTGATTTTGGTCAAATGAGTTGGAATCACAGGACAGAAAGAAGTATTAAAAAACAAAATGATCACTTGAGTCATAGGCTTTTAATTTTTTACATGCAAAATTTTGGAACTACCACTCTAGCTCATTCACAGGATACAAGCTATTTTTTTTAGTGCTTCTGAATACACAAATCTGAGATGGACCAAAATGAGGCTAAGAAAGCTAGATGAAAACCTACAGCAGCTCTTCCCTTCTAGGTCAAATATGTGTTTCGATTTGGGTGGGAAAGGTGTTATAGGAAAGCTCTCAACTTCCTCTTCCCATAAAACCTGTGGGTGAACAAGGGTAAAATAGGTTCCATTTCTTTTGTCTCATTTCATTAATTATTGGTAACCATCTGTCACTGCATTAAAGAAGGACACTGATGACCTGATTGAGTTCAGTAGGGGGAAAAATAATTCTGGGATCTATTAATGATGCATGCCACAGGAGTAAGAATAAGGAAGGAGAGTATCCATAATTGTTTCAGACTTGGCTTTTCTTGTTAGGAGCCAGCTCAGGATGTAGGAAGTCCATGCTTTTCTTTTGCACTTAGAGAAGACTGGCTTATTTGTTTAGCAGTATGCAAAGGAGGGCTTTCCAGAAGTGAGAGACAGGACTGACCACTTAGAGGTGGAGGGAGGACAGGAAAAAATTTAACTTATTTACCTGAAGAGAGAGAAAAAGATCTTCAGGTTTCTCAGCAGCCAAGAAACAGCAAAACAAGGCACAGAAAGGTACCTCTAAATAACAAATGGCCGGATACAATATTGGAGGAGGGCGAGGCAAGTGTTCACTTGATGAGAAGGTAACACTGAGAAGGATGATTTCAGTATTTCAGTTTTCAACCACTATCAGCTTGTGCCTTTTTCTATGGTGTCCTGCTCATAATTCAGCATCCAGTGGTGTTCTGCTTCCTTTCCTTCTCACTTATCCAAACTTACTCTTGGGGAAACCTCTCACATTGGCCATCCAATGGCTAATATTGGAGATACTTTGCCACTGTCATTGTCAAAATATACCTGTTTCACCTCTAGGCATTTGGAAATGGCAAGAGAAGATAAAAACAATTTTATCAAATGTCTATGAGATTTTCCTGCCTCACTCCATACTATAGACTTGCAGAGCCCCAGATGGCCGACAGTTTATCTGAATGGGCATTATCAGCTTGTTTTCTTGTTGTAATGAAACAATTACTGAATTTTAACTCATCAGGTATATATTCAAATCCTGTGATTCTTTTGCATGCCATCTGGGTGACCTTGGCCAAGTCACTTAACCTCTCTGAGTCTAGTTTTCTGTCCTATAAAATGAGGAAAATAATTCCTGCCTTGCCTACTTCACAATGTTGCTGTGAAGATCAAATGAGGTACTGTATGTGAAAGTCCTTTGAAACACTACAAAACACTGCACAGATGCAAGCTATTGTTATAAAGCTGAATCCCGGTGGGTCCCTGTGGTTTTTGAGCCATACGTGTGCATGCTGGGTCTAGTCTATCATTATTTCTAAATATGGCTGGTCTACTGGCTTCTGAAGTTTCCACATGAAATGCAGTCTGTGTATTTGCTCGAAGCCTCTGCTCTATGTCCTCAAATAATGGGCCATTTAGTGTTACATTCCAAACCAGCAGAACCAGCATTTCTGACCTTGTACCTGTGACCTGCAGAAGTACTATTGTATCTCAGAGATAAACGTATCTGAACTGCAAGGTGCTTAAAGATATATTTAGTGCATAGGGATTTCATTTGTCACCGAGCGATTTTACAGTGTCTGATATAAGCTGGAGATTTTATGATCTATAATCAAAGGCTTTTGCAGATACCTCTCCTTAATTTGGATTTGTGACAGTATTAAAAAAATGGGACTTTCATCTTTGGATCCATTTTACTTACTTGGGTGAAATAGCAATGTATGCTTTTAAGTGAAAGTCACTTAAAAATTTCAGACTGTCCTTAGTAACGCAGGAACTCTTGACACAAACTTGTACTATTGACTTAAGGAAAAAATATTCTATTTCCTTCCTCTTTTGATCACCATGGAATCTTCCTTGAACAGACTGCTTTCACTTCTAAAGCTCAATGAACTAGAGGTCTAATGGGCATGAATGTAGAGGATATTTATCTTGTTGCAACTGTAGACAGAGTCTTTATCACTGAAAGGTGCATGGCATGATGGAGGTAAAATCTTGGAATGTTAGAACTAGTCCAGAACATTCGGAGTGTTTTTTTAAAGAGTCTCATTTTACATATGTAAAAGCTGAGCCTCAAATAGACTTAGAAGTACACCAAAAAACATACTTTCATGATTCACAAAATATGTACTAGAATCAAATAAGGCAAAAGTATCCTCTCTAGTGCACAACAAATAAACAATTTTATTATGAGTAATATATCAGTCTCTCTACATTTTAATAAATTTCTACAGATAATTTGAGCCATGGAATCTTACTTTATGGCATATAGCACTTTTCCCCACCCTACTAAAAATGTCATGAAATAATGAAGAAGGATTCTTCCTTCCACCAAGCTGTCTGAAGATGTTAAATCCATGTAAATATTTTATGGTATATTTACCACTCACGTGAGTAGATTGCATGCATATACCAAGTGAGGAAAACCAACCAACCTCAAACACAAAACAAATTATTTCTTCCTTATCCCACTTTATTTATTCTTTTGAGATAAAATGTAATACCTAGTGATGCAATTAATGTTGAATCTATCTCTCAGGTTCCTAGGACTCCAAATCTCAGAAGAGTCTAAAAATAATATTTCTGCTTGGTCTCAATTAAACACTTACCCCTATTCTCCATCACCTCATCTCCAGGGCCTCTAGCCTCACTTTTTTTGTTATAAATCTGTGCTCTTATGGCTTCCACTAAAGAGAAGCCAAAGGTCAGCCATCAACAGTTGTCATCTTACATTGTGAGAGTGCACTACACAGGTGCGTATAAAGGAAGATGGCAATCACAGGAGCCATCTTGGCGTCTGGCTGGCACAACTCACAAAGTAAAAGAAAATACAGAGAGGAATTGATAGATTCAATAAATATTTGAGGAGTGTTTTTCTAGAGACCTGAAAAAAAAATTGTGGCTGGTTTTAAAACAAGTGGAAATGCTCAATATTACGGAGTCTGCACCACATTATATTGTGAAGTCCAGCTAAAATGTTGCTCCAGCAGATGAACACCTGCTTTCTAGAACAAGTTTAACCCACCAACATCTGTGTCTATACCTTGCTGTCATTGGAGTTTATGAGATGTAGTGACCCTCCCTGAGCAGAGGCCAGCCTGACCCACACCCAGGTCAAGACACTGATGCCATTTTCTCACAAATTTTTTTTTGTGCCTTCTACATTTCAAGTGTCTGTTCTGTTGCCTGGATATTTATAATTCTTTTCTTAATATTGATTGGACAAATCCAGTGAGAAAACTGACTGGTTCCATGATGCCTCAGAAGCTGGGCTCTATTTTAAGACATAATTTTATTAGCAACAGCAACTGAATCACCTGGCCACAAGAAGTTTTTCCCTTGGCTTGGGAACAAAATTGGGTCTTGAGCCAGACTATGAACAAGCTGATGGTGTGCAAATGCCAGCACTAAGACAAGGGATGCCACTCAGCTAAAGGGGCTCAAGGAAAATGAAACTGAAGTGAGATTTGGCAATACTATCCCCCACACTTGATCAGTTGATAACTATTGTAATGGAAAACTGAACACAATGGAAGATTGAACATAAGGCCCAAGGAGAGACTCTTCAGGTAGCCAAATTCTGATAGAGGCTTTTGGGAAAGTGGGCTACTTAGATATTTAGATAAGAAAGACCATATTTAGATATACAGAGGTATTTTATTTTTGAATATCCTTAGGTCCAAGATGATTTGGAAACATTTCAGGATAGAACAATTAACAGAAAAGCTGTAGAGTTGTATGTCAGAAAACATGATTTAAATGGCTTAATATAAGTCGAAGTCCTTCAGTAGATTAGGCTTCAGAGCTGTATTGATTCAGACCTGGATCAGTTCTACCTTCTCACTTGCTTCTATAGAGCCAGTCTCATCCCAAGACTGGATTCCCCAGTGAAAACAAATTTGTTGCTACACTTCCAGACTTCACATCTGCATATCAACCACCATCCTGATGAAGACAAAGTGAGCTTTTTTCCCAGCATCTCTGACAGAGATCCAAAATGGACTCATTAGATTGCTTAAACTGGATGGTTAATGAGTGTGGCCAGGAGAATAGAATGTGCTGATTGGTTTACTCCCAGTGGGTCCCTGAACTGGACCAGTGGTGAGGCCAGAAGTCCAAATCCTTCAAAGAACAGAATTGCAAGAAGTACAGATACCCCAATTAAAATTAAGTCTGTGTTCAGGGGAGGATCCTGAGGCTTAGTGAAGTAAGGTGACTTCCCAAGACCACGCTGTAGCACAATGAGTAAGGTTTGACCCTCAACTCTGACAGGCATAACCACTGTCCCAGCCTCCAACTTTTATTTTCAACCCAAGTGGCTTCTGAACTTGACTCTTCTGGCTTTTCTCTTCTAACCTGTTGAATAATGTGATGGCATTGCATGACCCATAAGGTCCTATTCATGCTATAATTCTATTTTCCCTGTAGCAAAAAGGTGGTATATGTATATGTTTTGCTTCAAAGCTATAGATATTAGCATTTGCTGGTCTAGTATGAATACCAATCATGTCTGTGTTAATTAAGGTCTGCAATTAACCCAACTAGGAGACAATATCAAGAGTAACTTGAAAACAAGAATGAGTCTGAGATTCATTTCTTTATCAATTCACTCACTGGCAAATGTTTATTGAGTTCCTATTATTTGGCAAGTAATATTCTTTTTTTTTTTTTTTTTTTTTTTTTTTTGAGATGGAGTCTCACTCTGTCGCTCAGGCTAGAGTACAGTGCCACAATCTTGGCTCACTGCAACCTCCGCCTCCTGGGTTCCAGTGATTCTTCTGCCTCAGCCTCCTGAGTAGCTGGGAATACGGGCGCGTGACACCACGCCTGGCTAATTTTTGTATTTCATCATGTTGGCCAGGCTGGTCTCAAACTTCTGACCCCAGGTGATCCACTTGCTTTGGCCTCCGAAAGTTCTGGAATTACAGGTGTGAGCCATTGTGCCCGGCCTTGCCAAGCAATATTCTAAGTAGTAGGATGGGCAACCTTGCTACAAGTGTCATCTGTGGACCAAGGGCATTGGTACTCATGGTGAACATGTTAGAAATGCAGACTCTCAGGCCGTACCCAAGTCCCCCAGATCAGAATTTGCATTTTTAACAAGATCTCCAGTTCATTTGTATGCACATTAAAGTTGGATAAATACTGTATAAGAAAACAAGATAAAGTCATTGACCTTTAACTAACAAAAAAGAAAAATTTTAAAAAACCATGTTCTTTTACTTAGGTTATAAAGAATAATATTCATTTATGTATTCATTAACATGTTACCAAAATACAATTGTATTCTAATTGATTATAATTTTCAAGAATGAATTATCAATTTAGAGGAAATTGAGCTCTTGATTCTCTTATCGATGTCCAAGAATCATCCATTCATTCCATTTTATCTTTGAAATACATAATTACTTCTTAAAAGATTTAAACATTGAGGAGAAATGGTCCTAGGTAATATATATAGCATCTTAGAAACCAGAAAGAATTGGTAGAAAGTATTATAGAACTATCAAGTGTGGGCTACTTTAACGCTCAGGGATGGTATCTACTGTTTTTTATTTGGAAAATATTCTTCTGGTTTATATGAGATGAGGAACAGCAGCCTCTTCTGGTTCTTCACAATGAGGCTTTGGATATTACATATTCTGGAATACAGCAGGTTAAATGAAATATTCATTTTATCTTTCAAAACACAGACTGGAACTGTACCCAATGCCCACTGGGAAGTATCAAAGAAGATAAATTATTGGGAAAAGCAGATTTTGCCTTCTTCTTCTCTCTGGTCTATGTGCTTTCCAAATCCAGACTCTCTTTTCTTTTTTCCTCCCCTTTGGGAGCATTTTAAGAAGATAAATACAGATTTATCATTTTTAGCCCAAATGAATGTTTTCAAAATAAGTTGTGGTGCTGTCTGCCAGCAGTAGGCACCCCTGTGTTCACTAGTAAAATTCTGCCAAACCCTCAGTCCTCATGGGCACCTTTGCACTCTAATTGCCAAAAAGGAAAGGAAAAAAGCCTCACATCAAGTATGTGGCACCCAAGGGATAGAAAAGCAAAGAATATGCACATGAACAGTAACATTTTTCAAAGAAGAAACATAATTTGCTGGAGCAGTGATAGGTGAATGGATTTTTCTACAGATATTCACTCCACAGTTTAACCATTAATAACTTCTTTGCCCTGGATGGAAACATTTACACATGGGACCTCAACATGGTCCTAATGGTAATACCTAGTTATCAACCCTAAGATCAGATCCATGCAGGGTGGTTTTGTAGGCTGTGCCTTGCACAGCTCCACTGTACATCCCCACAAAGCAACATTCATGCAGATGATAATGTGCATGGCATCTGCAGGGTTGTTCAGCATGTCCACCCACCACCTAAAGTTCCTTCTCAACAACAATGCAGTCTTTCATCAGAAAATCATTGACACCTCAGCCTGCCATTCCACCTCCTTCCACTATTCCATGCTCACCATAAGTAACTCTAAACTTGGTGAAATGATTTAAACTTTCATAACATAACTCTTCTCCACCTATATCTTCTTTTGGTCCGTGACACCTAAAATGAACTTCCAACTTTTGACTAATTCGTCTTTCCTCTAGGACATCCACACAAAAAAATAATAATTGCCAACTTTGTTTATTTGTTTGGTTTTTAAATACAAAAATAGTGGAATGGTCAATAAATAGAAAAGATGCATCTGGTAAACAATGTAAGTGTCCTGGGCTTTCTGCAAATCTCAGCCCAATGGCATGTATTTGCAAACAAGACCACTTCGTTAGTTAAAATTTCATGTGGGATATCACATAATGTTCGGAGAACTCTGCTGTCTGCCACTACCATGAACAAAGTTGTTTATCAGAGTTTCTTCTCTCCCTACACTGACTGGAGACACTCACATTTATTCTGTAAATGTATTCTTTTTATTTTTCTGTAGATTATATTGCTGTAAATATCTCATTTCTGTGAATGTAATTACTGCACCTTCAATAGCCACCAAGAACAGGTGCACAATGACATTTGATGAACAAAGAAGAGAATGAATTAATTAATAAATGAGTGTGAAACACTGTGCTGGAAATGTTTCTACACAAGAATTAAGGAAAACTTAAGATCATGATTCAACCATTGGGTCTAGCATCTAGTTGAGGTTCCAAAACCATGTTGAGTTAAATTAAGGTCTAAATCTTTGCCAATTTCCAAATAGTGAAGTGAACAGTAGTGATAATAGTGCAAAAGTCATGGGGTGTGTCAGGGGTTGGGGAGATTGTTAAGGTCTGAAGAGATGAAGTTTGAGCTGCCCTTCAATGGATGTGTAAAATTTATTTCAAATCGTGCTAATTTATACATAGCCATTTATAAAGATGGGTAATCTTAATGACTAAGGAAAGTTCATTAACAAAAGAGACAAGAGACCTAGGATTTTTATGTCACCATAATGTTTGCTAACATAAGCACAGTATTTGCCTTACAAATCTGATATAAGAAGACACCATTTCTTTAGGATGAAGCAACTCTCTGAAATCACAATTCTTTGTAGTTGTCTGATGGCAGATTATATTTTTACCACCTATTCTTGCCTTGATTTAGGACACATTATAGAATGTTTGGTGGAAATTGGCACTGAATACAAGAGCCCCTCCAGACAATTTTAAAGTATATGCAATCTAATTAGCAGAGAGAAACCCTCAAAAATGGTGTCTGGACTCAAAGAAGATGAGAGTGTCCCTGATCAGAATTCTTCTTAAAATCTATTTAATCAATAGATACATATGTAGTGATCAGTTTGGCATCCTTGAATGTAGCATTGGTATAAAAAATGCATCTCATTCTGATGCATTTGGTGCCCCTAAACCCATTCTAAATGTGTCTTTGATCCAGTTCCCCAAATAGTGATCAGGCTGGAAAAATAAATAAATAATAAATTTTATTTGTGTGTATTTATTTCTTTAAAATAGCAGCTTTGAAGAATCTATGTGTTGGCCAGGCAATACAAAAAGTGAGGTCCCTGGGTTCTGGTTAAATAAAGTTGCACCATGTTGTGTATGTGTATATGTGTCTTTTTAAAAGTCTTATCTCTTTAACAGTGGTGTTTCTATAATGATTTAATGATAGCTGCTGATGGTTTGGCACTGCCTTTCCTTCTTAACAGTATGAATAAAGCAATAGGGCATCTGTGATATGCAGACATATAAATCTCAAAACAAAAAGGGTCATTTGGATCTCCCATTGCTCAGAAAACACCATTTATATTTCCCATATGCTTTATTTAGTTATCTGAGTGTTTCATTATACTTTTTTCTATTTCCTTTGCTTCTGAGGGCATTGACCCATCTCTTTCTTAAGACATAAAGAATAAGAACAGAGATTTAAAAATCACAGCAATTCAACATTAAGTCCTCCACTTCCTCTCATCTTTGGTGAAAATTTAATGACATTTGAAACCTGACTCCATCCTTCATGTCCAGGAGGGTGTTAGTAACTTAACCTTTTATTTCCCCATCGAATATAAATTCTGCCTTTGCTAGGAAGGATTAGCCAAGAATAGGGCAAAACCATTGTATTCCACTTCAGAAATGGCTCCTGGAGAGTGCTCTGGGTGAACTCTCCTCCGGATTGCCCTGGTCCTCAGCTGGCCCTTTGTACAGAGGAATGAGTAAGTAGATCCAGGGAGGTTGTGATGCTTTTCTCTATTCCTGCAACCCTGAGGAACAAGTAGAATTCATCAAGGTATCTTTGCTTGATTGCACCTCATTGTCCGTACCTTTTATCATTTGATCTCTTGAGATTTTAATGATTTGATGATGATCTGTTTGTCAGGATGCCTGCAAGCATAGACCTGTGAATCTGCTTTCCTGATAGACTGGCACCCCAAGGTATACTTTTTTTATCAAAAGGTAACATCGATCTCAGTGTTGCTTTTCCATTATTCAGTCCTGCCACCTATTATTTGCTACTGGCCGGGCCTCTGTCAAGTCCTTTAACCTTCTGAGCCTCAGTTTCTACATGTGTAAAATGGGGATAGCAATATCTGCCTTGCATGGTTGCTGAGATGATTTTTTTAGATTCAACAGCCTGATGTATATAAGACATATCAGTGTGCCTGACATTTAGTAGACACTCAAAAAATGTCAGTTTCTTTTCCTTTCTCAGTCTTCATTGAATTTCCACCATGATACAAAGCATGGAAATCCACATAAATCTGGAAATTTCTTTGGAATTAACGAAAAACATTAATATTTCTCACATGTGACTAATGATACTTCTTGAACCAAAGCTGAACTCTAAAATCCTTTCGGAGCTCTCTCCCTCCTTGTCCATTATTACAGCAGCTCATATCAGAGCATCTGTCAAAAATTGCACTGGGACACATTTGGCAGTCACTTTCCCCCTCATTCACTTAATGTTATCCATCAAAGGGCAACCATAGTCAAAGAAGCAATGGTACAAATGAAGATATGGAGCCATGAGAAGTTTAAAGGAAAAAAAAAGTCAAATCGGTTTTGATCGTTGTCCATTGTCTGTGAGATATGACTTCTGTCATTACAGGATGCACTCTAGCACTAACTTTGTGGTTCAGTATATCTCTCATGGGTCCTTGAAATGTGATTTTATTACCGGAATTACTGAGAGGACCATGCAGTGCCATGGGATTAACTGGAACTAGGTCATGAGACACCAACGAGAGTTTTGCAAATACAAATGTGCAAATGGGTTTCTCTGTTCATGGTGGATTAGATCAATCTTGTCTGTAAGGCTTTGGCAAGTCTACCATTTTGTTGGGAAATGACTGCAGAACATCCATCTTCCCTGGACTCTAAAACAACTTCCCCTCTGTTCTTTGAGTGAGTCCACTAGTGCACAGAATGGAGCCAATGAAGGCAATGGTCTAAAAAGCCTTGCCACCTGAGGTATCTGGGTACATTATCAGACAGATGAGAGGGAGACACATTCACATTGGATCCATTTCACATCAGATGCATTGCACGGCATAAACAGTAACAGGAAAGGAAAGGCTGGGTGCCCCTGCCACCAGCCTCAGAGCCGCATGAAGTTATCACCTAACATCAGCAGCCCGACCCTTCCCTGGACTCTCTGGGAGGCAGCCCTATGCTATGCCTACCTCTTCGTTAGGCTTCTCACTAACAGCACCTCTTAGCACTAATTCAGATGGTAAAATAACACTGCCTCTGCCCCGTGTAATCAAACAGCAGAAGGAATGTGGCACCAAAAAGCCCGAGTATGAGGAAGTAATAAATATGTTTTAAGATGACAGTTTCAAGGAGCCTAAGCCTGCACGACAGAGTTGAAGGCAGACAGCTTCAGATGGCAGAAGCTGCTGAGGAGATGTCTTCGAGACCAGCAGTGTCTGAAAGGAAAGAACAGAATGCAGGCCAGGTCTGGATCAGAGGAAAAGCCCCAGAGACGTGCAATAAGATGCACCTTTTGAAACAGCCAGAAGAGAGTAAGAAATAAGGAAGGGACTGAGCCAGTTCAAGTATTCTTGTAATAGGATGAGGTTGCTTTATTTCCGCATCCGAAACCCTTTCCCTTTCAAGGCATCTCATTTTACTCTACTTTGCTTTAGCCCCTGTTTCCTAAGTCCTATTTCGTAGCGCACCCAAGCTGCATAAATAAAACCACTTTGGAAACTCCCTTCTCAGTCATCTTGGGGACACACATGATAGGCTGGGTTGGTATAACTCAGCCTTTTATATATTTTTAACTACCTGGCATAAACCCATATTTAAATGTCACCAGTAGCAAAGCCAAGAATAAATTCACGACCGTGCCTGCATTCAAGCATGTTAGCATGCACACACGCACGTACGCCTACAGTGTTACTGAGAACAAACTTGCCAATTTGCAAATGGGACATCAGAATACATTAAGACAAAGGTGGACCTATGGTTAAAGAGAATAAATAATTGGTTTCTGTCTTGTGGCATGTTTTAGTTAAAGATAGCAATGCAATCTCCAGTATATCTGGAAATTATTGAAACCTTTTTTTTTCCAGAGGCAAAAAAGATCAATACCTTTTTCTCTCAGTGGCGTAAAACATCTCAGGTTACTTTGTCCCTGTTTATTCCAGCAACTCCAAGTTCAAAGTAAACGTTAAAGTCATGAGGGTAAAATCATATTTTCAGAGTAAATGAGGACACTTTGAAATTGGCTAAAATGTTTGCTTCACCAGCTTTTGAGATATCAAGCTGAAGGCCTCTGCTCTAGGGATAGAGGCAAAGGAAGAGGCGAATGATTGAATGGGGGTTTTCTGTTTTTCAAGCAGAGCAGCCAAAACTGCTAGACAAAGCCACAAGCTAAGCATCTATGAAACACGATAGAGATAATTTGTCTTATCTCTGGGAGGAACAACACAGCAATTTCTGTGTGTTTCTCTCCATAAAATGGGTTTTCAAAATTTGCTGCTTTTTCCCAGGATGTTGAAAGCAAAATATCATATTAACACCCAAAAAGATAAATGCCACTTCTATGGAAAATGTTGTGAGATGTCACCAAATGTAAAAGCAGAGGCCTTCTCTCCAGCTGCTGAAATGCGCATTCGTTTTATGTCTTTCCCACTGAAATGTAACCATCCCGATAGATATTTCAGCACACTATACAGAAAAAATAGAATGATCCTCCAATCATTATCTATAGGACATTACACTGATAAATGGTGGTATTAATGAACCTAAATAAATTTGAATCCTTTCTCCCTGCAGTTATTTTGATAATACAAGAATCTAGTAAAGTACATGGAATTAACAATTAAAGGGGGTTAAGCGGACACTTAATACTTTTTCTTTTTTGCACAATTTGGCAGTAATGCATCTGCTGTAATCAGGATTTTTATTTCTCTTTGGGAAAAAAAAGGGGGAAATGTTTATATTTTGGAAGCAAAGCCTCCAGGATTTGCAGCTCCTCGGTGCAGACCCAGCATGTACGTGTTTGCGTTTGTGTGTGTGGCTTGTGTGCGCATTGGTGGCCCCGCCGGGCGCGGCTGGCCTGTCTGGCTTTCTCCTTTTGCAACAGCTCCACCTTTGGGCTTCTAAAGGGAAAGGTCCTTTTTTGCTAAAGGATATGAAAGAAAAGGCAACAGCCAGAAAAATGCACTCCGTACTCAACCTTTTGTTTAGTGAAACCAGACAATAAAATTATTTTCTTCATTAGAAAGAGGGACATGAAGAAGAAAGGGGAGCATGGAGAAAGAAAAGGAGGATAACAAGGAAGATAAAAGAAGGGAGACGGAGGATAGAGAAAGAAAAAAGGAGGAGGGCAAGGACGGAAAAGGGGAGAGCTTCCTTTTTTGACCAGAGGAAAATGCAGGACTCATTGAATAGTTATTTCTTGAATGCTTTTCTGCCTAGATTGCATACTTCTGTAAAGCTCTGATAGACCTGAAGTCCAGCATCTCTGTTTCAGACTTCCTCAGCAGTGTCATTTTCCCTGTCACTTGTTGTTTATAAACTATAGTACCAGATTAATGAATGAGAATATAACAGAGGATTTGGACTTCTGTTAAGCCCATTCTCTTTAAAATAAGGACTATGTGCAATATGTGCATGTTGGTAAGGTTCTCACTATTTCTTTCTGAAAGCTCAGCAGTCTTGGATTGTTTCCAGACAGATTATAGCCTCACTCCCAGAAAGCATGACCTTGGCTAACCAGGGATGGGGGAATGAACACAGAGAAACTTCTTAAATCCCACTGTCTACAAAATCCCAACCTTTAAATGTGTGAGTTTCAGTTAGGCAAGTATTTCGGGAATATAGTATGGGAGCTTAGTGGGAAGGGCTGGAGATCTAAGTAAATCTTTGTCTAGGGGAATTGGTTTGGGTCTTTCGGTATGAAAAGATCAGAAAAAAAAAATGTCTGTTCCAAAATCTGTGCTTCGTAGGAATGTAGAATGTAGGTTTTTATAATCAAATCTATGAGAGTATTAAAAAAAAAAAGAAAAAGAAGTATCACAAGTGGAAAGGAAATGACATTCAGAAGCCTCAGATTAACTCCAAGAGTGAGACAGGTCCAGGCACTTTGCTTTGGAGCCTTTAGTTCTGACCTTCATAGTTTTAAATCTGTATTTTTTTCCTCATTATTCTGACTGCTTGCTTTTGCTTCTCTGACTATCACATTGCATAGTTCACCTAGATTCCACATCCAAAAGTGTCCTCTTCAATAAATAACTCCCCTGCTCAAAATCCTCTAAGTTCTCCCCATTGCTCACAGGATAAAATTTATATTTCTCAGCCCTAATTCCAAGGTATTTGAAGATTTACATCCAAGCCCCTCTCCCAGTAGTCCCGTACAGAGACTGTCCTTTCAAGTCAGGGTAAGCATTCAATGCCTCATCCTTAAGAACACTCAGAGCTTCCTTTTAATACTACTTCCCCTTAAGGTCCAACTGCAATTCTAAGCTTTGCAGCCGGTATCATGACAAACGCATTCATAAAAGCATCCACCCCCTCTTGTAATTCTGTGTGTTGTACGCATATATATATATATATATATATATATATATATATATATATATATATGTGTGTGTGTGTGTTGTGTGTATTCATTTTAGTTTCAAGGTAAAAGTATGTATATATGTATGTGTATATATCTGTGTGTTTATGTAGAGACATATCTGATTTTCTTTAACTCTTTAGCTGGGTGACAAGTTTTTTTGTCTTTTTGGGTTTTTTTTGAGACGGAGTCTCGCTCTGTCGCCCAGGCTGGACGCCCAGGCTGGGCTCACTGCAGTGAGTGCAGTCGCGCGATCTCGGCTCACTGCAAGCTCCACCTCCCGGGTTCACGCCATTCTCCTGCCTCAGCCTCCGGAGTAGCTGGGACTACAGGCGCCGCCACCACGCCCAGCTAATTTTTTTTGTATTTTTAGTAGAGACGGGATTTCACTGTGTTAGCCAGGATGGTCTCGATCTCCTGACCTCGTGATCCACCCGCTTCGGCCTCCCAAAGTGCTAGGATTACAGGCGTGAGCCACCGCGCCCGGCCGGTGACAAGTTTTTTTGGGGGGCAAAGTTTATGCCTATTTTAGTGTCCTTATGACAATTAGGATAGTGCTTTGTATATATGAAGCATTGAATTTAAAATATATATATTGATTGGTTGAGTTGACGGTAAAATGAATGTCCCATTTGTGCACCCAAATAAGGAGTTATATACTTCTAAATGATATCTTTCTGGATAGTTTGAGGAACCAATAATTAAATGAGCCTGATGCAGAAAATTGGGCACTTTTACTTTTAAATCTTTAATATTTAGCCAGTTTTTATCCCAGGGGTAAGTAGAATCTTCATATCACCACTTGTCTTATACCTCCCAGCTATGTTTACATGTTTTTTTATATTTAAATTATCTATAAATCTTACATAAAGTGAAACCTGAAAAAGAAGTCCACTAATTTTGGTGCATAATTTTTTTATATATCCTATTTTTTTGGGAGCAAACTAAGCTCTGAGAACTCTTGTAATTCCTAACAATCACTTGAGGCCAGGAACATATTTAATATACACCTATCTCTCCCTACTACACATATCCACATTTTATTATTTGTGAATTTGGCCAAAGAATAATGGGTACTCAAAAATCGTCATTTTATATATTCTCTATTTAGAGGTATTCCATGCCTCCTTTCATACTCTAAGGAAATGTTCTTTCCTTAGCTACTGAAAAGTAAATTATTTCTTTTTTTTTTTAAGGCAAAATACAAACATAGACTTTATTAAATGCTGCTCAATCCCCCAATGAAGATCTTTTGTTACAAAACAGTTTTCCACACAACTGCAAGTTAAGAGATTGGAATGGTACTCTGATAACAAAAAATGTGAGAAATACTTGATCAAGTAAAAATATACAAGACCTCTATATAGTCAACCTTTTCAGAGCTCTACAGAGGAAGCCTACCTCATTTCCTTTAAATAAAGCCAGGCAGTGACAACTAGTGTTCTGTATCACCAGGGCCCTGATGTTCCTACTGATCCCACACATGATCACAATGGACTCCAGAAACGCTTAGTCTGAGCACTAAGCACCTACGAAGGATCAGTGGTTTTTAGAGGTAAATTGTATGTAAAAGGCCGTGCATCCTGAAGAAGCTTAGAGGAAAAGGTTTTTTAGGTCTGAAACTAGAAGAGGCATGTCAAGCGGCAGAGGATTTCCAGTTTCCACTTGCTGGGATTGGATGTAAGCAACATGACTCTTTAATTGCACACTGTATACGATTTAAAACAAAAACATGAATTATAGAAAGGTGATGGATCCATGAAGCACATCTTCCCACTCTCTCATCTTAATTTTTTTAATTTCTAAACAAATCTATCTCTCCCTCCAGACTGAATTACCCACTCTCCATTTTTCACTTCTTGTATGTACTTCTATTTTATAAAACTCATTTATCTCGTGTGTCTCTCCCTTAGAGTGCAAGCATTTATCCAGAACAGATAATGTGTCATATATATCTATGCAGCCCCTTTACCTAGAACAAAGCCTGGCACATGATGATGATCAACAAATGCTGGTTAAAATGTTTCAGTGAATTTTAAGCTGCTTGGAGAGACTGAATTATATCTTGATCACATTTACATCCTTAAAATTCTTTAAACAATGCTTTGTAAATAGATGGAACTGAATGCTTACTTTTTTGCTTTTAAACAAGGAGGGAATCCATGAGCTAAACTCTAAACATGGATGCTTTGTTGGGGCAGAGCGTGCCTACTTTTCAGGTGCAGGGCTCAGATGCAGAACCTGGGCCATTAGTTGATACGAGAAACTTAATCAGACAACAGAGATTTATCTTTTTCTTCATCAGCAGGGTATATCTCAAAAAAATTTTTAAAGAAAGGTTATTTGTTATTGTGGCATTTCGTGTTTGGCTTCATGTCCTGTTTTTTAGCATCCGCTTCTGCCCTGTAGTTTCTCTGGTAACTTGTGCCACTGTAGCAAGTGCTAACCGCCTGTTGATGGGGCAGTCTAAATGTGTCTGAGGAATAATTGTACCTGGACTTCACCTTAATGCCTTTATAATGTTCTCTGCTTTATATTTAAAGGTGACTAAGACAATTTAGTATCATAAAAGGCTGAGTAATACCCAAGGCAAACACATTTTAAGTCAGAGATGGGCTGGCCCCCTACTGTTCACATTATAAATTCATCTTGTGGGCCTCTGGAATAGAAAAACAATTGTTTCTTGGTGCAGTTTTATTTCCCCCCCTCTAGGCTACTTACTTCATGACTGTTCAGCACATGTAAATAAATATGTCATTATCCTTTTTAGTTTCAGAGTAACAGCAGGTAAGATAAGAATTTAAGCAAACATCAGGATGTAGGCCTCGAGACTGTGGGTCTTTGATACCTGGAAATGCAGAATTTTTCTTATGTTGTAACTTGTGAGAGTCCAAAGTTATAGAGACTTGGTGTATTAATCAGGGTTCTCCAGAGACACGAACCAATTGTGTGTGCATACACACACACACACACTCACACACATTTACTGTAAGCAGTTGGCTTACATGATAATGGAAGCTGATAAGCTGATAAGTCCCATGATCTGCAGTTAGTAAGCAGGAGACCCAGGAAAGCAGATGATGTAGTTCTAGTGTAAACTTCCAGTCCAAAGGCCTGAGAACCAGGAGGGCCAGTGATACAAGTTCTACTCTGAAAGCTGGCTTGAAACCTAAAAAGAGCTGATTTCTCGTTTTGAGTTCAAAGTCAGGATAAGAATGACGTCACAGCTTAGTTGGGCAAGAGGAGTTCCCTCTTAGCCTTTTTATTTCACCAGACCTTCAACTATTAGATGAAGATCACCCACATTAGGGAGGACAATCTTCTTTCCTCGGTCTACTGATTCAAGTAATCTCATCCAGAAACAACCTCACAGATACAACCAGACCTCACAGATACAATGCTTGACCAAATGTCTGGGCACCCCATGGTCAAGTTTACACATAAAATTCACCATCACACTTGGTATTGCTTAAGACGCTGCTTGGCTCTTGAATATATCTGTGCATGTATATATATGTGTGTGTATGTGTGTGTGTATATATATACACACACATATATATATACAGTCGCATACGCATAATGCCATTTTGGTCAATGGCAAACAGTATTTACATTGGTGATCTCATAAGACCATAATGGAGCTGAAAAATTCTTTTTGCCTAGTGACATCATAACTCTCATAGTCTTGTAGTACAATATATTACTCATGTGTTTATGGTAATGCTGAGGTAAACAAACCTACTGTACTACCAGTAGTATAAATGTGTACAGTAATGTCCTAGACCTTCACATTCACTCAACATTCACTCGATGACTCACCCAGACCAACTTTCAGTCCTGCAAGCTCCATTCATAGTAAGTACCTTTCTCAGGTGTATCACCTTTTAATCTTTGATGTTACATTTGTACAGTACCTTTTCTATGTTTAATACATGAAGGCTTACCTTTGTGTCACAATTGGCTACAATATTCAGTACAGTAACATGTTGTACAGGTTCGTAGCCTGAGGCAACAGAATATACCATATAGCCTAAGGGTGTAGTGGGCTATACCATGTAGGTTTGTGTAAGGACACTCTATGATATTCACAGGACAAAACTGCATAGCAATGCATTTCTCAGAACATATCCCCATCATTAAGCAATGTGTGACTGTATATAATTTCTCAATTTAACCATTTGTTATGGAATTTTATGTTTTCATATTAATATATTAAACTATAGTAAACACTAGTATTAAGCAAGTGTCTGGCACTTTGCTACATATATGACTTCATTTATTTGTTAAAATGATGCTATATGATATGTATTCTCATTACTCCAATTTTCCAGATGTAGATATTAAGTCTGAGACAGGTAAAGGAAATTGCCTCAAGTGGCGTAACTTGTAATTGGCATGTCAAGATTAGAATCCAGATCTATTTGGCACCAAAATTCTGCATTCTTCACTCTATTTCTCTTGAAACTCATGATACTGAGAAAATCTGCATTATATGTAGAATCTGAAGGTGTAAATATAGTGGTTCTGTTTTGGGAAATAATTGTTTTGCCATAAAAGCCAATTTGCAAGAAAATGTCATTAGGAATAACACTACTTAATTTTTTGTACATGTAGAGAAATAGCAGTGAGAAAGGAGCATTTCCAAGGTATAAAACCTGGAATGCAGTATGCTGAATTAAACAAATGAACATCAGACTGTTACTTTTCTCTGGAAGAAATAAATATTCCCCAAACAAGAGGGTTCAAACCTCATTTCTCTAAAGGATTCCTGGGTCAGGACTACTTCTGGCATCTTTATGGAAATAACTATTAGACAGATATGAGATGATAAAATCATTGTGATCTTAAATGTTGTATAGCAACATATACCTGGACCTAGCTACCTTTCACATTTTAGAGAGAACAGCCATCTGAAAAGCACACATGAGTTTTGCTATATTTTGGACTCTCATATTGCTTTTCCATGGTAGAACCAAAAATGAAAAACAGTATAATAATAATACAAATTTCTTATGTGATAATTTACCCAGATACCATATTTTCTTTTAAACTACCTGTTATAAGTTCATTGTAATGCCCACCAGGTTATTTGTGGATGGTAAGTCTATCTGCCATTCGCTAGCCCTGGAGCACATTGCTACTTTGACATGACATCTTGTAAAATCCAATGGAGACTTTGCTTATAACCGTAATGGAGTAACTGGTACAAGATTTGCCTTCCTAAGGATAAAATTGGACAAAACATATGCAATATACAGTTTTCAGATACAGGACAAAGGGAAGTACATGACCACACACCCAAGAGAAGAAAGGAAGAGAGCTCCATAATTGTCCAATATTTCTGTCTAGACACATTTTCCAGACCCAGCATGGGGAAAAATTCAAGCAGAGCATGATGATCTTGCAAAGTAAAGCACAAAAATCAGAATTTGGTACTATATGGTGACTAATTTACAGGGCATAGTACCGGTAACAAAGAAGCACCAGAAACCTGCATAGGGTCCCTGTGAAACTTTAAACAAATGGTAGTCAGAGCATGTGCAGGGTGAGGCTCTACAAAACTGGACTAAAACAAATGCCATGGGAAGAATAACTATAGGGAAGCTGTGACCCAAGCAATTTCTGGGTATCACACAGGACCAGGAGATTCTGAGGTGTGATAGCAACAGTGGAAAGAAATTACTGAATAGCTGAAGTATTGAGTAGTGACTTCAGAAGGAGCAACCTTGGGAGCAAAGATTATACAATTTTAGAGTAAAGTCTACTCTAGACTCTATTCAAACTTTAAGCCTTTAAAGCAGGGGTCCCCGATCCTGGGCCATGGACCAGTACTGGTCAGTGGCCTATTAGGAACCGGGCTGCACAGCAGTAGGTAGCAGCAGGCAAGCAAGAAGTTCCACCTAAGCTCTGCCTCCTGTCAGATAAGCCACAGCATTAGATTTTCACAGGAGCATGAAGCCTATTGTGTACTGTGCCTGCAAGGGATCTAGGCTGTGCACTCCTTATGAGAGTCTGACTAATGCCTGATGATCTGAGGTGGAACAGTTTCATCCCAAAACCATTCCCCATCTTATGTGCATGGAAAAATTGTCTTCCATGAAGCCAGTCCCTGGTGGAAAAAGGTTGGGGACCATGGCTTTAAAGAAGCAAGCTGATCTATAAGCAAACTAACTTCCTGCCTGAATTCAACTTAGCACTCTTCAAAGAAAAATGAAAAACTTCAGTTATTGAACAGCATAGAAACTGAATACCCAACACACAGTCAAAACATGCTAAACATGTAAAAAACCAGGAGAGTATGACCTATAACCAGGAGGGAGAAGGAAAAAACATAAAGCACCGACCATGGAATGATGAAATTGGCAGACTAAGGGTTTAAAAGGAGCTATTATAATTATGTTCAAGAATTTATACGGAAAAAAACCATGACAGAGAAAGAAATGGAATATCTCAATAGATAAATAGAAGCCATATATAGAGAAGCAAATGAAAATTCTGGAATTGAGAAATATGATATCTGAAATATATTTATATTTATGTCTCTATACATCTATATGTATATATATATCTGTATTTAGCTTAAAACTTAATAGAAACTACAGAAGAAAAAAATCAGTGAACTTAAAGCTAAGGTAATATAAACTTTCAAACTCTTTCAGAAACTGGAGTAAAAGGGAATACTTCCCTACTCATTTTATGTGGTCACCATAACCTTGATACTAAATCAAGAAAAGATCATTATAAGAAAAAAAATTACAGATTAATATCTCTCTTGAACTTGTGCAAAAAAATTACTAATAACATTATCAAGTTGAATTCAGCAATATTTAGAAAGTCTAAAACATAATGACAAAGTGAGATTGATCCTAGTAACACAAGATTTGATTAATATTCAAAAACACTCCAATGTTATACACCACATTAACAAAAGCAGAAGAAAAATCACACAGCCATCTCAATAAACGCAGAAAAACACTTGGAAATCCAGCATTCATTTATGATTTAAAAGAGAAAAACCCATCAACAAACTAGGAACAGAGGTAACTTCCTCAACCTGATAAAGGGCATCTATGCAAAAACTGCAGCTAACTTCATACTTAATGGTGAAAGGCTGAATGTTTTCTACTTAAAACCAAGAATAAGAAAAAGAGTTTGTTCTCACCACTTCTATTCAGCATTGTGCTAGAAGTCTTATCATGATCAATAAAACACAGATAAATAAAAGACAAACAGATTTGAAGAAAATATAAAATAGTAAGAAACCTACAAAAATACTAGAAGTGATAAGTCAATTTAACAAAATTGAAACACACAAGTTATATATATAATTCAATTGTAATTCTATGAGTATTTTAAAAATCGGTAACAAAGGTCAGGCACGGTGGCTCACGCCTGTAATTCCAGCACTTTGGGAGGCCGAGGCGGGTGGATCACCTGAGGTCAGGAGGTCAAGACCATCCTGACCAACATGGTGAAACCCCATCTCTTCAAAAATACTAAAAAAAAAAAAAAATTAGCCAGATGTGACGGCAGATGCCTGTAATCCCAGCTACTTGGGAGGCTGAGGCAGGAGAATCGCTTGAACCGAGATTGCACCACTGCACTCCTACCTGGGCAGCAGAGTGAGACTCCATCTCAAAAAAAAATTGGTAACAAAAATTAAATAAATAATACCATTTGTGATATCAAGCCCCACAAAATAAAAAGGGGGAAAACTTAACAAAACATATGCGATACCTATGTGCTGAAAATTACAAAATGTTGTTGAGAGAAATTAAAGAAGTTCTAAATAAATGTTCATGGACTGGAAGTCAACAATATTTTTAAGATGCCTCTTCTCCACAAATTGTTCTATGGATTCAATGCAATCTCAAACAAAAATCACAGCAAGTATTTTGTAATAAATGACAAGCTTTATCTAAAACTTACATGCCAATGCAAAGGACCTAATGTGGCCAAAGTATTCTTGAGAAAAAACAATTTTAGAGAATTGATGGTACATGATTTCTGGATCCATTATGAATCTGCATTATTCTAGGCAATGTATTATTGCATAAAGAAACATAAATAGATTAATGGAGCTGAATGGAAAATCTGGAAATAGACCCACTTAGTGTTTCTTCAATTGATTGTGAGGTGTTAAAGTACTACAATGCAGAAAAAGAAACACCCCAAAAATATTCTGGAACAACCACATATCTATTTGTGGGGGGAGAGAGAGAGGGCAGAGAGAGGGAATCTCAGTCTCTACCTCACATTATACAAAAAAATAAATAAATAATTCTAGATAGCTCATAGTCCTAAACATAAGTCCATAAGGCTCTAGAAGAAAACAGGAGGTTATTAGCATAGGCAATGATTTCTTAGACAGAACAGAGGAAGCATTAACCATAATTAAAAGCTGATACGTTTATTTTGTCTGAATTAAAAACTTCTGCTCATTAAGAAACACTTAAGAAAATGTAAAGGTAAGCCACATTTTGGGAAAATAAATTTTGTAATGCATATATTTGACAAAAGATTTGTCTAAAATATATAAAAAACTTGGAAAAGTCAATATAAAAAACCCAATTTTAAAAATATGTAAAAGATCTCAACAAGTGCTTCACAAAAGAAGGTATACAAATGCCTAATAAAAGCAAAAAGAAACACCCAAAATTACCTATCAGGGAAATATTAAATGAACAATGGCTAAAATTAAAATATTGGCAACAGTAGTGTTTGTTGATACAAATGTTGAGCAACCAGTTTGCTTAAATATTGCTGGTAGAAGTCTAACAATGTTTAAACACTTTGGAAATAGATATTCCAGTTTCTTACAAAGCTCAACATGCATATTTCCAATGACTCAACAATTATAGCTTAGGTATTTATACAAAATACTTGATAACACATATCCACAAAAATGTACAGAAATATACATAGGAACTATAGTCATAGATAAAAGGTAAAAACAATCCAAATGTACATCAATAGAAAAATATGCTAAAATGATATTGTGCTTTACTCATACACAAGGGAATAGTATGCAGCAATGAAGAGGAACTATTGATACATGAAACAATGTAGATGAATCTTGAGAACAATATATTGAAAGAATAAGACATGAGTGAGTACAGTATGATTCTATTTCCAATAAGTACTAGAATAGGCAAAATGAATAGATGATAAAAGAAATTGAGTAAGTAGTTGTATTTGAGCCAGGATGGAGATTGACAGGGAAGAAAAAATTTCTGAAGTAATGGAAATTATCTATTTCTTAATAGAGGCATAGAATATATAAATATATCCATTTTTCAAAACTTATGAAACTATATTCTTTAGATCTGTGCATCTCATTGTCTATAAATCATACCTCAATCAAAAATTATTGATCAAAAAAATCCAATGGACAGCATAATGCATGGTACATAGTAGGTGCTCAATAAATATTTGTTGGATGATATTATTCCTAGGAAGAATCTCAGATAGTGATTTTTTTCCCTGCAAAGAACTATGGCCAATATTGAGGAAACAACTCAAAGAGAATGTCAGTTGCATCATCTTTGTTCATAATGGATGTGAAAATTATTTTTGCAATATTGACTTTTGTTCTGAGGGAAACTAAAACAGACCAATTTGTTCAATCTTCAGAGAGATTTAGGTAGTGTTAAAGTGGCTCATTGGGAGAGTAGAAACTAAAGCTAACACAGCTCTCTTGGCCTGACCTATACCTTTATCAAACCCAAGTCAAACACTGTGGTTGCATTTTTCAAAGTCCATTTGACAGACAGGAACTGTCAGTAACAGTCATACTTAGCAGAAATTCATTAACCTGTAGACCTTCTCCATTTGAGGAAATATTTTCTCACTATATTGAAAGCATATTCATTTCTCTAAGAAAAACCTCTCATGCACTTACTCCTTGAAGTCTTTTTTTTTTTTAAGCTTTGCAGCCTGAAATGATCTCTACATCTTCTAGATCTTATGGCAATTTCCTAGTGCTTCTATTATAAAACCCATCACCTTCCACTTTATATTACAGCAATTTGGGTACCTGTTTTATCCTCTCTTGGATTGCAAACTGCTTTAGAGGATAGAGCTAGTTATTCATTTTATATTTTCACAGAATATACCACACTGTAGTTTTCTACCCACATATTTGCCAAATAAGTGTATAAATAAATAAATAAATAAAGAAATGTTTGGGTCAATGACAAGAGAGAAAAAAACTCACAATTTCAAACAGCAGAATGTGATTTTGCATAGTAATTTTTAGCCATTTTATTCATTATTTCTCTCAAATGTATTCATGGAGAGCTATTGTTTGGCACATATTGTTCTAGCTATATACTAAGGGTGAAAGTTGAATGAGACATGGACTTTGCTCCTCAAGGAGGTCACAAATACAAATAGAGAGGTGGATATAATTGTAAAATAATGTAATGAGAGCTTGAATGGAGGAGAGATTCAGAGGAGAGTGATGGCACAAAATAAAAAAGTAATCATGAAAAATGGAGGTTTGGGTAACATCTGTAGAAAATTCCAGATGACTTTAAAGGTCAATGATAACATCTAACATCAAGGGTTTACTAGACTCTGAACTTCTAGAATCCTGTCAGCAATGCTAGAGGTACTACTATTTTTCCCATTATGCAGAAGAAAAAAAAACTGAGACACCGAAATTAAATATTTTGCCTAAGGCCACTACAGCTCCTGGTAAAATCAGGTTTTGAGTACAGCATGTTTGGACCCAGAGCCGTATCCTCAATTGAAATGATCTGGGTCTTGAAAAATGAGTAGGCCCCACCTGGTATGTGTGAAGATGTTCCTGTGAGTTTAGTGGTTTTATCAGTAAAGTTTCCTCACTGTTTCACTCAAGTTGAATTATTGAATATTGCTACTTTATGCAACAACAGATAAATTATCAGAAGGATACTAGGGTTTCTCAGAGTATCCAAGCAGGTATTGAATATTCAGACTTCAGGAAGAGCAAGAAACCTGCCAGATTAATGGGTCTTAGCAGCTGGAAATAATGGGTTTTCTCTCCGGGTATCTTTTAATTCTTGGATCAGATATAAATCCCTGGATCAATCAATTGTGGACAGGGACAGGGTCATATTATACCAGGGCTAGCACTCACATATTTATAAAAGGCACCGTTTATATTATAAACTATACACAGGCAATGTAAAAGATGTTACCTGGAGGTGTGCAATATGGATGCTCTAATGGAAACTTAATAGCAGCCATGTGATTGGTAGGGCATCACATGGCTACCCAAAGTGCAGATTTGAGTAGAAACAAAGTGAAAGAATATAATGGCTATCTGCTACAGGGATTGGGGTTGGAATAAAATTCAGAATTCTCATATGTGAGTCTCAGATATTTTATAACATCAAGCCATGGTTTTTTTTCCTTAGTTCTTGCCTGCATCCAATGTACTGTGAAGTTTCCAACAATCAGGTCTCATTTCCTGTGATTTCTTTTTTTTTTTAACTCAAAATTATTTTAGACTGATTTCACTTGGATTAAAATAAAGTACATTGCCCCCCTGACTCAACACATTATTTGGAATTGAACTGACCTTCACATTCTCAGCTATTCTGCCTTATGGTGTGATGGTGTGGGTAACTAATAAAGTGAATGACACATGATTTGAGTCAATTGGTGGAAGAGTCATGATCCGAGTACTGTATTTAAAGGCAAGTCTAAAAAAGGCCGTTTGATTGCTCTTGTGGTGTAGGCACTCCTTAGATGCTTCACCTGCTTTGTCTTTGTGAAATAAGGGAGAACGCACAGAGAAAATAAAATAATGGTATTATCCCACCACGTATCTATTAAATGTTACATCCTATATGTGAATTATTTTATTTACTCTTCCAACTGACATACAGATTTTCTTCCCCTTATTTTAAAACGCTGAAAACAAGCTGAGGTTGATTAAATAATTAAAGTTCACTGCTAGAAAATGTCACAGATGGAACTGAAACCCACATCTCTATGTATGCTTTCTGTGACAGGTCCACCTAAAATTACATAACACCAATTTACCTAGGCTCTGTGGCTACCACCAGAGTAGTGGGGCACTCCAGGTTTATTGACTCGTCTAGCACATTTACAGAGGCCCAAAGCAATGGGCACAAGCACCTCCCTTTAAATTCAACACTTCCTTCACTTCCAGGGTCTATTTTAATAGATTCAATCAATCCCAGCTTAATAGTGAAATTGAGGTTTTCATTTGGTAAGCTCTATTACTGAAGGAAGGTCGTGTTACTTTTTTAAGTGGTAGAATTATTGTTTATTAATTACAGAATTTACGCCATTGGTAACTTCCGTCCAGCATGCCTGTGATCTTCCCAAGTCTCTTTATCTTTTTTATCTTTCTTTTTTTTTTTTTTTTTTTTTTTTTGAGACGGAGTCTTGCTCTGTTGCCCAGGCTGGAGTGCAGTGGCTGGATCTCGGCTCACCACAAGCTCCACCTCCCGGGTTTACGCCATTCTCCTGCCTCAGCCTCCCAAGTAGTTGGGACTACAGGCGCCCACCACCACGCCCGGTTAATTTTTTGTATTGTTAGTAGAGACAGTGTTTCACCGTGTTAGCCAGGATGGTCTTGATCTCCTGACCTCGTGATCCACCCGCCTCGGCCTACCAAAGTGCTGGGATTACAGGCGTGAGCCACCGCGCCAGGCCTCTTGATCTTTCAATGGGAGACACATTCCTTTGTTAGTGTTGTGTGTAACTACATTTAATAACAACTCATGTGAAAAGTGATATCTTACTCAGTAATATTTAATTAGACTTGAAAATAGCAAGTTACCACCAACATGTAGAATAAATCCTATCTAAGGAATAAGGAGGCTGTACCCACATTCTTGGTTTTTCAGAGACTTATAAGGTGATGCCGCACAAATAATATAACCACTCAAGGTTTCTCTTTCCTTATCTATCAGTTATAACACTTATTCTACTCTCTAAAAGACAAAACAAAGACTTGAACCAGCTCACTCACGTCTGTGCAAGTGCTTTAATGAAACGTTACGTATTACTTTACCTCGACACACTTTTCTTTTTTTAATCCACTAATTCTTCACATTTTTCAAAGTGGAAAAAAAGCAGGAAACGGGAGCTTAAAAATAGAAGGGGTTATCTTCCAAGAGGCTGGAAAGTGTCCTAGGGGCCAAACAGCCGAATGGGATTTGCTCTCAGGCAGGCTGGCTGTGGCACGTGTTGATTTTCTTAAACTTTAAGAACCCACTAACTTCAGCTAATGATGTCTGGGATTATAGCACCCAAAATGTCACGATCTACTGTGTTCACCTGTCTATTGTCCTTTCTCACATTTTTGCACCCTACATGATACTTGGCAAAATCCTTCCTGGCTTTCTCCTTTAGGTGTCACTCTCAAGAATGTGAAGTTATACTGCAAAATGTGCAGCCTGAAGCATCAGAGGTTAGAGGCAAAAATCTCTATCCTGCTAATAAAGTTTCAAACTGAAGGACTCGCCAGTCCCTCTGAGATTTTGTTTTATGTAAATACTCCTGCCTCCTGGAGAGTCCTCCCTTATGACTTTGTTAGAAAGGTCATATATTTCCAGATTTCATTTAGGGAAAGCATTTGTTCATTCAGGGAAAGAGAAAAACTAATTCCCTGAGGCACACTGACATTGATGAGAAATAAAGCCAGAGCCCAACAAGGAGGCGAGACCAGGAGAACTCCAGCAAAGTAGAATGAAAGTCACAAGATGTTTTAACTGCATACAAGGAAAAGGGTGGAACCTTCTGAGAAACGGATCCACCTACTGGAAACTTCTCATGAACTGTATTTTTTAGGGACAGAGGAAGTAAGAGGAGGTTTTCTCTGGAGGGACAGCTTCTAGGGTCTTCAGAGCCAAAATTTTGGCCCAGTCTTTCTGGGTAAAGAGGGTTAAGTCTGTGTGAAGCAGCATCAACTGGCTGGAAAACTATTTGACCTTCACTGGATCGTCAGTCATTCTTTTGCTTGAGTGGCTGAATGAAGAGTATGTCATTCTGTCATAGCAAAAATCTGGAGAAGGGGAAAAAAATTAAATCGATCCTCTCCATCTCAGAAAGGCTTAGTTTCGTTGGCATCTAACTGACACAAATACTCTTTGCTAGGTTTCTGTTTGCTGATAGTAATTAAATATTCCTGTCTCTGGCTTCACAGCCAAACACCCTGGCTGACGACGAGGACAGTATGCTCCACTTTTAAAGGACAGGGTTGGAAATTTGCTTATTCTAAATGCCTCTGATTATAGACATGTATATGTATGTCTGGGTTCTCTCTCTTTCTCTTTCTAAAATCTATTCCACTCACCAGATGCAAAAAACTCTTAACAAAACAATAAAATTTATAATGTGCAATACATTGACATTTGTAGTCCTATATTAGCTGTTAATTAGAGCTTATCCATAGACTAATCTGGATTTCAAATTAATAATTTAAGCAGTTTACCAACTTACAGATTTTTAGTTATTTATTAAAGCATTTAAAAATGAATTTAAAAAGGAAGAAAAGAGGAGAGTAATAGAGATCTAGGTGACAAGGACTATTGTAATTTTGCCACAAATTGTTCCAACTGAGAGGCATTGATTGCCTTGCCTTTGTTTGTTTGCTGGCTTGCTTCTGTTTGTACCTCACCACCTCCCTGAAGTAAGATGGCAATGAAATGGTACTGTGGCTGACCTTAGTTTTTCCCCAGACAATGGTAAGATATGGAGACTTTCCTCCCTTAAGAAAAGAGTGAATAGCAATTGTCTTGTGTGCCTTTCAATAACTAGTAAGATTAACCCCAGAGAAACCTCCTGTAGCCGAGACATTGATTGTTCTTTCTCATCTGGGCCAGAGTCTATTTGAGGAGACTCAGCCCCATCTTTAAAAGGGAAGGGGGTAAGGTAGAGGTCAGGAGTTAGGCAGTCTCATTTTCTTCTTTAGAATTCCTGTGCTCAGGACAGGTCTCTCCACACAGTCTAGCTGGGAATTGGGGCCATCACCCAGAGACTTGAGAACCTAAAAATGCTTTATTTAGAGACTTATATACTTTAGGGAGTTTTGTTTTTTATTTCTTGCTTCAACTTACCTGAAGGACTCCATTCTGTTTTGCTACAACTGATCAAACAACAGTCTTCTTACGTTATCCAAAAAATGAATGTCTGAAACAAAGCAGCAGAAATCCAAGGAATATCTTGAATAATTCTAGGTGCTAGATAAATGAAATTAAGATTGTCAAGGTCTCAAAAATGAGTCTTTTCTTTTTCCCTCTTTTTTCCTTTTGTTATTTTGATTTATACAATTTTAGAAACTTTTTCATTCTGATAGAAGGTATGTGAATTAGACAGTTGGAACAGCCAAAGTGTCTTTTGGAGCATCTTTCTTGTCAATATTCAAATAAAAAACATTTATGATGACCTATTAAGGTTTTAGGGCTCTTGTTAACTTTAGAAGTTACAGCAATGTGAATCGATAATATAAACATGCACAATTCAAGCCATTGTTTTAAGAAGATTTGATATTTGGTCTGAGTTGGGAAGTAATTAGTATTTAAAAAAAAAAAGACAGGGGAGTTGTGTGTGCAGTCCTTTCCCTTTACTAAGATAGCCACAGAGCTAAATCATCTGGATATGATCTATTTCTTACCTGCTGACTTTATAAATAGATTTGTATTTATCAGGCTAAGTTTTGTTCATATCTATGCTTATATGTATAATATCTTGTCTCTGATCTTCATTACCACCCTGAAAGTTGATATTCATCAGGTTAGATTGTCAAAGTTGGGCACAGCTTATAAGTGACCCATGTTGCTTTGAAGTCAATATTATTCCAATGCACCATGCTACTCATACATAATGATGTGGCATGGAAGTAAACATATGTGTTTAAAGAATGGCAAGGACTCCATGGGGGCTAGGTTGAGCATATATGTTGGAGAACAGCCAAGTTAAGTTTGAACAGAAGGATTAGGGTCAGTTAAGGAAGCTCTTCAAATACAAGAGGTGAAGAATGAACTCTATTCTGAAGGCTATAGAGGGTCATTTAAGTAAGACGATGGTGTGAATACTACTGAGATCATAAAGAATATAAATATTTCAATGTAACTTTCATTTTTCATACATAGGCACCTATGTAGAGCCAATAATATAATAATTACTAGTCAATAACACATGAAATAACACATGGAATTCAGTCATAAATCTTTTTACTAGACTAATTAAAAAGTAAACTAGGAGCCACAATCAGTTCTATTCATGGATTAGACTTCATTGATCCATTTTGATGCCAGAGGCAGGATTTGAACCTAAGTTCTTTTCATTTCTAGATACTCATTAAACAATTATATCTTAAGTACCAGCCATGTGCAACAAACATATGTTAAGTACCTGCTATTCACAACAAACTTATATTGAACACACGCTATAAAATTGGATGCTTTATAGATATCAAGAAGCGTAAAATAATGCCTCTCTTTCAAAATGCTTAAAATCTTGCTGCAGGGATTAGACTTAGTCATTTGAAAGCTTTATTAATAATAAAAGAGCAATAGAGTTTCACTAGTAAAAATATAAGGAAATACGTAATTATGTAGCAAGTAATGGTTCAGATAATATTAACTAAGTTGCCCACTATAGCAAATTATCTCCCATGTTCAAAGGGAAGATTCTATATACCTGTTACGAATGTCAGAATGTTAAATGAATAAACTTAGCAGACATTCAAATTGGATGCTTAAAGTGTTTCTAACCAATATATTACCAATATATTACAATTGCATGAAACCAAATCTGAAAATTTATACATCTATCTGGTGAGTTCCAAGTGAAGAGAATGTTACTTTTTTATTTAGGCACTTGACTTTAACTATCAGATAACAAAGGAAATGACTCATGGAAATGAAAGAGATGACAGGGTCCTACCACTGTGACTTTGTAACTACACCATAAATCAAGAGTAAAAGTCCTCAATGAAGTCAACCCATAGTCTCCTCTAGAAGGCTTCTTATTACTCTTTTTGCTCTTTAGTTCCATGTTTTTTGAAGTCTTTTTCATCTGTTGAAAGCTACTTGGGAGGCTGAGGCAGGAGAATCTCTTGAACCCAAGAGGCAGAGGTTGCAGTGAGCTGAGATCATGCCATTGCACTCCAGCCTGGCCAACAACAGTGAAACTCCATCTCAAAAAAAAAAAAAAAAGAAAAAACAGAAAAAAAAGACTCCTACTGATATTTGGACCTATTCTCTAGCCATAAATGGACTCTGAGAAGTGTTCATTACTGCCTCTGGTTTCCCCTTCAAGTTCAGTCTATCCATTTTGACTGAAGTCACCCCTTCCTGGATCTCACATATGATCACATGTGCTTGTGTAAGTCAGCTCATCTTCCATCTAGACAGTAAGGTCATCACTGTACCCATGGTGGAACAACCACTTTACCAAAGGAAGCATCTCACAAATGAAGAAACCACTCCCAACCACCTCCTCTGTAGAAAAGAAAAGCAGGTCATCCAAGTCATGTCCCATCTCAAATCTAAATCTAGCTCTATGTATTGGATTAGAGGGTGGCTATATATTATAAGGGGCATTAGAGAGGTACTCACATCCCTAAATAATCTGCAAAAGTGTGCTTCCCTGCAGTCAGAAGTCCATGCATTAGTAATCCTTGCATAAGACACAGATTTAAATGCAAATCTCCTCCCTATAGAGAGACATCCCTGCACATTAGCAACTTCAATTTTTGATTCACATAAAACCTACAGTTAGATGTCTCCTATAAGCTAGACAATTTTTAACAGGATTCAAGAACCAGGAAAGAAAATGTGACCAACATTATTGCTTGAGAGAGAAGAGCTTATTTGGGAGGTCCAAATAAGAGAATTTGCCAGGGTTCACAAGACCATTCATTAGCTGTCTAGGAAAGGAGGCATTTTTATTTTTTATTTTTAACTTTTATTTTAAGTTCAAGGGTACATGTGCAGGTTTGTTACATAGGTAAACTTGTGTCATGGGGGTTTGTTGTATAGATTATTTCATTACCCAGGTATTAGTACTCATTAGTTATTTTTCCTGATCATCTCCCTCCTCCCACCCTCCACCCTCCAATAAGCCCCAGTATCTATGTGTCCATGTGTTGTCATCATTTGGCTCCAATTTATAGGTGAGAACATGTAGTATTTTGTTTTCTGTTCCTGTATTAGTTTGCTAAGGATAATAGCCAACAGCTCCATCTATGTCCCTGCAAAGGACATAATCTCATTCTTTTTTATGGCTGTGTAGTATTTCATGGTGTATATGTACCAAATTTTCTTTATTCGGTCTATCACCAATGGCATTTAGGTTGATTCCATGTCTTTGCTATTGTGAATAGTGTTGCAGTGAACATATGTGTGCATGTGTTTTTATAGTAGAATGATTTATATTCCTTTGGATATATATCCAGTAATGGGATTGCTGGGTCAAATTGTATTTCTGCCTCTCGGTCTTTGAGGAATCACCACACACTGTCTGCCACAATAGTTGAAGTAATTTACACTCCCACCATCAGTGTATAAGTGTTCGTTTTTCTCCATAACCTCTCCATCTTCTGTTATTTTTTGACTTTTTAATAATAGACATTCTGACTTGTGTGAGATAACATCTCACTGTGGTTTTGATTTGCATTTCTCCAATGATCACTGATGTGGAGCCTTTTTTATATGATTATTAGCTGAATGTATGTTTTCTTTTGAAAAGTATTCATGTTCGTTGCCCACTTTTTAATGGGGTTGTTTTTTTTCATCTTTTAAATTTAAGTTTCTTATAGATGCCAGATATTACACCTTTGTTGAAAGTACAGTTTGCAAAATTTTTATCCCATTCTGTAGTTTAGACAAACTCTATTGACAGTTTCTTTTGTTGTGCAGAAGCTTTTTAGTTTCCATACACCAACAACAGTCAAGCCAAGAGCCAAATTGGGAATGAACTCTCATTCACAACTGTCATGACACACACACACACACACACACACAATACCTAGGAATACAGCTAACCAAAGAGGTGAAAGATCTATAAACCACTGCTCAAAGAAATCAGAGATGACACAAACAAATGGAAAAACATTCCATGCTCATGAGTACAAACAATCATTATCATTAAAATGCCCAAATTGCCCAAAGCAATTTAAAGATTCAATGCTATGCCTATTAAACTACCATTGACATTCTTCACAGAATGCAAAATAGCTATTTTAAAATTCATATGGAACCAGAAATAGCCTGAATAGCCAAGGCAATCCCAAGCAAAAAGAGCAAAGCTAGAGGCATCACACTACCCAACTTTAAGCTATACTACAGAGCTAGAGTAATCAAAACAGCATGATACTGTTACAAAAACAGGCATATAAACCAATGGAACAGAATAGAGAACCCAGAAATAAGACCACAAACTTACAACTATCTGATCTTTGACAAACCTGACAAAAACAAGCAATGAGGAAAGGATTCCCTATTCAATAAATGGTGCTGAGATAATGGGCTACTCATATGTAGAAGATTAAAACTGGACCCCTTCCTCATACCATGTACAAAAATTAACTCAAGATGGATGAAAGACTTAGACGTAAAACCCAAAACTATAAAAGCCCTGGAAGGCAAAACTAGGCAACACCATTCAGGGCATAGGCATTGGCAAAGATTTTATGAAGAAGATGCCAAAAGCAACTGCAACAAAAGCAAAAATTGACAAATGGAATCTAATTATAATAAACTAAACAGCTTCTGCACAGCAAAAGAAACAGGGAGGCATTTTTAAATGAAAGTTTTCATGACTATGAAGCCCCAACATTTTTTTTTTTAATTCCACAATCTGGCCAATGGCTAGGCTATAAAGTTTACCTAAGGTATCTGAGATTTTACTGAATTTGGAGACAGTTGAGCAACTGTGCCTCTTTCATTTTATCTACCCTTCTAAAGGTTAAGAATATTTAGTTATTTCTAGATTTTAGATATTCTCCCTTCATTAGCGCCATTAACAAGACGTCCCATCAGTGCAGACAGAACTCACTGAAGTTCATGACCCTGCTATGGATAAATGTTGGTTAAAGGATTCAGACCTAAGTCTGCCTCTTTATTTTAATTCATTATGTAAATCCTGAAACACTTCTTCAGATATATTCAAACTCTTCTTTATGTTGTAATCTATATGATAATGCCATGAAAATCTGATCAAGAATTCTATCCTACTCCATTCTTTGGTGATTTACAAACTGATGGTACCTACTCTGTCAGAAGACACTTCTCTCCAGCTATCGACAAATACATCAATTTTTAAGGTGGTTGAGTTGCATGTCTCTATTACCTGTCAGCCAACAAGAAGTGTGACTATGTTAATATATGCTAGTAAAAGAATGTAAGAGCAAGGAGATTACCCTAGCCATTCAATTCACCAATAATTTATTGAACTAATTTGTGCATAACACTGACCTAAATGATGCATTTGATTATTAATGGAAGGGAGGGAGGCTTAATGATAGTTGCCATTTACTTTATTACAAGAATTTTAGAAAATTTATCTTGTTTAAGAATTTCGGCACCATGTGAAACACAAATTATCCCAGATATACTTTTTAAGACGAGGAAACTAAGGCTTAGTAAGAATAACTTTTATCGAGGCCACATGAATATCTAGTGTTGAAGCTGCAATTTAAACCAGTTCCATGTCTCTGAAGCCAGCACTTGACACTTAACCCTCTAGTATATTACTCGCTAAATAGCCCTCTTAGTACTGCCATAGAGTAAATGTCCTCCCTAATCAGACTTGAGAGCCATCTTTGACATGGTAAAAATAGGTGGAAAGATGAAGCCTCTTTCTTTATTTTTATTGATTTATTTTTTTGAGATGGAGTCTCCCTCTGTCGCCCAGGCTGGAGAGCAGTGGCGCGATCTCGGCTCACTGCAAGCTCCGCCTCCCGGGTTCACGCCATTCTCCTGCCTCAGCCTCCCGAGTAGCTGGGACTACAGGAGCCCACCACCACGCCCTGCTAATTTTTTTTTGTTTTTTGTTTTTTGTTTTTTTGTATTTTTAGTAGAGACGGGGTTTCACGGTGTTAGCCAGAATGGTCTCGATCTCCTGTCCTCATGATCTGCCTGCCTCGGCCTCCCAAAGTGCTGGGATTACAGGCATGAGCCAGCGTGCCCAGCCTCCTCTTTCTTACAGCTTTTGTTTTTTGACTAACCAGATCAATGGGTAGCACATTAACGCAAACTATATATATGCTTTCTAACCAATTGTCAGGAAAGCGGAATTGGTCAACAAGCTCAGTCACAAGGTGAGGTTTAATAACTTGTTAATACAAATCGACATAGCATCTGGATTTCTTGCAGCTATAGCCTTTTCTCTTCTATACTCCCTTTGCCCAACCCACTGCTCCCAGTATCATACTCAGGTTAAGCAAGTATCTATGGCTTGCCTGCCTTAAATTCTGTTTTATTACCCTCCCAGTTCACTCCTCTTACCCTCCTATTGAGGCCACGCTGGGAACCTTGGCCTGTATATCTCGGATAGATATGCCTGACTAGTTCTTACCAGCTCCTCCAAGTAAAGCAGTGTTTCTCACTGCATTAGAACCATTAAGGAAAATTGTCATCTCCCTCTCTACCATTCATTACCTTTTCTACTCTGATTGCTAATCCTGGGTTGGGTTGCAGTTTTCTATAACATAACAAAATTTGAGAGCCAAATTCTAAGAGATGCTAGTGTTCATATCTCTTGCTGTAAAGTGTGATTACAGCATGGCTAGAAGAATTCTTGTAACCCTAGCATGTTTATGTCTGATTATATTACCCATCAAGGAAAAAATTCACTTTGCAAACTCTAACTTTCCTGTGAATACAGATTATGTCTGTCTTGTTTGCTAGTGTAACTTGAAAGGCACTTATAGGGCATGGCACATATTAAGTGCTCCACAAATATTTGTTTGATTTAAATCAATGGCTGGAAGACTGAACAGATGGAGCAATGGATGAATGACATTCTTGTTGGCTGAGCTAGCTTATTTCTTCTTCCCCACAACACATACCTTTTCCATATGATAGTAATAACCCTAAACTTCTCCTGAGCCTTGCAATTATGGCCTTGTTATATCACATCAGGCCAGTCTATTTCCCAAGATACCTGGATAAAATATATATGAATGATACTATGGATTAGGAGAGTTTTAGACAACCTAAGTGATGTATCAAGTTCTCCTATCACTCCTCTTTATCTCCTGGGAAAGTGAGTTTGTTGTGTTACACAACATAATTATCAAAGTGGCAAACACATCACATATTTTCTTATCATAATTTTAATTACTTTTGTTTGCTTGTCTTTGCCTTTTCCATTGAAAGCCTTCATTCATATTGACCCACTTCAATTTTGCTTAGTTTATAAATCCTGGTGAAATTTTAGCTAGAAGTGGCATGGCCATAGCTGAAGTTTATATTCATAAGTAACAATATGGGTAAGAACATGCCTTTGGTTTTTATGATAGTTTTTGAATCAGATTTTCAATGACTTAAAAGTTTTCTTAAAATGTGTACCATATGCCTACATTTTTTTGACATTTATAAAGAAGGTTATTCTGCGCCTGAGCTCTTTGGTTATCTGACTACTAGAGAATATGAGGCAGAGAACACTTACTGCAAAGAAAATGTTCTTTTATAGCATCCTTTAGTATGCATTATAGCTCTGAAAGAAATAGAAGCCAAGATTTCCAAATATATTAGTTTCCCAAAGTTATCACTCAACAATGTTTGACACAGCGGAGGCAATAGGTAAAGTTAGTACAGTCCTTGTTAAACCCTGGGTTTAATGATTTTTTTTAGGACATTCGTATTAAAATGGGATCGTTAAAAATATACTGCCATTCCAGCAGCAAAAAAATGCATACAATAAGTTCACACAATGCATACCAATAATGACTCAACAAAATAAATGGCAAAATGAAACCAGCATTGCTCACAGTGTGTTTAAAATAACCTTTAGGCATTTGATGAGTTTTATTGGTAACCATTTGGTGGCAAACTACTCAGTGTAAAAGAACAGTTTAAAAGCTAATAGGAAAAATCTGGCATTAATAACGTGGTAGAGTACAGTGAGAACAATAGTGAAGTTACTGCAGAAAGCAATGTATCTAGATAATTAAACTTAAGTCATTTTGGTTCTACAGCAGTAAAAGATATGCCTGCTAGGAACATGAGAGACCCCATATGCAAAGCTGACTCTAAGAGTAAAAAGTCGGCTTCGTGGTTACACAAATAGGTTGAAATAGAGTGTGGAGCAAGGCAGAGAAGTGTAGGCAGATCACTCGGATTCATTAATTATCCTCTCTCAGCTTTATTTTTCCTTCACTCAAAAGGTTATTACTATCGTTTTATTCTTAAATTATGTTGGTAAACACTATGCCTCCCTCTTAATCTGTGCCAGAATCATGAATAAACAACTTAAATGTGCAAAAGACCTTGGAAATGCATGCCAAGATAAACTATAGATAAAATTATCCATAGCTTGAAATTAAAGTTAAAACCCTAGTGCAGTTACTTAGTTGAGATATATGAGAATAGGCCAGTAGCATCTTTGTTTTTCCTTTTCTCAGTATGCATAATAATAAAGCAAACGTTAATAACATTTTTGTGATGCAGAGTGATTAATAAGCAATTAGGTCTGTGTCTAAATGATTTTGTTGGCAGTCTTCAATATGCGTTTCTTGGAAGTCTACTGCTGTCTGATACTGATTCTAACAACTAGTATAACATTTTTTTAAAAAATTATAGGATTGTATTAATAGCTAAACCATAACAAGAGTGGGTCTGGGCTCAGACAATGCACAGAATATGATCAGGGATGTTTAGGTATCAATGTAGAAGACACATTTGAAAGCCACCTCATCACTGATAATACAAAAAGGATGGTTGTGGGATCATCCTATTTGTTTTATTCTATTTATTATATTAAATTTTAAAATTTACAGTGTTTTGTGTTATGCTTTTCATCATTTTAATCTTGTCAAAAATCTAGATGAAAGGTACACTATATTGAACACGTTTTAAATTATGGGACCCTTGAACTCTATATTTAAAAAGAAAAAGCCAAGTAGTTTTTATTCTACCTAATCTAAACATACCTTTAAAATCCTGAATTCAGGCTGGATGTTGTGGCTCACACCTATAATGCCAGCATTTTGAGAAGCCAAGGCAGGTGGATTGCTTGAGCCTAGGAGTTCTAGACCAGTTTGGGCAAAATGGTGAAACCTCACCTCTACAAAAAATACAAAGATTAGCTGGGTGTGATGCCATGTGCCTGAAGTTTCAGTTACTTCGGAGGCTGAGGTAAGAGGATCAATTAAGCCCAGGAGGTCACGGCTGCCATGAGCCATGAGCGCACCACTGCACTCTAGCTTGGGAGACAGGGTGAGATCTTGTTTCAAAAAAATATAAAAGTAATAAAAATAAAATCCTGAATTCAAAGTTTGTTGAAGACTCAATAATTTCTTATACATGAAGACCACATGAAACTTTTCAATGTGTATTATTCACATTTAGTATTTTACTGAGTAAGCACAACAACTTTATGACACTGTATGATAAAGATGAGCTCCTGTGGGCTGATAAAGAAACCGAAGCCCAGGGAGTTCAGCAAACTTGTTCAAATAGAAAGTTTAGGTCTTGGACACAGAAACTCTGCATGTTTGAATTAAACACAGCATCAGCTGTCATGATAGAAAGGAAATTTTGAGTTCGAGTAATGAGACTCTGTTAGAATTTCACAAAATAGCTACTGAAAGTGTTCCAAACAAAAGAGTCAGGAATTTGGACACCACCACTACCACCGCACATACCCACCAAACCCAGATCATTCGAGGGAGGAGGCAGGAGAGGCTTTTGCTCTGCTTCACTTCAACAAATGACCCTGAATTTGGATTTGTAATATAAACTTTCAATACTTTTATACATTGAATTATTAGCAAGGGGAAAATGTTATTATCTCCTGAATGATATTCTCAAACATGCCAAAGTTTATTTTATATCCTAGAAATCTTCTCCCAAAAAACAATAAATGGCAGAAGAAGCAGGAGGGGGAGAGATGGGGAGGGAGCAGAAGAGGGAGCTGGAAGAAGAGGAAAGAACTTCCAGTCCCCACTTGCTCCTGAAATTTCTAGTCACAGACTTAGCATCATGATGCTCTTCAAATTCAATTTAGTGTGGTTTGATTATTAGTACAGAGCACCCAGAATGAGCTATGCTAGATGGCAACAGTATGTAAGGATCACTTCCTGATACCTTCTTCCCTCTTTTATTCCTGGCTCATGGCTTTGCTTTCTTAAAGCAAGAGGTGTCTGCAAGAATGGGGAGGGGGAGGCTGCTAGATGAGAAAAGAAGAAAGTAGCCTGATTGCAGCTTAGCTTTGTGAATTCAAGAAGTGTGTGTTTGAAAAATGAAGGTGCATAAGTTAGTGTAGCTCCAGGGCGCCAGCTTCCCTAGTGTTAGCATAGCTGACACACTGACAGTTTATATGGAATTTATGTGCCTATTTCCTCTGCTTTTTATGGGAAAACATGTTGTTACCTTACAGCTGCCCACATCACATGCCGCCAATCCACCTCTGAGCCATAGAGCACCTTTCTTGAGGAAACATACATACATCAAGGGCTTATGCATTTTTTACAATGTCGTAAGGGAAAAATAATAAAATATGGGTTATTGTGTACACCATTCCACAATTTAATTTTTTTTTATTTCACTGGCTTAATTGACTCTGACCATTTTTATTGCCCCTTTCCCCACCTCATCTCGCCATTTTAATTGTTTATGTGTTTGTGTACAATTGGATCGCATCTGGAGAAGGACAGAAGCTGTAACCACAACTTAAAAGCCAATTGCAGAGCTTTAAAAAGTAAATAAAGCATTTAAGCTGCCACATCAGTAGGAAGATCTATGCAAATGTAAACAGAAGGAAATGTACGTTTTAGAATGAAATGCTTAAAAATCAGCTCCTCTTTTCAATCACCTTCAGGAGCCCTGGATCCTTTGTGATCTCTGGCTGGTGGAAGGCAGTACACAAGGAAGCATGGCAGGGGTCTCGCTCTGCCTCTTCCCTTCCACTCCGTGGGCCAGAAGCTCCGCTTGGGCCAGAAGCAGAACCTTCACCTGAGCATACTTCAGAGGCAGGTTGTTCAATGGCCGAGGGCCTGGGGTCACTCTCACCTATTGCTTTGTCCCGCTGTCTTGCCCAGACTCTCAATGCCTGCGGCAGTTTTTTCCGGACACATCTCGTTTTCTACTTAGCCTTTATTCCTATTTTTTGAATGACCTGATAGGAGAAAAATAAGTGATTTATGCCAATTTACATTTCCCACAGTCATCTACACTTCCAAATAGAATCTCATTGCTATAAATCAATCTTTAATTGGGAAGTGAAGAATGTAATGCAATGAGAGAAAAATAATGGGGATAGATTAATGAATCCAAATCATAGAAGGCAACTTCTTTGCAATACAGGGGACCAACTGGCTCTGTACCCTTCAATAAGCAGTAAATGGAAATATGGTTCAACATTTATCTTGCCAGCTCTCCTCAAACTTGTATGCCCAGGTTTCTCAGGATACCCCTGCTTTGGGGCACGTTATTAGACAACAAAATGTGAAGGAGATTTTCACTTAAGGGGGAAAGATAATGTATGTGAAACTTAGCCTTCTAGTGAGTAGGTTGGACCCTAAATGATGTAAAGAATTCTCTTATTTCTCAAGCCTGTGTGTGTGTGTGTGTGTGTGTGTGGTGTGGTGTGTGTGTGTGCTTGTGTGTTTAGGTACATCTTGAACATTCCTGCTTGAAAATCTTAGAGTCAATGCTCTGATGCTTTTACATTGGCTAAGGTGGGTGCTTTAGCACTGAATTTTGTACCTCTCCACCAAACTACCTTTTGAAATAAAAAATATTTTCTAAGTATATAGAAAAAACTGTCATAACCTAAGATGCTGGCCCCAGAAGGATTGCCTTGTAGTAGTTAAAGGCAAACAATCAGCACCTCCTGCAATCTGCCTGCTGATATTTCCTTTCCTCTCAGGGTGCCTGGTGAATTATGGAAAAATCAATGAAGTCTTCTTGTGTCTTGTTCTCCTCCTTGTAATGCTTTATCCCCCAGAATGACACATCTCCTTCCTTTAGTACTCTGTAGCAAAACTGAGACAGGGCTAGACTATTTAACTAACACATTTAAAAAGGATCTGCAATAACAAAGCAAACCCAGTTTTATGAATTAATTTGCCTTCTTGCCAAGATGCAGCTTATTCATCTTTGTGTTCATTCCACCCTGGGACTGGTCCCTCCTGTAACTCCTAACCTGCCTCCACATAGCACAGGTCCTGTTTAACCCTGCCTGTTGAAAATTCTCAAAGTTCAGGTCAAGAAAAGTCAAGAAGTCAAGATAGTTTACTTCAAATACATGAGATTCTATCATGTGGGATTTAAATTTGACTTGCTTTGTGCAGTTCTGGTGTGTGAAATTATGATCAATGAAGGTGACATGAAGAAAAAGCTCAGCCCAGGATAAGTAAGAATCTTCTAATGAGCAGCCCTAGGTTACAATGGAATGAGATGCTTTTTGAGACAAGGAGTTTGAAGTAGAGCTTGGAAGAGCAACAAAGACATAGACACTCACATTTAAGGGCTGGAATGATTTTAACTTGCCTATAGAGCAACCAACCTCTTTACCTGAAGGTCTATGACTCTATCATGGTCTCAATATAATGTTAAGATTCTTAAAGAAAGGTTTCCAAAGTAGAGGCCCCACACTGATTTAACTCACCCTCCTGTGAGGTAGAGATGGCATTTGCCAAATTTTAGATCTGCACGGATGGCTAAGGTGGAATAAATTCTGGGAGGATGCGATTACCTGCAACACATAAGCCTTTGTGATATCACAGACAGCAGGGTGGTATTTGTTCTCTCTTGCAGTTATTTAGATAATGTTTTGGATAAGTTTTCAGTTTGGTTTTATCTCTTATTGCTTTTAGGTTTCATGTATGCTTATCCTATTTATAAAAGGGTTGTGTATGTCTTACTTCACATCTCTCTTAGCATTGTTTCTGAGGGATAGAAATATATTATGCATTTTTCTTGTCCTTCAGTTGTTCCTCCAGATCAGGAATATATACGAGAAGAAATATGACAAATGTAATCTGCTCTCCTGCAAACCTGAATTTATTTAAAGTGAAAAGGCAAAGAGATCAGAAAGTCTGTGTAGCAAAATTTGTACAGTGTCACCTGACACTGACATAGAAAAAATAGGAAAAAACTTCAACTTCTTGCAGTGGGTAATGCAATAAACAAGAAGAATATGGTTGACAGTATGCGTATGTGTGTATGTGTACGTGCACGTGTGTGTGTTTATGCTTTCATTGAAAGGAGCCATTTGAAAAGCAACCCATTTTGATAGATGTTTTTCCTATATCCCCTAAATTTATTCTTTAGAAAACAATAAAAACATAGCAAGACTGGCCTGAGAGCCAATCTTAGAGAGTAGTCAACTCCCTCATTTTAGTGATGGGGCACTTGAAGTCATGGGGGACAGGGGTGGTAAAACGTCTTGTCCACAGTTGCACAGCTCTTTAATGGCAGAACCAATACTTTGCAGCAGTTTATTGCTCTTACTATCATAGCACCTCTTAGACAAACCACCGATGAATTGTCCAATGTCTTGAGTGATTGGGGGTTTAACAAGATTGCTATTGAAGTTAATTTTGTGCATCAACCATAGTGAATTATAAGTTTTTCTTTTCTTTTCTTTTCTTTCTTTCTTAAATGGAGAGGTGGTCTCTCTATGTTGCCCAGGCTGGTCTCAAACTCCTGGACTCAAGCAATCCTCCTGCTTCGGTTTTTTAAAGTATTGGAATTACAGGCGTAAGCCACTGTACCCACCTGAAAGTTGCTTTTCATAGGTATCCTAGTGTACATGAAAGTGACATGAAGCTCACTATGTTTTTGGTAGAGATTGAGCCTTAAGGATTACTGATATGACAAAATATCTAACATTGATTGAATGTTTGTCCTGCCCATCTCACTTCTAATTGTTGTCATATATTAACCTTAGATAATCCTTAATACAGAACAACAATGTAACTAACATAAATATTCTACTTCACAGAATAAGGAAACTGAGATTCAGGGCGTGTGCCCAATTTCACAGTTCGTAAGATTGGAAACAGAATTGTAGTGTAGGCAATACCACTCCAGGAGCTGCTTTTCTTAACCACCAAACTATTTTGTCCCCCTGCAGAATTAGCATATTACGGATGGTTACCTATGCTGTGTGAATTAAAAAGAGGTAACAGTCACAGAATGTCTTTTCTTTGTCTTCATCAGTTCCTGAACTTTCTAGTGAATCTAAGCATTCTCAGCAGGCGTGTGTCTGCGTGTGTGTGTGTGTGTGTGCATGTATGTCTGTGTGGTGTTCACATATGTTACATAAGAAAAGTACTATAGTATTTAAGTTTATTACCACTACATGGTTCATTGTCACTTTAAAAAAGAGAGCTCTAAAAAAGGCACTCAGGATGGGTAATGTTTTGAAATGTGTTTGGTGGAAGCAGTGGAAAAATCTAGCTTCTAAAAGGATTCATCTAGAATCCAAGTAAGATAAATTATGCTAGTAAGAAGCTTCAGAAATTTAGGGGAAAAAAGAGAAAGAACTAGGATTCCAGAGAGAAAGAAAACAAAAACAAACAAAGAAACAAAACAAGACAGAAGATGCAAGGAGTTGGCAAATATATACAATACATATACTGGCAAATATATGGGTATTACAGTATGTATGCCTGTATAACCTGCTTCATAATTTATGCTCCTATATACAGTTGTTTAACTCTTATAGCTGAAATTACAGCACATATGTCCACTCCTATCCTTTATTAACTGAAGTCCCATTTTATGTTCAGTGCCTCTTCAGTCTTTTCATTAAGTTTCCTCTACCCTGACTCAGGTCATTAGAACTTCACCTCTGGATTGGTGTACTAGTTTAAATATTATTATATGAATTTGTCGTTTGAACACTGCTCCTTTTTTTCTCCAGTCCCTCTTATTCCATTTTAATCAAGCCATTTGCTAGCTTAAATGTCTTCTTTAGGCTTCTATCTTTCAAAACATAAAACTGTTTATCGTAGCGTTCAAGTTCTAACCTGAACCTGACTTTACAACCTGCGACTACTTTGACAAGTCCAGTCAAATGGATCCATTGTCCACTCACAGAATGTGTTCTATCTTCCTATTTCTGAAACTTTATGCCTGGCATCTCCTCCACTTAGAATTTCCTCCCCTATTTCTGACTTCTAAATCCTAACCCTTCTCAAGGTCCAGCTCATCTGCCACCTACTTCTGAAAGTTTTCATTGTTATATCAGAAAAATAGTTTATAGTGAATTCTAAAAGATCTTTAATAATGCAATGCCAATTGCATGCTTCCCTGAATTATAGTTATTTGTATGTAAGTTAAGAATATTCAATAGTGACTCAATCAATGTCTTCAAACCCCCTGTATTGCTGGACACATTTTTCATAAGCCTAAATCATAATATGTTCCATTCCAACCCTGTCTCTAGAAATGTACTTGAAATTAGGCTTCATAAACATAAGAAGTTCTAAATGAAGCTCTGATAAATGAATACATGATAAATGTTTCATGATCTGTTCACTTGCTGGCTTTCTGACTCCATCCTTTCCTGGTCTCTCCTATACTTGTAACAGTGGAGGGAGGCTCAGCATACTGACTCCATTTTGCCTCTGAGCAGCACAACCCCCCATCCCCTGAGCCATGCCAGCAGTAGTATCTTTTAGATTAAAAGTTTCTGCTTAACTTTGCCTGTAAACCAGCTAATTATAGGAGGAATTTAGCTTGCAGTGCAGCTTTAAAACAAAATAATAGTCCCTTTCTCAAAACTAACTCCTGAGGAGATAAGGAAATGTTAAAGACTAACAGGAACACTATGACCTGATCTACTTCATCCCAACCAAAGTCAACTGACGAAGAACAAAGAAGTGTTACAACTTCTTTGAATCTTCACTAGTGCCCAGATGTCTATGGTCTTAGGGCACCTTTTAGCCTCAACTCCCTCTTCTCCTCCCTTCCCTTAACATGAAAAGGAGTCTGAAGTTAATACTTACTAACTTAAGGTGATCCTTTAGGATGCTATTCTATCATCTTCTTGGTTAGCTGGCTGTGTAAATGAAGTTGCTTTCCTTGCCCCAAAACCTTGTCTGTCAACTTACTGGCTGTTGTGGGGAGAGTAGTGCAAGACTGGACTCAGTTACATATTCACTACTAGTTACTATGTGATATGGTTTGGCTGTGTCCCTACCCAAATCTCATCTTGAATTGTAGCTCCCATAATTCCCACATGTGTGGGAGGGACCTGGTGGGAGATAATTGAATCATGGGGGCGGTTTCCCTTATACTGTTCTCCTGGTAGTGAATAAGTCTCACAAGATCTGATGGTTTCATAAGGGGTTTCCCCTTTCGCTTGGCTCTCATTCTCTCTTGCCTGCTGCCATGTAAGATGTGACTTTCACCTTCCACCATGACTGTGAGGCCTCCCTGGCCACATGGAACTGTGAGTCCATTAAACCTCTTTTTCTTTATAAATCACCCAGTCTTGGGTATTTCTTTACCAGCAGCATGAGAACGGACTAATAGACCATGCTTCTTTTGTGATTCCTCAAAACTTCAAGAACAGGCTCCCTCAGAGTTTTGCTCTTGTTGGAATGCTTTTCCCATGAATATCAGCCAGACTTATTCTTCCAGTGGAAGGAGGCCTCTACTCAAATGTTACTTGATTATAAAGCCTTCTTTGACCACCTTATATAAAATAGTAGTGTTTTCACACTACTGCAATTTCCCTGGCCCTGCTTTGTTTTCTTTATCCACTTGTCATCACCTAGCATTTTACTCATTCATGTATTTGTTTATGATCTGTCTCTCTCCATCTGAAACTAAATTCCATGAGAACATGGAATTTGTATTACTCATGGAAAGCATGCCCAGGATCTAGCAGGACCTCAATTAATATCTTTTGAATCAATAAAGAGTGAATTATTTAGTAGTTAATTTTTTTGTTGATTTTAACAGGACATGAATTAAAGAGAACGCTGAAAGCATCAGGACTCCCTAATCAAGATAATTTTAAATAAAACTATAAAGCAAAGCTATATATTATACTTTATGCCACCTTAATATACAGATAAAGGAGTTTGACTCAACAGTATTGAGCCCAAGTCTGATCCATTCTCTGGACCCAACTGCCAGTTTGTAGGAAATTCTGAGGACAGTGGAACATGTTGAACTGTACCAAGAGTCTCCTCTCAGCAGCAGACAGACCACGGGAGACTCTCTATAGGTCAAACACCTAAGAGTTTTCAGCAGATAAATTATAAAGACAAGAAGAGGCTGAAAGGAGAACTTATAGATAAAAAGAGACATATTAAGTTTAAAAATAGGCAAGATAAAGCTAATTTAGAGATCCACACTTGGGTGATAAACTATAAAGCAACACATGGAGGTGATTACTATGAAAGTCAGAAAAGACAGTACATGTGGCAGAAGGGAAGGGCTGAGTTAGGACACAGTCCATGGATGGACTTCTGGGGTGGGTAGTTTCATTTTTTTGACCTGGGTGGTAAGTCAGGAGAACTTGCCTTACACTGAGAAACTAAGCTATGTATTGTGCATGTATATATGTGTGTGTTCGTACGTATAAAAAAATGAAATGTATTTTACAGCAAAGTGAGGAAACAAAAAGCTTGGCGCCAAAGTAGAGGGTCTATACTTTAAAATTTCAACTTTTTCTCCTGTGCTGTTTGCTCCATGTTTACTGTCTAGTGCCTGTGTCCTGTTATCTACCATGAATGCACTGAACAATGCATTTGATGAATTCTGGAACTTAATCCCTCTGCCTCACTAATTCTACCCATCCTCATCTCTCTTTCACTTTCTACTTTCCCACTGAATTCCAGAATCAGTCTGTATGCTCAGTGCCTTGTCACCTGCTGCTTATGTAGCCCTAAGAAAATCACTTTCTAATTTCCTTATTAGGAAGAAAAGAGGGGAGGGAAGGGAAGAGGAGGGAAGGGAAGGGAAGGGAAGGGGAAAATGAGGAGAGAAGTAAGAGGAAGGAGAGAAGAAAGAAACAAAAAATAATTTATTTATATTGTGTATTTGCCCATAGCTCTACCTTGAGTGAAAGAGAGAATGAGTTGGGTGTCAATGAAGATTCTGTTTATTCATTTATTTTCCAAACGCAGGAAACATTGGTCCTCAAACAGCTTTAAGGATAATTAAAGCAATGATGAAATATATTGATTGATTCCAAATTTCCTCAAAGGAGTGATTGCATTTTGGACTTTGAGAAATTCCAAAGGAGATTGCAAGAGAAGAGAATCTTGATCCTGGACTGTGTCAGGCATGGTTTTTTTTTTTTTCTTCTTCTCCTTTCTTACTGTTATTAAAATTGCAGCTATGGATACACACAGACAGGAAGAATGTGCCCAGTGCTTAATAATATTTAAAAAAAGACCCCCACCATGTCACTGCACATCAGTGGACATGTTACAATGTTCTATAGACACTCAATCAATAGTTTAAAAAGAAAACAATCAATATATGAACACTACAGAAGCCCACAGCCAGAGTACCTTATGGAAATGTTGGCAGTTTCTCTAATGGTGCAAAGTGATGGGACTGGTATTTTTTTGCTTCTTTGGGAACTGCAATGGAATAATTTAATTTAATATGGTCATGATCTCAAGAACACAGAGAAAAGAATTAATTTTTCCTCCTGGGGAACTACAGCTCTGGTAGCTCCTTTGGCTCATTTCCCTGCCCTGAGGTACATGATGGGTTGCATCCCCAAAACTGGCAGCCTCTATGTGGCTAGGCAGCAAAAACCCTCTCATGAAGGGCAGGTGAGCCCCAAAACAGGGGCTTAGACCAAGGGGGTTCTTGGTTTCTCCCAGGAAAGAGTTCAAGGATAAGCTGGTGGCGTTCACAATTTTTATTGGAGCAGCAGTAAGGAGCAGCAGCAGAGACACTTCTCCTTGTGGAGCAGAGCTACACCATAGGCAGTGTGCCCAGAATAGCAGTTCAGAGGCAGTTCTGCTGTCTTATTTATACTCACTTTTAATTACCTGCAAATTAGGGGGTGGTTTATGCATAAATTTCTAGGAAGAGTCATAACTTCCAGGTCATGGGGTCACTGCCATGGAAAAGGGTGGTAACTTCTGGGAGTTGCCGTAGCAGTGGCAAACTCACATGGCACACTGGTGGGCATGTCTTATGAAAAGCTGCTTCTGCCAGCATTGTTTTAGCTGGTCCTCAATTTGCCCTGGTGTCTGAGCCCCACCTCCAGAGGGGAGTCCTGCTTTGGTTCTTTGGTTTCTACCTCACCGTGTCCTCTGTATGATAGGAGCAGAAACTAATATTGATCATGTGTACTAAGAATTCTAGGCACTGAGCTAAGGCCTCAGATTTACTGTCCCACCATACTCTGCAGGAGACTCTACCATAACTATCATAATTAGATAAAGACACATCGGTTTAGAGGGTTTAGGAGACTGCCCTCAGCCAGAAAGAGAGGAGATGGAGTTTTCAATCCAGTAGAGCATTTCAAAGCCAATGCTTTCAAAAGCAAACGCCTCACTATTTATAGTTCTACCAAAATTGCATATTATTCCTCAGGTCATCAAACATCACAGGGTGAAATCTTAAAATATTAGCCTTGTGATAACACTGAAGGGGGCAAGATGAAGGAGAAATTCCATAACATCTTGTATTGGAAACCTGGAGTTCAAGTCGAAGCATACACATTCACGGGCTCTGTGATCTAAAACAAGTTTCTTATTCTCTCTGGGCCACAGTTTCCTTATCTGTAAAAGAGACACTTATCTTATACCTTTTAGCTAAAAAGGTGGAATAACAAATGTGAAAGCTTATAATACACTCTTAAGGGTCATCTGAATATAAGTTGTTGTCTATGAAAAGGAAACTGAGGCCTAGAAATATTAACTGGCTTGCCTAGAGCCACAGCACTGGTTAGATGGTTAAGGCCTGAGCTGAAAAGTCAAATCTCTTGGCACATATTTATAAACTTTCACTCAACAAGCATCCAAAACTAAATTGAATTAATACCTATTAGTCTTGGGGCCATTATAGGTAAAATAGTAATTTTTAACACTGTGCTTGGCACACTGTAGTTAATCAATAAAAGTAAGGTATTATAATAATTATTATTACCTTCTCTTAGCATTGTTCAAAATAAAAAATCAGATAAGAAATATAAAAATATTATTTAAATAATAATATGCTCTACTAATAGTATCAGGCAAAGTTAGGAGATTGTGTTCAGTATCTTCTTCAAATTTAACAACTTCTAACTTAATCACATATATTGAGTCCAGAATTGTTTGGCCATGATACTATCAGAAAGATAACAATTAATTCTTTCTGCAAGGGAAATTACCTTCCAGTCCAACCCAATTTTTAATTTGAATTGTCTCATAACCCCAATCAATGCAGACTTCCAATCTCTCTTTTTCCTCAGTAGCCAGTGTAGGTTTAAAAGGCTTTAAAGGAAATTCAACTATTTCCACCTGTGTTTGTTGTAACTGTAATCATCTCTCTCTCTATTTGGGACTCAGAGAGAGGGTGCAATGCCAGTAATCCTTTGGTTTGCAACCTAAACTATGTGCTTCTTCAATGCGTCCTTGAGCTAGAGGCCATTTCTAGGGGTGAAGTGAATGAATCATTCCATAAGGACATCTGCTCACACCCTACCTGCTTCAATTGCCCTCAGTTTTGTACAGCTGAAGCTGGGTCATATTTAAATAATACCTGGGTAGGTACAGGTATGGATGTGTGGTAGAAAATGGGCAGGAAAATAGGAATTAGCAGTACAATTAGGGTAAAGGCCGTTCTCATTATTTTAGATGCGAGTATTGACAAGGGCAGAGCTACAATGCACCATTAGTCCTTTTAAAGGACTTGCCACATCCTCATGAAGTTCTCGATGGTAATTTGATATCCTTATCTCTGGCTCCTGGTATAGACCCCACAACTGCAGACCAGGGTTCAATTGTGTCTTGGCAGCTCACCTCTCTCTGCTGCCCCTTGCCGCACCTGAGCTCCAAATAGCTGCTGAACTTCTTATGAATCAGAAACACGTGGGTCCAAATCAACTGGCCCGACTCCTCTCTCTATAGCAGGAGATGTGTTTTCTCTGTTTAGCCTGCACAAAACAAAAGCCAATATTGGTCCCATGGCTCCTCCGTAGTCAGGAGATGGCGACACAGCTGGGTGAAGCCAATGACAGCCTCTCCTTAGAGCTGAGGGGTTTTTCAACTTGTTTTCTTTTTTAATTTGTCGACCTATGCTCTCTCCCTGCGTTTTGAAAAGGACATAAGAAGTCTGAGCCCAGGAGCTTCCCACCAGTAGTGCCTGCCAGGAACTGAAAGGACCAATTAGCAGGGTCCCCTATCCGGATTTCTCCTCCTCTGGCTGACTTGCTGGGGACTCATAAATTACCCATGCTGAGGCAGACGCCAAGACCCTGGGCACTTGCTCACAGCTCTTCAGACACCACAAGCTGAACAGGAGCTTCCCTGTGAGAGGGCCTGTGGGACTTTCACTAAATTTGCCTCAGTGGGAAATCAGTGGTTAACTAGGTCATAGGCAGCTGATGAAATCTCTAAAGGGCGTGAGTATGCTAGGGACTAGCTTTCTTTAGAAAAGTTTGTTCTTTCGTCAAGGAGGGAGGGTTGCAAGAAGCTATAAAAGGGGCCAATGCTTTAAGAAAGAGAAGGGAGGGAAGACAGGAGGGAAGGGGGTGAGGGAAGAATACAGGAAGGGAAATTCTACATTTTAGTTGCTTCCCAAAATAAACAGAGATATTTGGGTGACTTGAGATATTAGGACCTGATATTCATAATAAAGTCTGAATGAGCAAGAATTTGGATGTGTAAGTTTACAAGCAACCACCTTATATGTCATTTCCTTTCATTGTGATGGACATAAACTGGGACAGAGTTGGACATAGGTCCTCTTGTTAAGAATTATAAACACACACACACACACACACACACACACACACACACACACATATATATATATATTTTAAACACCAAACTGTTGTATTGGTCTGTTTCCTCAAGTAAAAGATTGAACTAATTTTTTTCCCAACATCCTTTGTGTTCTCACTAATAAAATATTAGTTTTCTTCGGATATGTACCTCAAACTTAATTTATTTAAAAGCAACCTTCCCATCCTCTCCTTCACTCACTACCCTGTGGGTCAGTCCCTGACCTAGGGGCATTGAGGACTTCTCCTTCCCATTCTATCCAGTCATGAGCCACATTCTGCCAAATCCATGCCTATAATGTCCCGCATGCTTGTACTCTGAATGCTTGTGGCCAGACCCTCATTTCCACTGGCTGGGATGGCTCAGACTGTCATAATTGACATTCCTGCTACTGGCTTACCTCCTTTTCTGTCCTTGCTACACACTACTGTCATAGGTCTCATTCTAAAATACCCTCAGAAAACTAACAACAAATATGGAATATAATCATTAATCGCCAATTAGTCATTCAGGGCCTTCTACACCTAGACCAGCTTTCCCACCTTGTCTGGATTTCTCCCTTCACCCCATAAACTGCCCACTTCAGCCACAGTGGGCGTACAGTACACTGCATTTCTCTAGTTCATGCTCTGCCACTCCCTGCATTGCCTTTCCTACTATCTTTACTTCTCTCATGCAGGCATCTAAAATAGATGATTTTAGATTTGCACCAAGGCAAATGTGACCTCTTGTGTCTCACCTCTTCCCTCCACTGCTGAAGCACCATATCCCCAAGAGAAATTTCCTGAACGCTCAAATTCAAAATATCCCTTTCCAACCCTTTCAACGTTTTAGTTGTAACCATGCTATAGACCTGTTCTGTCTGGTACAGTAGCCGCTAATCACAGGTTGCTACTGAGCTCTTTTAATGTGGCTAGTCCATATTGAAATGTGCTACAAGGGTAAAATGCAGACTGGATTGTTATGACTTAATATTTAAAAAATTAAAATATCATATTAACCATTTTTTATTGATTACATATTAAAATGATAATATTTTGGACAATAATTTGAATTTATTTGTCAAAATAAATATATTATTGGAATCAGTCTCACTTGTTTCTTTTTACCCTTCTAATGTGACTGCTAGAACATTTAAATTTAAAATTACATATGTGGCTGAAGTATGTTTCCAATGGACAAAGCTGCTATAGAACATTTTACATGTCATCTTACATTAATGTGTTGGTCTCCCTCCCCAGCAGATTGTAAACCACAGGAGGGCAAGAAGCAGGTTATTCTCTTTCATCCACAGTAGTTGCATATGTAGGGAACTCAATAGAAATTATTTGAATGAAATTCCAGATATAGGTAGGGTTTATTAGTTCATTCTCACATGGCTATAAAGAATACTACCTGTGCTAGGCCTGGTGGCTCACGCCTGTAATCCCAGCACTTTTGGAGGCTGAGGTGGGAGAATCACCTGAGATCAGGAGTTCAAGACCAGCCTGGCCAACATGGTAAAGCCCTGTCTCTACAAAAAATACAAAAATTAGCTGGGCATGGTGGCTGTACCCATAGTCCCAGCTACTTGGGATGCTGAGGCAGGAGGATCACTTGAACCCCAGAGGCAGAGGAGGTTGCAGTGAGCCGAGATCATGCCATTGCACTCCAGCCTGGACAACAGAAGGTGACTCCGTCTCTAAAAAAAAAAAAAAATTACCTGAAACTGAGTAATTATAAGGAAATAAGTTTAATTGACTCAGTTTCATAGGCTTAACAGGAAGCATGGCTAGGAGGCCTGAGGAAACTTGAAATCATGGTGGAAGGTGAAGGGGAAGCTGGCACCTGCTTCACAAGGAGGCAGAAGGGAGTGCAAGCAGGGGAAATGCCAGAAGCTTATAAAACCATCAGATCTCCTAGGAATTCACTCACTATTACAAGAACAGCTTGGAGAAAACTGCCCTCATGATCCAATCACGTCCTTCCCTTGACACGTGGGTATTACAACTCCCTCCCTTAACACCTATGGATTACAATTCCAGATAAGGTTTGGATGGGGACACAAAGCCAAACCATATCATGGGGCCTTTGCCTTTTTAAAACATTTGGTCTTTAATAAGTTTGCTTGTTATTTGTCATTTCTTTTCTGTTGGTTTCTCTCTATTGGATTTTTTTTTGGTCCTTTTTTGTTTATTTGCAAAAGTCATTTATATATTCTAGATACACATTTTACATACATAAGTTACAAACATCTCCTCTCTGTTTATGAATTGCCTTTTATTCTCTTGTTAAAAGAGAGTTTGTTATGGACAAGAAATTTAAGTTTAATGCAATTGAATCTGTTGACTTTTCTTTTATAATTTAGCATTTTGAGTGCTATTTAGAAAATACGTTATACCTATCCTGAGTCATAAAAAGATTTGTCTTTATTTTCTTCTAAAATGTTTAAAATTTGACTATCAGATTTAATTTATTGATCTATCCTAAACTAATTTTTGAGATGGTGTGTTCTTTTTTTTTTTAATTTAGTATTGCTATGCCACCTCTATAATCTCAAATTTAGTGTTATATTTCTAGTAGATAAGAGTAGACTTCACTTACCTAGGAACTGCTATGAGGGCAAAGTAGAACGGTTTGGATAGTTCTTTTTGACAAGTAAAAATACAGAGGCTCAGCTTCTACTTGGAGAGAAGATTTAACAACTCCAGGATCAACCCAATGGATTTTAGATTTGCACAAAGGCAAATGTGACCTCTTGTGTCTCCACCTCTTACATCCAGGCTGCAAGCAACCTTAAACCCTTCTCATACAATTTCAAGAATCTTAATGGTGATAGGTTCCTTGTTGCCTGTTACCATTATTTCTCAACTGTGTTTTCACTGCTGCTAGGGACTTCTACAAGATAACGAAAGATAGAGGCAAAGAGAGAAAAATAACCTTTCATATATGTGAGACAAGGCAAAAAACTTTGTGGAGCTGGTAGATGGGCATATTTTGTGGGTAGAAGATACAGAAACAATTAACACCTTACATGTTTTCTAGAAGTTTAACAAAAAGAATGCTTTCAAAAGTAGAAAATTATATTTTAAATATAAAAAAATGGATAAATATAAAATACAAAAATATAAACTATAGATATATCAATCATTATTCTAAAACTAAAATTATCCTGTTTACATTTATTATGTATTTATATATTATTAATATATTATGGGTATTTTTCCATGCCACAAAATATTCTTTGCACATAAATTATTAAAGATTGTTCCATTCTATGAATGTTCCAACTCTCTTTTTGATTGGGTTTTTTTTTTTTTGCCTCTCAGAGTTTTAGTCATTGTAAGTAACACTAAAAGTATATGTATATTTTAAACAGATTTTGGTTATATCATAGTATTTCCTTGGAACAACTTCTGTAAGTGGAGTGATTGGATTAAAGGAAATGTATATTATAAAATCTTTGATACATGCAAGCTAGAGTAAATATATAGACTAATTTTAGTAAAAAAGCACTTTTTTGCATTTTATTCTTGTTCCAGAATGATGAACTCAACATATTTTCTGTCATATGGCAGAGATTGAAAGATTATATCTTCCTTCCTTTACTGTATGAATTGCTAATGATTTGGGATCTGTGTTCCAAGGAATAGTGAACTCTATTGCAAAAGAATGAAAAGAGAACAGGATTTAAGGAGAAGGCCAAAGAAATCAACAGTACTTGAGAGGGAAAGAGAAAAATATCAAATAAAAAACAATTCCAGGCTGGGGCATGGTGGCTTATGCCTGTAACACCAAGTCTTTCGGAGGCCAAGGCAGCAGTATCTCTTGAAGCTAGGAGTTTGAGACCAGCCAGTGCAACAAAGCAATAAAGCGGGACCCTATCTCTACAATAAAACATACCAAATAAACAAATTAATCAGGTGTTGTGGGAGACCTGTATTCCCAGCTATTCGGAAGACTGAGCCCAGAGGATCCTTTGAGCCCAGGAGTTCAGAGGCTTCAGTGAGCTATGATTGTACCACTGCTCTTCAGCCTGGGTGACAGAGTAAGACAAGGGAGTGGGGGAGGGAAAGGAGGAAGGAAAGAAGGAAAGAAGGAAGGAAGGAAGGAAGAGAGGGAAGGAGGGAGGGATGATGTGGGAGGGGGGGAGGAAGTGGGAGGGAGGGAGGGAAGAAACAAAGCTATAGGATAGTGGGATGAAAGGTGGTAGGATGATGGGACAATAAATCAGAGATTTTAAATACAAAAGGGTGAGGGGATTTCTTAAGCATTTACTCTTTTTTAAGAGCACAGGACTCAAGTAAAATTAAAGACTTTAAGAAGAAAGGACTTTTCTAAAACAAAATGATCAGAGAACGGTGGGATAAGTGAATAGGAGAACAAATACGTTCCCTGAGAGAATGGACACTGATCCTCATCATCCCTAATTTGAGGCAGAGCCCACAGGAGCTGTAGTGATGACCCCCTGGAGCAAAGAGTTGCTAGATCATCTTGGGCACACTGTCCCAGCAGTACAGGATGTGTCTTCTGACTTTGCCCACTGATGCAGTTTGGCTGCGTCCCCACCCAAATCTCAACTTGAATTGTAGCTCCCACAATTTCCACGTGCGGTGGGACAGACTCAGTGGGAGGTAATCGAATCATAGGGGCGGGTCTTTCTTGTTCTGTTCTTTTGGTGGTGAATAAGTCTCATGGGTTCTGATGGTTTTATAAGGGGGTGTTTCGTTGCACAAGCTCTCTCTTTGCCTGCTGCCATCCATGTAAGATGTGATTTCCTCCTCCTTGCCTTCTGCCATGATTGTGAGACCTCCCAAGCCATGTCGAACTATGAGTCCATTAAATCTCTTTCTGTATAAATTACCCAGTCTCAGGTATGTCTTTATTAGCAGTGTGGAAATAGACTAATACACCTACAGTCATCTCCTTCTGCAACAGAAGTGAGCAAGAGGAAAGCCTGCCTTGCCACAAGACTTGCTGGTTCTTTCTGAATTTGTAGACCTCACAAAGCCTAACTTCTAGTTAAACAGACAGACTTCCAAGTATACAGGCTAACAACTAGACATACAAGTAAATGAGCAGAATATGGTCAGGAGCAAATAATTAGGACAGCACAGTAGAAAGTAAGAAGGGTGCCTACTTTAGATAGACTAAAGATCAGCTAGGGAGAGACTATCAAAGGAGGTGATGTTTAGGCTGAAGTCTTAGGGATGAGCAGAGGTGAATCAGGTGGAGAACAGCATTCCAGGTAACTGATGTACACTGAAGCCCCCAGGAGGGTAGAAACAGCCCAGCATTTGATGGAGGAGCAGGTGAGTGCAGGGCACTGAGTAAGCAAGATGGCTAAGACCTGAGGCATGAGGATGAGTTTAGTTCATATGTCTAAGTGTACAAGAAGTGGTCAAATACAGTCATGCACGCATAACAACATTTTGGTCGAAAAACCTCATATACAGCAGTGGGCCCCTAAGATTATACTGGAGCTGAAAATATTCTATTGTCTATATGATATTGTAGCCAACCTAAAGTCATACTACAATGTATTACTCATGTGGTTTTGGTGATGCAGTTGTAAAGAAACCTACAGCACCAACAGTAGAATAAAAGTCCAGCACATACGATTATGTATTGTCCATAATATTTAATAATGATAATAAACAACTAGGCTACTGGTTTATGTATTTACTAAACTATACTTTTTACTGATATTTTAGAGTATACTCCTTCTACTTATTTTTTTTTAAGTTAACTATAAAGCATCCTTAGGCATTTCTTCAGGAATTATTGCATAGGAAGGCATTGTTATCATAGGAGATGGCAGCTCCATGTCTAGTACTGCCCCTGGAGGCCCTCCCAGTGGGACCAGATGTGGAGGGAGAAGACAGTGATATTGATGATCCTGGCCCTGTATAGGCCTAAGCTAATGTGTGTGTTTGTGAGTTCATTTGGGGAGGTTTTTTGTTTTGTTTGTTTGTTTGAGGTAGTCTCACTCTGTCAACTAGATAGGAGTGCAGTGATGCAATCATAGTTCATTGTATCCTCAAGCTCCTGGGCTCAAGCCATCCTCCTGCTTTAGCCTCCCAAGTGACTGAGACTACAGGCATGTGCCACTATGCCCTGCTAATTAAAAAAAAAAAATTGTTTTGTAGAGACGAAGTCTCATTATGTTGCCCAGGCTGGTCTCCAACTCTTGGACTCAAGTGATCCTCCCACCTTGGCCTCCCAAAGCACTGGGATTCCAAGCATAAACTTCCATGCCCAGCTGTCTTCATTTTAAACAAAAAAAGTAAAAAAACAATAACACTAACTTTAAAAATTCAAATAGCTTCTAGAATGAGGATACAAAGAAATAAAATATTTTTGTACAGTTCTACAATGTGTTTGTGTTGTGTTATTACCAAAGTGCTAAAAAGTTATAAAAAATTAAGTTTAGAAAATGAATAAGTTACTGTAAGCTAAAGTTAATTTAGTACTGAAGAAATAAATTTTATATAACTTTAGGGTAGCCCAAGTGTACAGTGTTGATAAAGTCTACAGTAGTGTGCAGTTATACTCTAGGTCTTCACAGTCTCACTAGTCACTCACTGACTCACCCCAAGCAACTTCCGGTCCTGTCAGCTCCATTCACAGTAAGTGCCCTATAAAGGTATACCAATTTTTATCATTGATGTCATGTTTGTACTGCACATTTTCTATGTGTAGATAGGTTTATATAGCTTTAGATACACAAATATTATCATTGTGTTACAATTGCCTACAATATTCAGTACAGTAGGATGTTGTACAGGTTTGTAGCCTAGGAGCCATAAGCTATAACTTATAGTCTAGGTGTATAGCAGGCTATACTAGGTGGGTTGCACTACTCTATAATGTTCACAGGAGGACAATATCTTCTAACAACATATTTCTCAGAATATATCCCCATTGTTAAGCAACATATGACTGGTGATTGCATTTTTAAATGAAAGTATTATATAATTTGTAGTTACCTTCTAATGATGTTTCCAGCTGCCTGGGTCAGGGACAAATTGCAGGGTGACAAAGATAGAAGTGGAAGGTTCTAGGAGAAGAGAGATAATGGTTGCTTGAATAACAATTATATCTTCATGTTTGCATCATGTTGTTTTAATGTTCTACCTTTTTATGACTTTAATGCCTAATGTCTGAGCCTCTCACTATTCTTTTTCAAAAATATTGGATATTTTTAGTTATTTTATTTCGGGAATAAATTTAATAATTACTTTATTACAGTTCATACCGCCTAATGGCCATTGAGATTTTGAGCAGAATTACATTAAATTTTTAAATTACTGTACAGATAATTCCCGTATGTATAATACTAAAATGAGTTTTTTCAACCATTAGGAATAGATATCTTCATTTACTAATTTTTAAAATCATGTCTCCCAGCAATTTTTGGTAGTTTATCATTGACATCCTAGACAAAATTATTTTTTTTTGCATTTATTTCCAGGTATTTTATATTTTAAGCAATTCTTACAAATTACATTTTCTCTTTATATTTTCTAATACTATAACTTGGTATAAAGAAAACATACAGATTTTTTGTATGTTGTTATTTTTAATGTTTTTCAAATTACTTTTATTGGATTTTCCAAATGTATAATCACATCATTTATCAATATTTACAAATTTCTCTCTAATTTTCCATTTTATCTTATTTTTCATCTTTCAACTTTTATTGCATTCTTATTTAATTTTATTTTATGTATTGATTGATTAGCTGTTTTATTTTGGGTTCAGGGGTATATATCCAGGTTTGTTATATAGATAAATTGAATCTCATGTGGGTTTTGTGTACAGATTGTTTTGTCACCCATGTAATAAGCATACTACTCAATAGGTAGAATAGGTAGTTTTTCAAATATCACCCTTCACCTACCTTCCACCCTCAAGTAGGCCCTGGTATCTGTTATTCCCTTCTTTGTGTCCATATGTACTCAATGTTTAGCTTCCACTTACAAATGAGAACATGAGGTATTTGGTTTTCTATTCCTGTGTTAGTTTGCTTAGAATAATGGCTTCCAGATCTATCCATGTTGCCGCAAAGGACATGATCTCATTCTTTTTTATGGCTGCACAGTATCCCATTGTGTATATGTACCACATTGTCTTTATTCAGTCTATACCATTGATGGGTATTTAGGTAGATTTCATATCCCTATTTTCAGTCTGAAATAGTTTGCTATTATAATGAACATGAAAGAATATGCAAGCATGTGTCTTTACATTAAAAGGATTTATATTTCTTTAGGTGTATACCCAATAATGGGATTGCTGAGTCAAATGGTAATTCTATTTTAAGTTATTTGAGAAATCACCAAACCACTTTCCATAAGTGGTTTGGTGATTTCTCAAATAATTCATAATGGCTGAACTAATTTACATTTCTACCAGCAGTATATAAGCACTCCCTTTTCTCCACAGCCTCACCAGCATCTGTTATTTTCTGACCTTTTAGTAATAGCCATTCTGAATGGTATGAGATGGTGTCTCATTGTGGTTTTGATTTGCATTTGTCTAATAGTTATGTTGAACATTTTCTCATATGCTTTTGGCCGCATGTATGTCTTCTTTTCAAAAGTGTCTTTTAATGTCCTTTGCCTACTTTTTAATGGGGTTGTTCGTTTTCTGCTTGCAAATTTGTTTAAGTTCCTTAGATTCTGGATATTAGACCTACTTCAGATAGATAGTTTGCAAATATTTTCTCCCATTCAGGTTATTTACTCTGTTGATAGTTTCTTTTGCTGTACAGAAGCTCTTTAGTTTAATTAGGTCCCTGTATTAGTCAGGGGTCTCTAGAGGGATGGAACTAATAGAATAGATGTATATATAAAGGGAAGTTTATTAAGGAGTATTGACTCACACAATCACAAGGTGAGGTTCGTCTGCAATAGGCCATGTGCAAGCTGAGGAGCAAGGAAGCCAGTCCGAGTCCCAAAGCTGAAGAACTTGGAGTCCAGTGTTCGAGGACAGGAAGCATCCAGCACAGGAGAAAGATGTAGGTCGGGAGACTAAGTCTCTCTAGACTTTTCAGGTTCTTCTGCCTGCTTTTATTCTGGCCACATTGGCAGCTGATTAGATTGTACCCACCTAGATTGAGGGTGAGTCCATCTTTCCCAGTCCACTGACTCAAATGTTCATCTCTTTTGGCAACACCCTCACAAACATACCCATGAACAATACTTTGCATCCTTCAATACAATCAAGTTGATACTCATTATCAACCAGCACAGTCCCATTTGTCAATTTTTGTTTTTATTGCACTTTCTTTTGACATCTCTATCTTGAGGTCTTTGCCCAGTCCTATGTCCAGAATGGTATTTCCTAAGTTATCTTGCAGGATGTTTATGGGTTTGGGTTTTAGATTTCAGTCTGTAATCCATCTTGAGTTGATTTTTGTATATGGTGTAAGGTAGGGTCCAGTTTCAATCTTCTGGATATGACTAGCCAGTTATCCCAGCATCATTTATTGAATAAAGAGTCTTTTCCCCATTGCTTGTCTTTGTCGGCTTTGTGAAGATCAGATGGTTGTAGGTGTGTGGTGTTACTTCTGGGCTCTCTATGCTGTTCCATTGGTCTATGCATCTGTTTTTGTACCAATACCATGCTGTTTGGGTTACTGCAGTTTTGTAGCATAGTTTGAAGTTAGATAATGTGATTTCTTCAGCTTTGCTCTTTTTGCTTAAGATTGCTTTGGCCATTTGGGATCTTTTTTGGTTCCAGATAAATTTTAAAATAGCTGTTTTTTTCTAATTCTGTGAAGAATGTCATCGGTAGTTTGATAGGAATAGCATTGAATCTGTAAATTGCTTTGGTTAGTAGGACCATTTTAACAATATCAATTCTTCCTCTCTCTGAACATGGAATATTTTACTATTTGTGTCATCTCCAATTTATTTGAGCAGTGTTTGGTAATTCTGATTGTAGATGCCTTTTACCTCCTTGGTTAGCTGTATTGCTAGGTATTATATTCTTTTTGTGGCTATTGTGAAAGGGTTTGCATTCCTAATTTGGATCTCAGCTTGGGTGGTGTTGGTGTATGAGAATGCTACTGATTTTTGCACATTGATTTTGTATCCTGAAACTTTGCTGAAGTTGTATATCAGATCAAGGAGCTTTTGTACAGGGACTGTGGAGTTTTCTAAATATAGAATCATATCATCTGCAAACAGAGATACTTTGACTTCCTCTCTTCATATTTGGATGCCTTTTATTTCATTCTCTTGCATTCTTATTTTAAAGAGTATTTTTTTAAATGTGGCAAGAGCTTCCACCATTATGTGTGATGTTGACTCTTGCTTTAAAACAAATATCATTTTTAGGAAATATTTTATTTTCATTTCACTAAGCATCTCTTCATTAATATTAAGCTCAGGTTATTTTCATTTGTATTAACATTTAGACATGAATTTTAATTATCGCTGTTTAAAAACATCTTTTGTTTATCTGGTTTAAGGTTAGTGTTACATTAACATAATGAATTAAAAGTTTTTATCTTCTAATATCACACAAAAGTTACTTTTTTTTGAAAGTTAGAAATAACTTACTCATTGAGATATTTAAGTTAGGTAACATTTTAGAAATTGATGATTTGAAAAAATTTTCCATTTCTTTTGTAATTTTCCACTGCTGAAATTTTCTATTTGTACCTAGGTCTATTATAATTTTTTTTGAAAATTATTAATTTTCTCCATATATTCAAATATAATGGTATATACATTTTTTTAATTCTGTTATTATTTTCATTTCATTATCTGTCCATATGTTTATTTCTGTGGCTATATTTTAATATTTATGTCCTTATATTTTTATTACTTATGTTATTCAGAATTTTGCCTCTGTTTTCAAAGAAACTACACTAATATATTAATTTTAGTTTTTCTGCTTTCTATTATTTTTTATTTTTAGCTTCATCCCATTTTTATCAAAAATTTCAAGAGTGCATACTTTTATTAAATAATTATTTAGAGAAATGTTTTATAATTTTTCATGTAGTTGCATTTTTTTCTTTTTTAACTTTCGCTATTTATCTTAAGCTGTGTTTTAATTGAATCTTTGCATAAGATCTGGTTGATCTCTTGGTCTTTATATTCCACCCAAAATAGAAAGTTTCAGGAATCTATTACATCAATTTATAATTTTGTCTCCTTAATCTGTTAAAGACTGAGGGTTGCATTAAAATTTCCCACTATAACAGTTTTTAACATACATATTTTACTTATTTTATAGTAGAATGGTAATCCCATGGTAAACTATACCCTGTATTTTAGAGATTTTTTTTGATGCATGATAATTCTCCCAGATGTCTACAGAACTCATATTTGTATAGAAATCACTGCTTATTTTCCCTTCTTTCCTTCCTTCCTTTCTTCTTTCCTCCCTCCCTGCTTCCATTACTTCCTTTCTTCCTTCCTTCCTTCTTGCCTGCCTGCCTGCCTTCCTTCCTGCCTTCCTGCCTTCCTTCTTCTCACCTTTCTTTCTGTCTTTTATTCTTATGGTATGCTTTCCTTTCTGCACCTTCTGAATCTCTTAGTTTAGGTATGTACTTGTCAAAGCTTTATTTTATTATACTAATCTGAAAGCTATGGTCTAATAAATCAGATGAAATTCTTATTAACTGTATTGGCCAAATGGGTATTTATAGTTTACATCATATGCTTAATGCTTGTTATGTATTCTTGCTATGTTCTTGATTTTCTATCTCTTGCTAAATGAACTGTATTTTACCTCCCATATTCTGTTTCCTGCCCAGAATTTTGGAAGTACACATTTAACTTTATAAATTCTACTTGTAGCTATTTTTAAGTTTTGAAAAACAAATATGTACTTTATCCTGTTTTTCTCTATTATCAATTTGTCTTACTGATATTGACTGTTAACATTTATTTAAAATATAGAAGCATGAGATTTACCAAAAACATTTAAAAATTACAATGGTTTTCCTCATAAGATAGCAAACAATACTAAAAAGTTCAATGACTTGAAAAATAGGATTCTATTGTGGAATACATATCTAACTGGTGGGAAGCAGGAGCAAATTAAGAAACAGCCTCAGGAGTTCAAGAGAATTAAGTAGATAAATATGCTATCATTTCAAATAGGAGAAAAAATGATGAATTATCCAATAAATGATACTGAGGGAAATAATTATTTTTTTCCACACAACATGTAGATGAGGGAGATAATTATATGTTTGGGAAAAATGTTAAGTCTAGGCACTATATCAGCAGCATATGTTCAATGAAACAAGACAAGTTGACAAACAAGATGATTCCAGTCATTTCTAAGAACACAAAAGAAACTAAAAGGGTGGAGAGAGGGACCAAGTTAGGGATAGTGGGGAATTTCAATAGGGAAGCTCCAAAAGATTTTTTAGGAAAAATATCAAGAAATCAAGACACTTAGGAGAAATCCATCATGTAAAATTTGGGAAAGTATATTCTAGGCCAAGGAGCCATAAGTGCAAAGACCCTGTAGTAGAAATCGGCACAGGAGGCTTGACTACTGAATGAAGGCCAGTTTTGCTGAAGCTGAGGGAAAAAGTGAAGAGACAGAAAATTAAAGTCGAATTAAAACAACAGTCCTCATTTTAAAGCCATATTGGCAAAATTTATTTCATAGCTAATACCTAGTTTGGCAGGCATGTGGGAAAGCAATCACTATTATAAATTCTTAGCTAGATCGTAGATTGGTAAAGTCTACTTGGCGAACAATGGACTACATCCATCCAAATATGGAAATGTATATCTCTTTGCTTAAGTAGCCCCTCTTCTTAACCTTTATTTGACAGAAAAACTCACACAAATAAGCAAAAGTATATCTATTGCCACATTTGTAATACCAAAAAATGGAGACAGGCATGTTATGGTGCAAACAGCACAGTGGAATACAAGATGACTGTTAGAATAATCAGAGAGATCTACCTATGTGTATTAACCCAGAAATCTTCCCACAGTACATTTCCAGTTCTTGTTTTCCTTTATTTAAAATTGGCTTTCACCGGCTACCTTTAAGTGGAAAAAGATTGCAGGAACAGTAATACTATGCTCTATTGTCACTGAAAATATAATTTATTTTATTATATGTAAATATATATATGCAATGTTGTATATTTATGTATGAATTTGACAGTGAAGCAAGTCTAGAATCTAAAATCAATATGTGCTGTAATAAACACACTTACAAGTTTTCTCTTCCATATTTTGAGTGTTATTTCTGACTTTTATGTTACAAAGATTCCTCATTGTCCCGAAGTCCTTAATTGAGGCCTAGAGTTTGCCCATATTTGGAGGGAGCAATGTCGTCTTACCCTGTGGGTGGGTACTGACTACTCTCAGAATTTGCCTCTCAGGTGCTAAGGTGAGTGATTGATTGGTGTGCATTTCTACTGTCAGTTAAATACCTGAGATGTGTGGAAAGGAGGGCACATCTGTGTATGGGGAAGTCTTGTGTTATTTATTCTTCCAGAAACCAGCTTTATTTGGTAGCTGAGTTTCATTTAAAAAGTCATCAAATAATAAAGGCTATATTATTGTCAGATAATAAGCGTTTAAGGAGAAAGCAAGGTAGCCCCTATCTTATGGTTTCATGGTTAGCGTGTTCCCCACCACCTCCCCTCCACAAGGACTGGGTTTAATCATTCTTCTTTATAGTGAACAAAATATCTATCTTAGAAAAGCAAAGTTTTTCTAAATTTGTGTCTGAAGAGGTTGTTTTTTGTGTGTACGATGAGAAAAACCCAAGCATTTTTTTTCCATATATCTTCAATTAGCTTTTGGACCCTAGAGTAAGATTTCATTTAGCACTTAATGGTGGTGCACAGTCAAAACATTCTTAAGTGATTATAAGAAAGTGCAACAAAACATTATGTTCAGAACTTTCACTGTCAACTTCTCAGAATGGACAACTCCCATTTCCATTACCCCACTGTTACCAAAAGAAAAAAAAATAAGTAAAGAGTAAAAAACAAAGTGTATTGCTATAAATACCACTTTCATTTCTTTTATCAGATAATCTTCACTTCCAGGTGAATGGCAATTGGTTTTATTCACTCAGTCAGCAAGGAATAAAGCAGAAAGGGTCTGCAGTTTTGAATAACACTATTTTAGGCAAACTGGAGATGTATCACAACCCAAAACTCACCAGCTCAAACATGTTTGCTGCTGTATCATTTCAAATAAGTAAGAACCTTCATAAATTGACTTCTTGTATATGTTTTGCTCAGCTTGCTGGTGTATCTACTCTAAGTCTATTAAATTTATCTGTTTTTTTTGTTGTTGTTGTTGTTGTTGTTGTTATTTTTGAGACAGTCTCACTCTGTGGCTCAGGCTGGAGTGCAGTGGCATGATCTCTACTCACTGCAACATCCACCTCCTGGGTTTAAGAAATTCTCGTGCCTCAACCTCCTGGGTATTTAGGATTCCAGGCATGTGCCATCACGCCTGGCTAATTTTTGTATTTTTAGTAGAGACAGGGTTTTGCCGTGTTGGCCAGGCTGGTCTGGAACTCCTAACCTCAAGTGATCCACCTGCCTCAGCCTCCCAAAGTGCTGGGATTACAGGCACGAGCCACCATGGCTGGCCTTAAAATTATCTTCTAACAGTCCTGCAAACACTCCTTCACATCTTGCCGTTTCTATGTCTTTATTCAGGCTTTACATCACTGCCAGAATGCCTGCCTTTTCATCTTCCACTTGAATGAATCCTTCCCATTTTTCAAGGTCTCTCAATATTCATCTGCATATTGAAGCATGACTCACATCTTTATTCACCTTCCTTTCAGTTTAATTTGTGCAGTACTTAGTTTATACCATATTATTCCAATGAGTAATCATATGTTGTCATTTTAGGTTGTTCAACTTTCCTTGCTTTCACAGACTGTGAGTTTTACCAATGTACAGATAATACACCTTGTGAATTCTCTCCAGAAAAGAGACACAAGGTATAAATTTATTAATAAATAGCAGAGACATTAATTGATTATCTAATTCATTCCAGAAAATGATGGCTTCTCAAGTGTGTCTACTGCAGTGACTCTGCTGGTAGACAAGTGCACCAGTGTAGTCCCTGCAATAGCCATGCTTGAGGACTATGGGGACTCCTCAAGTCAGGTCACCTGGGGACTTTTGAAATCATACACAACTCCTGTGTCCTCTCATTCTTCCTCTGTGTCTCCACTGTGTCAATCTGATGACCCTCCTCAAGAGGACATTCTTTGTGGGAATCATCATCACAGTGATGGAATGTGTCATGGTCTTCTATGTGGTAGAGCATTAAAAAGGTTTTAACCACCCAGCTAAAGCACAGAACATGTGAAGCAGAGTAAAGGTATAAATATACGAAAGATATGTTGTTTCCTACTCCTTAATGAAAAATTCTTACCTCTGGTGAATTTGGAAGCAGGATAGGCCAAATTATAGAAGGCCCTGGATAACATGTGAGCATTCTGCTTATATTTTTACAAAACACATCTTGCTTTGGACCTTGGCTTTTTTCACGGACAAAATATTAAAAATATATCTTCGAGACTTCCATATTAATGTTTAAAAATTATGTTATTTTACCACTTCATACCTATTAGGTGTTATTTTCAGAAAAGTGGGAAATAATTGTTGGCTAAACAGAGGAGAGGTCAGAAATTTTGTATACTGTTAGTAGAAATGTAAAATGGTGCAGTCACTCTGGAAAACTGTTTGTTGATTCCTTTAAAGGTTAAACATAGAATTACTGTATGATCTATAAATTTCACTTCTTGGTGTATACCCAAAAGAATTGAAAGCAGAGACTCTAACAGATATTTGTACACCCATGCTCGTGGTCACATTACTCATAATAGCCAAAAGATTGAAGAAACTCAAGTGTCTATCAACAGATGAATGGATAAGCAAAGTGTGGTATAAACATATAATGGAATATTATTCAGCCTGAGAAAATGAATGAAATTCTAACTCATGATACAAAATAAATGAACTTTCAAAACATGCTAAGTGAAATAAAACAGACATAAAAGGGCAAATATTGTACAGTTCCACTGATCTGAGGTACCCAGAATAGACAAACTCATACAGACAGACAGTAAAATGAAAGGTTACTTGGGGTTGGGGAAATGAGGGGTAGAGAATTATTGCTTAGTAGCTATAGAGTTTCTGTTTGGGATAATAAAATATTTCTGGAAATGTATAGTAGTGATGATTGCACACATTATGAATGGCCTAAATGCCACTGAATTTGTACACTTAAAATGGTTTAAGTATGTTTTACTATAATAAAACAAATATCTACTTTTAAAAATGTCTTAAGGATTCTAAAGGACTAAGTTGGATATTCGTATTTGTTTATTTTTTGTTTTATTTTTGTTGCTATTGTTGTTCCAACTGTGCCTACCCCAGAATGAGTTATAGGTCATATTTATCTCTATTTGTGTCTTCTAAGTTCCCATGCATGAAAAACTTAGTCCTTTAGTCTGCCCATCTCCCTCCATTAAATGTGCTTACACGGCAATCTCTGTCATACCATTGCCTCACTTTTCTACGGTGCAGCTACAATACTCCCTCACTCCTAACCACACTCCAGATGTTCAATTTAACAGAGTGGCTACCTCAGACACATGCAAACCGAAAAGAATTGCATTATAATTAGGAATCTGATTATATTGCAAATGAAATGAGACTCTGTACTGTTGCTTTCTCATAAAATATATGTTTCTACTTAATTCAATCAAGGTTTCATAGGTTTAACTATATTTCCTCATTTTAATCTTATCTCACTGTTGACAACCAAGCTGTATTGAGTCTGTAAGTTTATTTTTTAAGGTAATTATTTTCATTCCAATAAGCCTTCTTCTCCATAATTATCTAACTAATGAAGAGGTGGATCTTCTATGATTCAACTCAGACGAGTCTATTCAGATTACATTGTCTGACAATCTGACCAACAACTTTATGCTACCTATTTCTTTGTTTCTCAGGTAAATACTTACCATTCATTCTCAGGTAACATTAATCATTCTAATCAGTTCCAGTATTTTCTCTTGTAACTAGAAGCTAAAGTAATTATGTTTTTGGCTTAGTTACCCCAGAAATGTCTCTTCAATGACTGTCTAAAGGTTATTTAGCCTTCATAGAATTTTCTAGATTTCTACCCATTTTCTGGAAAAGAAATTGAGTCAATGTTCTCTTATCATAATCAATGTATTTATTTTATTCACCATTGTTCAATACCATTTTAAATCTTATAGCAGAAGCAAACTGATTAGAAAGTCAAATTTATTGCATAACAACAAATTTGACTTTAGTTACGCTGCTATTTACCCATAGTGTTAACTTTGAAATTTCATTAACTCAATGTGACTCCAAGGAGTAAATATTAAGTCAATACATGTTGATAGTAAAAACTTTTAAGATCTCCTTGCAATAAATAAAAACTTTTATTGTGATAGGAGAGCACATTACCATCAGCTACAGACACATTATCTGAGGAGGGGGTATAATGAAGAAGGAAAGGGAAAAATTTTAATTAAATAAATCAGTCATCACAAATTAAACAACAATAACAGTAAAACATAAGTCTGCAATTTGTTTCATTAGGTATATGAAACATAAACTCTATCCCAAAGGCTCTTAAAACATAGTGGGGGAGATAAAATAATGTGAACAAGCGGGTTGCCCTTTTTCATTGCTATGGGTTCACAGAAGAAAGCTCTGAGAGAGTCAAGGCCCAGAAATGGCTTTGCTAAATTGTTAGGTACCCCAGCATCATCAAGATGGATAAGATTGGATTAATGCAGAGGAGGGTGTAACACCCAAGAAAGGGAAAGATCCACAGCATATGGGGGCTGTGACAGATTTGATGTGACTGGAGGTGATTAAGACCATCAGGCTGATAGGAGGAACTGATACTAAATAGAGTTATCAGTGACTCAGATGTAGTCAAGTGGCTTGTGCAGACAGCTTGTGCAGACAGCTTGTGCAGAAAACCTGTGTATGGCTTTGAAGTCCAAAAGATCAGACTCTGTGTTTGAGCAGGGGAGGCACCACTTTTAGGATAGCACTTTTGGAAAACAAATATACTTTGAAGAGAGAGACTATGGAAGACAACAAAAAGAGGAAAGAGAAGAACTAAGGTTGCCTAGTGTGACCTCATCTCCATGACTTTCCTGGTGGGGTGGAGTAGGTGGAGAAAAGTACATCAGGTTTGCATTTTTCTATATGGGGAGGGCAAAGCATTTCGTCTCACTGTTTATTTTTTTTTCATACTATATACCTTGATATTTCATAAACTAGGATTTATGGCCAGATTCAGTGGCCTATAATCCCAGCCCTTTGGGAGGCTGAGACGGGAGGACAGCTTGAGCCCAGGAGTTAAAGACCAGCCTGGTCAATAAAGTGAAACCTTGTTTCTGTAACAAAATAAAAAAATTAACCCGGCATAGTGCCATGTGCCTATGGTTCCAGCTACACAGGAGGCTGATGTGGGGATATCACTTAAGCCTAAGCCTAAGCCTAGGAGGTCAATGCTGCAGTGAGCCATGATTGAACCACTGCTCATCACTCTGGGTAACAGTGAGACTCTGTCTCAAAAAAAAAAATGTTATGAATTAGTTTGTATTATTTCATTTTCACACTGCTGATAAGGCATACCTGAGAGTGGGCAATTTACAATACAAAGAGGTTTATTGGACTTACAGTTTCATGTGGCTAGGGAGGCCTCACAATCATGGCAGAAGGTGAAAGGCAAGAAAGATCAAGTCACGTCTTACATGGATGGTGGCAGGCAAAAAGAGAGCTTGTGCAGGGAGACTCCCGTTTTTAAAACTATCAGATCTTGTGAGACTCATTCACTATCACGAGAACAGCACAGAAAAGACCTGCCCTCATAACTCAATCGTCTTCCACTGGGTTCCTCCCATGACATTTGAGAATTATAAGAGTTACAAGTCAAGATAAGATTTGGTTGGAGACACAGCCAAACCATATCAGGATATATTATATTTTCCAATGGGGAAGTTCTTGAAGGTTAAGATCTATGGCTAAGTAATAGTTTGAACTTTTCTTGTTTATTTTTGTTAGTCCATTTTTCAATTTATTATAAGTATGAATAAAAATTTTTTAAAGGTACAAATAATCATCTACATTTTTAAGACATATGTAGGATTAAGTCAAAAAAAGATTTTAAGATAACAACAATAATACAATAGCTAACATGTATTGTTATTCACTATGTACCATCTAATATTCTAAGCATTTTCCTTATAAAATCTTATTTAATTAGCACAAAAATCTCTATAAGACAAGTACTATTATTGTTCTTACATTACAGGTGAAGAAACCAAGACACAGAAAGAATGAATATGTAAAGGATGTCAGAACTAGGAAGTGATGGAATCAGGAAGAGAGCCTGGACAGCCTGCCTTGTGACTCATAGGTCATCTGGCCACAAAAACAATGGTAAACAAAATCCAAGATAAAACCTCAAAGCATAGGTACTCCATTAATCAATAACAATAAGAGGAATAATTGGGATTCTATATAGTCATTTACAAATTCTTTTACCAACATATTGTTGCTTGAGATTTTCACCACTTAAGAGGAGAAACTGAAGCACTGAAGAGAACTGAGTAAGACTACTTGATAGAATCCTCTCAAAGCATTGAGTTTAAGCTTGAAGTTATTTCAGTGCTTCAATACCCTTCCACTTTACTTAGCATACACACAATTACCACCAAAATTTAGCAAGTAACATAAAAAATGTGAAATGTTCCCAAAGAGAAGAAAGTCATCAGCAATCAAAACTGAAAGGAATGTCAAAATTAACAAATAGCACCTGCAGAAAATGAATAAATTAGGCACTTGTAATGTTTTATTATTTTAAATTATGGCACCACTAACTGAGCTGGGAAGGCTTTTTTTCTGATTATTGTATCTTTAAAAATATGAATTCCATCTTGACTGCCTCTTTAAATAAGATTAATTCATAGCATTCCCCATTTAATTGCTTTATCTGTTTTGGTCCATTAGATTCTATTCGAGAATATAGCTTTTATGATAAATTAAATTCTAGGGTTTTATTTTGACATCTAAGTTAATTTTTAATTCTGGAAAAAGTTCTGCCCTGTGCAATTTAGTTCTTTCAGAAGTGCTGAAAAAAATGAGAGTTGAATCGCTGTAAGTTTTCTATAAAACAGGTATTTCACAGCCAGCCTGGCTGGGTTTTCTTTGGTTTTTCTTAGGCCTTAGCCACTCCAATGAAAGCCTTCTTTGAGGGATGCTTGCATATTAGCTTTTCCTAAAATTTCCAAGAAGCGACTTCATCACAGGAAATTGTTTGTTTGGTACATGCCTGCCTGTCAGGATGGATTGAACCTCTGATATAGTTTGGACGTTTATCCACTCCAAATTTCATGTTGTATTTGACCATCAGTGTTGGAGTTGGGGCCTGGTGGCAGGTGTTTGGACTATGAGAGTGGATCCCTCCTTAATGACAGTCCTCATGATAATGAGTGGAATCTCACTCTTGGTTTCCATGAGACCTGGTTGTTGAAAGAGTCTGACACCTTCTCCCCTCTTTTTCCTCCTCTCTTGCCATGTGATGCCTGCTGTCCTTTCCCTTCTTCCATGAGTGGAAGCTTCCTGAAGCCTTCACCAAAAGCAGGTGTTGGCAGCATGCTTCTTCTAGAGTCTGCAGAACCATGAGCCAAATAAAACACTTTTCTCTATAAAGTATCTAACCTCAGGCATTCCTTTGTAGCAATGCAAATGGATTAAGATAATGTCCATGCTGTTTTCACTTGAACAAATAAAAATGCATTTGAAATTTCCATACAGGCCATTGTCTATGAATTAGTCTGGGTTTGGTCATGGCCATGGAATCAGAGCCACTCTAACAATTAGAGGGATAAACAAATGTAATATACGAATTAGGGCTAACACATATGTAAAAAAAGCAGCAGGGAGGCTGAAGGTCCAGAAGGTTGGAGAAACCGTCCTCCCACCAGCACTAGCCAATATAAAATTTTGACATATAATAGAAGCTTAATAAATATTTGAGGGATAAATGAAGATTGGATTTCAATTAACATAATATTTTTGTTTGTTTCTTTGTTTGTGTTTTTGAGAAAGGCAGAAATATATCTTTAGGCTGAGAGTAAACTCCTTGTTCCTTGTCATGGATGGTTCCCCAGTGCTAGGTAAGAGCATCACAGTTAGTGGTTAGATACCTAATCAAGAGTGCTTTACAGAGGTCTCAAACCAACAAATTAACTTTGAAACATTAGGAACTACGAAAAGAAGGACAAACTAAACACAAGCAAGCAAAAAAAAGGAAATAAAAAGTAATAGAGCAGGATAAACAAAATATACAGTAGAAAAATCAATGGAGAAAATTATAAAATCAAAAGTTGATTTTTTTGGAAAGATCAACACAATGGATAAACTTTTAGCTAGATATAACTAAGAAAAACAGGCCTGGCACAGTGACTCTAACAGAGTTTCTCTTGCCTTCTTTTGGGCAGCACTGTTTCGTAGAGCCACTACTACAATTCAGAGCAGGCCAGAAGAGCAAATGATAAACTTTCTCTAGTAAAAACAAAGGAGAAGTTTGAGTGCAGTGGCTCATGCCTGTAATCCCAATACTTTGGGAGGCCAAGGCAGGTGGATCATGAGGTCAGGAGATCAAGACTATCCTGGCTAACACTGTGAAACCTTGTCTCTACTAAAAATACAAAAAATTAGCGGGACATGGTGGCACACACCTGTAGTCCCAGCTACTTGGGAGTCTGAGGCAGAAGAATTGCTTGAAGCCAGGAGGCAGAGGTTGCAGTGAGCCGAGATCGTGCCACTGCACTCCAGCCTGAGCGACAGAGCAAGACTCTGTCTCAAAAACAAACAAACAAACAAACAAACAAACAAAACTAAGGAAAAAATAAGACAGAAGACACAAGTTACTAAAATCAGAAATGAAAATGGGAACATTACTACCAGTTCTAGAGAAATAAAAAGGGGTTATAAGACAGTACTGTGAATAATTATAAGCCAGCGGATTGGATAACTTGAATGAAATGAACAAATTCCTAACAAATTCTAAACCAGAAATAAATAAAAACTATGAATAGATCTATAACGAGTAAGAAGAATGAATCAGTAATCAAATCTCCTAACACAGAAAAGCCATGGACCTGTTAGCTTTATTGGTTAATTTACCAAACATTTAAAGAAGAACTAACACCAATCCTTCTCAACTTTTCCAAAAATATGACGAGGAGGAAACACTTTTTGATTTATCTGATGAGGCCAGCATTAACCATGATACCAAAGTCAAACAAGAGACTATAAGAGAAGGTCAACATGCCTTATGAATATTGATTTTTAAAATTCTCAACCACATACTAGCAAGCTTAATTAAGCATTAAAGGGATTATATACATTATGACCTAGTAGAATTTATTCTTGGAATGCAGGGATGAGTCAACACAGAAAAATCAATTAATGTAATATATCACATTAACAGAATGAAAGAAAGGAATCATATGATCATCTCTAATAATGCAGAAAAGGCATTTGAAAATATGTAACATCATTTTTTTCATTAAAACACTTAACAACAAAGGAGTAAAGGAAAACTACTTCAACATAACAAGAGCCATATATGAAAAGCCCTGAGCAAACCTCACACAAAATAGTGAAAGATTGAAAGCTTTTCCTGTAAAATCAGGAACAAGGCAAGAATAACCACTTTTACCACTGCTATGCAATATAGTACTGGAAGTTCTAGCCAGGGCAATTAGGCAAGAAAGATCACACACACACACACACACACACACACACACACACACCTGTTAGAACTAATAAATAAATTCAGCAAAGTATCAGAATACAAAATCAACATATAAATATCAATTGCATTTATATACACTAACAATGAGCAATCTGAAAAAATGAAATTATAAAAACAATTCCATTTACAGTAGCATCAAAAAGAAAAAAAACTTAGAAATTAACAATGGAGGTGAAGGACCACCATATATTGCTGAAAGAAATTTAAAAAGACATAAACAAATGAAAATACATCCCATGTTCATGAACTGGAAGACCTAATAGTGTTAAGAAGCCAACAGCACCCAAAGTTATTTACAGATTTCATGCAGTCCTTATCAAAATCACAATGATTTTTTTTTTTGCAGAAATAGAAAACCTATCCAATAATCAATATGGAATCTCAAGGGATCTCAAATAGCCAAAACAATCTTGAAACAGAAGAACAAAACTGAAGGACTCAACCTTTCTAATTTTAAAACTTACTACAAACCTAAAGTAACTAAAACAGTGTGGTATTGACATAAAGACAGAAATATAGACCAATGGAATAAAATAAAAAGCCTGGAAATAAATGCTCACATATATGGTCAAATGATTTATGATAAAAATGCCAAGACCATTCAATGGAAAAAAGGAAATCTTTTCAGCAAATGGAGCTGGGAAAAACTGGATACACATACAAAAGATTGAAGTCAAACTCTTCCCTCATGTCATACACAAAAATTAAATTAAAATGAATCAAAGGCCTAAATGTAAAACTTAGAATTACATAACCCCTAGAAACAAAACACAGGAAAAAAGCTTCATAAAATTAGATTCAATTATTTTTTGAATATGACATAGTCAATTATTTTTTGAATATGAGACCAAATAAATAGGCGATAAAGGAAAAAAATAGATAAATTGGACTTATGAATTTTTAAATGTGCATAAAAAACACTATCAACATAGTAAACAGGCAACTTATAGAATGAGAGCAAATATTTGCAAATTATATATCTGATGAAGGATTAAAATTGAGAATAGGTAGAGAACTCCTAAAATGCAACAACAAAGAAATAAATGACCAGATTCAAAAATGGGGAAAACACTTGAATAGACATTTCCCCAAGGACAATACGCAAATAGCTAATAAGCACATGAAAAGATGTTCAACATTAGAGAAATGCAAACAAGAAACTGCAACAAGATACCACCACACACCCATCAGGATAGCTACTACTCGGAAAAAAAAAAGTAAAAACAAAATAATAATAAGTGCTGTCAAAGATGTAGAGTATTTGAAACCCTTGGGCACTGTTAGTTGAAAGTAAAATGGTAGAACCACTGTAGAGAGCAGTATAGCAATTCTTCAAAAAGTTAAAGGTAGAATTACCATATGATCCAGAAATTGCTCTTCGGGGTTTATACCCAAAGTAATTGAAAGAAGATGCAAAGAGATGTTTGAATACCCATGATTATAGTAGCATTTATTTATAATAGCTAAAATGTAGAAGTACCCCAAGTATCTATAGGATGAATGAATATGCAAAATGTAGGCTGAGGTATGAGAGAATTTGGAGTTACTGTTTAATGGGTACAGAGTTTCAGTTTTGCAAGATAAAAATTTCAGTGATAGATGGTGGTGATGGTTACTTGACATTATGAATATTTAAAATCACCAAATTGTACATTAAGAATGGTTTATAAGGTGATTTTTATGTTGTGCATATTTTTGCACAAATAAAAAAGTGAGAAAGAATCTTCTATGACATCTACAAAATGTCATGAAGAAAGAAATTTCCTGTCTGTGTTTTCAATATTGATGGAACTGGCAAATTTTGGAAAAAACATGCATGGTATAATGTTATTATAAGAAATATATACCTAGTTTTAAATCTTGGAAGACTGACTCATATTCCTATTTGACAGAAACAATTCTGAGGACTCTAGGCTTAAAACCTTTTTGTAGCCACCTTGAGCCTTCAAACAGCCCTTCAAAAACTCAGTTTTTTAACCCAACAGACATTCAATCCTATACTAAGTTATGGGTTATTTTAAATCATTGTCTTGGGTTATTATTCCCTTGTACAATCAATTCACTTTGCATAGGGGTGATATTTTTTTTCTTTAAGAACTTAAGTAACTTGAAGTTATGAATAAAATATAACAACATTTATTTGATATTGGGTTTTGTCCAGTCCAATTCAATATATAACAAGTAGTCAAGATATATCTTTACGTCAATTCTTGATTATTTAACTCATCTCAATCAAGTAAATGGTTTAGTGACTAATGTGTGTTCAGCACTGTTCAATGTGCTGTAGGAAGACAAATCTATGCAGGCTCCAGCATATTTGGAGAAAGAAGAGTGATGTTGCAAGGTTTTTCATCAAACACAAGGAGGTATTTAGAAATGTCTACAGTGCTTTTGGTTTTCACAGTGACGGGGCACATTGAAGCCATTAAATGCTAGAAATTTAGGGATGATCAATATTCTGCCATGTGGGGGACAGTCCCACAAAAGTAAGAATTATGTTGTCCAAAATGTTAGTAGCACTCTTAGTTGAGAAACCCTGGCTGGGTATTGTGGGAATTAGTTAGAGTTATGTGAAATGATAACTCATGCTGAAGAAGTAGGTTGTTATCCTTTAGACAATGGGAGCTATCAAGTGTGTTTAAGCATGGGGGAGACTTGATTAGCTTTTGATTTTAGAAAGGAAACTGAACATGTATAGGCAGAAATAAGATGCAGGAAGACCACATAGTGGGTAATGTCAGCAGTGCAGCTAAGGAGTTGTTTCTTGTTTCTCATCTTGGTGTAGCTCTGCCCAGGGCATTGTAAGACATAAAATCATCAAATATTTTTTAAAAAATAGTCAGGAAGAAGAGATTCTAGCAAAAGTGACATGCCCATCTTTAAGCACATTTGCATGCTCAGGTGATGGGACATGCTAATTGGATTATTGTGATTGGACTAACCCTTAGAGCTAGGAGTATGGCCAATCTTAAACCAGCTACCTGAGAATAGAGTGATATTCTATGGGAATTCAGTGTTCTTTCAAATATACCAAAGAAAGAGGAATAGGAACACACAATAATATGTATATACAATGGGGAAACACATGAAATAGTTGTAAAATAGTACATAAAAGTACACATGGGAATGTGGAAACTTATTCTTACAAAAGCTCTTGGAAGTCTTACAATACTTAGCATAGGATCAAATATGTAGTGAATCTCCAGTAAAAACCTGCTCAATTGTATTGTGGGACGGGTAATACATTTTAATTTTACCTTTTGCAAGAGAAATATCTAAAAATTGCTTATCAATTGATTGACTGCATACAATATTTTGAGATATCTATGTAACCAACAACATACTAAACATTCTGTTCTCTGCAGAGAAATCAAAATAGCAAAGGTATTTATATACTAGATAAAAAGGTAAAAAAGAAACATATGAAGAAAGTAAAATCTAGTACTTAATTGAAGATATTTAATGCCAAGAATGAAAGCATTTCAGAGAAGAGTGATTGATATAAACTGGTGTAATCAGTAAAGTTTTTGGGGAAGAGAACAGCCTAGAAGAACAGAAAGAAGTTGGGTAAAAGGGTAAAGAATTGGGGCAAACAAATGAGACTTAAACAAATTGGGTCAAAAATGGTGATGTAGGCCTTGTCTCAATTTTGGCATTTACTTCTCTGCGACTGATCCTTTTTGGTCTCAGATTTCTGATCTGTAAATGCAACTAAAGAGGATTATCTTACAGGACTGCTATGAAAACTAACTGAGACGGTATGTGTCATAGCTCCCGGAACTGTGCTCAGAATGCGTGCTCAGATATTCTCAATCATTTGTTTGTTCATTCTTGGAATGAGAACTTGTAACTTTCACTGTGACAAGTCAAAATTGTGAAATGTTATTTTTAAGGGACCTAAGGATCACCTCTGACCATTTCAATGTCCTCTAGCCATTCAGTTGAGTTGCCCACACTGCAGGACTGGATGCTACTTTATTAGAAAACATATTTCATTTAGTACTGTTTCCACCTCTATTCACAAAAAATTGGGGAAAAGAAACCTGTTCTCATTACTCCACAGACACTGCCATTACCCAGGTTCCTGCATGGAAACCTCTGGTTAGAAATAGGACCCCTTTCATCACCAAGGAGAAGGAGGCCCCCATTCTTCCTCATCAAGTGTCTTTAATTAGGTTCTTGAGAAAACCACAGGAATCAATGTTTGACGCCAGAGATGACTAAAATAAAATTCAGTACTGAAACTTCCATTGTATATCCTGATTCTTTCACTTGACAAAAATTATTGACAAGTCATTGGGATGTCTTTTTGTAAGACTTGTTTCCTTCTTTCAGTTGCATAATTTATTTTCTGTTTTTTAAACATTTTTATAAGCTTTTTAAAGAATGATTTTATTATTTTTTCAAGCAGTATATTGTATATAAGTTCCCAAATTCAGGTAAATGTCCTTATTTTCCTTCTGCCTGAATTCCCTTTATAGACTCAGTTTTCCTTTTCTCTTTCTTCGGTACTTCACTCTCTGCCTTCCAGTCCTCCCTCCATATGCCCTGTTTCTTTCCATTTGTTGGTTTAATTTTCTGTGGTAGTTTGATTCCTCTCCGGTTGATCCCAGTCAACATAACAAAGACGGCAGCAGAGCGGGGATTGGACCAAATTCTAGAGACAGGCGCTGTTCTTCAGTCAGAGCAGGTGCACGGAAGCCAGAGGGATGCTCCGTGCCGGCAGAGCCAGCAGCTCTCTCAGCATCAAGGTAGCTGCTGCTGCCTTACTCAGAGCTCGTTACGTTAAATGGAAGTCAGCTTTAAACATTCATTCAGATGGATTTATTTAAAGGTGTTTAAGGTTCAGCTGAGTTTATTACTACAGACGTGGCTGGGGCCCTTACAGTTTAGCATAATGTTTCATCAGCTGCAGTTCCAAATACACCCATGTGCTGTCCGTTGACAGGGGTATAGGGGTCTTTTACAGCAAAACAGAGATTGCCGGAGAAGGTTTGCTAGAGAACTTCTTTCCATAATACTCTGAGGGGGTTAACGTTTATGAAGATTTTAAATCTTTCCTCTTGGCTTGAATTATCTTTTTTTTTTCTTTTTACCCATCCCTGTCTCCAAAGAAAGCAATAAGCCTGTCAAAGGAGGAATTAATTAAGCAAATCAATCAGTCAGTTTTATTAAGGAATTACAAAACCCAAGTGGAGCATTAATTATTCAGATAATGGGATATCTCTGAGCCTTTCTTTTCAATTATTGATAAGCTGCTATCTATCATTCAAACTGCTTTAGTACTGATTTAGCTGTGAAGGAAGCCAGGTCATTCAGCCAGAGCATATGCTAGTTATGAGCAGTGCTGGGAAGCTGAGGATATAGGAACTGGCTGGGGTACTGTGTCCACCCAGTGTGAATGCAAGCAATAACTATCACGAGGCAGAGACTGGGCTACACTGCAGATATCTCCGTAAAAGTCTCACCTCACTGGCATCACCCACCTGATTAAAAATGTGCACTGAGGCGATGAAGCCAGGGACTTCTTTTCCTTTACCACATTTGCATTTTTTCTTGGCCTTACAAGAATGGCTACCAAGCAAAGTAACACTTGCAATAAAGCGAATGCTGTTGTTGTACAGCTAAGAACAATTTTTTAAATGGCCTTTGTTTTTATACCTGCAGAAACTTTAGATTTTTCCCCTCCAACATCAGGGACAAAATATTTCCTTCAACCTCAGAAATATCTGGAACGCTCCTTGTTTTAATGTTTATACATATATCGATATGAATAGATATATACAGATGTAAGATCAAAAGTTCGCTCAAATCTTTTCTAATTTGTTTTAGGAGTTCGATCAATTATTCTCTCTCATCAAAGATTTATTTAGTACTTACTAGGTGCTGAATCCTGATCATGTAAAGACTGAGATTACAAGGCACTCATGGTGCTGTGACAAAGGCATATACTAATACAAGATTTATTTTATTTTAATCATACAAACCATCAGTCTCTCACAAGGAAATTTAAGGTAAGCAGAACCAAAGATCTCAGTGTGGTACAGAGGATCACAGCAATGAGTAAAATAAACAGATAATTTGTTCCTCATAAATCAAAGAAGAAAATGTATAAAACCCAAAGGGTCCACCAAAAGGTTAAAGAAACGCTCATGGAATAAAATAATATGTGGCTGGCACCAGGGCAAAGGGAAGAGTTTCTGGGCAGAGCCTGAGAGCATAGGAACAATCCTGACTCTTTATATCACTAATGGCTTAGTTTTGGGCTCACTGGCCACAGATAGATACATTTCTTAAGCTCTGTGCTCAAGCCAAATTTTGAAACATTAACAATATATCTCAATACTTAGAAAATTCAGGAGTCAGCACCAGCTTATTGGAAAACTGTTAAGCAACACTGTAAAACTACCTACTTCCAAGTTATATCTCCCTCCTCTGAACTCTTGTAGCACTTTACATTACTCATATCCCACTTAACATATCCTGTGCATGTTCAGCCAAAGGCTTTAAGCCTGCTACCATATTAAAAGCTACTTGAGGCAACACCAAAAACATGAGCCATAAACTAAAACCTTGATTAATTAAAATTCATAAAATTAAAAATGCTTGCTCTGCAAAAAACACAATTCAGAGAATAAAAAGATCAAAGCCAAAGATAGGGATAAAATATTTGCAAATTGCATATCAACAAAAAAGTTACATCTAAGATAGATAAATAATTATCAAAACTCAAAAGTAAAAAACAATTAATTAAAATGGCTAAAAGGTTTGAATATAGACTTCACCAGAGAAGACATATAAATGACGAATATGCACGTGAAAAGATGTTCACAATCATTAATCATTAGTAAATGCAAATTAGAACCATAATGAAATACTACACACCTACTAGAATGGATAACACTTTAAATCTGACAGTACCAAATAAATATGCAGAGCAACGGGAATTCTCATACATTGCTAGTGGAAATGTAAAATGGCAAAACTACTCTGGAAAATAGTTTGGCAGTTTCCCGTACAATCAAACTTACACTTTTCATATGATCCAGCAATTTCACTCATTACCCAAGAGTATTAAAGACATGTTCACACAGAAACTTGTAAATGAATGTTCATAGCAGTTTTATTTTTAACTGCCTAAAACTGGAAACAACTCCAATGTTGTTCAACAGATGAATAGATAAAGACAATCTGGTACAACCATTCAGTGGAATACTACTTATCAATAGAGCGCATTGAGCTGTTTATACATGCAGTAATATAGAAGAATCTCAAAAGCATTACGCTAAGTAAAAGAAAAACAGACAAAAGCTTACATATTGTATATTCTATAAGTATAAAATTCTGGAATATGCAAAACTATAGGAATAGTTTTTCACATATTATTGGCAGCCGAGGTTTGGGGGTGGAGATAAGGTTTGTCAACAAAGGAGCAGCATAAGGGAATATTAAGCAGGAGGATGAAACTCTTCTGTATATTGATTGTTATTGTGGTTTTTTTTTTACAAAAAAGAGTAAAGTTTACTATATGAAAATTGAAAAATATATTTTGAGAAAAGAACTTGAGTGTAGGAACTGTGCCATATTCACTCTTGTAGATGTCAGAGTATAAGTATCAAGATACATACATGGTAATAGTTTAACACACATTTATTGAGTAAAAGATACTATAGTTCAAACTTGAAACTTCCACAATTGTTCATAAATATTTGATAATTGTTAGAATAAACTGATTTAGAACATTATGCTTCTGCAAATAGTGATTTTTTTAAAAGATTTTATGTAAGTCCTGGTAACCAGATCTTTCTGCAAGAAATGCTCTTACTAGTGAACCAGACATCATGATAAAACAAGCTTACCTTTACATTACTATTAGTACAGTTCTTGACTCAGCACAACTCAGCACTTGAATGACAAACAAGAAAAGGCAAATATTTGTTGAACGTTTGGGATATGCAAGGAATTTTAATAAATTTTGAACTATTTTCTAATTTGCTCTTTAAGCAACAATTCAGGAAGGTATTATCTCTGTTTTGCAGATAAGAACAGTTAAGTATCTTACCCAAGTTACACAATTGTTAATGGGGAGACACATGACTCAGCTGAAATCTTACTGGTTCTAGTCCCTGTCCTGTCCATTAATCAAAGCACTTTATATCAGTAACCACACATGGAAAGCAGCAGGTGGGAAAAAGAAAAGCAAGACATCGAGATGAACCAGGAATCAGGGCTGAGTCTGGGATAAATCCCAGAAATTATAATGAATTTTGAGCTGCTACTCTGAACCCAGATAAGTGGTGAGGGTTGATACGCCAGGGCTTGATTATTATGACCAGTGCCAGAAGGAAGAAGAAGCATGTATTAGGGAGTAAGGAGAGGGGAAAATCTTTTGCAGATGAGCTAGTAATTAAAGCATACCAATATCAGATGGCAGAGGAAGACAAAGTTCCAAATGTTTAATGTGTTCCTATTATATGCCAGACCTTCTGGTGAGCAATAGGGCCAAAAGATAAATGAGACAGTGTCAGCCTTTGAGGAGCATAGAATATATTAGAGGGAGACCATAGGGTTTGTGGCTCCTTTCTTTTTTAATTAAAGCATGCCAAAATATGCTGCAATAGTTGTAGGCACAGGATACAGAGTGGTCATAAAAGAAGGAATGGCCGCATCTATTTGGAGGATTTAGTGAAGCCTTCAGGGAGGAAAGGATGTTGTCATAGTCTCAAAAGATGAGTTGATTAGCCAGATGGCCAGAAAAAAATGGAGATGGTGCTAACATTCCAGGAAGAAGGGATAGTGGGATTAAAGTGTGAAGCTGATACTAGCATGGTATGTGTGAGGATATGAAAGACATTCAAGAGGATTAGGTCATGAGATTTGAGCCGAGAGTCTATGGAAATAAGATTAAAGTTATGGGCAGGTGCATATCATAGTGACCTTTGTTTTAGTCATGGCAAGAAAATTTGACTTTATTTAGTAATTACTTGAAATTTTTGGAGGCTTCTTCAAAGAAGTATAGTGTAATCAGACTTGCAATTTAGAAAGATGCGGCAAATAGTCTTAAGGATTGCAAAACTGGGGTATGAAATCTAGTTAGGACACTACTGTTATTCCTCCAGGCACCAGACAATGAATGCCTTCTAGGTGAAGAAGATGGATTAATATTCATACTCATCTCCTTTGCTCTTCTCCTCTCCTAAACATCCTAAAGTACAATGTTGTAAAGAAACAATACAAAATGTAACTAAAAGCAAAAATATCATGAGTAGAATCATCAGTTCAAAAGAAATGTCGACCAGCCTGGCCAACATGGCGAATCCTCGTCTCTACTAAAAATATAAAAATTAGCTGGGCGTTGTGGTGGGTGCCTGTAATCCTAGCTACTCTGGAGGCTGAGTCAGGGGAATCGCTTGGACCTGGGGGACGGAGGTTGCAGTGAGCCAAGATTGTGCTACTTCACTCCAGCCTGGGCGAAGGGGTGAAACTCCATCTCAAAAAAAAAAAAAAAAAAAAAGTAAAAGAAAAAGAAAAGAAAAAGAAACAGTAAAAGAAAGAAATGAAATGCCTGTAAACTTTTAGAAGCTAGAAACAGACAGAGGAGAACTAACTGATAATAAAGAACAGAAAATACCATGGTTTGGGAGCACATTAAAAAAATTAAGAGCAAGAAGAAAGCTCTTTGTTTTGTTTCTGTAGAACCAAAAAATGTGCCAAATTCAAGGGAAGTTTGAATATAAAAGAGTTTGCCTCCTACTCCCTCACCTGGTTTCTTCTGCATGCACTAGGCTTGTATACATGTTTTGCCCCTCTTCCTGATTTTCCATCCCAACATTTTGACATCCCTTGTAGTGACTATAGTGGTTCTTTGCTTGTAGTGACTCCTTTTAAATATTTATTCAATGAATCAGAGTCATAAACCATTCGTCTCTCACTATACTCAGCCACCTTCAGAGCCCCTCCTAATTTGAATGATCAGATCATCTGACTGCTATTTTAAAATACTGTTATGTACTAGACATCATGCTGGGTTGATTAAAATAACTCAAATAAGCAAATTAATATGGAAAGGATTTTGGCAACACCACCTGTAATCCCATTCAGAGTTGAGTTGCAGAATTATCAGGTAGGCTATGTGATTTCCTCGGCCTGAGCACTATGTGACAGGGAGGCTATGTGCTTTGGTGGCTTCCTGGTAGAACAGCCCCCCACATCACAGAGAACTCAAGTGTATGTATTTTGTTTCCCAGCCTATTTTTTATTTCTCACCTCTGTCTCTAATGATAGACCAATAGCAATGCCTTTAAGATGGAATTTGGGTTTCATAAATAAATTTGAAAAAGAACTTAAAAGTGTTAAAGAATTGGGTGGAAAGGTGTCATATTGTGATTCTGACCTTTTGGTTAGAAATTGACTTCTGCATCTGTTTCCCCCACTTCACCACTATGACATTATAAGCCTAAGAGAACAGTATGCCAACCCCAGTAGCACTATTAAACTCTCTTGTCTTCCCGGCTTTGACATGAGGTGGTCCTCTGACTTCCTCCTTTTGCCTCTGGCTTCTTGATGTTACTTGATATTACTCTTCCTCCCCAACAGCATTGACTTCAACTCTGACTGCAGAAGGAGCTATTGTATTTAGGAGAAAAGGGTAAAGACAACAGACCACTTGGCCCTTGTTCTGAACTTAAATATTCTCGGCAGAGCAGTGGAGTCTTTTGAAAGCTCTGTTTATTGGTGTTCTAGGTCTGGATTCCTCATTTCCTTCTCTGTTTGAGAGGTGAGGATGAGGGAATTTTGGCATTTGGATGCTTTCCAAAGCTGATTTTTTGTCAAAAGCTGGCTCCCCAAATATTACCAACACAACCTCTTAGTAAGAAAAAACCCTAATTATTTGCTTATTATTGTAAGGAAGAACACCACTTTGCAACACTTTGTCAGTGTCTTGTGGAGAGAAGATAAGCTTAAAAACTATTGATTTTAGGCAAATCTTTCAAAGTTGGAGTTTGATTACATTTGGGTAAGGATTGTAATAAAACTGTCCAGGATTTGTGGAAATAGCACAGTGAATATTTTGAGTTAGGAATTCAAATAATTTGGGAGAACAAAGTGTTGATGTTTTCCATTGAAGAATTGAGTCTTTCAGGAAGTTCCTGTAATGAACAATCAAAATATTTGCCCAGGCAAGAGACTTTTGAAAGAATAAAGCCATGCTAATGAAGAAATAGCAATAACAAAGACAAGCTAACAGAGACAGAAAAATGGCACAGTCATGCTATTGTAGGTGATAAAATGTGGTTTCAGTTCTCAGTGCCCAGACAGAGTGTGGAGATCGACAGCTTTGGCTCTCATTGTCACCACAGTATCTGTCAGTATTTTCTGATTATTTTGCCCATTTGTTTTTCAACTTTATTAATTATCTCACAATGAGATTTTGCTCATTTATTCCACTCAGTGGAACTGAAGATATTGATATTTGATAGGATTAAGTTTGAATTCAGGGTCTGCCATTTCCTAGCACTGTGACCTTGGTTGAGTTATTTCATCTCGCAGAGCCTCAACTTTCTTACCTGTAAATTGGGTGTCTTAGTCTGTTCCTGCTGCTATAATAAAATACCTCAGACTGGATAATTTATACAACAGAATAGTATTGTTTTCAGTTCTGGAGGCTGGAAAGTCCAAGATCAATTCTCCTACAGATTTGGTTTCTGGGCAAGGTTTGCTCTCTTTTTGAAATATGATGCCTTATTGCTACATCCTTCTATGATTAAAGAAGGCAAGAGAGCTCACTTGAGACTCTTCCATAAGTACACTAATCCCATTTATGAGAGTGGAGCCCTTATGACCGAATTATATCCCAAAGGCCCCACCTTTTAACTATATTAGGTATTTGGGTCCACCATATAAATTTTGAGAGGATACTAGCCTTCAGACTATAGTGTTGGGATAATGTTACTTACCTCAAAGAACAGTAGCTCAGATCAAGAGTAGGATTTCACAGCGTTGTGATCTCTTTGATAATGCTATGTGTGTGCCATTTTACTGGGTTTTCTGTCCTGACTTTGTTTATTGTCTAAGTCCTCATTTTTGGACAATCATTTCCCTGAAAAACTGGCTAAATTTTTTATTTTTCCCCCTCAAGTTTTGTTGCATTTCCAAGGCACTGACAATTTTGCATGAACATTTGATGTATTATTTGGCCCAACCTTCTGAAATTTATGCAGCCTTAAGCATGGCGAATTGGAAAGAGCACTGGAATTGAAGTCAGAAGTTCTTGACTTAAGCCTCAACTCAGCTACCAACTCTCCCTGTGACCTTGGGCTAGGATAGCCAGGCTGAAATTTGGCTCATTTACACTCCTAGTTCTAAATCAGGCCCTGCTGAGTGTTTGGACTTTGAAATACTTCTCTGAAGAGACATATACTCATCTAAGCAGTTTGCCAACAATTTCGTGGAGTTTCCTGACATATCTCCATGGAACTCTCAGACTTTTCAGAGCATGGTTGGAAAACAACTGCCATGAAATCATGGCATTGAATTAACAAAACTCATTTTTTTAATCCACTCATTTATTCCACAAATATTTATTTTTGATAAGTGCCAAGCTTAATAGGAAATAAATCGAAATGATCCTAGGGATAGAAGATAATAATTTCTTTGACTTAGAAGTCTTGTGATTCCAAAGTCCTTAAAATGAAAAGAAACTCTATCTCCCATTCTACCCTACCCCCAACACACACACACATATGCACACACACTTCACCACCACCATAGCTGCCAAGCTTCATAAGTTCCTCCATCTCTGCACTGCTTGTTCATTAGGAGGGTGCCCCTTAAGCAGCACTGGGGCCAGGCTTCAGCTGCTCAGTCATTCTCAATTTGTCTCAGCCATATTATTTCTTCTACCAGCCATTTCGGAGCATGTCTATGCCTTCCTTCCATCGTTACTCCATCTTATTTATTTTTTAGTATTTTCTTAACAGTTCCTCCAGACGCTCTCATTAAGTGCTGGGCTAATTAACCTCCTGTTTCTGAGCAGTGGTGCTGTGGTGAGCTGCCTGGCCTTGCAGGAGGGCTCCTTGTTGCGTGGGAGGAAGTCGGCCCAGCTCCAGTCCGCTTACACACCTACTAATGGCTCACAACCACACCTGGCACCTACTTAGCAAGGTTGTTTTTGTTTTTGTTTTTTGATTTTTTTTTCAAAACTGATGTTCTTTATTCCAGACAAGCATACACCATGGCCCCCGCCACCCTCACTCACTGACAATATCAGTGATTGAAATCTCTCAGCCCCAGAAACCGGAGCTCTCCATTAACGTTGCAGACATGTTTTCCATGCTACAGACTCAGTAGGCACTTAGCAGCTCCTCTCCAAGATGTTCTGGTTCATGGTTAAGAGCAGCTGATACAGCCAGTACCACAGAGAGCCTGCACAGAATCAAAAGCTAGGGATCTCTGGAATTCTGAGGTATGCAAAATGACATGTCACCACTGTGGCTTTTCCTCCCCATTTTTATATCCAAGCGAAAATACATTTGAATCTCTTCTCCTAGATTCCTAGCATACCCAGGTTTTAGGGTCATGGTTGATGGAACAACTGTTCAATTCTGAACCCCACATTTATAAGAAGGAGAGCAGTAAAATAAACCCTCTCCCTGACCTATTTCATATATAGCTAAGAGAGGAATTTAGTATTTTGTCCATCCTTGGCTGAGTCTTTCTAGGTTGGGATAATTGATGAATCACTTTTTACTCATTCATCTTTGTGTATCCTGTGGACAAACTTTTTTTTTTTTTACCATAATAGCATTGTAAGTTATTAGATGCTCTCTACTTTTTCTTCCTTGCTCTAAATAACATTAGTGTTTCACTTTATAGTTAGCAAAACACTTTTAAGCCTGTCATGTTATTGATTCCTCAGTTGGATGAAAGTGTTAGCACCATCTGAGATTAAGAAAGACTTGCCCAAAGCCACCCAAATGAAAATGAGAACACCAGAAAAAAAAAAAAGGAGAGAAACTTAACTGCCTGAATCTCTGGAGTCTCCCCAGGCCTATTAGGTTTAGCCCTGATGTTACCTCCCTCCATGCCCAACCCTTTTCTTCTTTCCTTCTCACCTCCACATTCTGCAGACCTTTCCCTTCTACCTCTACCCTCTCATTTGTTCCTGACCCCCTTTCCCAGAGCATGGCACAAACATTTTCAAGGCATAAATTTATTTATACATATGGCAATTTTCTTAGTGTCCTATGTCTGATAAATGTCAAAGCTATTCTTCACCAGGTTTCCGATAAAAGTAGGGCAAAGCTTGATTAACACTATTGTTGAGGAACCACTTGAGAAGTGATATGCATGACAGATTAATATCATTTCTACTTACATACTTTGCTCTTATTACAGCCAATAAAGCTAGTGTTGTTTTGATGTAAAAGTATTACCCTCCCAACTCCCGTTCTGGTTGCTTCTCCAAGTTTTTCTAGCTGCACTTTTGATGAAGGGAGGTAGGCTCAAATCTCATTGCTTGAAGCCCTCAGCTTCTCTCAGGGCTCCTGAAAGTAGAACAAAGGAAATAAGGTTTTATAGCTAGAGAGCAATGGAGCAGGGAGTCAAGGCATGTTTTCCGATTCTGTATGCCTCCTGTGTGACTCTGTGAAAGTCACTAAACCCAACCTGACCTCAGTCATCTCACAAGTCAATTGAGAAGATAAGCTAATGTGATTTCAGAGTTTGCTTCTAGCAATGAAATTTTACAATTTTATTTCATAAGGTGGACAAAGTTTTTTTTTTTTTCCCATTGAGCCAAAGTTTGCTCACTTTTTACCAATTGATAGAAAAAAAATAACCTTTTCCCCTTCACACAATAATTGCCTCAAGTGATCATGGCAACTTCCACTTTCTCTGTAGTTATCTTCTCCTGAGGCTAATTAATTTTCCAGCAATCTACATGGCTTGGTTCTGATGCTTTTTGTTAACATTTTGAATAGCTTTAACACATCTATTAAAATAGAATATGGTTTTTTGGGTAGGATGTTCTTTATAGAAAGTGCAATTACAACCTATGGGCTGCTTTTCTTTTTTCTTTCTTTTTTTTTTCGTTTTTTGTTTTTGTTTTTTGTTTTTGAGACGGAGTCTCACTCTGTTGCCCAGGCTGCAGTGCAGTGGTGCAATCTCAGCTCACTGCAAGCTCTGCCTCCCAGGTTCACGCCATTCTCCTGCCTCAGCCTCCCGCGTAGCTGGGACTACAGGCGCCCGCCACCATGCCCAGCTAATTTTTTTTTTGTATTGTTAGTAGAGATGGGGTTTCACCATGTTAGCCAGGATGGTCTCGATCTCCTGACCTTGTGATCTGCCCGCCTCGGCCTCCCAAAGTTCTGGGATTACAGGCATGAGCCACGGCGCCCAGCCTGCTTTTCTTCCTTTGTAATATTATTCTCCCTTCTAGAAGACTATTTTTTCCCCTGATGACATTAGAAGCACAATATATACACCATCAGTCAATCTATGCTATGGTGTCTCTGGCCTCCTGGGGCTCCAGGTGGAGGTGTCCCCAACCCCAGATGCTGACTGCAGACCCCTGGGCAATATTGCTGATGTGTCAGACATTGTTGGAATGCTTTTCCTTCTTAAGTGTTCAATAGTCAGAATAATGTGACGTATCTCATATTTCCACTATAGATGAAAACTGGAGGATCAGCTTGCCCAAACCCCACAGATCATTTGACTCCAAATCTCAAGCTTTAACTATTAGACTATGAAAAGTGGTGAGGAGGTCATAAGGAAACATAAAATAGATTCCAAGGTAGGATAACAATATCTCTGATTCCAACATAACTTAAATAATTGAAAATATCTCAATTCTTAGCTGAAATATTAAGGAAGGATTGAGCAGATAGCTTATAGTAAAAAGATGAACCAGAGGTGCCTTTGATTATGATGAGGATGAAAGAGTAAGAACATATAAACTGCTTTCAGCATGCTAACTTCTGCAAGCCTCAGAGTGGTTTCTAGTTGAGCAGGTAGAAATGTGGATGTGGAGCAACTCTGGATCAATACCCTGGTTTTTCTCCCGCCATGCTATCTGCTAATTCTCAAGCCTCTTCCCCATCTCCTGACTTCGAAATGCCTGAGTACCCAGCATTCTGTGCACACCCTCAGCTCTTTTGTATCCACAGTCTCTTCCTAAATGTCCTTCACCCAGGACTAAAATCAGCCTTCTAATCTTGGAATCTGGAGACCAGAATTTGAGAGTCCTATAGCCTAATCAGTCATGGATGCCTCATTTTATTTTTTCTTGTTTGCTACTGAAACTCCAAATCTTAATTTGCTACCTTTTATTAAGATGCAACTATTTGTCAGAGAGTAACATTAACTAAGGTTTTAATTGCCAATATGTTGGTTCAAATGTATTTACCCAGGTCCTTTCTTGAGATAAGCCAGTACAGGGATAAAGCTCAGCCAACATATAACACAGCATCTCAAATGTGCAGGTCTTGATGGGATACCTCAGAAAACTAGGAGGCAGCATGAGGGAGACATGAGAAGGAGAGGAGAAGGAGATCATGGGGCCAGGAAGAAAACTGAGGGTGTAAACTCATATTAAATATCTCTGAGCAGGTACTATGTTGAGCACCCTCTGGAGCCTACCTCACTTGATCTTCACAAAAATTCTACTACATAAATATCGTTATCCATATGTCATATGTTGTGGTAGAAACATTCTCAGAGAGTTTAGTTAATAGACCCCAAGTCAGCTGATCAAGGATGATGCAGAAATTTAAATCTGAATTTTCCTCCATAGCCCGAGCTCTTTTTCACATATGAACCTCTCTTCCTGGTAAGGACAATGCCTAGTACTTGGAAGTAATATTTTAAATGGACTTGAAGGCTATTAGATATTATCAGATTGTACTACCTCAACTTGTAAACCACAGTTGCATCACTGTATTTGGCAGGCTGATCTTTGGTACATTGTGAGGTCAGAAGAGCTGTTGTCAAGGTTTCCCTTTTCTTCTTTTCTCCTTCCTTCAGGTGCCCACTGCTCTCCTTTCCCTTACATAAATCCATGTGCAGTTCCCTCCTTGACAGTATGGGTTTCTATTCTCTCCCCACAGCTTCTCCCTAAAATCTGATATCCTCTGCACCCAGAAGTTGTGGGAAGCTGGACAACAACCACTGCCATACTGAACTACAGTTGCGAATGGAGAGTGGCATATTTTTCAGTTGTGCTGGGTTTATACAAAAAAAAAAGTCTGAAAATTGCTTGTTTTAAATGAAAAAAAAATTTTTTAAAGCAGAATTTGCATTTTAATAGGGATTGGAATGTCAAGTGAAAGGAATACAGCTTAGAAAGCAAGTTTTGAGTGAGGGATTCACCATGGCGTTTCAAGATCCCTAAGACCATGCCACAGAAGCATGTAGTTAGCTCTTGGGTTAAATTCTGATTCTTAAATATGCTTCCTTGCATTATAGAAAATACAACTTATCTTTTATCCTTTTAGACATTGTTTCCAAATGTTGTCTTAATCTGAAAAATAGGTTTCCTAAAGAATAAAAGATAGGTTTTTATTTTCCCCATCTTCAGCGTTAGAACCTTGACCACCTCATCCATGCTCTGGTGCAGATGGCCGTATTCAGAGGAGCTGCAGCAAAAGTTTCACTCTACATCTTTATGCTGCTTTGCTTTCTTCTCAGTTCATGCACAGGACCCATAGCCATAGCTGTGTGGACTATTTTTTCTTCAATCAGTGTTTTCACAGCAAGCTTGATTCTGGCAGCCAACCACAATAGAATCATCTGAGACTGGCTGCATACCAAGCCCCTTGGAACTTTGCTCTGCACCTAGGGAGAGGATCACTCTGGGGGTTTAATGCTCACTTGGCAAGTTGACCTTGAATAAATTATTTAACCTTCTGTGACATAATTTCTTCATTTATAAAATAGAGGCATTAATAGCATCAGGCTCATAAGGTTGAGGATTAAATACCATAATCCAATATAAAGAGCTTTTTACAGCCCCTAGTACATATTCTATATTCAATTAATGTTAGTTATTAATACAATACACTCTTATTCACCCATCTTTCTTCCTTGTCAAAACATTCCTTAACTCCCAGAAGGAAGGGAAGACACCTTCTTTCAGAGAACTATAAATATTTTCAGAAGTTTCTTGTCCCAATGTCTGCTTATTATAAAATAAATGAATAAATAAATATTAAAAAGTCATTATAAGCTATCTGCCTAATATTTGTTTTATAATATACATGCTGTGGAACAATCTCACTGGTCACTCCGAGCAACTTTAGCTAGCAGGATAGAATTCTCTTTCAAGTTATAGGCCAAATTGATGGGGTCGTAGAAGGCAACTATCCGGTCAACCCCAAAAGTAAGCTAAATGAAACAGTTTTAGGCTCTATATGGACACTTGTAGCAATGACATGAATTCACTCTGAATGAACAGCTCATTGTTTAAGACTTCAGAGACACCATTGCCACTCAACTCAACTAAATTGTGATGACTACTTTTGGATATGAATTAAGCTATTGCAATAAACACTACTTTGTGCATTTGCTATGTATACCCTTTGGGAAAGAACTAGGCAGTGCAGTTTTAGTTTTACCTGACCACTTCAACTTTGCAAGATCTTAACCTGGAAAATTACCTCCAATGTTATATATGTTATATAATACCTCTATCTCATGGGAATGAAGGTGATCTAATAATCTCATTACACTAAAGTGTTAAGGGCATCATGTATTAGTGTTACTAGAAGGAATTACTTTTTAAATGAGGAGTCTGGACAGGTCAGTGGGTAATCAAAAGCAGCGAAGATTGATAAACTTTCAGATATCAGTAGTTGAGATATTTGAAGAGAGGAAAATACTTGGCATCCATCAAATCACACCACTTAAATGACTCCTTCTGTATATAAAGTTTTTTTGTAGCTACTTATTTGTTCACACAAAAGTCTTTGATGAGAAGTTACTACTTGCAAGTTAGAGGTGCTGGTGCAATAACCAAGACAAGAAAGGTAGACATTTAATAATAAATTAAAGAATTACTATAAGTTACAAAGTATAATGAGTATGTGACAGGACTTGAAGGAGTTTGGAGAGTGAGGGAAGGCTGACTTGAAGGTTTTCTACTAAGTCTTGGTAGACATTATACATAAAAGGGAGTTTAACAAGGGAGAGGAAAAGCACTTCAAGAAGATGGACTAACACTTGCAATGGTCCTAAAGTGAGACAAGTATCATTTCTACGAAGCATTGAGAGGTTGGTATAAACAAAACATACAGGGTGGAGGAAAAACGTTAATGAAATAGGAAACTAATAGAGCCCACAGGCTTAATTTGTTTATAAACTATGGTTAATGGTAGCCCCAAGAATATTTGCAACAAGGAGTAATCGGATTATATACGTGCCTTTAGAAAGCGCTCTCTGGCTTCATTGTGAGGAATAGGTTAGGCAGAAAGAAGGGAAGAATAAATGGGGGAGAGACCACACAGGAAGCTATAGCAGCTTCCCTGGGAGTTTGAACCAGAGTGGAGGTTATAAATGGAGAGGAGCGGAAGGGTTTGAGAGATAGTCCCAAGGTAAGAATTAATAAGATGTTGCATTTGATTTTATAAGAAAGCTGAGGGCAAAGGAGACATCAGGAATAGCCCTTGATTCTTTGATTTGCTTAGCTGGATGAATGATGATGCCATTTGCAGAGGCAGAATTGTCTGGAAACTCCAGGTGTTTCTTCTTCAAGATGACTCTGAGTTTGTACTCTGATCACTTCTTCTGCTTTGCCACATTTTAATTATGGGCAAAATATAGAATGGGAAAACCACAAAAACATAACTTGGAAACAAATAAAGGAAATATTTCCACAATCCAGAAATAAAAATTGAAAATAAGGTCATTTTGTTTAATTAAAAGAATAATTTAAAAGAAGGGGCTAAACCTGAAGGTCATCTTACCCCAGATTTAAAAACAGGTGGTGGTGGCCAGGGATTCTGCTTCTCTGGGCAAAGGAGACCAAAAACACTGCATTTTGGAAAGTGACTGAATTCAGGCTCTTTGTTTGAAAGTACAGGATGACTTTACCACATTCATGAAAATAGGCTACATGAAACAACTTTCTATTCTGATTTCTATTAAGAGAAATGAAAACCAATTTGCTTACCTATAGAGAATGTTTATAGCTGCTTTATAGGTAATTGCCAAAAAATCGAATCACACCAAATAACTCTCAATGGTGAAACAGATAAGCTGTGGTCCATTCATACAGTGGAATATTGCTTAACAATTAAAAGGACTAAACTATTGACACATGCCACTACGTGCATAACATTCGAATACATGATGCCAAGTAAGGAATCCAGATTCAAAAGGCTGCACACTTTATGATTTCATGTATATGACATTCTGAAAAAGCCACAACTGTAGGAATGGAGAATACATCAGTGGTTCCCAGGGGCTGAATGGTAGAAATGGGAGAAGGATGTGGAGGATGTCACTACAAAAGGTAGCACAGGGGAATTTCATACATGATGTGTTGATGAGGAATGTTGATAGAGCAGTTTTGTTTCTTGATTATAGTGGTAATTTCAGGATTACATGCATTTGTCAGAATCTTCACTGTATACCAAAAACAAGAAATTTTGTTCTATGTTTAATTAAAAATGAATAAAATTAAACCTGGATTATGATTCTCAGATGCTTGCACTTATGAGACCTGGATCTTGAAAACTAGTGGAGGTAGTTGCAAAACCACTAGGAGTGAGAGACGAGCACAGAATAGAAAGAGAACTAGAGAAAAATAATCTCCACACAACATACACCTATAACCCCAAATTTCAAAACAAATGAAAACATCAAATACCAAGTAAGAAAGTCAAAAGAAAAAAAAACTGACTAGAAGAACGACTTCCTCACTTAAAACCAATGTTATAGTCAGATGAAGAATTTAAGATAATTATGTTTTATATGAGTAAGGATATAACTGATAAAATAACTTTATTTTAGAAGAAGAAATTATTTTTAAAATAAGCTATAATAAAATAAAATGCGGATAAATAAAAGAAACAACTAGAAAATCTTGCATGATCAAATATTCCTATTGATATAAATATTTTATTGGTAATGGCAATTCAAGATGGGCTACAATCATAATTGTGGTACAACAATAATATTTAGAGTTGAAGAGAATATTTTTAAAAATCCGTTCCCAAAATGCAGCACAGAGAGACAAACAGGTAAAACAAGGCTAAGATATTATAACAAGGAAAAAAAATCCATTTCACTCACGAATTCAGATGCAAAAATTCTAGACAAAATATTATCCAACAGAATCTGCTATCATGTAGAAAGCATAATTGCCAATGTGGGTTTACTTTAGAAACACATATTAATAGATTAAAAGGGAATATCCATATAATTGTTTCAATAATTTCATAAAACACTTAATAAAATTAAATATAAATTACTGTTAAAAGTTTCCAGCAAACTAGGAAGGGAACAAAATTCTCTATTATTAGTATTATTAGCATTATTTTAAACAGGAAATGTTAGAAGAATTAGAAATGAGATAATACACTCACTTTTATCAGTTCAACTGCTTGACTTTGTATGGGAGATCCTAGCTAGTGTGATTGAAACAAAATAAAAAGCTTAAAGTTCAGAAAAGAATAATCAAAATCTCATTAATGTAAATGATACGTGACTTTATATTAAAAATTTAAATAAACTATGAATAAATTTTAGAATCATATGGGAGTTTAGCAAGATTGCTAGATAATAAGATAACCAAACAGAAGTCAGCTGCAATTTCATACTCCAGAAAATATAACTAAAAAGAAGACAATATCATAAAAGAGCACCAAGTAACCAAGAATGAATCTAACAAAAGATAAGCAAACCTGTACTTAGAAAATTATATTTTATTTATTTATAGTCATTAAAGAAAGGCTGAAGTGAAGAGATACTGTGTTCAAGGAAGGAAAAGATTAGTATTGTAACATTGTCAATTATTTCCTTAATTTATAAATAGATTTGATAAATTATAAATTTAAAAATATGTATGAAACAATAAAGAGCCAAAAATAACCAAGACTGCTTTGAAAAAGAGTAAGAAGAGAGAATTAGCACTATCCAACATCAAGTTTTATGGTAAACCTATAGAGATAAGTCCATAAAGCACTGGCATAGGCAGAAACAAATTGACAAAAGAAGTGAGGTTATAACCCCATAATTGACTCATGCATTTATGAAAAAAGTTCCCTGGCATACAAATGGACAGCTGTGGCCCTACAGTATTTATTAAATGGAGTTTTTCAAAATTGGCTATACACTGAAAAAACTGTTTTTGGATTTCCCACCTAATATCATATACAAAAAAATCATCTGTAGATGTGTGAGTATGTATTTAAAGGTGACCTCCAAAACAGCTCATGTGTCAAAGAGGAAATTGCAGCAATGTGAATTATAAAATATTTAGAAGTGAATGATAATAAAAGCATGAGGTAATCAAATTTGGGAGTTACAACTAACACAGGACTAGTGGGAAGTTTAGCTTTCTAGACAGTAATTTAGAAAGAAAAAAGAAAGAAATTAAAGATTGGAAGTAAATGATTTATGTTGAACTTAGATGTCATAGAAAAAAACAAATTTTTTTTTTTAAAAAAGATAAAGGAAACAAAACAATAAAAAGCAGCAAATTAAAGAAAATAAGACAAAAATTAGTGAAAGTAAAGGCAATTTTTAGGACTATCTCAGCAAGTCTGATTTAAAAAAACACAGAAAGATGGAGAAGAGAGATAAAGAAAGGAAATATGTCTATAAATTATGATTAGAAAAGAGAATAAAAATGCAAACATAGTAAGGATTTTGAAAATCAAAACAATGGCTGGGCGCGGTGGCTCACGCCTGTAATCCCAGCACTTTGGGAGGCCGAGGCAGGCAGATCACGAGGTCAGGAGATCGAGACCATCCTGGCTAACACGGTGAAACCCCGTCTCTACTAACAATACAAAAAAAAAATTAGTTGTGCGTGGTGGCGGGCACCTATAGTCCCAGCTACTCGGGAGTCTGAGGCAGGAGAATGGCATGAACCTGGGAGGCGGAGCTGGCAGTTAGATAAGATCGCACCACTGCACTCTAGCCTGGGCGACAGGGCGAGACTCCATCTCAAAAAAAAAAAAAGAAAGAAAATCAAAAGAGTGGTACATAAATCAGATACAATAAATAATTTTCTAAAACAATATCTAAATTACCAAAGTATATCAATAAAAATTTAATAACCATTAAAATATGTACCTTGTAATAAAATTTTCCTCTCTTTCAAAAGGAAACCAGTTATAGATTAATATATGGTCAAGTTTTGCCAAACTCTTAAATAACCAAATAATATTATTTTCTGAATATTTCAGTCTAGGACTTGTGATTAAGGTTACCAACTCATTTTCCAAAGTTAGTTTCACTTTAATTCTAAAATTATCAAGGGCAAGTATAAGAAATAATAATTGCAGACCAACAGTATTGATGAAAATATTGACCAACTTATAAAAAACAGTAAACCAATTTTAGCATCAGGTTCATGCATTGTTTATCCTAGGAATGCAATGATTGTTTAAATCAGAAACGTATTAAAGTAATCCTAATGTAATTCAGCATATTAATAATTAAAAGAAGAAAGAAAAAATAGGATCTTCTCATAATACTTATTTCCCGGTTAAATCAGAAAAACGTTTGATTTAATTTTACATTTGCCTATGATAAAACACTCAGCCAACAGAAGTTTCAGGTTTCTAAAGCTCACAAAGAGTACTGTATTAGATTTTTTTTTAGAGCTGCTATAACAAATTATGACAAATATATTGGCTTAAAACCATACACCTTTATTATCTTACAGTTTTTTGTGTTAAAAGTTTGGTACAGGTCTCACTGGGCTGAAGTCAAGTTGTTGACATGGCTGTGTTTCTTCTAGAGGCTTTAGGAGAATATCTACATTGCATTTTTTAGTTGCTAGAGGCTGCCCCTTTTCTTAACATGTGGCTCCTTCTTCCATCTTCAATGCCGGTAATGGCTGGTTAAGTCCTCACACTCCGTCACTCTTATCTTCTCTTCTAACTCCCTTTTCCACTTTCAAAGACCCTTGTGATAACATTAGACCCCTCTGGATAATCCAGGATAATGTATCTATTTTAAATTCTAAGGTTAGCAATCTTAATTCCACTGGTAACTTTAATTCTCTTTTTCCATGTATTTTAATATATCCACATCTTCTAGAGATTAGAATGTGAATACATTTGGGAGGCCATTATTCTGCCTACCACAGGTACATATGAGTTAGGTTTGTTTTCAGCAAAGAACAATCAAAATCCTATCAGAAAGGGCTTACATAAGAAAATCCTCACTTGTTCCATGCTTTGAGAAGCAGCAGTTCAGGACCGCATGGCAACACAAGCATGACATCAGAGTCTCCAGCCTCTTCTACTTTTCTGTTATATAATCTTTGATGCAAAAGATGGCTGCTTCTCTTAGAGGTATCATATCTGCATTCTAGGCAAGAAGAAGAAAGTGGAAGAGGGGAGGGGCAGTGCCTATGTCAAGAATGTAAAAAGATTTCCCAGAAACCTTAAATTTGCATGTCATTATCTAGTACTGGTATTTTAGCTGCAATGGAGTTTGAAAAAGTAAGATTTTTTTTAAAATCTGGACATAGTGCTGCCCTTTTCAAAATCAATTACCTATTAGTAAGATGGAAGGGGGGTAATGAATACTGCATAGGAAACTAGCAGTGTCAGCTACTAAATAACTATCATCATATTTAATGGTGATATTTTAGAAGCGTTTTAATTCAAGTCACGGATAAGGTGGAGATGTCCACTATCACTTCTTCTATTCATTCTTTTGGAGTTTCCAATCAATGGTAATACCAAGAAAAATAAATAGAAGGTATAGGAAAAGAAAGCAGAAAATCATTGAAGATGGGCATATTGTCAGTAGGACATCATAAATTGTTTTGCAAGGATTTTTAGGCACCTAGATAATAACCAAATAAAAATGTTATAGTTGAATATATGGGTACATGAATAGAGATGCAAATTTGAATCATAAGGGAACAATGGCTCACGCCTGTAATCCCAGCACTTTGGGAGGCCGAGGCAGGTGGATCACCTGAGGTCAGGAGTTTGAGACCAGCCTGATCAACATGGTGAAACCTCGTCTCTACTAAAAATACAAAAATTAGCCAGGTGTGGTGGCACATGCCTGTAATCCCAGCTACTTGGGAGGCCAAGGCAGGAGAATCTCTTGAACCCGGGAGACAGAGGTTGCAGTGAGCTGAGATTGTGCCATTGCACTCCAGCCTGGGCAACAAGAGCAAAACTCCGTCTCAGAGGAAAAAAGAAAGAGACAAAGAAAGAAAGAGAGAAAAAAGAAAGAAAGAAAGAGAGAGAGAGGGAGGGAGGGAGGAAGGGAGGGAGGAAGGAAGCAAGGGAGGAAGGAAGGAAGGGAGGGAGGAAGGAAGGAAGGAAAAGAAAAGAAAAGAAAAATCTCTGTAATTGAGTACAATTGCCTGGTGATAGAGAATAAGGTTAAATAGAGGGGAAGAGTTAAGACTGAACATTAAATAATTACAATATTTAAAGACAAAACTAAGAAATGTCCAGAGAAGTAGGAGTAAATACAGAAAATACAGAGAAGTATGGTGTTGATGTCAATGAAAAGAAGAAAGTTTCAAGGGGAAGAAGCTAAAAATGTTTCATTTTGCTGAGAAGAACAAAAAATAAAAAATAAGACAAAGTTGACTTCATGATATGGTAGGCTTTGATGACCAAGGCATATACTGGAATAGTGGCAATTTTGATGTGAGCCTGATGAAAATGAGTTCAAGAGTTCGTCACAATAGTCAAGATATGGAAGCAACCTAAATGTCCTTGGACAGATGATGGGATGAAGGGTAACGAAGATAGGATACATACATACAGTGAAATATGTACTATTCAGATGTACAAAAGAAGGACATTCTGGAGTATATGACAACATGGGTAAGCCTTGAAGACAATATGCTAAGTGAAATAAGCAAGTCATATACACACACACACACACAAAACAAATACTGCATGATATCACTTATATGAGGTATCTAATAAAACACATTCATGGAATCAGGTATTGGAATGGTAGTTTCTAAGTGCTGGAGAGAGGAAAATGGGGAGTTAATAATCAATGGACATGAAGTTTCAGTCAAACAAGATGAATAAACCCTACAGATTGCTTATACAACATTGTACTTAAAACCAACAATAATGTTCTACACTTTTGAGTGTAGATCACATGTTAAGTTTTCTGACCATAGTAAAATAAAATACAGTTCAAGGGAAATAGAGACATTGAAACAGCATAAAAAACTTTTTAAAATTTTAATTTTCAAGTAAGCAGAAATATAGGGCAATACTGGGGAGTGGGAATAGGGGTGGAGTTGAGAGTATAATTTTATTTATGAGAGACTAGAGTTTGTTAACTGCTAATTGGGATGATCCTATAAAAGAGTCTTGTGGAAGTACCAACGAAGGGATTGGTGAGCAGAAATATATCGTTCCTAAATATCTAGAAAGGAATTGGTATTAAAATAAGATGTATAACTCGCCTTTTTAAACAAGTTATAGAGATAAAAGAATGGGTGTAGCTAGAAAGATGAAAAGATACAAGAGCTCCCATATGACAGCTTCAATTTCTCCTGTGAAGAATAAGATCATCTGCTGAGAATTGACAGGGGCAGATGGGGAGAGCCAGAAGATTAATGAAAATGGAATAGGTTTGAAATAGCCATTGTAAATATTGGAAAGAAATTGACCAGAACAACATACTAGAATTATTGGTTAGTCTTGTTATTGGAACTCAGATGAGGTTAGCAATCATAAATTCACAATGGAATCACACTGTTATGTGATATTTTTCCAGGAAAACATGATATTTCCTGGCAATAGTTTTATCCAAGGTTTGGATTTGTCCCAGATACAAGCAATATAGAACAGAGGGGCAGAAGGATTTAGCATTTATGTAAGGTTTAATTGTAATGTTAGGTCAAGCAATCTAAGCTGCATAGGAAGGAGAGTGACAGCAGATTTAAATCCCATGGATAGCAAAACATGAAATGTGGATCTCTACTAGCCACAGTCATGAATTGAATCATGGTATGGGATCCTTTTCTATATTCACAGAATGTTCCACACATCTTCAAATAGTACTCCCTCTGGGATGACTTGGTTCATCTCAGTGATAAGTGGCATCTTCTGTTATTCATCAATTTCCTAAGCAGCCTAGACATACAAAACTGGGGGGCACAAATTATGCTGAGTGATAGTATGATCACATTATTTGAGGTTGTAAGATCGGCTCCACAGCCAGCCTTTGACACACGATAATTTTGGGTGCAGTTTTCTTCCATCAACCCCTCCTCCTCTTTATTCATCCCACCTCCATGTATACACAATTGACTTGTTTATCCCGACTCTTGGTTTTTCAGACCTTACCTTATTGCCTCTCAGAAGTCTTAAAGCAGACCACAATGCTCTAGGCTCTATCCTCTTGGTGTTCAAACCCACCAAATGGTGACAATCTGTTTAGATTCTCATTCCTTTTGGGTCTTGTTGGTGACTGATTGGCTAATCGGTCAAAACAATTTATGCAGAAGCACAAATGGCTGAAGGTAGCATGGTGCATTGTAACGTCCTTGTAACCAATTCTTCACTCAGGTTATCAGAGCTTTAGTCTCAAAGAGTGATTAATGGTATGAGTTTCAAGCACTGTACAAAAGACAGTTGGAGTCTCTTTTCCAGGAAGAAAATACTTAAAAGTATTTCTCAAGCTCATTCCTTAATTCACGCAATAGCTGAGAGTCTGTTATATCTGCTATATCCCAGACATTGCTTAAGGTTCTGGCCATAAGAAATGCCTAGGTCTCCGACTCACACCTTAAATAATTTATAGTCTGGGAAGAGACAGATGCATAACAAAAATGGGTAATAGCTGCCACAATAGAAATCTGTAAGTGTGCAAAAGAGACATAAAAGAGAAAGTGAAAATCCTCATTGTCTCATTTCCTCTGGGAACATGTTTCAATAATGATCCTTTCTCTTCTGTTTACTTTTTGTTTCTTCTCTACTGGCCCTTTCTAGTCATCCTATAACTCAAGTCCATTTCATCTAAAAACAAAATAAAATAAAACAACAGCCTATTATTAACTCTGGATATCCTTCCATTTTTGTATTTCTCCTTTATAGCCTTCTTAGCAAAAATGTTCTTAAATTAGGTTGCATATTCTAATTACCTGGGGAAGGGGACTCATGCCTGGAACCCACTCCACAGAAATTCTGTTTATTTGATCTGGGAAGTAGGCATCAGGATTTTTAAAGTCTCCCGGGTATATTCTAATATGAATGAGCCAAGAATGAGAGCTGCCATTCTGAAGAACGATAAGACTGATCACTCCAACATTATGTGCAGTGCAGGACATATTAAGAACTCAATAAATGGCTATTACCATTGCATTAATCAATAAATACGAGTGTGCTTTGAGTGCATGGGTGTCACAATCTAGTTAACAGAAAACTGGTAGACATATTTGCCTGACTGAGGTGGAAATGACTTAGTATTTACCAGCTGTTCCAGATTTGTTTCATCTTCAAACTGTTGACAGCTAAAAGGCAAGACTCTTAGCACTCAGTTTCTCCATCTGTAAAATGGGAAAAATCACTTATTCTGAATTACGGGGTTGGTTAGAGGATTAATTAGCTCATCTTTGTAAAATGCTCCACAGAGGGGCAAAAAAAAAAATCTATAAGAGCTAAGGATTATAGTCTCTCTGAAGCATCTATAATTTGTAGAGACTTTCATAGCCCATCTGGTCAGTGAAGCCTATAGTTTGGAGCCTTACTTTTGCTTCAAAGCTTTAGAACACAGACTCTGGTTAAACTAACTGGGCTTCACTTAGCCCCCGGGAAAATGACTATAAACTTGTTGCTGTCGAAAATGTCCACAACCTTTGCTCTTTATACTCTGAGTGAATGTTCAATCCTACATGTTCCCCAAATGCCATCTTTTATGTCTTCTCTTGGGAAAGACAGTGGTGGAAGTGAAGAAGAAGGGCAAATGGGACCTCCCCCCACTTAAACCTATCCATCAGTTGGATGATGTGTTTGACAACTAAACTGGATCTTTACCTATTTTTCTTGCAGGATTTTCTAGTAGCTGCTTTCATACCCCATTCCAGTAATATTTAATGTTGCCTCATCGTTCCATTGTGCTCAAAGGTCTTCGTAAGGACACTGAAATAAAAACGATGATTCCTGGCATCTGCACAGAGTGAAGCAAGAGAATGTTACAAATGAGAAAATAGAGCTGGGGTCTGCTTTCTTTCTTTTGGCAAAAAACCTGCTATAGAAACTAATGTAGATGAGGGGGCACTGAGCCATATATAAGTGAGTAATTATCTACTGTTACAGGCCTTATTATCTCTCCAAATGTTTGCTAAAATTCTGTTGGGCAGCCATCTGGACCCAGAGATTTACCCGTGGATTGAGAGTAGATTGTTGTTTTAACTTGAGATAGGAAAATTTCTTTCTTTAATTCTTTTCTGTCATCTTCTGTTAAATAATTTAAGTGAATGTCTCTTACACAGCTCTCTGTGAGTCCTCAGAGTAAGTGGATTCAGTGTGATAAACTCATATAAAATATTTTTTGAAAGTTTTCTTTTTTCCCTTTTCCCCCACCGGAGAATCCAAGGACAGTTTGCCATCTGTTGTAAGAATTTCATTAATGCACCTATTTTCTCTTCCTTTTTGCAAGAGTGGTCAGTCCAAATAATTTGTAGCCCTCTCCTGTTATGGGAAGGATTCGCTGCCCGGAAGCATCACCCCATCACAGCTAAGTCCCTGCTCTCCATTATGGCTTTCTCTCAGGTGGCTTTGTTAGCTCAGAACAACAAAGCCTATGTCCCAAAGCCTGGTTGGGTATCAATAATTTAACAACATGTCATAGACAACAGTGAACCATGCTGCTAGGGTTGAAATATTCCTAAGGCTTACTATCTATTATGCTGGGTTTTCTCACTATGCAGTACAGGTGGGCCCAGCATTTTCCCAATTCAGAAACTTACAAGATAAGATAATGGCACAGGGGAGGGTTTATTTGCATTACAAAAGATTCCCTGATTTACCAAATGGTTCACTTTGGATCTTCTTTAAATTAAGAGCTCGTTTTCAGCAATTAAATGTTTATAGGCTTAATTTGTTTGGCGCTTTCATGATAACACTCCCAAAGAACTGCCTTATTCAGACAAGATGACTCTCCTTCAGACTTGACTGGTCAAAAGTCTGTGCAAAAAATATTTGAAACATAATATTCAAAACAGAACTTTTACTTCATATTTTCTTTTGGTCTAGATTTCATCACAGTCTGGTACATATAAGTGTAGCTTAGAGTCGGCTGCACCTGATTTGAACACAACTGACCCCAAATTCTCACTGTCTCACTTAGACACATGACCCAGTTACTCCCCATAGTGCCAGATAAAATGCCCAGGCACCAAAAACATCAGGCAACAGTGCAGAACGTTCTGTTCTAGTAATTACATTTGGGAGACAGAGGAAGGTTTACAGTGCAGTCCCGTAGCACAAAACCACATAGATACCCAGACATAGTTACATCATTCCTAAAGTCCCTCTCCAAGAATCACAGGTCCTCTCCTGTCTGTCTGCCTCAGCAAGTGCCCAAACTCAGGACCTGTTCTTCACCCTCTTGGAGTTTGTCCCCGCTGTGCAGAGAATTCTGCCCTGCTCAGTCCAGTTTCTGCTCCCCTACTGTCAGTCATCACTGTGGTTAGCTAAAAACCATCTCCCCAACTACCAGAAACTCCCAGTATATGCCTTCTGCTCTTTTTCTTTTATATAATGGTTTCATTTGTTTGTTTGTTTTAGCTAAATTATTCACCTTCACTAGAAAGGTTTACTCTCTTTGAGACTGGCCTGCTGCCACATATAAAAGAGGACAAGCCCAAGTTTGGAGCATGACACAGGGCCATCTACCATAAATCATCAGAACAGTTTGAACAAGGGGCAATTATAAATGCCCAGGAAAGCACAACTGTTTACATTGCACAACTGTTTCTTACACTGTCTGAGTAGTTTACGCCAGATCAAGTCAGAGTGATTGGGAGCCTCACCTCCCCTCCTCAGGATGGACTAGATTGGCCCCCTGATCATAGGGGTTTCCATCAATCATGGGTTGTGGGTCTGCACAGGAATTTTGCTAAGAAGGGCTTGAGAACTAAGTGAGGAATATGAGGGGTCAAGGGTCAGATTTAGGAAGAGGGTACTCCTTTCCTCCTGCTTTTCTTACTAGGATTTATCAGGAACTCTCTTCTCCTATAACTATCTTTGTGTTGTGGGTCTCCATTGCTATCCATAAGAGCATCTTTGCTGCTCTCCTGGCATTCACCCTCTAAGCCCCCTGGATGTCGTGGCCATAGAAATCTCACTAAAGCACCACTTCCATCCCAGCATTTCCCCTGCTCAAAAACCTACGCTGCTCCTTATGTTCCTGCATCAGTTATAAAAGGCATGACCATATAATTTATTGCCCAAACCAGGACATATTTGAGAGTAAAAAAAGGTGCACTTAATATTTATGTCAAGACCACAGGTGTAAATGGAAAATGCTTCATGTAACAGGGATATATGGTCACCTTAAACATAATCTCCCTACCTTGTGTTTGAGACTATGTTTCCATACTACTTATCAACCTAATCTTATTCCAAAGGTCAGAGCACTACTGCAATACTAAAAATAATAGCAGCAAAGGCAACCATAATGCTAGCAACCACTCATGAGTTCTCTTCTGTATAGCAAGCACTATGTCTCAGTGACATTTACTTTTTCACTTTCCACATTCTTATGAGATCAGGGTGCCATTTTTGCCATTTTACAAGTGGGTAAACTGAAATAAAGAGGTTTAAATACTTGGCCAAGGTCATGCAGCTGGTAAATGGCACCCCTGGAATTTAAGTCCAGGAGAGTTTGACCCTGTGCTTACCACTGTTTGCCAAACCATCTCCTTACTTTGTTGTCGTTGTTGTTGTTGTTGTTGTTGTTGTTGTTGAGATGGAGTTTCGCTCTTGTTGCCCAGGCTGGAGTGCAGTGCCGCGGTCTCGGCTCACTGCAACCTCTGCCTCCCAGATTCAAACGATTCTCCTGCCTCTGCCTCCCAAGTAGATGGGACTACAGGCACCTGTCCTCATGCCTGGCTAATTTTTGTATTTTTAGTAGAGAGGAGGTTTCACCATGTTGGCCAGGCTGGTCTCGAACTCCTGACCTCAGGTGATCTGCTCGCCTCGGCCTCCCAAAGTGCGAGGATTACAGGTGTGAGTCGCTGTGCCCGGCCCATCTCCTTACATTTTTAAAGTACTTTGTAAAGCACATAAAGAATATTTAGGATTACAACGGATGGAATGTTCTCCTAGTCTGGATGTGGTCTCCCCCATACTGCTGAATGGCTGAATTAACATTACCCAACTCCTTCCCACCCTTCCATCTTTGCTTATGCTGTTGTCTCTAAATTGATTGCCCTTCTGTGTTTTTCGTGTCGATCCATGGTCAGTCCATCTGGCAAAGCCCAGTTTAATTTCGTACCCTCTGTGAAACCATAGCTGGCTACTCAGTTGACATTAATCCCTCCCACCTGTATCCTCTTAGCCTAATTATCGTTCGTATGGTACACAAATTTGTAATAAATTAAAATTTTCCTTTTCAGTTCTCTAATGATTTTATGTTTGTTATTCTTCTCTCCTTAACCTGTATGCAAATCCTTCAAAGACAGGGGACCTCCTAGAACAAAATTTAACTTGAAATTTGGCCAGATAAATATTGTTTAGACATTTTTTTTTAACAAACTCAGTTAAGAGATTAAATAACTCATCTAAAATTCATATTAAAAAAAACGCCCTAAAAAGATTGTTAATTGTTTAATATTTTTTTCTACCAAAAAATGAGATATTCCTAGTAGCATTATTAAGACACTTCGAAATAAGATTTTTATTTAAGTAAATGGACACATACTAAAACAATTATCTTAAAATAAAATACTCTTGCTTTTTAAAGAAATATATCCAACTGGTTTGAGTTGTCTCACCTTGTGATGAGGAAAAGTAAACTCCAACATTTTCCTCACACCTGTAATGGGAAAAACACAATATCCTGCTGCCTGGGCCAGAAAAACCAGGAAGAACCCCAGGGATGTTCTGTAGTCTCAAATTCACTAGAAACTTATTTGGGGGGAACAAGAAGGAAACTGATCTCAAAATAGACATGTTGACTATATTGCCCCAACAATAATGTATTGAAATTCCTGACGAGGCTGAACAATACCTAAACCATCAGCTTCATTCTGGCTTCATTCCTTTTGCTAATAAATTGGTGTGAACTTCCCTGGCCATGCTGAGGTCATCTGCCAGCATGTGACTGATGATTCTACATGGGGAAATAACTCAGTAAGTACTACTCAGATAGCCAGCAATCTACTCCCATTGTCCCCAGGCCCAGGGCAGCATGCAAGCCCTGGCTTCATGGAGTGGTGGCTTTGGGCCTGATGAAATAGGCACTGGGCACATCACTTTCCAAAAATGATCAGAGAGCCATGATGGAGAAAGAAGGCACTAAAGGAACAGGAGGCATTCTAGAATACAGACAGTGAAGAATATTACAGTCACTAATTTGCAAAAGATTATGCCAGTAGGAAATCTTATGGCCTATTTGCAAAAACACTTACCTGAGTTACTCTGCAGGATCAGTCAGTGAAAAATTACAAAATTAGCCAAGGTGCTTTTTTTTTTCCTTTTGTTCCAGCATCCTTGGTACACTTCTGATGCCTGAAGTCCTTATGCTCCTCACTGTTCTTTCTCTAACACTCTATTGCTTCTCAAAATAATAATAATAGCAAATATCTAGAGATTGCTTATTATGTTCTAGGAACTACACTTTTCACAGAACACCTCTTTGATTCTTACAAATCCACCTTGAAATTGGCTACAATTTTTACCTTGACCTGAAGTTGTTGACAAATTTTCCCAGACACACGGAACTAGTTAAATGGCAGAACTGGGTTGTAAAGCCAGGCAGGGCCACCTGAGTCCTGAGTTTCGGCACCCACATAAAGCATACACCCAATTCACTCATGCAGCTATTTTTCCACCAAGAAGGAATGTGGTTTTAGAAACTAGTTTACTCTGAGATTACAGACTTAACCAATCCCCTTCCCAAGGTTGCTCATATTTTAAAAAATCTCAGAATAGAAACATTGCATGTGTGTCTAGTAAAATGTCATCCCAACGGTAGATAAGATTTTTCTTTGTATAAGACTAGTCTTTTTTACTTTTTTTAACTTTAAGTTCTGGGATACATGAGCTGAACGTGCAGGTTTGTTATATAGGTATATATGTGCCATGGTGGTTTGCTGCACCTATGAACTCATCATCTATGTTTTAAGCCCCACATGCATTAGGTATTTGTCCTAATGCTCTCCCTCTCCTTGCCCCCCTCCCACCCAACAGGCCCCAGTGTGTAATGTTTACCTCCCTGTGTCCGTGTGTTCTCATTGTTCAACTCCTACTTATGAGTGAGAACATGAGGCGTTTGAATTTCTGCTCCTGTGTTTGTTTGCTGAGGACGATGGTTTCCAGCTTTATCCATGTCCCTGCAAAGGACATGAACTCATTTTTTATGGCTGCATAATATTCCATGGTGTATGTGCCATATTTTCTTTACCCAGTCTATCATTGATGGGCATTTGGGTTAGTTCCAAGTCTTTGCTATAGTAAATAGTGCTGAAATAAACATATGTGTGCATGTGTTTTTATAGCAGAATAATTATTATAATCTTTTGGGTATATACCCACTAATGAGATTGCTGGGTCAAATGAAGACCCGTCTTCTTAATCAGCCTGTGAATTATACTAGAACAAATGTAACCTCTATGGATCACAGGACTAGAGTGGTAGGTCCTCTTCTGAGTTGCCCAGAAGCTCCAGAGGCTGAAATAGATTATTTCTTTATCCTTGGATTCAAATCTTCATGATTTCAGTTCTTGTACATGTATTCCTCCCCTCCACATAGCCGGGAACCACCTTTTAAATTTATAAAAAAATTCCGCTAGTTCAAGACTCATGTTTTTCTTAATGTAAGTCCTTATCAGTTACAACCCAAATATATATTTCTTCTTTGAATTTGCCATACATACATGACTTATAGCCTATAGATGATTCTTATACTTGATTAATTCTATCATGCTTTTCTCTGGTAAATGTGTTATGTTTCACTTTCTGACAAAACTCAAATGTGTTTATGTCTTACTTCCTGATAAAAGTTTCTCAGTGAATGGAAATGCAGAGAGTTATCAATATTTCTGATTATTTCTAGCACAAACTATGAAGAAGCTTCTTAAATGAGATAATGTGTGGGAACCACTTATGAGTGGCTGGTATATAGAATGTGTTTACACACACACAGACACATACATTACATTACATTATTTACCTCTCCCTTCTTTTACCTTAAAAAAACACTTTTGGCTAAACAAACAAAAACCTAGCCTTTCTATAGTTAAATTCAAACATATATTTAGTGAAATTAAGAATTGTGTTTGCCTTAAAATCCTGTGTATAACTAGGAACTGAACAGATGGTGAAAGACCTGGTCTCAGGCACATATTCCTTCTCTTCAAATAAGATGCCCCTTGATTTAAGGATAGCAACTCCTGGGAGTCTAATTCCATCAGTAGGCTAGTCTCATCATGCAATCTTGACACATTTGAGGAATGTAGACCAAGATAATCAACTGTCCTCACTTGGGCCACCATCACCTTTGAGATCAGTGGAGCTTGTCTCATTGCAATTCGCCAGAGTAAGTCTGCTCAGAAACACCTGGCAGGACAGCCTAATTAAGTATTTACCCTGGCAGCCAAACTAGCTCTTTCAGATTCATTACGGTTTCTCAAACGACTAAAACTAATTTCTTTAAGTGAATAGAGAAATGACATTTTAAAATAACCTTACAAGGATACAATATTTGAATTATCACAATTGTTAGCTATTTTTAAATTCTATTAATTAATATTATTTTATCTCCAGCATATGTTCTTGTTTTTATGGAACTGTACTCAAGACTCGTCTGGGATAAAATGTCATCAGTAGCCTCTGGCAAGTAGAGATTCCACATCTGGGTAACTTCACCTGTCCTTACTTTATAATGCATGAGCACCAGTCTGATACTCTGGAGTTCTTCCATTGCCGTGCCAGCAGGTAAAGGGGGCGAGGGAGAATCTGTGTTGAAATCTTATGACACAATGGCCCAGATTTTAAAATGGGCATAAAGAAGGGGAGGAGTCCTTGGGTTTATGTGAAAATCCTCTCTCAAGCAAGACCTTTTTAATAATATAACTAAATATGTCAACATATTAAAATATTTTTTAAAGAAAGAATTAGATATACAAGTTGATAACTTTCTTGCTCATTCCTGAAGTATTTCCTCTCACTGTTGATTTGTTACATTTTTCTTTGAAATTCAGGGCTTTGGTGCATCTTCCTAACTAGCACATAAGTATTCTTATTTATGATTTTGCATTGGCAATAGAACTTCAAAAACAAGAGTATTACTAGAAACAAGGGTGTATTCACTTACAGCAATATGTAGCAAACCAGATGCTTTCTAATACTTAAAATGACATTAGACTAGCAAGTCACAGTAGAAAACAAAGCAATTATTTAAAATATGTTTCATCAAGTTTATATATTATTTGATGTCAGGTACTTTTTGTCTACTGGTTTTACTAAGAAATTGGGAATAGAAATAACCATTCTTTTTATGCCAGTGTTATTACTCGGGTGTTAAGGTCAAGTGTAACTGCCTCCATTAAAATATTTTTTTCTTCTTCTTCAAATAAAGATTTTGGCTTAATCAATGGAGTCCCATGTTTACTCACACCTACGTTTGCAAATTATAACCATTCTAAAACTACACAAAAACTGTTTATATGAGTTTCCCACTTCAATAAAGCCTCCCACTCTCATATCACACCCTAAACTTTGACCCACCAGTAATGTCATTTCCTCCAAAATTTCACTTGTATTCCTATTTAACAAATCCCTCACACATTTATGCCACTATCTCCAGCCAACAGTCCATCAACATTGGTCCCTAATTCATAGCCCATCACTCTTTCATTATCAAAGAGCCATTTTTTTTCTTCTCTCCTTTCCCAGCTTTGACTCCAGAGTCAATTACTTACTCATTCTCTTGCCCTCCGGTCTCTCCTTGGTGAAACTCCTTTTCTCAACTATCCCACGTGTCCCCTAAAGCTAGGGAACATGGATTGGGAAAAATATGATAATGCTGATTGCTTTCACTTTAAGTTTATAACACTCCATCTCCTGTGGGCTCTTAAAATGTTTCTGCAGTCTTTCTATATATTCCTAGTTCCTCCACTCTCCAAATCTCTTCTAGAACACCTTAAAAACTTTTCCTTTTTTCTCAAACTTTTAACATATCTTCACCCTCCTTTCTCCGTTGATGACTTCAACTTTCATTTCTGTGAGAAAACAAAGAAATCGGAAGAGAGTAACATCCTCATCTCCCATTACCAAACCCACCAATATATCTCCACTCTCATTTTACAATGCTTTTCTTTTGTTACAGTGGCTACATTTTTCTTACCTTCACTGAAATCCAAATATTCCTCTCCCACACTGGATCCCATTGTCTCTAAAATACTCAAAGGGCTTTGTTCCTGCAACTTTACTTATCCCTCTTTAACTGCATCATCAATCACTCCACTGTTTGTTCTTGTCAGTCTAAGTACTAGTTGTAATACCTCTCATTTTAACAATTTCTGTGGCCCTTCATTTCACTCATACATATTTCTTCTTCTCATTGTAGGAAAACTGCTGGAAATAGTTGCTTATACCCATTCTTTTCATTTCTTAAACTCCAATTTTATTTTTGAAGCCATTCCAGTCAAGTTTTCATCCAGTCACTCCAATAACACTGTTCTTGTGAAGTCACCAAAAACCTCCATGTAGTTGAACCCATTAGTGAATTCTCAGTTCTAATCTTCCTCTACTCTGTAGCAGCATTTGGCACAGTTAATCATTCCCTCATCCTTGAAACACTGTATTAACTTGGCTTTGGAGATACCTTCCCCTCCAGTTATACATCCTAACTCACTGGCTGCTTTCCCAGACAGAAGATGATTTGTCTTCATCGTCCCAACTGGTGTTAGACTTCTATTATCTTGACTTTTCTCTTGTCTTGTCTTGTCTTGACTTATCTTGTCTTGTCATCTTTTCTGAATTATCACTTTGTGCATTGGAGTGCCACCAAGTTCATGGTTTTAAGAATCATCTGGGCTGGGTGTGGTGGCTCACGCCTGTAATCCCAGCACTTTTGGAGGCCGAGGAGGAGGATCACAAGGTCAGGAGATCAAGACCATCCTGGCTAACATGGTGAAACCCCGTCTCTACTAAAAATACAAAAAACTAGCTGGGCGTGGTGGCCGGCATCTGTAGTCCCAGCTACTCAGGAGGCTGAGGCAGGAGAATGGTGTGAACCCAGGAGGTGGAGCTTACAGTGAGCCAAGATCCCGCCACTGTACTCCAGCCTGGGTGACAGAGCGAGACTCCATCTCAAAAAAAAAAAAAAAGCATCATCTGTCCACTAACACTTTCACACTGGTATTTCTTACCTTAGCTTTTCCATTCAGCTCTGGAGTTGAATGACAAATAAACATCAAGCTAAACTAATAGTTGAATACAGAAGTTTTGAGACCTCTTTTTACCACCTTGTGCTCCAATCTAAATCTGGTTCTTCCCCATTTTCACAAATGGTTCCAGAATTCAGTTAGTTCTAAAGTTAAGTGTCATTCATGACTTCCCTCTTTACCTCACATCATCATCGCAAACAACATTACACAATCATTTGTTTATTTTCTTCTTTGTAGTCTATAAACCCCAATAGGTCAGGAGATTTTTCTAGCTCATTTATCATTGCATGTCAGTGCATAGAACAGTCTTTGTCACCTGGTAGTAAATATTGGTTTTTTCAATGAATGAGTGAATGAATGGTTTCTTCTAATCTCTGAACAGTTTTGTTTTGCAAGTTGTAGTTGAACATCCTTCTGTTATAGAGTAGTTCAAGATGTATTAATTTTCACTGTATGTGTTTTTATTTAGCATATATCCACATAATCCAGCAGTTGATCATGCAGTGTTGAGTGTTATTATATAGGTGCTTTACATATATGGAGTTTTATCCCATCTAAAATATAAAGTTCCTTGTGGGCAGAAACCACACCTACATTCCTATGTCTCTTAGTTTCTCACATTGTGTTTAGAACCTAAAAACTGAAGAAGCACAGTTCTTCTAAGGCATTAAAAACTACTTATGATTATTTCTGATCCTAGAGTTAGAAAGACTCTAATATTATTTGAAATATTAGTAGTATTTTACTTTAGTAAAATATTAGTAGTATTTTACTTTAGCATTTTACTTTGCCCTAGAACAAAGTAAAGGAATAACTTTCCTTTACTTGTTTCTGGGGCAAAGCTTATGTACATGGAGGCCATAAAAGGCACCAGCCACAAACAACAACAATGCCTCAAAAGTTATTCTGATAAGAAAAGATTGAGTGAAGTGTAACATTAAATAGGAGTATTTGCACATCTCATTAGTACTTCTAGGATGTTGAATTCTGATTATAAGTGAAATATACGAATTTAACATTTGAGATTATAGAAAATAACAACTGGAAGTCATTCTGAGAGAAAAATATCTGTTCTGGATAGCTAATGTGTGAGGGTCTTCTTAATATGCTGAGTGCACCTTTTCATCCAATCTTCAGGCCAACTGGGTGAGTAGAAGGGGAAGTTAGATCATTTTGTGTGACAGATCAAAAAAGGGAGGACCAAGGCAGAGGGAAGTCCAGTCATATGGAGAGAAGAGTCACGATTGTCTACACCAGTGGATTTATGTCAAGTAGCAAACTCCTCTAGATATCACCAAGGAAGACATGACAGAGAAAAACTAATTAACCAGTCCCCAGTATACATTAATTATATTAGAAGAAGAAACCAAATCATGTGTACACTCTGCTTCCATGAATGTTCAGACCTGTATCACCGTATATTTCTAGAGAACAGTCTGAAAACTTTTCTCTTCATAACCTCCCCACCACCCCCACTTTTTTTTTAACTTGGTAGGGTTTGTCTGATGGCATTCCACATAGAAGTCTCCTAGTGAAGCATGAATAATACCAAAGCTTCCCCTTTAGCAAAAGAGGCAGCTGTTGCAGAAGTATAACCATCTCTGCTTGTGGCTTTGGTAATTGTTGGGAGGTGGAGCACTGAAGTACAATGTCCATGTGCTTCCATCATCACATCCAATCCTCAAGACTTTTTATTTTTTGCTTTGATGAAGAGTGTATTTGTGTGTCACCCCTCATGGTATTTCCAATTCATATAGCTGTTTCTTATGTCTTTTAAATGTCTTTCCATTTTTTTGGTCCTTATCTTCATTTCTCTTGTTAAGAAAGTTTCCTAAACTAATTCAATTGATTCCTAATCAGTTATTATTCTACTTTTCACACAGTCACTAAAGTGCTCTTTTTAAAATGCATCTGACCCAGCTAATCTCCGTTTACAGGCTTTTGTGAATCTCCATCACTCACAGAGAAAATTCTGTGGCCTCTAGCATGACACTGTAGGTCATCACATGGCATGGCTCAAGTCTATCTTCCCAGCTCCATCTAATGAACTAATGAACTACTACTCATCCGTAATGACTTATGATCTAATTATATTAACCCACTTGTAGTTTCTTGGCCTTAGCATGTTCTCTCTCCCCTGCCTCAGTGTATTTCATTACCTCTGCAATACCTCCTGTGTGAATTCGTCTCTGGAAGCTCCAGGCAGAGTCATATTTTCATACCAGATCCTATACATAGCACCTACGACATTGATGAGTGTGTTTTGCTTTTGAATTACCTGACTCTTTCACTAAATTGTCAACTCTTAAGGCCAATAAAATATCTGGCTCATCTCTGGTCCCCTAACACTCAGAACATGAAGATAGGAAAGAGTTAAATGAGGAAAGAAGATAAAACATGATTTTCTGCATACATTGTATTCAAGGTACACAATGTACATTGGATTCTTTGTATAGTATCATATTTAATGTTTACCATAGATGATATAGTCATTATTATCCCCAGTTTATATAATGGGGAAACGGTATGTTGAAAAAAGGGTAAATAAGTTGTCAAATAAACCATTTACAAAGCAAATTCTCAAACCTAAGTAAGTTTGTTTTAGATTCTTTTCCTGGTCACACTGTTCCTCCCAATAAGCATGCAAAGCATTCATTAAATAAATGAACTAATGATTTTTCAAGCTAAAATGAAGTTGTTATTGTGGTTGTCTCTCTCTCTCTTTCTCTCTCTCCAGTCATACATGGGAACTTTGCTCTTTGGCAAAAACTGACTCCTAAAGCAAATCTGTATGTTGCTTGCTCTCTGAAATTTATGTGGCAAGAATTTCTGATTTTTGCTGTGGAAATTCCTTCTTCTTTTGATCAATTTATCTTTCTTCAAAGCATAAGGCAAGGCACATCGCTAATTTTTAAAGTGAACCAGTGTGATGACTACATCTAGATGAAATAAAACAGACAATCTTTAGTAAACTCTTATGTTCCTTAATGTATACTTTAGAGTGTGTGTAGTAACTTTCTGGATTTGAGATATCTAGAAAGCATTTCCCAATGGAATGAGTCTGCTTCTTCAAAAAGCATATTCTGCACTAATTTATTGGAATTATGAAAGTATGTTTCTTCGCTAGAGCTAAAATTCATGTTGTAGATACAACCATGTGGACAGGTCACCAGATATCTGGGCTTAAACTGAACTGTTTTGAAACTGTAAAAAATAAGTCAGACATAATGATGTTTAAAATTCATAAAAGGTGAAAAGTCTATGCAAAATATGTAAGAATAGCATATATAATTGAAATTTTATGTCAATATTTTGCTATATCATATAAATATTTTTGATCAAAAGGTTTTATCGTGTATGTTTAGTTGAAATGTGTCAACTCTCTATATATTTCTTATGAATCTTCTTCTGTTTATTCACTTATCCTTAATTGTTTGAGTTTCTCAGTTACCCAACCTAGCTCTAGTTTTTTTCCTACATAATAATTATGTAAATGTTACAAAATTCATTGATTATCACCCTAACAAATTTAAACTTTTTGCTATAGATTATTGTTTCAAGCAGGAAATTAATGTTGGTATGTGGGAACACAAGTATATCATGATCCTCTCTTCTGCAAGTTATAAATCAAATTGAAAAAAAAAGAAAGGAGTCAAGTATTATAGATGAACCAGTATCCATTTTACATTTGACAAGATTGGATGAGAGAATGTGGCTCACATGGATGGTCATAAGCAGGCTTCCTACTACTTTCCCTTTTTGTCTAGAGCTCAACTCAGCCCACCCCAGGAGGAATATTTGTCTTCAGGATTTGATACACTTATCTAAAATTACTGTCCTTCACACTGGTGTGATTACCCATTTATTTATCTAACAAATATTGAGAACCTACTATGTGCCAGGTTCCAGATGCTGTAGATACTGTGTGAATCAAACAAACTAATTCCACTTAAAGTTTCTTAATGCAGGAGAACAGAAACTGATAAGTCTATGCAATCCTGCAGCCAGCCAGATCCTAAAATGGGAAAAAGAAAGATCTGAGATGTAGGCTCTCTCTTTTTTCTTTTCTTTTCTTTTCTATTCTTTTTTTCTTTTCTCCTCCTTCCTTCCTTCCTTTCTTTCTTTTTCTTTCCTTCTTTCTTTCTTTCTTTCTTTTTTTTTTTTTTTTGACAGAGTCTTACTCTGTTGCCCAGGCTGGAGTGCAGTGGCATGATCTCAGCTCACTGAAACCTCCACCTCCTGGGTTCAAGCGACTCTCCTGCCTCAGCCTTCCAAGTAGCTGGGATTACAGGTGTGTGCCACCATGCCAGGCTAAGGTTTTTTGTTGTTGTTGTTTGTTTGTTTTTTAGTACAGACAAAGTTTTACCACGTTGGCCACGCTGGTCTCAAACTCTGACCTCAGGTGATTCACCCACCTCGGCCTCCCAAAGTGCCGGCATTACAGGCATGAGCCACCGCGCCTGGCCAGCTCTCACTTTCACCAGTCATTGAACCATTCCCTATCCACCTTCAGGGAGGAGTGAGTGAAAGGATGTGAGGAAAAAAGGCTGACATGTTTCTTATATGACATTCCCTCCTGGCGACCATAAATTCCTTCCACAACATGGGAGAAGGTATATGATCGGCTTTGTGATTTAGAAAGATAGTCCTATTGGAAGTATAAAAGATAAAGAGAAGAGGGACATGTTAGTCTCAATGCCTTTTGTAAAAATTCTCTTAAATTTTTTTGGGCAAGTTGCCTTAATGATGGATGCACAATAAGTATAACATGAAGAAATGCCTATCTAGAACATAGTGTTGAAATAAAGATTAAGAAATATAGCATTGTCCCCAATTCCCTTTGCATAATCACCTTTCTGGTAGACTAGACATTGTTTCTAGAATTGCTTGAGAATGTGAATATATTATTACATTAAGAGGCCATGTCTTTACACTGCAATCACTAGAATATATGATAGAAATAATGAACAGAATTTGCAGTGAGATTTTATATCAATGCTGAATTTTTCCCCTGCTTTATGATTTTCTATTGAAAATTAGAATAACTGCCAGAGACCTTGCAATTTTACTTACTCACAATAAATGCAGTTGCTCTTTCTGTGGTATCATTCTCATACATCTTAAATTGTGAGAGTATTTTGTAATACCTTTCTAAATCACTGACACAGTTTGCTCTCATATCTGCAAAAATTGTAAGGAAAATATTTTTCTTATATAAAACCACCATTCTCTTTAATTTGCATGGACTTTAAAAAAATATTCAGGCCTGGTGCTGTGCACCCCTAGTGTCAGTTAGTCAGGAGGTTGAGGCAGGAGGATTATTGAGCCCAGGAATTTAAGGCTGCAGTGCGCTGTGATGGCTCCTATGAATAGCCACTGCACTCCAGCCTGGGCAACATACAGACACCCTGTCTCTAAACAAATAAACAAATAATAGGCTTTAACTTTTTTAGATGTTTTAGGTTTATGGAAAAATTGGGTAGAATGTACAGTTTCCTTATAGTCTCTAATCTCTTCCCCTGCTTCTTCTGCTTCTAGTATTAATATCACACATCGTTGTGGTACATATGTTATAATTGATAAATTGATATTGGTACACTATTATTAACTCAAGTCTATCATTTACTTAATTCACTTTCTGCATTTTACATTCTATGGATTTTGACAAACATATAGTATGATGACATGTATCCAACTTTGTGGTATCATATAGTATACTTTCATTGCCCTAAACATCTCCTTCAATCTGCCTATCTCTCCCTCCCTCTCCCCAGACCTCTGGCAACCACTGATCTTTTTTTTTTTTTTCCTTTCTTTCTTCCTTTCTTTTTTTTTTTTTTTTTTTTTTTTTGAGACTGAGTCTCGCTCTACCACCCAGGCTGGAGTGCAGTGGTGCAATCTTGGCTCACTGCAACCTCTGCCTCCTGGGTTCAAGCAATTCTCCTGCCTTAGCCTCCTGAGTAGCTGGGACTACAGGCACGTGCCACCACGCCCAGTTAATTTTTTGTACTTTTAGGAGAGATGGGGTTTCACCATGTTGCCCAGGCTGGTCTTGAACTCCTGACCTCAGATAATCCACCTGCCTCAGCCTCCCAAAGTGGCGTGAGCCACTGCACCTAGCTGATCTTTTTACTGTCTCTGCAGCCTTGCCTTTTCCTGAATGTCATATATTTGAAATCATATAGAATGTAGCCTTTTCATATTGGCTTCTTTCACTTAGCCACCTGGATTTAAGTTTCCTCCATGTCTTTCTGTGGTTTGATAGCTCATTTATTTCTGTTGCTGAATAATATTCCATAGTATATATGTATCACAGTTAATTTATGCACTAACCCATGGAAGTAAATCTTGGTTACTTCCAAGTTTTGGAAATCATGTACACTTTTGATATAAATATTTGTGTGCATGTTTTTAATTCATTTGGGTAAATGTGTATACTTTTAAAGCTCAAGAAAGAAGAACTTAATTTTTGAAATAGTGTGTCTCCATTATATTCAACGGATTGAACGTCATTTGTATGCATGCAATACTTTGGAGATGGCATTATAGTTCTATATGTTTCTGACCATCTGAGCTTTTATCTGCTGATTATCTCCTCCATTTACCCACACCTCACCATTCTTCCTAAGGTCTCAGCCTTGGTACTTGCCTATCCATATATTTCTTACACCATCTTTACTTTATTCTTTCTACTAGTTCCTGGCTAAGCTTTTTTTATAAAAAAATTTTGCAGGAGATCAGAAACATAAAGTTACTGGGCTGGGGGCTGTGGCATAAATAGCTCCCTCTTGGTTCATCTGTAAGTCAGCTTTCCTTTTATCTAATCCCAGTTAAACAATTGTTAATATGTGAGTTGGGGCAGGTGAATGAGCAACATTCCTTTAACCAGTTAAGAAAAAACAAGCTGATTGGAATACACTCCTGGAACATGGTTGAGCTATGGCGAATGGAGGGAGGGAGTTGAGATTTGAAGCATTAAAAACTATAGCAGTGACAGCATTCTTGGAAAGCAGTTCTACCAGCACAGAGTTTAGTCTAATTTGCCCCACAAACTGGCCTTTCTTTCCATGAAACCCATTTGTTCCTGAGTAGTCAATGAATGATTTCTGGACAAAGTAGAGTTTCATCAAAACATTGCAATACACTCTACATCTGTGGAGTGCCATATTTTGCCTTTTCTTTTCTATTTGTTTTGCAATCTGTTTTTTTTTTTTTTTTCCACAACAAACTTCTAAGAAAAGGAATGAGGGCACAATTCCCATTTTATGGGTGGGGAAACTGAGACACACAAAGGTTCAAGGCCATGCCTAATGCCACATGGGTAATTATGGGAAAACAAGAAGACAAAATCTGGTGTTCTGGACCCTTAGCCCTATGTACTCTCTTCTATAACATGCTGCCTTCACAACTGCAGTCATTAGTCTGTGGCTGGGATTGTGATGGTGTCATGTCAGTGGAGCCAGAGCAACAAACTTAATGACACAGCTGGGAAAACTTAAAAGTCTGCCCTTGGCTGGGTCATAAGTGGAGGTTAATACAATGGTGTCATTACAGAGTTTTGCCCGCCTCCCAAAACCACAGCACAGTTCAAGAGAATCAAAAAGGTTCCACTGGGGGTTGGCTCAGGTCTGAATGAGCAGCCAAGGTCAGAATGGAAATGTGGAATAGACAGGGAACTGTTGAGCCCATTGCAAAGTTCAAAACTGCACAGTGAATCCCCCATGACCCAAAGCCTACCTTTGCCTGCCAATTAAAAGATCATCCTCAGTTAGAGTTTAAATTAAGGCAGCATACTGCTTCTTGGGCTACAGATCTGGTGATTTAATGCAACTTACTTCTAAATCAATCCTTTTCACAGTAACATGCTTGAAACTAGGCTCTATTACCTGTCCAAACTATTTTTAAAAATATTCCCACTGTAACTAAATACAACACTCCAAGGTCCCGTTGCACACTTCACACCCCCTACCATGTACTATACCTTTAATTTCATAATATATGCAGTCTTAAATTCAACATTTATTTTTAACACCTATATTTTAATGAAACATGAAATATAAAATGAAACTCCAGTCTGCCTTGTATGAGCACGAAGAAAAATCCTAATTACCTGTTTCAAAAGTGTGAAGCGCTTTCTAATTTTCCACCAGCCAGTTTCCTTAGACAGCACCTAGTATTATAACTATTTATGCCAATTGTGCTATTTCATGCATAAAATTACCGCATTATTGTTGGAATAGATGCCAAAGAGATATCTAAGCAGGGTGCAATCACTTCAGTTTCTATCAAATTGGGCTCCTGAAAGGTATCATAAATTTTATTAGAAGGCAAGGGGCTAATGGCAGCCAATCAGTGTTAATGCTGATAAAATTGCTGTATTTTACATTATAAAAACCAGATGATATTTTTGTCAGAAGGCCACCTTTTGTTTTATTAAGAATGCATCATGAAAACTATATTGTAATCACAGAAGATACTTAGGAAAGCTGCTTCCCTTCCTCAGGATGTGGGGGTGGCGTTCCTCTCGGGGTGCCCTGACAGTGGTTGGTGAGGCAGCCTTTGCTCTTGGCTGTCTGATTAATGGTAGCATAAAATGAAGCAATGCAAAATGCATCCCTCACACTATGAGTACCGTAATTCGATTGCTTGCAGCTTTATTCTCTTAGGGTCCACTCTTTGGGAAACAAATATTAATGTTCCACTGTTCCCAGGTCCTTTATTGTGCTATAAAAAAATTGTTTTCGATTAACCTGCCAATTGAATCTGGAGAGCTAGGTGGTTTTTAAGACTCCCTTGCTTCTTCCTGAGGCACCACAGTAAAGAGTGGCAGATTATGATGATATTGAAACGGAAAAGAAGAAAGTTTAGTGCAGAGTTCAGGCCCTTTGATACAGTCCTGAGTTGCATTTTATCAATAGTAATAATAATTTCCATAAGTTGAAGGCTAAAATGTGCGACCTTGGGCAAATCAATTCCTCTCTCCAAGGCCTCTGTGTCCTTATTTCTGAAATGATGGTATAAAATGCTGCAGTCTCTAAGGCACCTTACACACACACACACACACACCTGGAGAAATAACTTGATATCTTACCTTTGCTTCTATTGGCAACTCCTTACTTGAACTGATATCTGAGAGAAACGCTAATGTTATCAGACTTGAGGAAGCATAGGTTGAATGATCTGGCCTTTTGTTGCTGCTCCATTTCGTGGAGGAAAAGCTGGACAATGTAACTCTCTATGGTCAGCAACTAGCAACAATAAAAACAGATTAAATAATCATTCAAATGTTCTTTCAGACACCCAAAAACTTAGCACACAGGAATTTTCTCTCCCTAGTTTCTAACAACTGCATCAAGAATAAAGTGCAATCTAACTCTCAGTTATAATAGGACTTGTGTTATCTTGTGTTCAATCAGATACAAATACTTCAAGGAAAAAGACCTATTTTCTACTTTGTTTGAATACCCTTTATTGCTCAACACTAAGCAGTCACTCATAAGTGACTTCAGAACTCAGTGGTTAATGGTAAGTGGTTGACAGAACATGAAGAAACCATCAGTTGGCTTATATGATCAAGCATACTAGATTAAGCAAACTGTTTGCTAGAGGATAGTAGGCAGACATGTTTAAAACTATGTCTTCAATTTCTATTCCCATTAGACTATCACCATAAATCCACTTTTTTAAAAGTAAATTTCATATTTGTTTGCTTCTCTTTAGGTTGATTCTGGTATTTCCCCAAAGAACCACTGATGGCTGCCTTTTCCATGGCATTACAACCCCCCTGCTGGAGCTAATAATTATAACTCTGTTACAAGTATTTCTAGAAGCTTGGGGGCATGCCTTACCAAAATGAACACATATTTATGTGACTAAACAATATATTAGTGTTTGTATAAATCAAGTTACATACATTGTATACGGTAATAAATTACCAAGATTCTGTGACTAATGACTATAACTTTGTACTAACCAAACAGGGGTGCCATATATGATTGTGCAGGTTGTGTGCCACACCAGAGTAAAGCCAGAACAGTGAGTGGTGAGTCACCAAGCTGTGCACCTGGTGTACGTGAGTAACTATCAGAAAGACATAGCGCCTTTTTATTCTCAAGAAAGCATTTACCACTCTACCAGCCATGTACCCACAGGGAGAAGCCATATTTTTCAATTCACACAAAGGGGTCAAAAACATACCAGTAACTAGTAAAGCAAATGATCTTGAAATTCCGCTAAGAACCTCCTACATGCTGAATCCCAACTGATCTTTAATTCAGTTTCTACAAAGCAACAGAAGCTACAATCTGAGAAATTTTAGATTTCCTGAAAATAGTTCCCAGACCCTAGATCCCACTGACACCAAATGAAATCAAGCCATGCAAGACAATTTTTACTTGGATTTCTTAAGGAGGGGATAAAGATTGGAACAGATCCACAAATAAATGCTCAGAAACAAATGAAACAATGAGCTAAGAGACGTGGAGAAAGCCAGGCCTGCACCTACCAACCTGCATGTCAATGGAGAGGCACAATGTTCTCATTATGTACATCATATGGTTGCCCCATTTTCAGATGTCTTAATGGCCTAGGAAGATTATTCCATTAGGGTTTCCTTAATTATTTTCACAGTTACTGTTACCTTTGCACCTGGCCTCAGAGTAGTTTGAGAATAGTGTATGAATGATGCTGCGATGCATTAACTATAGCTGAGCAATTACACCATTCAACCAGAATACAAAGGTAATTCAAAGCAATGAATCCTTAGCTATGTATATGACAGAAGAATTGGTTCTTCTCTACGGTCTTTCAGTCAGCCAGTTAATACGCATGTAATACAGGTTATTAGAAGTAGTTATTTTCAAGGGGAGTTAAAGAAGCTGGGACATGTTCCAAAGCTAGACATTGTTATTGATATAATTTTTTTTGTATTTCATTTAAAATAGTCAAATAATAAAAGTAAAATATGTGTAATTACCTAATTAACCTTGTGTGTGACATGTACTTATGACCCTTGCCTCATGTTTAAATCACACCTGTTCCTAATCCCTGTCACCATCCCTCATACTATTCTTGAACCTCATACCATCCCTGAAAGTGATCATTGTTTATCCCAATCCTAGGCCACTTTCTATCTCAAACTGCCTCCCTAGGGTTTAATATTTGCTTTTAAGCCAAACTAAAATGTACCTGGAGTGAAAACAGAGGCTTCAAAATGCCATGTGATCAACATAGCCTGGTCCCTCTAGTTGTTTAAATACTGTTGGGAGATTAAGCCCATTAAAAATCTAACAAAGAAATCTTAACAAATATTGCCCTCACAGAGTTGTCAGAAGCTGATAAATATGACTAATATTAAACAAATGGATCTGTTAAGTGACCCAGGAGGTTGTCCCAGGAGGGACCCAGGAGGTGTGTGTATGCTTTCTCAAGTTTTATTTCTAATTGAAGATGCCTTCTGAAATTTGTTGACACTGTTAAGATGAGAAACCCTAAATAAAGAAATCTTAGCATGGATTGTGATCAGTGTGATGTGGGAGAGTTTCTTATGTCAAGAAGGTTAGGTGCCCAAGTTTCCCGACAACAAATATTCTCAATAATCTATCTCACTCTTTCAGAATCTGTTAGTCCATTTTGCATTGTTATAAAGAAATACCTGAGTCTGGGTAATTTATAAAGAAAAGAGCTGTATGTGGCCTAAAGTTTTGCAGACTGCACAAGAAGCATGACACCAGCATCTGCTTCTGGTTGGGCCTTAGAAAGTTTACAATCATAACAAAAGGTAGAGGGAGAGCCAGGAGTGTCACATGGCCAGAGGAAACAAGAGAGAGAGAGGGAAGGGGTGCCACGCTCTTTTTAACAACCAGATTTTATGGTAACTCATTACCATGGGGAGGGCATCAATCCATTCATGAGAGATCCATCCCCATAACCCAAACACTCCCAGTAGGCTCTACCTCCAACACTGGGGATCACATTTCAACATGAGATTTGGAAGGGCCAAAATATCCAAACTGTGTCAGAATCCAAACATGGGCTGTTTGATTACGTGGAAAATTGTCCAGGTTTCCTTATCGCTCATGAAACTCTTTTATATCCATCCTACAGAGAGATGACTCATGGCCCAGGTGAAATTCAGGTCCAAGCTCTGGAGAGTGTGTGGGGACTGGTGAAAAGACATGGTAAGATGAACACATGTGTAAGTGTAAGAGCATAAAGGGGCTTTGTTTCTATTGTTTGTTAGTGATTGTTTTGGATACTGTTTTAAATTTTTCAGTTTGGAAATTGAGTAGTAATAAAGTCTCCTTGGAGTAGAAAGTTAAGGAAGAGAAGAATAAAGTGGGAATAGGTAGGTCAGAGGACAGAAGCCTGGGAGTTTTACTTTTTTTGATAAACAAAGGGAATTCAAGGAAAATTTTAGTAAGAGAGTCGTGTGATTAAAGTGGGTTTACGGAAACAAAACAGGATACTTGGACAGACTATGTGAATGTGGATGATGACACACAGCATATTTATGTAGCCTGCAGCTAGTATTTCTATAAAATTATTTTGTGATCTCATAAAATCTCAGTAGTAACAATAACATATTATTTGAATCCTCAATGGGCTAAAAGTTTCACGATTCCATCCACATGCTGATTACATGAAACCTTGGTAATATACCCATAGCCAATATATCCTAAAGTCTAGATTGATTTATAACCTTGCAATCTTTTTGTACCCATTTAATATCTTTTATATAAAATCAGACATCCTGTGTTGTCTCTGATGCTGTATCTAAAGAGTTGAAAGAAGAGGAGTTTAGGCCACAGGAGTCTTTTTGGAGAGAGAATATAATGCAAGAGATCAGTAAAGCAATAAAAGGGTCTGACTGTCCCATTCCTAGTATATGAAATTCAGTTAAAAATATAACACCAAGATTTTTTAATAAAAGGATAGAAGCTTGTGGCTCCTGTCATTGAAGGTTCTAGTGCCAGATGAATCTTTACAATTTAGATCTTGGGTAGGAGGAGGGATATGGGGGAAAAATGAATAAATCTATAAAATTTGACAAGTGACAGATCTTTGCCTGGTTAACTGGCTATGCAAAGATTTTAGTAAATTCTTCTGTCATTCCCAATTTATCTTATTCATGAGAATGTTATAATATTCAAATGACACAATGGAAGGTAATCCTATATTTGCTTTGCAGAACATTTTAAGACGTGCAGTCAGAGTATATAATGTAGTCCTGGTTTCACCACTTTGCAAAGACAAAGTTGTATAATAAACTCCAAATCAGGGGAGAAAAACATATGGTATTATTTTCATTGTTTCAGAATATAGTAACACTGATAACACAATAGTCCATAGACTTAGAGCTGTTTTCAGCCAAAATACCTAAAATGTATGAATTGCTGCAACCTCTTGGCCCCCTTACTCTCTTCGTGTTGGCAACCCTATCTCTATCTGCCTTTTTTTCGTTTGTCTCTGTGCCTGCTATTTTTGTCTCCCTCTGCCTTCTCTGTGTCTTTCTTTGTGTTGGTTTCCCTCTTCTCCAGTTCATCTCCTTCTCCACATTCCGACCTCAATAGACACTTCCCCGTTTGCTGTCCTATGTCTTCATACTTTTCCTAACATGAAAAAGGAAAATGCAAGCCTTTGCTTGGATGTTTAGTTTGCATTTCCTTCTAATGTACTTTCCGAAAACTCCGAACAAAATCAAGAATTTCAATCCAAACTCAAGGGAAAAATTGCAATAAAGTGGTACAAATTAGAACAGAGATGAGAAAAAGAAATATTGTCAAGTTCTTGGAATATTTTAAAATATTATTACTGTAGGGAATGGATGAAGAAACTGGTTTTAAGCAACTGATGCAATTTTGATCAATAATTGAAGTTGAATAATTCTAAAAAAGACTATTAGCTCACAGATTGAGGTGCTCACTATGGGATCAGAGAGGCCTCAAATTATGGATCAGAGGGACTTCGCTTCAACCCTCCCCTGTTATTTCTGGCTATAGGTCCTGAAGACTTATTTATCATCTCTAAGTCTTGGTTTACTTAACAAAACAAAATAGAAAATAATACTAGGGTAGCTGAATTAAGATAATTTAAGTAAAGTGCTTAGCACCACTCTGAAACGTAATATATGTTCAAACATGTTAGTCATTATCATCAACATTATGGTTTTTCTTATTTTTATTGGGTACAAGAATAACAATTTCCACGTTAAATATTTACTCTCATAAAGACAATTATCCATTTAGAGCTCTGTGTTCTCTTCTTTCATGAAAGTTTAGCAAGTTCTTATTTTGATTTAATTTTTATTTGTATAAAACATATATGTACAAAGTTTAATAATCAGAGTATATACGTACAAAGTTTAATAAGCAAGGTTTCTCAAAAATTGTGAAGAAAATAACAGTGTTTAGCCTTATCCATTTGCACTCTAAATTCTCATTTCCAGAAGTAATTATCTTTATTTTCCAATGTTACATTTTTTTCTGAATATTCTTCCCTCCCTATGCCTAAATAACGTGTTTATTCTATTTTTTTCAGGTTTTATTGTTATCTGTTTAGTTCCTGCTGCGGAAGATGAGACTCTCGCTCTCTTTGTCATTTCCCCACATGCACAGAAACACACATATTTCTACTTTTCTCATCCTCTCAACAGGCTATCATAACTTTGGTTAAATCAATAGTCAGTGTTTGTATATTATTATTGGATAAATATTACTTACAGTGGAACCCATTTTGTGTATGATTAGATATTCTTTCTTGTAGAACTTTATGTTTATCCAGGAGTTAATACTTATCTGATTATTTTCAGTTGCTTAATGTCCTATACACCTGTTATTAATTTATGCTGAACTCTCCAACAGAAACTGAAATCTTGTCTTACTATGTTTAAACACATTGGGTATTCTACAAGTTTCTTTTCTTATTTATGTATAATTCTCCTAGGGCTTTCCATCTTCCTGCTCTAGTCTAAACTGGTTGTTCTCTAGGCCAGTGGCAATGTTATCATCCTGATATTCTCCTTCACCATCAGCCTGGGAGTTCTGTTGGTTTTTCTCCTGTATGGAATCCTCTATTTCCTGTTATTTTTAAAAACTTGGTGTCAACCCTAATTTTCATGGGTATATTTATGCAATAACTTTTCAGAAAAAGATACAAAAAAAGCAACATTTTTTTTCCTGTGATTTTGCTTACTTGAAAATATCTTTATTCCATGGGTCAGCCAACTATAGGCTGTAGGCTAAAATCCTCCCATTTTAGTGAATAAGGTTTTATTAGAATACAGCCACATCCATTTGTTTACTTATTATATATTATGCCACAATGGAAGATTTGAGAAATTGCAATAAAGAACATTTAGATGATAAAATCTACAACATTTATTATCTGGACCTTTACGAAGCAAATATTTGCTAACACTTGCTTTATTCTATGTTCACACAAAATTGTTAATTTTGCTAGATATAGAATTTTAAAGGGCTTTTTTTTTATCTTCTAGCTTCCAGAGTGAATGTTTAATAGCCTTACAACATTCTGATTCCTAATCCTTTATATAAAAACTGTTATTTTGTTTGTTTTTGGAAGCTTCTGAAACCTTCTCCTTGTTCTTGGTATGAACACTTGTTTTTCTAATGCAATAAACACATGATGAACCCACTCAACATAAAATCAAACAGTGTATGTGATAATTTTTTATCTTCCATTATTTTTCTCTTTTTCTGAACCAAATAGTCAAAGTATAGGTCTCCCAGACTAAATTAAAATCTTTTTAAGTCACATAAAAGCTGAAATAATTTATCACCAACAGACCTTTATTATAAGCAATGTTAAGAAAACTTACCCAGAAGGAGGGAAAATGATGTCAAACAGAAATACTAATCTCTAAATAGGAATGAATAGCATCAGAAATCTAACTACATAAATCAATATGCAAAATTTTTTCTTAATATTTAAATCATTTTATAAGATAGAATGAAGTTTGTTGTACAAACAAAAATAACAATAATGTAAAATAAAGCATAATGCATAACCCTAGTACCAAAACTGAGAGGTTTATAACAATATAAAGTCCATGACCATAACACAGAAACTGAGATGTGAGAAACACAGGTATATTATTGAAACATTCTAGTACTATTTGTGAATTGTAAAATACCATTTGAAGAGCATCTGTGATAGATTAAAATATATTCTCTGAAAACTAGCACAACCACCAAAATAACAGAACAAAGAATAATAAATAACAAGCCAACAATGACAATAAAGTAAATCATCTTTACATAATGGAAAAGAAGTCAGACAAAGAGGAAAAGGAAAGAAAGAACACATGGGACAAATAGAACGCAAAAAGCAAAATTAGAGATCAATAATCATATTACATGTAAATGTTCTAAACACACAAATTGGAAGTCAGAGATTGTGATTAGATTTAAAAGAAAGAAGGAAAGACTCATCTATATGCTGCTTGTAAGTGTATTCTAAATAAAAGAAGGAAATAGGTTAAAAGTAAAAGGATGGGATAAGATATACAAACTAACACTATTAAAAAATACTCTAGAGTAGTTATATTTACATAAAATAAATTAGATTTTAGGGCAAAGAGTATTACTAGGGTTTAATATCATATTTATAATGACAGAGTTAAGTCATCAAAAAAATAACAATTGTAAATATTTATGTAACTGAAAACAGAGCTTAGAAAATTCATGGAGCAGAACTAATACAATCACAAGGAGAAATATAAAAATCTCCATATAATTAGAAATTTTAATACCTCTCTGTCCTGATTGGTAAAACAAGTGGACAGAAAACCAGTAAGTATATAGAACAGCACAGTCAATCCACCTGACCAAATGATATTTATAAGACACTCTACTGAACAACAGAAGAATAAGCATTATTTTCCAGTGCACATGGAACATTTACTAAGATGTATATTATTCTAATCTTAATACATTTAAAAGGATTTAAGTCACACACAAAAATGTTCTCAGATTACAATGAAATTAAATTAGAATTAAATAACAGAATGATATCTGGAAAATCTTTTCAAATACTTGAAAACTAATTAATATACATCTAAATAACCTATGTATCAGAGAAAAAATCAAAGGGGAAATGAGGAAGTATTTTGAATTGAATGAAAATAGAAAGACATGGAATTTGTATAATGCCAGTAAAGCAGTACTTAGGGGAAAATTTGTAGCACTACACGCCTACATGAGAAAAGAGAAAAACATCAGATCAATGATCTCATCCCCCTCCTTAAAAAAAGCAGAAAAAGAAGTAAAAATAAATGCAGATTAAAAAGAATAAAGGAAATAATAAAGATCAGAGCAGAAAGCAGTGAAAGAGAAAAACTAGAGAAATAAATGAAACTAAAAACTATTGTGTGTGTGTATTTTGAGATATATAAAAACTTATAACTTTGTCCAGATTCAACAGGAAAAAGTACAGGCAAACTATTACAAATACCAGGAATGATAGAAGTGATTTCACAAGAGTTTGTATAGATACCAAAATCTGACAAAGAGATTGCATGAAAGAATACTATAGACACACACACACACACACACACACACACACACACACACACACACACACAAATAGGATCATAGGGTTATCGCTAAACACAATTTCAGCAAATAAAATTCATCTCTCTCTTTGTCTCTCTCACACACACATTTGTTTAGTGTTAAAACAAATTTGGAATTCCTGAAATAACCCTCATTTGGCTATGATAATATTGTGTGTTTGTGTGTATATGGTGTGTATACACATACCATATTTATATATATAATATAGATACACACACCATATATATATACACACGTACGCATATATATGTAGTACTATACTACATATAGCATACTGTAAGTTATATACACACACCATACACACACACACGTACACACATACACAATATTATCATGACCAAGTGGGGTTTATTTCAGAAATTCCACATTTGTTTTAGCACCAAAGAATCAATTACTGTAATCCACCATATTAAGAAAATAAGAAAAATAACATGATCATATGAGTAGCCACCGAAAAAAGCATGTGGCAAAATCTATTTCTGATTAAAACTGTCAGCAAACTAGGAATAGAATGGAATTTCCTGAAGCTAATAAAAAACATCTACTATAAGCCTACAGCTAACACGATAGTGGTAAAAGACTAAATACTTCTCCCTAAGATTAGGAATATGATAAGGAAGTTCCCTCTCACCACCTTTATTCAACATTATACTGAAGGTTCTAGCTAGTTTAATACAGCAAGAATAAGGTATGAAAGACATCCAGATTGACACGGAAGACATAAAACTGTTTTTATTTGCACACAACATTATCATTTACATAGAAACTTCAGTGATATCTCAAAAGAGCAACTAGAATAAGTGAGTTTAGCAATGTTGAATGATACAACATCAATATGTACAAATCAATTGTGTTTTCATGTACTAGTTACAAACCATCAACATTGAAATATAAAGCAATAACATTTATTATAACATAAAATATGAATACTTAGAAATAAAGCTGACAAAACATGTATGCTGAAAATTAAAAAAAAATTACTAAGAGAAATTAACCTAAATAAGTGGAAATATATACCATGTTTATGGGTCAGATGAATGAATAATATTAGGATGTAAATTTTCCTAAAATTGTTCTATAGATTCAATGCAATCCCAATCAAAATCCCAGCAGGGATTTTTAGAAAATAGAAAGCTGACCTAAAATTCATGTAGAAATGCAAAAGACCTAGAATGCCCAAAAAAACTTTTAAAAGAAGACTTAACTTAGAGGACTAACATTTCTTGATTTTAAAACATGTTATAAAGCCACAATAATCAAGACAGTGGGGTTTTAACGTTTCTTAACTTTAAAACATGTTATAAAACCACAATAGTCAAGACAGTGGGGTTTTGGCAACAACAGAGCTAAATAGTCCAAAGGAACACAGCCTAAAATTCAAACTTCACATATCTATAAAACGAACTTTTTGACAAAGGTGCAAAGATCATACTTTAGAAAGAGATTGTCTTTTCAACAAATCAGGGTGGAACAAATGGATATTTATATGCAAAAATAAAATGATGTACTTGGATCCATAACTCTAATTAGCTAAAAATGTATTATAAACTTAAATGTGCAACTTAAAGTTTTAAAACTTCCTGAAGTAAACACAGAAAAAAGCCTTTGTGATCCTGGCTTACGGGACAGTTTCTTAAACATGACAGCAAAAGCACAATCAGGAAAAGTTAATAAATTCAACTTCATCAAAGTTAAAAACTTTTGCTGTTTTAAAAACTGGGAGAAAATATTTTTAAATCTTATCCCTGATAAAGGCTCATACCGAAAATATATACAGAACTCTGAGAAAATTGTAAGAAGAAAACAAAAAATGTTATTTTTTAAAATAAACAAAATATTTAAGGAGGTACTTCAAAAAAGATATGCGGATGATAAATAAACACATGAAAAATGCTCTGCATCATTAGTTATTATGAAAATAAAATTTTTTAATGTATTTCTACATGCTTATTAGAAATGCTAATATTAAAAGGACTTATCATTTCCAGTGTTGTATGGATATGGAGCAAGTAGAACTCTCATACACCATCGGTAGAAGTCTAAAATGGTATTACCACCTTAAAAAATAATTTAGTATTTTCTGAAGAGTTAAACATACATCTACCATTTAGTTTAGCCATTCTGCCTCTTGGTATTTATGCTAGGAAAAATAAAAGCATATGTCCATACAAAGATTTGTACATCAATCTTCACAAAAGCTCTATTTTTAAGAGCCCAAAATGTGAAACAACCCAAATATCCATCAACAGGTGATTGGATAAAAAAATTGTGGTATAGCTATATTATAAAATACCATTCCACAATAAAAATGAGTAAACAATTGATAAATACAACACCTACATAAATAGCAGCATAATTATACCGACTGAAGGAAGTTAGATGAGGAAGAGTTCCTACTATATAATTCTATTTAGATAAAACTCTAAAAATTAAAAAGTAATTAATAGTGAAAAAAAAACAGACCAGTGATTGCTTGGGAATGATATGAGCGTAGAGGAGAAGAATTATAAAAGGGCATGAGGAAACTTTTAAGGGTGATAGATATGTTTCTTATCGTGATTGAGGTGATAGTTTAATGGATTCATACAAATGCCAAACTGCATACTTGAAATATGTGCAGGTTTATTGTATGTCAATTGTATAAAGCTGTCAGTCTAAACAAAATACAAAAAATCTATGTAGTGAAATGTTACCCTCCTATCTTTTTCTCTTAGCAACCGTTCCTTTCTCCTGAAGTAACCATTATTACCAGTTTCTCAATGTTTCTTTGTATCTGTTTCTTCTCTGTTTTGGTCTCTTTTATTTTAAGATCTTCAAATGTCAAGTGATTCCTAATCATTTATTCATATTGAAAGTCCAGCAGACATAGACACAGTTTGAGAAATGGTGAAATTTTCTTTAGGCTATTTGGTCAGAGATACTGTTTTTATTTGTTTGTTTTTGTTTTTTTAGTAAATCTCAGCTTTTTCTTATGAGAAATCCCATTGTCTTTGGCTGGTGAGTATATCTAGAAAGCAACACTCAAATCTTACATCTGTAGTGTGCAGGGATAGCTGTCAATGGCTTTGTAGAAAACATGTAGATGTTATTGTTCATGGCAAGGTAATATGTTCCAGAGTATTCTGCAAATAAGGCAATGGGACACAGGAAATATGTAGCTTATAAAGTTTTTTAGGCAATTTGACAATGCTTAACATCCTATATCAAAAAAGTTACTATGACTTAAAAATATGAAAATTATACATTAAATTGGTCATATCAATGCTTTCAAACTAACTACCTTAGAAACACAGACTCTTAATCCAAAGGGCGGGTATTAGAAAAATTTCTGAAGCTCCTTTTGGACTTGCATTTGGACCAAAAAATACTTCTTAGGAATATTCTTAATGCCCTAAAAATGACTCGTTTTGAGAAACAGGAAAAGGAGAATTAGACGAACATGAACATGATCAAGCTGAGACTACAACTGTGACCTCGAAACAGGTGTCCTTTGAAAGTACTGGTAATTAAACACCGGTTCTGAAGAAAATTTTAAAAGAGAAATTTCAAATGCCTGTTGAATGTTGACAACCTCATTAGAATAGATATATCTACTCCCAGGATGACTACTTTGAAAGACAGCTCTCACTCAGATGTATAAATTTACATGTGCCAGCATGGGTGGGAGTAATTAGGAGGTTCAATTTATTTCTTTACAGATATACTTTGGATAAGTATATCAGGTGAGGTCAAGAAAGTTGCCCATTACTCACCTGCAAAAGCCTATTAAGCTGGACTACCTCCTGAAGATGTGTGGCCGATGACAGCAGAAGACAAGAAGGCTACAGTTTTGATAAATACCCCAAGGGTCTGCAAAATGGCAGTGCTGGGAGGCATGTGCCAAATCATGTTTGGCTTTGGCCCTATAACTTGTGAGTCTGTCAAGGACTCATCAGGTCAATTGGTGGAAAATGGATTACTGTCATTCTTCAAGGCACGGCACATCATTCCCCATTGATTGGCATGCCAAATCCTTCACAAAGTAATGAGTCAGGACGATTCAAATCATCATCCAACTGTCAGCTTGATTGCATAGCCCTCTATCAATGGGATTAAACTGGTGTGGCATCCAAAATGTAATGAAATGCATTACTTTACTTGAAAAGTTGACAAGAAGACAGGGATGCTGGACCCAGGAGGCCTAGGCATACGGAAAAAAATAATAATCATAAAAGTGGGGGAGTGAATTGATAGATAATAAAAATATTTTTTTTCAGCCTCACAGGAGATGCTGTGACTAAAGGGAATTACTTTTCTCTTCAACGAGTGTTTAAACTGAAAGGACATTGTAGAAAGGACATTGTAGAAATCATCTAGTTGGTGCGTTTTCTTTAACAACAACAAAAAACAAACTCAAGTAAAGTGAGTCACTAATGTTAGTTAATGTGAAGAGAATGGGGATACAATAGAAATCATGTTCTTTGGAGGAAAAAAAAATAACGTGGTTTTCGATCCTGATTCTTCAACCTACTAATTGTGTCATCATGGGAAAATTCCTTAGCCTTTGTCTCCTCACCTTCAAAATGGGGATAATTATACTACATATATCACATACATCAATATCCATTGATAAATGCCAATCACATATATCATATTACATGTATATAATATATTTCATATATATCACAGTTAAGGAAGGATTAGGGGAACAAAACTATATGTAAAATAACTCTTACATAGCAGCTATGTTCCTTACTAAAATTGAGACAATTAGGATATCATATCAGTGTTTGCCAAGAAAAAATGCTGCTGTGTGCTTAGTATGTAGCATACACACACACACACACACACATACACACAAATCTACTGTAAAGACTCAAGCTGAATTTCTTATTTTTCTTCGGCCTTAGTGATCCCCATCACTTTATCTCAGAAAAAGGACCATCCCCTGGACAAACATAACTCGCTAACGTTACTTTGGTTAATGCAGTTTAGGGAAATCATAAATCTTGCTAAGGTCATATACCCAGTAAGGGGTAGGGTTTTATTGGTGTGGCTCCAAAGCCATGGGCTGTTTTGCTCCTTGTGGTGATAATGTTTCCGGTTCTTCAGCAGCAGAGAATATTCTTCCAGTTTTTTTTTTTTTTTTAGCTGTAGCACTGGTAGCATGCTGGATCAAATATATAGTGCTGTCTTCTTACAGTGGGTTGTGTTGCAAGAGGGTTGCCTTGCATATAGTCACTTAGGTGATTAAGTGAAACTTGTCCACACATTGCTCCAACAACATTTGTTAAGGTACATTAAACTTATTAAAATTACATTATTTTAGATTTTAGAAAAAAATTGTTTTGGGGTAGGGTTTATGACTTCTCCATCTTTATTAGCTAAAGGAATTATTTGACAACATAAAAAACTAAGTATTTGAGAAATTGTTGGGATATCGGGTCCTGAAAAGGGAGGTATCATTTTAGGGACAAAATCTCTTCCCAGTGTGGAGGCATCAAGATCAGGGTTGAAGATGTGATTCTAAGTGAACTATATTTAGACATCTATTTCATTGTTAGAAGTTTCACTATATTTTCTGCCAGATTCTTTACATATGGATTCTGTGCAAAGTTATGGAAATTGTATATTTAGAGTGGCACTGACAATTCATGGTGCATACTAAGAAGGGAAAGTGGCCTTTGATCAAGCAAGTTGAAAAAATATTGCACACTATATCCCTTATAGCCCCAAAACTTACTAACATATTCAAGGGTCTAAGAAGTCTTGTTGTGAAGAAACCTGTTTAACTTTATCTCTCCAGCATTTTGACAGCTTCTTTGACAAAAGAAGTTCTTCATGTATAGTATCCACCATAGCACCTAGAACAGAGCCTGACTAGGAAGGGCTCAAGAAATACCTGGGATAAGAACGTTGAGGAAGTTCACAGTATATTCATGTCTAACAGTTATTATACAGAAAAAGTCGGTTTGATGGTTATATATTGTACTCTGGCAGGCACTGGGGAAAGAGTATAACACAATAAATATAAGATATGCATTGGCCTTAAAGGAGTTTAAAGTTTAGTGGATGAGACAGAAATGTTCATAAATTACAAAATGGAGGCAGCCCCACATAAATATTTAGAACAATGATTTTGGTCTCGGACAGAGCTGGGTTCAAGTTTTGATGTTGCCACTTGTTGGCTGGATGATCAAAAGTAAGTTATTTAATCACTCGAAAGCTTCAGTCTTCCAACCAGGAAAATGAAGATAACAGTGTCACGTATCTCACATGAACATTATTTGATGTAATGTTGTAATGTATGAGAAGGAAAAGAACGGTATCTTGTTCCACTATTCCCAGAACCATCTAATGTTGAGCTTAAATATTTGTTTAGTGAATTAATGATGACTTAATTAATTATATATTTAAAATTTCTATCTAGCACAGTGCCTTATACGGAGTAGGTACCTAAGAAAGTATTACTGAATAAATAAAACAATGAATCAGAGGGATTTTCGAAGCTCAGCTTGCACTTTCTCCTGTGTACATAACTTTCCTGCCCTGCCATTGCATTTGTACCCATATAAGGGTACATTTATAAATATTCACCATTTTCTATGCTCTCTGTGGCAGCTTTGTAATGTGCCAACTTGGATAGGCTGAACTTCATTTGCCATAAATAGTTTTCTCGTATGTCTCTGGTTAGAGTGAGCCAAAAGAAACGTTCTTTCTTTTTCTTCTTCTACTTTTTTTTTTAAGTGGAGGGGGCAATATTTCAGTGTGAAAGTAAAGGAGTAGCTACTTTGTACCTTATCCATGTTGTCACTTACTTTCTGGCTCTTCCCCGGATATAGGGTAGCAGACAGGCCTGCAGCTGCTTCATCTTCCCCTGGATTCTCCTTCCCTTTGTCTGACTCCTGTCCAGATATTCATTTAGCTTCACGATGGATACCAACTTGACCGTCCCTATCAAGGTTAAAAGCAGCAAACATTGACATGAGTTTCAGTCTACTCCTGTGGGTTCCAGTTCAAATTGCATAAAATATTTCTAAACAGCCCGTGTTTTCCCTTTAGTTAGGAAAATGTAAGGAAAAGTCTTCGTTTCATATGAATGTGATTAGGTTCTTTAGGGCTAACTGGAGGGGCAACAGGGCAGTGTAAAGCTCGGCCCCAGACATGGGATATGGGGTCTATTCCCAGCTCTCAATGTATCAGCCCTTGGGGCATGAGTAAATCAGTAATTTTGTGAGTTTCAGATTCTACTTTATTCAATGGATGGTGTCCATTCTTCTCCTGCTTATACAGCTACTGTAGAGATTAGCTATTATTACACGTAAAACCAATACACCTTGAAAAAATATATAAATCTCTAGTGTTTACAAATATTCAAGATTATTTTGGCACTATTGCTATTATTCTTTCAAATCTATCATGTAGTAAGAACTTACTTTATAGCATGCACCATGCTGAGAGCACTTTTCATTTTTCCATTTATTCCCTGTAGAATAGGTCTTATTGTCCCAATTACACATGTAAGAAAATGTTAGAAATTTGACTACCAACCCAGAGTTTATAGCCTACCCTATCTGCATAGCCAGAGTGCCTAGGCATTTCTTTATAACAAGCAGAACACATAGAAAAATTGAACAGATTTTGTTATTATCTGAATTATCTGCATTAGTTGTTACAATAGTTGTGCTATGTGAAGTTGCTTACAAAACCTTTTATGAAATTTATAATGATGCAATACTGAATTTGAAAATTATTGCATATCACAAGATAGACAATTCAACTTCAGACAATGAAAATTGCCAAATCACTTGACTTACATCAGAAGTTTTTCAGATTTAGGAAAGGTTACTGTGAACTGACAAAGTATTTTAAAGAACTCTCCCTGAGGCATTAACCATCTATCAATCAAAAACTTTCAGTTGATATTTAAGAGTAGCTATTTAACTTCAAGTAGTATTATTTTAATTAGAGAAAATTGAAAGTGAACATTTAAATATGGTAAATAGTAAATGTGCATTAAATCATTTGATATGTCTTTAAAAATGATAATAAGATTAATATTTTAAGTTTGGGTTTTGGAAATTAGCTTGTCATATTGATAGCATATTTGCAATTGACCAGAAGTGCTTCAGAAAAATATTAAGAATCAGAATGTGAAAAAGGCTTACATTCTGTTTGAGATAATGAGGAAAAAGCTATTTGTGTAAAAAATAGACTCTTCTGTGTGAATATGGGTATGTGTAGTGTGTGTATATTCTGAAGATATGCAGTGTGTGTGTGTTTATGTATTTTACAGAAAAACTATTATCAAATCAATATGTGTTTTATTATCAATGGTAACAGAGTTGAGGGAATTTGGTACATGTGTTTAAGCTGTTGTTAATTTTAAATCTTGCAAGTTGGAGCCAAGACTACAGATAGGTAAAAATATTCCAGGTAGGCAGTTCAAAGAAATTAACAATGTGGATTATTGTAAGCAGCTCAATCTGGTAAAAGGTCTACTTCATTTTTAATATGAGGTCTAAGATTTCATAAAATTTAAGTTAACTAAATTGTCAATAAGTTAGCTCCATAAATGATGAATCTAAAAGTAGAACAATGATCTTTGATATTGAAGGAGAGATAAAGGTAGGAGCTAAAGGGAGTAGGCTGAAATCATTAATTTTTTAAGATATTTAAATAAGTGCCCTGTTTTAGTAATAAAATAAAACCACAACTCTAGAAAAATTAGTAAATAAAAATGTTGGGAAGTAATTGTAACCATTGGAAGAGTGAGTTATAGCCTAGGAAGATAAGTAAATATGTGAATTGGAAGCCTACATAGAAAGAGAAACCAAAATCGAAAATTAGTATACAAAAACAAAAAGAAAAATATTAAGTATAAGTTAACACAAAAATGCAACAAATTATATATAGCACACAACAGTTGTTTAGACAATTCCTTTGTTAAAGTTCATGACTTGATAGCAAAAATAGGGGAAATAATGTATATACATATAAAATAAGACACATTTTAGGAAAAGCAATCTAGAGTAAGATGAAATAAATAGATTCCTAATCAAAAATAGAATATTTCACACATATATCTAATACATAAATAAATTCTCGTGAAATTATGCTGTGACTGAGCAGTTATTAGTCTTTAGGGCAAGTAGGTATATGTTCTACATTACACAACACCGGTGTATACAGTTATGGTAATACAGAATGTACACGAGTAAAATTATGATAATGTAAATATTGAAGTAGCCAACAGGAAGAAGTCAAGTGAATGGAAAGCTCAGTCCTAATCTGTGATTGAATTCTAAGAACTAAAATATGTGTTTGGAAGTATGCTGCCTGCATTGTACAAGTTCCGTACCTTGTTATTTTCTCTTTGGTATAACAATATATTCTCCATTGCATATGGTAGAACTTCCTCTGATTGTTTATAAACATTATCTTTCCAAACAAAGATTAGAAACTTTCTGGTGACTGAGAGCTTGGAGCCAGGACTAGAGAAAGTTCCATCCAGAATCAAATTTTTTGCCCATAGGGATTTGGGCTCCAATTCAAAGTAAGATGAGTTTGGAGACATGAAACACCACTTGCCGTTAGTGCCAGTATAAGGTCTGGTGAGAAAAATGAAATATCTACTCCCATTTTATCTTTTCGGTCTACCTTTTTAAAATATTTTTCCTCTTTCTAATTTCGAAGTCTCTTCCCTCAAACACTTCTTAGCAAAGTTTCTCATATTAGAAAAATATACATAATTATTACCTTAAATTATGATAATAAAGCTCTCAAGTGGGATTTTTAACATTTTTCTAATTACAAAATTAAACTTTCCTTGTGAAAAGATCTCATCCATCACCAGCAAAAACTTGAGGTTTTACCGGAGAGAATAAGGGCTTTACATTGCCCAAGAAATCTTCGCATTTGAACCACACTAAAGAACTCTCGGATTCTCCAACCACTCCTTGATCCATTAGACATTGTTCTACAATACAAATGGCTACATGGCTAAAAGTTCCGTGCCACAGTGGCACAAGAGCCATGTGCAAGGAGCATCCTTGAAACTCAGGTTTAAATGTTGCTAGTTTGGTGTGCCTGACGAATTTTTGAATTCAATCAAATACTATTTGTAGATCAGTCAAAATGTGAAATACATAGAAGGGCTTCCAATTAACATTAATTCCTTTACACCCTGATCTCCCCGAGTCTGCAGAGGCCTTTCCACTGCACAGAAGCATGGTCCAAACAGCCTGGTAGTCTGGCTGCCTTTTTTTTTTTTTTTAACCGATATTTTAAACCTATTATTTGACCTGTCTCCTTAAGGTTCTTCTTCCTGTGACAGAAAATATATGAGTAACTATTTTCAGGCCAGGCATTATGGGTAAAAATGGTTTAATAAACCTCACCCTGATAATAATTTCCAGCCCAATAATAGAATAAAAGGGGGAAAATACATTAGCTGTATGTAATTTGAGAATTTATTTTAGGGCAGAGTTTCATGCAAATCCTACCATATAGTCAGATATTTACATTGCTTATGTTTAAAGTTGGGTTAGGTTACATGTGCATACATAACCAAAGCATACTCTTCAAAGTCACTTTGTATGTCCACAGCTGAAAAAAAAATCCCTCTTTCCTTTGCCTGATGGATAAGAAACAGTGTGCTACATTTTTCTTAACTAAGGGTCTCACACATTGGCAATTTTGTCAACCTAGATGTAAACACCACTGCCACGTCCGAATCATAATAAATTTTGTTTACTGTAGTTAGACATTGGGTTTGCTTACATTTTAGTTAAAACAGCCGAAGATTTATCCTTCTGTCAGAGCCACTGGAAAATTGAGAGTCTTGTGCAAGTTGTAAGCTTTCTGCTTAATCTTCTGGAAACTTTTCCAATTTTCCTTTAATAACACCAGGAGGCCAGTGGTGTGCCACTTATGGATGGAGGGGGAGGAGTTCTCCATCCTGAGTTTCCCTCCTTTGCTCAGCTGACAGGCTCCACAGAAATGAAATGCAGTAATATACATTAGCACTAACTTATACACCAAGCTGTCACCATCAGGTAAAATTGATCACAAATTACTGATTACTGAATCAAGAAAGTCATCAGTTATATTGTACTTGATTACTTTCTCATAAGAGGAATATATTACTGAATATGCTAAGATTACTCATGCATAAGAATTTGGAACTGACACTCCAGCAGCCCACACTCAGGAGGGAAGAAGAATTGTGCTGAGAAATTAGACTCTAAGTTCTATATAAAAATTATTTTAAACTGGTTCTTAAATTATGGCCAAGACCATAATGTCTCCTTGAATAATTTTCAACTCTTTTACACGGTGAAAGCTTCTTCATCACACATTCTTCTAGGATGTACCATGGTCACGCTCATCAGCTACCCTCCTTGGTAGGAAGCACTCTGATATTGGTCAAGTTTACAGAATTAAGCCAATAGAGTTTATGGAAATTTTTCTAGGACAAGGTAAGAAATAAAACATCCTTTTCTTTGTGATGTATTTTCTCCTTGAAGACCTGTTTTGAGCTTGAGCTTAGCCAAAAGGCCAAGAAGCAATTGAAGAATGTTTCGATTTGTCTTACTCTTCTCTCTCCTCTCCTTTGCTGTTATCACTTTAAGAGTTACTGAAAACTGCCTCTCATCAAAAAGAGGCCCTTCTGCCCTTGGAAAACCATATGGGCCAGACGAGAGTCCTAAGACAGATCTTAAGCAAAATATGTGAAAGAGATATTAGCATTCATACATTGCCTAATTAACTCACCTGGAACATGAAGCTGAAGCTTTCTTTTTCGACAAAGAGCACGCATTTGCCCATATAGAGATAATTTTATCATTGTCAACTGAGAGCAGCTGATTGAAATTCAGTCTCTGTGAAAGGAGGCTGAACATACAAAAGAAATATAAAGTTAGGTTGACATCTTACACTACACCAAAATAAAATTCAGATGGGTACAGCATGGGTTTTCCAAATAAACTCTGGCAAGGTTTTTTTCCCAAACTGGGATATGCAGAGAGTCTCAGGGAAAAACAGCAGTGTAGACAGAAGCATGAGAAATCAAAGAAAAAGCTGAAAATATCTTCCTAGATTGTTTATTTTTTGCTAATTTGGTATACTCACAGTCTGAAAACATTTAGGCCAATGTCTTATTTTTCTTTAAGTTCAGGGAGCATTATGCTTTTACATTCAGGGAGTGTTTTACAATATTTTGTGTGTGTGTGTGTGTGTGTGTGTGTGTGTGTGTGTGTGTTATGTGCCTGTCAGCCCCATCGTCTTCACCATGTCATCAGCACAGTTGGTGCTGCATGAATACAGCTTGTTCTGCTGGGTTAACAGCACTCACTCCACTCCTGGTGGTAGTCTGCCAGTGATACTTAGTTACTAGTGGTGGTCAGTTGGAGTCAACAAGGACTGGAAGCTAAACAGGAGGGAGAAGATTAGGAAGCCTGTCTTCATCCACTGGTATAAGTCTGGATGTACCCACAGCTATTGACCACATTTTTCATTGTCTATGCCCAAATTTTGTCAGTTTCCCCCAGCCAGTGTTACCTTATCCCCAGCATTCTAACTGCATTGCAAGTTAGCACTCAAAGCTAGTTTCCAACTGAATGGGCTTACTGCCTATAGATTCCTGATACAATTCCATCCATATGTTTGGATTTCTTTGAATAAAGATACCAGCCATAAACAAACCCAAGTCAATACTTGGTTTCAGAATATGGGTATTTGCAAAGGGCTGAATGCGGTGGCTCATGCCTGTAATCCCAGCACATTGGGAGGCCGAGGCAGGCGGAACACTTGAGGCCAGGAGTTTGAGACCAACTAAAAATAACATAAATTAGCTGGACATAGTGGTACACACCTGTAATCCCAGCTACTCAGGAGGCTGAGGCATGAGAATCACTTGAACGTGGGAGGCTGAGGTTGCAGTGAGCCAAGATCATGCCATTGCACTCCAGCCTGGGTAACAGAGTGAGATCCTATCTCAAGGAAAATAATAATAATAATAATAATAATAATAATAATAATGATAAATAGAAAATGGGCATTTGGCTAACAGAGTCTCCCTATTGGCTTCAGGTTTAGCACCATCTCCTTACGAATCATTACAGCACACTCTGTTCTGACTGAGAAACAAATGTCCAGTACAACTGAGAATCTTACAACTTTGATATTTGTGAGAGCTAAAGAACACATCTTTTCAGAGAGAACAGAGTTCCTTTTTGGATCAAATGTCATGTGATATTACAAAGAGAAAAAATAATAATTGTAACTTAGTTGTTTATCTAATTATTTAATGGTAGAGTTTGAAAGAAGACTCATTGTAGTTCGGAATGTTGGACTGTCTCCTTGTGATTCATTATAAATATGTTCCAGACAGTGCTTTATGAAAAAAAATAATCCCAACCATTTAATCATCAAAGTTGGTTGTTTATAACAATAGGATATTTAATGCTATAGGACAGAAAACAAATGTCATGCAATGCAATTTTTTTTGTCTGAGCTTTAGTCTTCAGTAAAATCTAACAAATATTGGCATTATATGTCACTAAAAAGTAAAAGATCAGGCTCTGACCTTCAAGAATCCCCACAATATGTACATTATGTTGATGTGCCCTTTGTTTTTCTATTTTGGTTTGCTTTGGCGGCCTCTGCAATTTCAGGATAAGGGAAGATTGTCTTACCGAGTTTCCAATGTCATCATTTTAGCCAAGGAATTAACTGAAAGGGAAGTCTACTTCTTCCACTATTTATTTATTTTCTTCTGACACAGCTGGGAGTCAAGACATATTGAAAAAGGCATAAGCCACATATGGCTCAGATGCTCATTTAGGGTGAGCCCAAAGTGACTTCACAAAAGCAAGTGTAAACTTTTCCAAAACAGTTTGGTTTTAAATTGAAGTCTCTTGAGAAGGAGCCCATCTGAGAAGGTCAGAATTTGTGCTTCTCCCTTTTGAAAGACCTTCCACTCAGATGTCAAAAGTGTGCACCATCTTTAAGGTCCCAGTTACATTCCTCCTAATCCATGGAGACTTGCCCCCATCTCTGTTGCTGTATTCATACATCTCCACTTTCTTTAAACTCCTAAAGTTCTTATAATCTCTACTGTACATTTCATTATTTAATTATATATTTCTTGTTATTGCATCATTGGTTTTGCCTCTAGCTAGAGGTCAAGGAAATTAATCTGAATGACCACATCTCTTTCTTATTACATGAATGGAACATGGTATATATGCTCTTCATCCAATTCTTTTAATCGACTTATGACCTAACTGCAGATTGGGTTTAAAAGCAGACAGATAAGAAAATAAAATATAAATATTGTTAGGTCCCTGCTTTCTCTTACAAAGTTAGATAATTTTCTTTCTAATATTAATCATATATTTTTGCTTTTCAAAGCAATTTATATTCACTCTTATGATTGATCCTCATAATATCTCAAAGATAAACGGAATTGGTGTCCAAGTATATATGAGCATGTGTTCATACTAAGAGTAAGTGGCAGAGTCTAGAACTCAAGACTCGTAATTCCCAACTGATGTGCTTGACTCTAAATAACATTGGCATAGAGCCGGGTGCAGTGGCTCATTCCTGTGATCTCAGCTACTTGGGAGGCTGAGGAAGGAAGATAGCTTGAGCCCAGGAGTTCAAGTCTGCAGTGAGCTATGATTATGCCACTGTCCTTCAACCTGAATGACAGAGTGTGACCCTGTCTCTTTAAAAAAAGTAGTCCTGAGTAACAGTGGCATGACTTACTGCCCATTTAGGAAAAATTGTGCCTTAGGTTCTGCCAGATAATGGCATCATTAAGACAGTGTTACTAAAATGTAATGGAAAAAAAGAGTTTCCATTAAGTTTGGCAGACACCAGAAAATGTTCCCCTCAAATTCGTAACTGAAAAAGGAAATGGCTACACACAGGGTTAAAGTAGAATTACTGACAGAAAATTCAGTTGGGAGGCAGAAGTAAGAGAATTAGTCTCAATTCTGTACATCTCCACTCTGGGCCTCCATAATCTCAAAGAAAATAAGGAGTTAATTTCAAGCATCCCTTCTAGCCTAATACTTATGATTGACCTCTCTGTAACACTGATAATTAGGAGTAGCTTCTTTACTATTCAACTCTGTGATCCATGTCTACTCTATTATTTGGGCCTTGGCATGATACAATATTTGAGCAGAATTTGAATTGAGGCAGTATTTATTTTGAGTTCCCAGTATTGTTTACCTGGCTTATAGTTTAATTGCTTGGTTCATCTATTTATGCATATTTAAAGAGCTAACTGGTGATTATATTGTTTGTTTAAGAAGTCATGTTTCCTGGAGACATATGGCAAGTTCAATCTAGTGCTACTGAGAAAAAGAAATCCCCATTCCTCGTTAAAGTTTGACAGTGTCTTGATAAGTTGATATGTATTAAGTCCATATGCAATGCTCTATAACACTATCTGAGGCATGCTTAGAAATATAAATATAAGGAAAGGATCCTGCTCTCAAATGCTCAACAATCTTGCTAGGAAGTAAAACATATAGATGTGAGCAATTTTCTGGCAACTCAAAGAAGTAAATAATAAATAACAAATTATTGGTATGTTTACTGTCAAATCATGTGCTGATAAATGTTTAACAACTGACTCTTTGGCAGGGGCTGAGGCAGGGGTGGAATAACCAGATTAGCAGCATTTGCCAATTTTCATGGTGTAAATATTCCTACACTGGTCAATTTCAAGCCACCAACCTGAGGTCACTGGACAGAGTTGGGGACAGGTGCACACAACAGGCTCTGGCAATCCAATTCTAGCTGACTCCAGCATGCCAGCACGCTTGTAGAAGTTTTGATCAAGTAAAGATCTCAAGGGCCAAAGTGGTTAAGCCTCTTCTGTGGAGGAATGCCTCTCATATCCATATCTCTGAAGGACAATGGGATAAATAGGGGAGAGTTGATGTGAAAACATTCCTGAAAGAGATGATGTAAGCAATGGTCTAAGTGTCCTATGACCAAGAGAGCCTTCAAGAATAGAAATACGTCCATCAGAGCATTTACTGAGAATGATTTTAGATAGTATGTAAAAAAAAAAATAGGAAAGAACTCTTCAGTGATTCAGATTGTATCTTGTAAGTTTGCCTTTCCAAAGAAGTGAACGATATCTGTGTCAAGGAAGAAAAATGAATATTGAAAAATATCAAACCCATTTTAATTCAAAAATCAATTTGATGATTGCAACAATTGTTATTTAAAAATATTTTGAAGTGAAAAATACAAAATTTGTTTATAGACAGCTCTGCAGATCACAGGAAATCCCTGCAGCACAAAATTACTCTGGGAAAAGAAAATTTAAATCTTTCTTTAGCCAAAACACATTAAATTCTTACAGTAGTTATATTCAGTACCACATTGGAGCCCTTAAAATTCTTTTTTCCCAACAAATAAATCCATGTTTTGCCCTAGGAAACTTTTAACTTCAATCCTTCTTCACAGCAGAATCCACTGTTATAGCACTATTCCAAAATATTTCCATTCTTGTCAGTATCCCTGAAGATAAGGCTTTATTTTGATAATTCATGTGGTTGGATATCAAACAGCTGCCAGGATATCTACCGACATCTGCTGTTTAGTTTTTATCAGTTTGTCCCATCTGGCCTGCATTCAACAGGACCCAAATCAAGGCTGAACAAAATCACAGGACCTTCAAAAGCAATTTTACATTATTTTTGGAAGCATCAAGTATTCTTTCTCAGTTGTTAGAGCCACAGACTGTGTTGTCTATTGTCCTAGAGACAACTCTGAAACTTTTCAGATTAAGCTTTTTAACACTGTCCTCTCCACCAAACTTTAACATTTCTAAACTACATGCTTAGTATTCATCTAAACTGGCTTTTATTTGGCTTAGGAACATCAAATATGATAAAGAATGGTAAATTACTAGTATGCACAATTATTAAAATACATGTTAATCATTAATTTAATCTACACAGATAGAGCCAAGAAAATTTCTTATCTTGGGAATTTCCAATTTCTTTCTAGGATTCCTTGCATCTACCTTTGCTCCTCATTTTCATGTAGCAAGTGTCTACTAATATCCTCCTTCAAGCCTCACATTCTAACTTGATGTATATCTTCTGCCTCTGCCCACACTTATCAACACAAGAAAAAGGATGAGGATTGTAAATATGGCACGTACCCTGTAACATAAAATTCCGCTGTATCTTTGACTCCACTATCTTTCAACTTCTCCTGAGCTGATTCCTCTTCTGTGAGTATTTCTAGCATATCTCCAGTCCCAGGGTCTCCCTTATGTTTAACACAGACCTGGCATTCTACCTACTTATGTGAAAATAAGATGTACAGTCTCATTTTAAAATGAAAACCAGTCACAAAGAAGGTAAACGATCTTCCAAAAGCCATGAGTGACTCAATGGCAGAACAAGGATGAATATTTGACTCAAAAAATCCCATTCTTCCAAGAACTTCCCAGATGCAGACAGCAGCACAATATGTGTTTGCTAAGGCAGACTAGAAAGGTGTTCTTTTTAAAAAGAATTTCAATGTTTCTTTTAGTTTTCTGGGGGTACATGTGCACGTTGGTTACATGGGCAAATTTTGCAATGCTGAAGTGTGGAGTCTGAATGATCCCACCACCCAAATCGTAAGCATAGTACCCCAAAGGTAATTTTTTAGCCCTTCCTATCTCCTCCTCCAACTCTTTTTCCTCTTGTAATCCCCAGTTTCTATTGTTTTTATCTTTTTGTCCATGTGTAACCAGTGCTTAGCTCCCACTTGTAAGTGAGAACTTGTGGTATTTGGTTTTCCATTCCTGTTAGTTCACTTAGGATAATGGCCTCTAGCTGCATCCATGTTGCTGCAAAGGACATGATTTCATTCTTTTTTATGGCTGCATAGTATTCCATGATGTGTATATACCACATTCTTTATTCAGGCCATCATTGACGGGCACCTAGGTTGATTCAATATCTTTGCTATTGTGAATATTGCTGTGATGAATATCTGAGTACATGTGTCTTTTTGGTACTACTATTTATTTTCATTGAGAATATACCCAGTAGTGGGATTGATGGGTTAAATGGTAGCTCTGTTTTAAGTTCTTTGAGAAATCTCTAAGTTGCTTTCTACAGTGGTTGAACTAATTTACATTCCCATCAACAGTGTGTAAGTGTTCCCTTTTCTCCCCAGCCTCGCCAGCATCTGTTATTTTTTGACTTTTTAATAATAGCTGTTCCAAATGGTGTGAGATGGTATCTCATTGTGGTTTTGTTCTTTATTTCAGCAAAAACTGTGGCTGAAAAATAAAAACTAATTGAGCATAAATGTATTCTTTTATTCACATCCTTTTCTATAAAATCATGATGAAAAGAAATAAATATATAGCTTGAAAATAGTAGCATTGTGGTTACATCCTTTCTTTTATTGTAGAATGTTTAACTACAGAATATTCATTTCCACTGTGTCCATACACTCAAGACTGAGAATTGAGATAATTCTCTACCATAAATCCCCTAAAGCAACCCTGCTCTCTTGCATTTGAAAAGTATCATTATCTATACAATTTCAAGTGAATTTCTATAATTTCTTCTTCCACATTGTACCAATGGTTTAGTGGAACAAATAATCCTGTTTAGGTTGCCTGTAAATGTTTAAAGGTGACAAGCAAATAATTGGGAGAATCAGGCTAACCGGGTATCTGGTTTCTAATTCTCATCCTAGTAACATCCCTTCTAACACCACCTTGGGATACACAGAACCCAGAAATTTGTTAACCTAATTTCTCCGAACGCATTTCCAAGGTTTGCAAATGCCTCTTCCTCAGGTCTCTTCTTCCAAGAGCCAACCGTAATTCCAGGGTGCACCTCATGTCCCCACTGGCCAAATGCTGTGAATGGGGCTTGGATATGCAGAATGAAGTGTCCACACATGTAAGCACGAACATGTGTAATGCAAACAACTGTAATGCTGAATAGAGCTGGGGATGGGAAGAACAGATCCTTGGTCAAAGACTGAAAACCAGGGCCCATGGCCAGGTCTCCCACGCATCACATTCTGCATGGATCCTAAGAACCTGTGAATTCCGCATTCAGATCTGAAGCTCCTCCTGGTCTTTAATTTATTTACCAGTTTTTTTATTGAGTTATAGTTTTTTAATATTCAGATATGTGGTATGAAAACTTCCATTAGTGTGTGTTCACCAGCCCTGCAAGTGTTACGTGTGGGTCTGCTTTTTCCCTTCAACCCACAATGAATATAAATGTGTCTGACAAGGAAATTTCAAGGGATTTGTTCAATGTAGACAAAAATGGACAAGAATTATTTACCTCAAAATAATAATTCTTTAAGAATTTCATCTACACATTTAGGCAAAATTAAAATTTATGACTACAGAGAATTTTAAACTTCATTTTATTTTTCATTTCTTTAGTCAACACTGATCCATTTATTGATAGGACGTGAAGTTTCTACTTTGTTCGAAACTCCAAAACAGAATAATTCTTTAGTTCCTTTCTACTATGTCCATTCCAAAAGAGTAGCAAATTTAGCCTAGCTCTCCATCTCTTTGTATAGAGCAATGGTATTTTTATTGAAATGAGAAATTTACATGCTCATTACAAAGTGCTTATTCTTGCTCAAAATAGCTTTGGCATAGTATTGCGCAATATTTCTCCCCAAATATCAGGAAATGCTGAATTAACAGATCCAGTGTGGAGAATTTAGAGGTTGTGCCCAGTAACTTTACTATGTCTGTCAGGGAAGTCCCTCTCATCATTCTAGAGTAATTTCATCTTTGATTTGAGTGGAACTTTTGTAGCTTAATGGGTGATAATTTCCTCCTGTCAGACATCTCATATTCTGCATGCCCCTCATCTGGCCTGTGTCACATAAAGAGGAGGGAATGTAATTTTCCACCCACCTGTAGAAAACAGCTAAGTTTTATCTCCTATGTGATTCCTAATACGCTGCCCCATGGCAGGAATTCATTATCCACAGATGAAGTAATTATCCTCAAGAAGAGTGGAGTTGCAGCACATAAACTTTTCAGTCTGATAGGGATGGGTTTGAAAGCTGGCTCTCCCAACCCTTACATGCTATATGATCCCCGGAAAATTGCTTAATGTCTCAAAGATTCAGATTTCTCATTTATAAAGCAGAAATAATATATCTCTCGTAAAGTAATTGTGAGGATTAGATAAGACAATACATATAAAGTTTCTGGCACCTGGTAGGCACTCAATAATTGCCATTATTATTCGAGCATCTAAATAATCACCACCACGCTGCTATGAGTATTTTACTGTACCTATCACTTCTACGTGAATGATTCCTATGTGACCCCAAGTCTTTTAATTCCAATGAGGCACCTCCACTCAGATGTCTCAGAATTATCTCAATTCAATATGTGCAATATAAAACATCATCAGATTTAAAAAATCCACAAATTTCCTGAAATTAAAAAAATGTAGATACTAGATACTCCCTGTTTAATTTTTTAAAGCACTAATAAAGAATGTGTGGAATTAAAAGTGAAAATTTCTCCCTTCCGTAGGCTCCTCTCCCATTCCTTCCTCAAATGCCCACAGCTAAGCATGGTAACAGTTTGGTATGTTTCCTCGATGTCATGTTTTACTGCTCTTTCATTTTTCCAGTTTATGCTATTTATCACTAAATCCTAACTTTTATACTTTGCAAATGCCTCTCATGTCTGTTGCTTGTCCTCAGTTTCCATTCTATTGACACTGCTCTAGGTCTTCATCATCACATATTAACCTAAAAATCTATCTCTTTGACACCTGATCCCTCTCATTTTCCTTCTTCTTCCACCAACTTATTCTTCTGTTCAAGTTTTATTGCCTGCTGCATCCAGTAAGTAAACCAGTGTACCTGCTTTCAAGACCCTTTTGTATTTGTCCCCGTGTTTCCTCTTCACCTTGTATACTTTGATATCACTTGGTGGCAATTTCACATGAAGTGTATTTTTGTGCCTCAGATGCTTTGTTTATGCTGTTCTCTGCTGTTGTGGGTTGAAATCTCTTCCTCCATAATTTACCCTTTGAAGTTCTAATCCCCAGTACCTCTGATTGTAACCATATTTGGAGATAGGGCCTTAACGGAGGTAACCAAGTAAAAATGAAGTAATTAAGGTGGGCCTTAGTCCAACATAACTATTGTCCTTATCAAAAAGGGAAATTTAGAGACAGACATCCATAGAGAAAGAACACCATGTGATCATCAACGCAAAAATAGGGTGATGCATCTATGAGCCAAGGAACACCAAAGATGTCCAGCAAACACCAGAAGCTAAAAGACAGACATAGAGCAGATTTCCCTCACAGTGTTCAGAAGGAATCAATCCTGCTGACCTGGATCTTGGACTTCTAACCTCCAGAACTGTGAGAGAATAAATTTCTATTGTTAAAGCTACCCAGTCTATTGCACTTTGTTATGAAAGCCATAGCAAATTATTACATCACTCCTTCAAGTAATTGTCCCTCTGCAAATGCTGAGTGTTGTACTCAAACTGAGGACATAATGAAGAAGTTGTTCCAGACCACACAAGCTGACACTGACTTCTCTTCTCTGCCTTTTCACAGTGCCTAACAGCTGTACCACTATTATGACATTTAATCATGGAGGCTGATACCATTCACTCTATGTTTTAATAATACAAAAGCCGTACCCCTTCATCTCTGCTTACAATAATCCTCAATTTTATTTTAAATGCAGAAAGTGTTTCACTGATTCCAGAAAATTAATTGTAAATGTTTAACCCATTTTTTTTTTGAGGCAGAGTTTCACTCTTGTTGCCCAGGCTGGAGTCCAATGGCACGATCTCAGCTTACCGCAACCTCCGCCTCCTGGGTTCAATCAATTCTCCTGCCTCAGCCTCCTGAGTAGCTGAGATTACAGGCATATTTCACCACGCCCAGCTAATTTTGTATTTTTAGTAGAGACAGGGTTTCTCCATGTTGGTCAGGCTGGTCTCAAACTCCTGACCTCAGGTGATCCACCTGCCTCAGCCTCCCAATTAACTCATTTTTAATAAGTTCTTTTTTATTTGCCAGTGATTTGACTAGAGAGAGAATGTGAACCCTATATGATAGGTAGGATATAAGGGTGAAACATGGAGGATTTCTAGGGAGGCTTTTGTTTTTCTGACAAGGGAGACAGATGTGGCTAATACTACCACCCTCCCTCTTCCTCTGGTTTTCAGTAAAGTGTTCATACAACTACAGTAACTATCTTATGACCCAGAAGGATCAAGGGTGAGAAAAAAATGGCCAACATGCTAAGAATGGCACAGAGCACAAAGACTATAAGTGCATGAGTCCTTGATGACATGATTGACAGCCAAATTAATACCAACAAACACCAATTTCCAGACTTCTTGTTACTTGAAGAAAATCACACTTTTTTGGTTTCAGCCACTTTCATGAAAGCATGCTCAATTGACAATGTGCCATAAAACTATTAAATGAAGTATTTTATATGTCTTGCTTACCAATAGTGGCTGGGACTTACTTTTTCCTGGCATGTAGTAGATGCTCAGTAGATGAATATCAACGTTCTTTATGTCATATTATACTCTTTATGAAGCTGTTAACATCCAACCAATGCAGGCTTAATTATTTTGCCAAAACCCTGAGTACACACGGATAATCCAGCAAGAAAATGTTTTTGTGATCTCAGCTCTGATGGCCATTAGTAGTACTCCCCAAATATTTTAGAGTCCACCATACAGGCGCCATGGTAGAATTGCACTTGTCTACCCTATTTTAAATTAAGCATATGTATAGCACTTGCTTCAACAAATATGAGCGGAAGTGATGTGTGTCACTTCCAGGCTTAAAAGCCAGTGCAGGATCTGTGACTATCTCTTTTGCTCCACTCTGGCAATGACGATGCTGCCAATGTGGGCTCCCTAGGAGCCTGCGTCCCAGGATAAAATGATATGAAGCAGAGCTCTTGGCTGACACCTGATGGACTTTTAATGTAAATGAAAAGTTAACTTTGTTCTAAACCACAGAGATTTTTGCTTCCCATAGAGTAACCTAGCCTGACCAGTATATAAAACAATCTTATCTTCTGAAACAAGATTTCAGGTTGATCTGAACTCTAAAACCTCCTATGACCACGATTTTGGCTTCAGTGATCTGTGATTTAGGTCTTTTTCTATGCCTTTTATTAACATTCATATAGTTTTGTAATAGTATATGGCTCTCACCCAGAATGGTTATGAATAATTTTATGACTTTATTAACCCAGGTCCTGCCCTCGAGGCACTTACAAGATCTATGGTGTATTGAGTTTCTCTATAAATATTCAGTACATGCACAAACCACTGGCAAAATGTAAAGCAACAACAGCATAAAAAGAAAAATTGCCAAACACATTTGGAAACTGAAGATTTAAGGAAAGAAAAAATGGGGGTAAACAATTTATTTTTCAACACTTTCAGCTTTCAATTCCATAAAACACTTTCTTTTATGTGTTACTGTAAGTGTTATTAATAGTCACATCTGAGTTCAGAGCACCTGATGGCAAAGTCGCAAGGTCAGTAAGGTTCGTGTTATGGCCTCAAGCCTTGGCAGTAGGAACTGTTTCTCCATTTCCATAAAACTGCTTTCTCCAAACTCTATGCCCCATTTCTACTCTCTGTTTCTCCTAGTATCTTCTGCTCTTCCTTTATCAAAATCTAATCCAGGAACAAATACGTTATTCATGGCTTAAAATATAATGGCAGATAATTTACATTTTGAATCTTTCCTGAAATCATGACTTGATGAGTTCTGTTACCATTTCAATGCTCTAAAAGATGGATGATCTGGTAGAGATGAAATTTTAAGTGTTGTTGGACAAACTTGCTTCTTATCTCTGAAATCATATACTAGAATTGCTTTATCCAACATATAAGTAATTAAGATTTTCTCAAACTACACCAACCAGTGGACACCACAGTCATAACAATTACTAACAACATTCCTGAGTACTGACTATGTGCTGGGCACTCTTCAGGGTATGTCCAGTGAAATAATGTATTCAATTCTGCAAACTATTCGATGGAATACATTGCAATATTTGGTCCTTGTTACAAATTGGTTAAGTAAATGTCCCAAGGTTGTGTGATTAGTATGATGCAAATCTAGGGTTTAAATTTAGACAGCCTGGCTCCAGATCCCACCCACTTCACTTCTCCTTCATTCTGCCTCTTTGTTATTTTAAGCGTAGCTTACATGGAGAACTGCTACTCTGGCATTATCCATGAGTCTTCGCCTAGGTGTGCCTGGAAGATGAAAGGCAAGAGAAAGACTGCCTTTATTGGATTTTTTACTTCCCTACTCGTCTCCTTACCCTTCCATAGACATAAACATGTCAGGCTAGAATGTGTAGAACCAACTGCTCTGCCATCTCCTTAGAGGCCCTGTTGGCATTTTGTATTGTTTCCACACCTGTTCCATTGGACTGAAGAATAAATTTAGTCCTTATCTTCACATGCATTGGCCAATTTCCTAACTGATATTTAACTACCTGCCTCTCTCCCTCTTGAAAGCCAGTTTTCTTGTTTTCCCATCCTATTAATTATTTTCCCAAATATGAAACAAAGTATTCTGATTTGAGAATAATGCCTTACATTTGGAACTGGGCTATCTGTGTCAGAATTTTTATTTTTACTGTTGAGAGTTGTGCTCGGAGAATCCTCAAGATACAGAATTTTGGAGTAGGCGGGATGATACCTTGAAGGGTTTTATGTATAAACATAATGGTCATAAGATGGTTTAGAGAAAGACTGCAGGCTTCTAGCCCTCTTGCCTCTCACATGATGTTATGACAGGATGGGGCATACAATAAGAAGTCAATACATGCTATTGATTGACTTCTTAAATTCTTTGCTAAATTTGTTGACGAATTCTTTCTTCTTTAATTGTGGAACTCAAATTTATTTCAGGGAGAGTTAATTCTGTATTGGTGTGACTTATTTGCAATTTATTTTTTGAGGAAATTATTTGATGTCTAAGGGCCTTTAAAAAAAAGAAGCCATTTCCTTTTGAACAATGAAATCACGTTTCACTGGCATAATTGGACTGGAACACAGACAGGCTCGAGTTTAGCTCTAAACTCAGAACCCATGAAGGTCGACTGGAAAAACACAGTCGCCCATCCCAGTCTTAAGTGGCATTTTATTTTTTCAAATTGTGTCACAAACATGCATACAAAATAAGAGCTAAGTGTTACGGATTATAACCTAAAGCTTTCCAGCCAAGCCAATTGGAAGAGAAAATCAAAGGAAACTTGTGATATTTCAATTTAACTTTCTGCTTTCACAGCGTGTAGGAGGATGAAGGGAAATCAGATAGATTTAAGGTATAGCCTACAATATGATCAAAAGAAAAAAAATCTACTACCATGCTTTGCTTTTATTTCAGAGTCCTATCAGTCTGGCTACAGCCTAAACAAACAAATTCTGTCTAAGAAACATCCATTATCATAACTACCTAATAAATCAGCAACAATAAAAGGTGTGTCCAGCTCACCGACAAATGTGCAGCAATTATATCAAGCTCTCTCACCTTGTACCTTCTTTGTTCAGTTGTTCACACTTACCTAGTTCCTACTGCTTACAGCCCTGTCTTTATTCCCTCTACCAACGTTATCTGGCAGGTAATTTTACTGGCCCTAAGAGCTCTGTGAATACCATATTCATCCTTTGACTCTTCCTACTTCTAGGTCTGAGAAACTATCCCCTAAATTCACAATCACCTATGTGATTGGCTTGTCTATTAGTATCCCAAAAAGGATTTTCCTGTCACCTACCATGGAGACATTCTGCCGGACGAAAAGAGAAAGAAGCTATATGAAATGATAGAAAAGAGATAAGTCAATAGGATTAAAGAGACCTCTCAAGCAATTAAGTGGCAACACTGGCAGTAAGTGACTTCAGGGTAGACAAGTATAAAGACTACATATATATATATATATCTCCAAAGATAGTTACCCTTAGAAGGGCCCTAATTTAATCTGGTCCAAATGTTTTATTTTATAGGTATTGATATTTAGCCCCTAAAGTCAAGAGAATTAGTGAAGTTTATATAGTGAATTAGTGACAAAACTGAAATTAAACCTAAAGTGTCCTAAATTAAAGACCAGAGTGCTTTTCTTCCCCAGTTCTCCAGGGATCTTTGTACTATTTTGTGCATTAAAGGGACTCTATATATATTGAAGGTAGTAAACCAGGAAAGCAGAGATTGAGGGAGGAAGTAAAGAAGGAAGATAATGTATTCTGCATTCTTGAAGCAAAGAAGAAGTATTTAGATAATGTAGTGTTTCCTGGCATAGCAGGAAGTGGAGCAGAGTCAAACAGTGAAACAAGAAATACATACCAAGATTCATTCTCCAAATGAAAAGATCCAAGAGCAACACACCTGGAAGCACTAGAGAAGATATCATCAAACAAAGTGGGGATGTTCCCAATTATGACTGAGAATGAAGGCCACGAATTAGGACCCAAAGAAAACAGGTACATAAACAGAGAACAAAAATATACCCACAGTTGCTATAGCAAAGTGACCAATTCTGTCTAGTGTGGCTTTGTGCACTTGTGGCCAATTGTAACAAGCCAGATCTTGCTCCCCATCATTTGAAAAGTTACTAATCACTTCATTTTCTGGACAACTTCAGAAAAGTAAGTGGAAGTTTAACAAAAATATGAATCAAATTATGGGAAATATAAAAAAAGTATTATGGTGTGCTGTGTTGCCTACAGTATTTCAAAAATGTAAGATGAAATTGTAGAATATCAAGTTCCTAAAGTTACTTATAAGTGAAGATGAAAGTAAGAATTCTTACACAGGATAGCATCTTGAAAGCCTGCAGACATTTTTCTTTTTGCTACTTTTTTTATTGCTATACTTTATGTTCTGGGGTACATATGTAGAACATGTAGGTTTGTTACATAGGTATACATGTGCCATGGTGGTTTGCTGCACCCATCAACCCTTCATCTACATTAGGTATTTCTCCTAATGCTATCCCTCCCCTAGCCCCGCAACCCCTGACAGGCCCCTGTGTATGACGTTCCCCTCCCTGTGTCCAAGTGTTCTCATTGTCCAACTCCCACTTGTGAGTGAGAGAACATGTGGTGTTTGGTTTTCTGTTCTTGTGTAAGTTTGCTGAGAATGATGGTTTCCAGCTTCATCCATGTCCCTGCAAAAGGCATGAACTCATCCTTTTTATGGCTGCATAGTATTCCATGGTGTATATGTGCCACATTTTCTTTATCCAGTCTATCATCAATGGGCATTTGGGTTGGTTCCAAGTCTTTGCTATTGTGAACAGTGCTGCAATAAACATACTTGTGCATGGGAGATATTTTTAATGAGGAAAATAGAAAAAGCAGTAGGAAACCAAACATAATTATATGTGATGCCTATATAGTGCCCAGCCAATTGATGGCTCAATTCTGATGTGGTACTGTGCAAAAAGAAAACAAAAACAAAGACAAACACACACACAAAAAAAAACACACACACAATAGCATCTGGCAAGCAAAATAACTTAAGAAAACAATTTAATCTTTATTATATTCCCTCATGAAAGTATTAAAGGGAAAAAATACTCATAATAAGGAATGAAACGTTTAAATCTTTCTCTCTCCATCAACTCTTGGGCTATGGTAGAGGCACAAGGAACAAAAAGAGAAGGGAATTACCACATGCCGCTCAGAGTGTCCAAGCTTGTCTGACACCCCCCAGCCCCAGTGTTCTATGATTCTAAGCCACTGACTCTGCCCCTCGTGCCTCAGTGCTTCCCAATCTCTGCAATGTAAATCCAAAAGCAACCTACTTTCATCAAAGATCATCCATCACTCCAATTCACCAACCTGTCAGCCTAACCATGCAATATAAACTTCGTTCTTGCAGCTCTCTGAAATTCTTGCTATTCTCAGAACTTGACCTGCACACTCCCACATCATTGCCCCAAAATATTCCCTTGGAATACCCTTCTGCCATTTTCCAGTTCTTAATAGTTTGCCTTAAATACCATGCCTTTTTTGAAGCTGCATCTAGTGCCCCAGTCAAATCAAATTCTCTCTCTTGTGTGGCTATCCACACTGTGCCCCTCCATTACAGGCTTATGTATTCTTCATCTCATTCAAAAGAGACTTGTGGCACTTAGTAGCGCTATTTGTGAAATGCCTGTCTTTCCCCACCAGCTTCTGAATTCCTCATGAAAACGGATGCAGCTTTATTTATCTAAAGCCTCTGTAAAATCCATTAAGGGCCCCTTGAAACAAGTATGAACCTAAACAAAGTTTATTCCCTCGAATGACCTGGCCTTATCTTACCCAACTTACATTCTGTAATCTCCTAAGTGAATGGCAAGAGTCATTTTGTTAAATGAAATTAATGTCATTAAGGTGAAATTAATTTGTACATGGGGAAAAAAATGTAGTCTCCAGGTTGTCTCCAAGCCAGTTGCCAATATTTGAGAACCACTATTTAACAATTACCAGTAAACTAGATCAGGACTGCCTAGAAGTTACCATCTGCTACCTTAGCATGGTCAAATCACAATTTATTATGGATTTGGATGCACGTAATGATTTTTTTCAGGTTAAATAAAGGAAGAAGAAAATGAAACAGAGTAGAGGAGAAGTAATCATGGTCAACAAATAATGTCTCCAAAGTAACATCCATATAATGTAATTAAAAGTCAAGAAGAAATCTTTTCTTTCTGAATGTACTTAAGTTCCTTATCTCTTTACTGGTTTGAAACATTGCATCAAACTTCCACAGCAGCTATTCCCTGTGGGCCTTTACAGATACATAACAAATGTGAGGTTTGAAATTTCTGCTATTTTGAGTAATTTTAAATACTTTTGGTTATTTTGTATGTATGTGTAAGCCTGCATGCATGAACACACAGACACATGCATACACACACACATGCACACATACTCTGGAAAGAGCAGGGAACATTCAGTCAGAAGCCAACACTGGCTCCACATCTCAACCTGACTCATTGGTGAAGCACCTTGCCTTCATGAATGGGTGTCTCCTTATCGTTGTAACTGGGACACTGAAAAAGATGATGTCTACATTATTTTCTGGTTTTAGATCTGTGAGTTATATGCAAATGCACACCATTTAAACAACTGCCTAATGTCGAACACGTAAACATTTTTTAAAAAGTATACCTAGTAAACTCTCTGGTAGAACCCTTAGGTCCCATGGATGGCCCTTACCCATGAGACTGTAAAAACAGCAGGAGGAATGTCCACTCCATAACCACACAGGAAGTCTGATGTCTAATCTAGATCAGAATTCAGAGGATGCTATCTCTGGCCCTAAAATTAATCAGAGTCAATTGCTCTCAGCCATAACATTAGAAGGAAGGATGTTTTAACTGAAACAATGCTCTGATTTAATCTCATATCAGGGGTTGCCATACAATCTTATTTTGTCTTCTCTCAGTTTGGTTTCACACATGAAAAAGAAAGCCCTTGCAAAATGTGTGCAAATTGTTAAATGTCAGCTGAATGTCATTTTCCAAGTTTGGCACTCAAATAGGGCTCTCTGAAAATTGGCTGTCATCCGCTGAGACTTAAAGGAAAGATCTTTGAAAAGGTCCTGGGAGGCTTCATTTCCAGAGGTTTTTAAGGTCCCACATGAGCTGACTGCTTCCTCATATAAGTCATTTCCCCATAGTCTGCAATGTCGCAGTTCTCCCTGCCTCCATGCCGTTGATTTTGTCACTACCCCGCCCATGAATGCTCTCTCTTTGCTCTCTGTCTATCCAAATGTGACAATTTCTCAAAGACAACACTAAGGTACTTCCTCCACAAAGCAGTCTTGACTTCTTCTGCCATACACAATCTTTCCACTCTGCAACCTGACCACCTGCATTTGAACCCTGCACCAGTTGGTCCTGGTTTAGACTAGCACTGGTCTACAAAATGTTTGCATATACTACACTGTACCCATTTCTCTTGTCTTACTACTTGTTTGTAAACTCTTTAAGTAAAAACCCAATTTTATTCTACCATTCGTATTGTTTACCACAAAGCTGTTCATACAAGAGATGTTCCAACATACAATACTACTTCTATTTCATCTCCTGTTGTCCTCAAAAAGTACAGAAATTTCCATGGGCTCGTTGCCTTTAAGGATAAACTTACACAGCTGTTATTTTTTTCTAAGTTGATGGGTTACAGAGGCAGGGAATGAAGGCAAGTAATCAAATAATCAAGAGCAGAACTTATATGAGCATTTCAGCACAAAGCAACATTTGGGCCTAAATTACCCCCCACCTAATTAAACTCACACTCCCTAAAAGCATTTTCTCAAACCTGAGCTGCCCTTGACAACCTAGATATAGCTACCACAGCTCACTGGGAAACTTAAATATCACCAGTGCCCAGACTGAGTACCATTAGGGAACGAGGAGTGAACTGCCTAAGGATAGACATGAGTATCTGATGGCACTACACCCTCTCAAAATCCTGGGTATTTGTCTTACTGCCAGACTGACCTTCTCTTGAGAAATACAGTTATTTTTCTCTCATTGAGGTAACAGAATCGGTGTGTTGACTCTTGCTTTTCTTCCAGGTAAATGGGACAGAGACAGATGAAGAAAAACATAGAGGGAGCTTCGATGAATCTATGCAGTGTTTTATTGCTGATGCAGGCTGATTCCATACATTTCTGGAAATGTAACACTTTAGAAGAAGAGAGGGTGGGGTCCTAATTGAGTGAGGGGTGATGTAATAGAAGTTGATGCATCTTATCAGTAGTTGGGCAGACCCACTTAACTCTGCAAATGGACCTCGTCACACAGGAAAAATCAGATGACACAGAATAGAGCCTAATGTTTTCATTAAAGTGAGAAGAGACCTTTACTTGCCTAAGAAAAATGTCTTAACTAAAACATAGATTTTTCAAAGACCACAGACAACAGCAAGGTAAAATGTGTCTGATTTATGGCAGGTTTAAAAGGTCTTCTTCCCACATGTGAGTCTAGAGCCACAGTAGGTGCCACAATAGGATGATAAATGAAGAAATAACTCAACAGGAAAGCAACAAGGCAGTGGACTCTGGGGTAGTGACGGCTGTACCACTCAGTCTCTGAGTGGAATCTGAATGCTGAAGGTGAGCAACTATGTTGTGAGGTAGAAGAGGCAGATAAAGAAAAGAGGATGACACTAGGAATCAGAAAGGTAGAATTTTTGTTCCAAGTCTCCTACTAATTTCTTGCATGACCTTGAGGGAAATCACCTTACCTTTCTCTGCCTGTACTTTTGCATCTCTGAATGAGAATAACAAGAGCATGTTCCACTACTCTCTGGGATGTTATAAAAAATAAAACACAATGTGATAATAGATGAACTATGCTTTGAAGAGCTCAAAAGCACCGTGCAAATGTAAAGTATTAATTATGTTCTAAAGGTATCATTTCAGTGAGAGAGATAAAAAAGAAGGAACATATTATTAAATTACATATTTGAAAAGATAAGAGACATATTGGGAGGGCTGCTTTCAAGAGATATTGCAGAAGCTGGCATTCGATCTTCTAGACACCAGCCAATCCTCACATAAAAACACAGATCTGAGATGAGAGAGAAATAGATGACAGTGTGCAGGGGATGAACTGTGTGCCAAGGTAAATTGCAGAAACGTACTGACAAAATAAAATTGGTGACTTACATAATGAGTATCAAAAATTAATAAGCATACAAAAGACTTAACATTACAAAGAAGAAAAGATAGAGGTTTAGGGTAAATTCAAAGCTACAAGTTGAGCTTAAAAGGACAATTACTAAGAAGTACTCCTTCCTGCCCAAAGAAGGGGAGCAATAGAACAACAGGTTGTGAAAAACCAGGCCTTTAGGAGGTCCATCCTTCCAACGCCTGAGCAATAATTTCAGAAGATAACTACCCTCAGGTCCAAGCAAAACTAATCATTTAATAAATGACTTATGCATTAGGTTTGGGGGAGACAAGAGAAGGAAAATCTGGGAAATTCTGCCCTTGTGGATGCCAGAAAGAAAGGATGAGAATATAAAAAACAGTGAAGTGAGGCTTAATTGCTAAACACGGGCTATGAACATTCTAGTTGGTTAGAAAAGAAATATAATGAGAGGGTTTGCTCGACTAGATATAAAAACATTTCTAGTCCTAAGATTCTAAAATTCTAAGAGCATTTTCTTTGCTAGAAATAACATTCAGAGACTTCTGCCTCCTGGCTCTTAGAAAAAAAGACTAAAAACTAACTCTAAAGCGGTGGAAGCTGTGTGCTTTGTATTCAGGAATACCAGTCCCAGCTAAGAGTGAGGGTTCATGTTGAAAACAAAGACAGAGTAAGTGAAAGTCTATATACTGAAAACTGAGGTCCCTATCCTAGCTTCCAGAACACTGGCAATCAGGGTTATATCCCCTCAAACTCATCTCTTTTACTACCTTCAGAAAAAGAGATTGGAAGATACTTTTGGAGGAAATTCACAAATCCCAGAGGAAATATATATGCATATATATAGATTTTGGCAGATAGGGCTCAAGACCTGCTTTGGAACTTACAGTAGAGTTCACTACTAGTAAGCTCCATCTACACACAGTCTTGACAGCTCTAGATATGAGCAGATAGCCTGGAGTTACCAGCAAGCAGAGCACAGCCTTCACCGGAAAAGGTAAAGGCCAAAACCAACACTCAAACAGAAATAATTAAAGGAAATAGAAGATAGCAGAAAACTTCTGGGAGAATAAAACTTTCTTTAAAAATCATTATAATTAACATTCTCAGAGGTTAAAAAAAATAAAGTTGAACACCCTTTGAAAGAAAAACAATGATTATGAAAAATTAGAGACATTGTCCAGGCATGGTAGCTCAAGCCTGTAATCTCAGCACTTTGGGAGGCTGAGGAGAGAGAATTCCTTGAGCTCAGGAGTTCAAGACCAGCCTGGGCAACATAGAAAGACCCTCATCTCTACAAAGTAAAAAAAGTAGCCAGGCATGGTGATACTTGCCTGTAAGCCCAACTACATGGAAGGCTGAGGCAGGCAGGTCACTTGACCCTGAGAGGCCATGGCTGCAGTGAACTATGATCACTCCACTGCACTTCAGCCTGGGTGACAGAACAAAAGCTTGTCTCAAAAAAAACAAAAACAAAAAACAAAAACAAAACAGAGACACATATCAAAGTAAAGACAGTAATATAGTGAACCTTGTGTACTTACCAGCTAGCTTTAAAAATTATCAATATATTGCCATTTTTTTACCTCTAAAACATCACCTACTCTCTATTCCAGATTATTTGAAATAATTCCTAGATTAATAGCATGTCATCTGTAAATATTTTACGACAAGTCTCTAAAAACTTACTACTTTAAAAAGTACATAACTACTGTATAACTATCACACCAAAAAATTATTATCATTTATATCATCAAAATTCAGTCAGATTTTGAATTTTCCTAATTGTATCATTTATTTCATTTCAGTTTATTTATGGGTTGCTCAAGTAAGGATTCAAATTGTGATATTATTATTTTCATCATATTGACTAAACCCTTCATCTATAGGGTTCCTTTCCTTTCTCTCTTTCTCTCCCTTTTTACCTCCCTTGCAATGTATTTTGGCAGCTATTGGTTTATTTTCCTATAGAGTATTTCACAGTCTGGATTTTGTACCTCTGTGGTATCATTAAACATATTTATTTATTCCTGATAATTCTTATTAATTGCTAATTGTATTTAGAGAGTTACTAAAACTTAGGCTCAATATTTAGGCAAGAATTTTCTGTAGTGGGTTACAAGTACTTCCATCAGCAGGGACATATTGTCTGGTTGTCTATCTTTTCGTGACATTTTAAGCCTTGAAAATCACTGCTTAATCACTAGAACTAAGTGTATATTTCATTTAGGGTTACAGAATATTCTAATTCTGCAATTTCTTCATCATTTTATTAACTGGAATACTTCTATGAAGAGAAACTTCTTTTTATCAAATATTCATTCCCTGAGATACCTTTGTAGAAGAAAGGCATAATAAGTATTTCACTTTTACCTCTACCAAGCAATTTTTACAATAATAAGTTGGTTCTCTAGCATTCTCCAAAATAATCCATGAGGTTTTTTTTTTTCAAATATCATTATAAACACATAGAATTATATGTCATTAATTTGTTACCCTCAGTCACAATTGCTATTGTTATCAGTGCTCAAAACCTCTTCCAGTTGGCCTTTGACTTTATCTGACATAAGGTGGAAGTCTCTGCTTTTTGATTTGGTAAGGTGTTCCAGGCTCATCTTACACATTCCCAGCCTTAGACCTATATTCTTTTCACTCTCCAAAGCCATCTGGTTCTTTTTACTGGAAAGTGGTATTTCAAAACCGTAATTCTTTTTCCTCATGTCAGCTCTTTTTTTGCTTCTCAAGGATATTTAAAAATGTGTTTATCCAGAATGTTTGGTTATTTGAGAGAGAGGATTGGCCCAAATAACCTAGCCCACTATTCATACCAACTCATACTGGGACCTTTGCTAAATCCATTCATTGGCAAGTGTTTCCTCTGGTTATTTGCATGGCTTATTTTCCTAATTCTGTAAAGGCTTTGCTTAAAATTGAGCTTCTCAATGAATAGTTCCCTGATTGTACAGAGTGCAAAGAAGTGAGTGTTGAATAAATGAATAAATAGTGCCTAAATAAAACACATGGGAAGCTTATTAAAAGGGAACACAGAAAGGTCAGAAAAAGAGATCTCAAAAAATTTAGGTATCATAACAAAATGAAACATTTAGATATAAATCTGGAAGCACAGATATCTAAACACAATGAAACAAACAAAAAATCTGATAATACAGAATTATACAAAAGGGTTTTAGAATGTCTTAGACAAAGAATACTAGTTTCTAAAAAGCAATTAAAAGGAACCATAGGAACCATTGCATGCCAGTACAATGGACTAAAAATAAAAGACTCCCATCGAAGCATATTATAACAAAATTTCACAACACCATGGACAAAGTGATGACCCTACAAGTGCTTATGCAGAGGCAAATGTGCTAATTAATACATAAGTTCAGGAGTTACAATGACATTCAACTTCTCTACAGTAACACACCTTTGCTAAATCTTGAGGAGAATGATTGTCAATCTAGAATATATTATTGATCAAGTGTAAGGAGGAGAATAAGGAAATATTCAAACACAAGTTCTCATGAAGACAGATTTCAGAATGATAGCAAGCATAGAAAACTAGGAGCCTGAATAGTAGAGTAGGATGAAGGCCCACATGGAATATCTCCTAGCAATGAAGAACAGAGGGGGAAAGGAGGGAGAAAAAAGAGGAAAAGAGATCTTAAACATTTTAAATATCATAACAAAATGAAAATTTCAGTATCAATCCAGAAGCACAAATATTTAAAAACAAACAGACAAAAAACTACCAAACAGAAAAAGGACTACCTGACTCAGTTGAATTGACTGAAAGATTTCCACAACTTTCAGATAATTTGGCAATGATTCATTGATACATAAAAATGAAGCCAATAAAAAATTATTAAGTAGAAACAAACAAAAATTGAAAGAAGATGTCGAAGAAAGGAAACAAAACTAGTATACCACATGGCTCAGCAATGAGTAATGTTTACAAAGTCATAACGAAGTAACTATTACATAATGATTTCAAAAATATGGCTTACTTATACTGGGAGAATTGGAAAAGAGAATAGTCTGGGCTGATGTGTGTATACAAAGAGAAGTACATAAAAAAAGTTCATTTTCCAAAGGAGACATCAGAAAATAATATATTTAGCTGGAGATTTTAGAAATAACAGAATAAAAATGACATCTCTAAAAGTTAAAATGAACATTAAAAGATACAGTTAAAACTGTTAAAAATATTACTTTGGGGAAGCAGAAATTGGAGATGAGGAGATACTTTATTAAGTAAGAAAAAAACCTATTTGACTTTTTTAAAGTTTATTTATTTATTCATGTGTTAAGAAACAAGGCCTCACTCTGCTGCTCAGGCTGGAGTGCAACAGTGCAATCATAGCTCACTGCAGCCTCTAACTCCTGGGCCAAAGCCAACCTCCTGCCTCAGCCACCTGAGTAGCTGGTACTACAAGCATGTGCCACCATGCCCAGCTAATTTAAAACAAAAATTATTTTACAGATGAGGTCTTGCTATGTTGCCCAGGCTGGTTTCAAACTCCAGGCCTCAAGCCATCCTCCTGCCTCAGTCTCTAGAGTGCATTGATCCTCCTGCCTCAATCTGTAGGTGCCAGCCATCACACCTGGCTCCTTGGCTTTTTAAACTAGGTAAATATATATCTTTAGTGAAAATGATTTTTTAAATGTGTTTTAGAAAGTGAAAAGATGTCTAAAGGGTACATTAAGGAAATGAATTAATCTGCTTATTAAAGATTTACATAAGGTAAACACATGTCCTGTAGTACAGGAGCAGGACAGTGATAGCTTGAACTATGTGGGACATGTGCAACCAAAGGTTTTCACACCTGAACTGATGTGGGCAGTTTCAAACACAGAAACTGAAAGTTTTGTTGGCTTATCCCCGGGTCTCTCTTGATTTTCCCAAAGACTAACTTACCAGTCAGGAGAAGTTCCTTACAGGTTTAGATGCCCCCAGAAAATGACTGAAACTTCTGGGACATTGTCAATCTGGAGAGAAAAGCACTGTACAATCGTGAACACTGGGTATAGTGACACTGATTGAGACCAGGCCAGTGCAAGAAGTGATAGGCAAGTGCCAGGCCCATGACCCAGATTAAAACATAAATACAAAACCCTTCCTATCATCCAAAAGGTAAACTCTTCCCCTTATATCTTTAGTTATTACCTCAGCTTCCTCCCAAACTCTATCACGCATCCTCATAACTCTCCTATGGTAACAAGAATGTAATGTTATAAAATCTCTTTCCCTTTATCCTTATTACACCATTTATGCATATTCAAAAAACTTGTTACCTAAGATGTTCCTCTAATTCTATATATTTAATGTATTCTTTTTTTGCCTGCAAAAACACTAGATAAAAATTATCTCCAAATATTCATGAGCATACATAGCAACCCTCAAAATGTACCTTTCTTTTATATATATATGTTATTGATATTCATGTTTCCTGTGTTTTAATACAATAAAATACTCCCTTGATAAGTACTCTTTCTCCACTTAGCTGTCATATTTAAAATCTTTTGGTCTTCTTGTAAAGTGGGGCCCATTTCTGCATTTATCCACATCCTTCTTGTCTACTAAGAACTATCCTTCAAAATTTCTATGAAAAATCGGAATAAAAATTATTACCTGTTGAGAATTTATCAGTGACAAAGGCAGTGTCACACATAAACTACATTGGGTGGAGGATTTCAGCAGCATGCTAGGAGATATTGTGAAGTCTCCTGCAATCCAACAAAGTCTACATGTTGTATGTGTCTGAATTTTCTCAGAAAGATTATTCTGTTTTGGAATTAAAGAAGAGCATCTTTTATAACATGCAATTTTTATGCATGCTAAGGGTAAATATAAAACTCTCAGACTTTTATCTATAAACAAATTTGAATGGTGGAAGGAAAAATAAATATAACTATCCCAGGTAACTAGGCAGGGGCAAGTATTACCAAAGGGATAGGACTTCAGAAGTTTGAGGATGTTGACCATTAATTTGCATCCCAGTCTTCACCTATGTCAGCCACAGTATAAGAAATCTGATTTCTGACATGGGTGGGAACACATGCAGAAAGTAAGTTACTAATCTCACATCTGTCATGCTGATATACAGAGACCAGTGTCGTGTGTCCAATCCTATAGTGACTATCTTGGGTCTGGTCTCACAAGGACATCTGTGCTGATGCCCTTTCTTTATCCTCCTTTGCACATGGCCAAACTCAGGCTCAGCAACACAGAAGGCTAAAGGAATCAAATACATCTATTCACATATGGTGAATGACTGGCGGGGCTCAATGGACCCTTTGCATAGCTGTTTACAATCTATCAGTGAAAACAGAACTATAAACTATAATTTTTTGAGCTACTACCATACAGTAGGAATAGTCCTTTTAATGAATTGTTTAAACTCAAACCTTGCCAGGTCAGTTATTTCCCCCATTTTACAAGAGAGGTAACTGAGTCACAGGATCACCCAGCTAATAATCCACAGATAGGATTCACAGCCAGTTCTGCTCAGCTCAAAAGCTCATGCTGCGTCTACTATGCTGGTTGCTTCTCACAATAAAGCACAATTTCTAACCTCAGTAACAGACTAGTGGAGAACATCATTTGGAAAAAGTGGCCCTCAAATCAGACCAAAGTGACAATTGTATAAACTGCCTTATGTGTAAGACTAGCCCTGGAGAAGAGGGTGTGTACCCATATGTAGGTGTGTATGCATGTAAATACTGCAAATCCATGAGTGCATTGCATATATTAAACTTTATTATTCACTTAATAGATAATAATTTGGGGCTGTTTTGTAGCATATTTAAACCCCAACCCCAAAATTTCCTTCACTTTTTCCTAACTTTTTATTGCTTTCACACTGAATGCAGCGTGTGCAGACCGTTGAGCTACCTAGATTAGTTATCTTCCTGTGTAAATCCCTTAGACTTTGGACTTGGTGTGGGATTTAATCCTGAGAGCCTAGAGCTAAAATAGTGAGAAAGAGATAATAAACAATAGTAAATAAAGAAAGAACAAAAATATTTCAATACAAGAAAGCAGCAATTTCTGCTTCTGCATTAACACCATCCGATATTGGAAGCATTACTCTCCTTTAAAGTATTAATCAGCAAGGAGATTTTTAGAACTCAAAATTAATAAGTTTTTTTTTCAACCTGACATAAAGAACAGTCTCCCCACCCCTATGTTCATTTTGCTGACATTCTGTAACTTGATAGACATTAATAAATAGCCCAAAATTATTAACTCAGAGATTTCCAGAAAACTTGGCAGGACTTAAAGTACTGGGTTTTGGATGGGCAAGAAGAATATTAGACCTTCTGGGGTGTTATCCACCCAGTCAGAACATTTTACCGTTCATCCGTCATTACTTATTTCCTCATTCCAACATGGCCACTTGCCATGACAGCCTGCCATGAGCAGCCTGACAATCGTTTCCATACACATTGCACCTTTGGCAGGGAGACTGCCATTTTTGTTTAAGGCACTTATTGGTCTCACATTTGCGACAATTTATCAAATGTCTTGCTGAAATTCTATTTTCTATGAGGGTATATAAAAGACTCATAGCATCTTTTCTCTATTTGGCGAAAATTAAAAGCTTTGAAATTTGGCCTCTTTCGAGAAGGAAGCTTAAGGCAAATCCATTCCTCATATCTTCTGAAGGGATTGGCATCACCCTCAGGGCTGTAGGGATTTCTGATGCCAAGGTTGGCATGCTGAATCGTTATTTTCTGTAATCTATTGCATTAAAATATGTAAAATTCTGACAGTTGCATTTGGAATTGGGTCGTAGTCTAACAGGCACTAGAGCACTCCTAAGTAAGTCACTCAACTTCCACCCCCACCATCTAATACATCATTGCTGTCAACTCGTCTTGTACTAAGCATGTCTAAATGCATGAATACAGAGAAGAAAAGCAAGAAAGGAGAGAGGTCTAGGCTAGGCATCATGAGAGTTATGGGACCCTCCAATAAAATTAAGATTAACCCATATTAGAGATGGGTTAACTGAGGCTAAGAAAAAGTAAATAATTTACTTAATGACCACAAAACTCGAAAGTGTCATGTTTCATATCAGGACTCTCTGGCTTCAAAGACTATCTTATGTCCACCTAGTGATGTGTAGGAAGAGAATATATACATTGTTCAGAGTAAATGTCATGTCAAGAAATCTACATTTTTACACAATTGCTTGACATCCAGTTGAAAAAGATTTAAAGACACCCTCCTCTTCACTGCCAATGTATGCTGAAAGAATGCATTCACACACACACACACACCACAACAAATATACTAACTACCAGGTTAGTAACAGAGAGAAGCAGCATCGCATAGCCACACTGTATAACTAATGCAACAGAAATTAGCATTAAAGAGAGTATAATTGAAGAAAAAGTTTTCTGTAAGCATCAATTTATAAAAAATCAGGACACATACTAACAAAAACCTGACAGCCAATCTATTTTCAGAACATGGAAAGACATTTTCTTAATTGCAAGGGCACAGCCATGGTAATAAAACTGAAAACAGTACAACTTCTATTCACTGCTATCCAATATAATCCACAAATGCAAGTCACAAATAAAATTTTAGATTTTGTAGTAGTCACATTAAAAAATTAAAAAGAAACAAGTAAAATTAATTTTAAGAATATGCTTTTATTAGTTTAATATGTCTAAAATACTATAAACCTCAAGACATAATCAATATATAAGTTGAATAAAATATTTTACATTTAAAAATAAATCTAGTTGGTATTTTATACTTTAAAGACATCTCAATTCAGACTAGGCACATTTCAAGTTCTCAGTAGCCACATTGAGCTACTGGCTACCATTGAAAAGCACAGCTCTTCACTATGTGCCATGAAAAAGAGATAGATGGGTCAGAATGCTATTTATTTTTTTCCTAATTGGTCCTTGGCTTATGAGTAAAAGATCCAGACTAATTAGAAAACTGGGGAGTGGAAGAGAAGTAGAAGGGGCTGGGGAGAAGTTTCAAGAATAACTACAGGCAATGGCAATTGGCAACTTAATGGACAGAAATAGTCCATTTACAAGTAAAATGTTGACATGGATGGGTGAGTGGGGGAGAGAAAATGAGAAATCTTGGAACCAAGGCTTCTTATAATGTGCAGATTTTCATATACCTAAGAGTATCAGTGAACTAGCAGCGGAGAAAGTCAAAGAGCCTTGAATGACAACCTGTCTCCAAGAATAACAGAGCAGGAGCTAGGCACATGCACTTGAGGCTGAAGTGTAGATCCCAAAAGATTTGCCCCCTGCTCAAGTTGATAAAGCCATACCTTTGGTTGACAAGTATTTTGGGTGGCAAAGATTTCTTTCCAGAAAGCAAAACAACAAAACAAAAAAACTGCACAGAAACAATAATAGCAATAATTTGCACATAAACAGTAATAGCAATAATTTTAGAATAAAAAGAACACTATAAATCAGTAGCAAAATAAAATATTTTTTTAAAAAATGGCATTAAGAATGTGAATTAGAAAAACTCTATGTATATCAAAGTGTTAAACTTTTCTTTTTAATAAAACAACAAGCCAGAACAAAATATCAATATTTTCCCATGATAGGAAAAATGTTTCTAAACATCAAATTTATGAAAGAAATCCATTTGGGGGTGTGAGAAATAATCAATATGTTTGTATCAAAAATAGAACAGCTCTGAAACTCAACAAACATCCTAAACCAAATTAAAAACAAATGATAGGCCGGGCACGGTGGCTCACACCTGTAATCCCAGCACTTTGGGAAGCCGAAGCAGGTGGATCATGAGGTCAGGAGATCGAAACCATCCTGATCAACATGGTGAAATCCCACATCTACTAAAAAATACAAAAAATTAGCCAGGTGTGGTGTCATGCGCCTGTAGTCCCAGCTACGCAGGAGGCTGAGGCAAGGGAATGGCTTGAACCCAGGAGGCAGAGGTTGCAGTAAGCCAAGATTGTGCCACTGCATGCTCCAGCCTGGGGGCAGACCAAGACTCTGTCTAAAATAAATAAATAAATAAATAAATAAATAAATAAATAAATAAGAAAATATTTAATATAAATTGTGGTTTTACAAACCAATTGTAATTTTTTAAAATGAGTAAAAGACATTTACAGACATTTCACAAAAGAAAAGAATAGAAAAGTAGATGAAGGAAATGAAGGACATAAACAGACAATAGCCTAAAAGAATTCAAATAAACTGAAAACTGAATTACAATATTCAGTCTCAGCCATAATAAAATGAAACCTAATGCAAAAGGCACTTTACATGTCAAATCCATCTAAAAGGTGGTTATCATAGCATTATACACAGTAGCAAAACACAAAAAAATGGAAGCATCCTATGTGCTAAGAGAAAAACTAGTTAAATTACATTAAAAATACATTCTTTTAGAATATTTACTGATATGCTTTAAATTTGTAGTGACAGAAGAAAATTTAGTCTACAAGTATTTATTTGATTTAATTTGAATTTTAAAAATGGAGTATAAACTCATCTACACATATAAATTTATCTTTGTTAAAATATTTGTTTATATTGTAATAAAAAATAAAGATTAGATTTTATTAAGAATGCTTATATATGTGGTTCTATAAATAGATTAATTACATGTGTGTATACACACATATACAGAAACTGAGACAAACCTTCGGAAAACACATATATAGGAAAAAGCTTGAATACATATATTCATTTTTAAATAGTTATAAGTGGAAATAGTTATAAATTGTTATTTTTCTATATTTTATTGTTCTAAATAGTTATATAGTAATCTTATTAAAAATTTTGAAAATTCCAAATATTAGTAGGCAATATGTTTAATATGGGACAAGCGAGTGAGATGTCTACCAACAAAGTTTGTGGGGTTTCTATTGCTGGAGATATCAAACTAAATAAGTAACTTCTGGTTCAGATGAAAAGAGTTGCTACAGTACAACATCCAGGGACAGAATACATATAGATTGGTTAACTAAAAGAACCTTGAAAAGTAGGAAGGGATCAATATGAGTAGGAATTATTAGGGTTTGTCTTATGCTGGAAATTAAAGTCGTCCATGTCCTTGAAGAGCTTGTGAAAAAACAACACACACACACACAGAGAAGAAGGTTAAAGACTTGGGATTGTGGAACATCATTGGTAAAGTCAAAATCATAAAGCAATGCTTGTGTGCAGAGAGTTTCTTTCATACAGGTGCAGGAAATGTATCCTTTCTACAAGCTCTCCACCTTCCAAAGAGAAATCCAAGCCATGCAGGATTGTTTTTTTGTTTGTTTTTTCTTGTTTGTTTTGTTTTGTTTTTTTAGTCTGGATGTCTTTGTATCTAAGGTTGGGTAGTGGAAGACAAATCGTATCAAACTCTTAGACTTGTAGTTTAGAGACTCTGGTATCTCTCAATAAATGAATCATCCTCTAGAATAAAACTTCTAAGAATAAAATAAGCAGTAATTTCAGTTTAGTTCATTTAATTCATTCTTTGCTTGAGTCTTAGCCAAACACACAGATTACTTATTTGGCCAAAGTCTCAGGCTAAATAATTATTATACTTTAATTGACTTCTTCCTGGACAGAGGCTGAGTTCAAATTATACGATTAATATTTACTTCTCAACTTCTAAGAATGTGTTCTTATTGAAATAGACATTCCAGTCAGTTGTACACAATTTGATTTGACTTATCTCAATCTTTATTTTCATATGGCAGGTGTCCATTCCCTCTCTTTCATTTCTATACCACTTGCTTTCCCAATCAATTCTTCCTCTTGGAGCTAGTTTTCTCTTTGTACCTAGCTCTTTCACTTGCCTCAGGAAATTGTATCTGTCTAGTATTTATCTCCTAAATGTGACCCACAATGCAACCTAAGCAGTCTTCAGCCTACATTAGAATAGATAATCCAGGGAAAAAGTCTTCTTCAAGGAAGTATCTCTATGCAGACACATGGCACATTTCCCTTTGGTTTGGGACACAGAAATGCCAAAATAAAATAACACTTTTATTTCCAGTAAATCCAGAGCCTAAACCTTACTGTTTGCCCATTCCCAGACACGAGTACACTGTATGCTATGCTGTTACAAAACCTTTTCCCCTGAAACAATCCTCTTTCAATTAGTTGCTAAGTAGATTTCAGAGGTAGAATCCAAGCAACAACAGGGACGGAGCTGGGCATCCCAACCCTTGTAACTTGTTGATTCCTCAGGTGAACTTGAATTCTCTTCCTGAAGGTGAAATCTGTCTTCAGAGTCCACTGAGCCTTTTAGTCCCTTGAAAGTTCTTACAGTGTCTATAAAAATTTCTGCTCTTAACCTTTCTTGTGTTATAAAAAGCACAGCCACGTTCCTCATAACTATTTGATGTCTTATATAAAACCCTTTATAAAATAAAAAAAAAATCTCCCCAGATAGTCTCAAAAGAAAAGATGCCCACCGTTGTCTTAAAACGGCATGCTTATCTAATATCGGCATGAAGACAGAGTCAGTGCTCTGAATTCTGGACTGCCCATGCTGGCATTGAGGGGCACTGTTAAAACCTGCCAGTTGCTAAAATATCCCTTCTACTCCATGGGGAGATAGTGTCATGAGTTAAAGCCAGAAAGGGAAAATTTTGGCCGGCATCCAAAAACAGTTGTAGAAAAGAAGGTTCTCTCTCCGACAGCATTCTGACATGCTTTCTTCAGTCTTGCCATGAAGTTGAAATCTTTCCTCAGGAGAGATGAGTGTATATATAAAGACAGCATGCACGTGGTGGGTTCAGGAATTTCAAACATGGCCCAGTCTGACATAAAGGAAGGAAAGGGAAAAGGGGTGGGGGAGAAATCGCTGAAGTTCCAGAAAGGGCTGTCAAAAAGTAAGCCATTTCAACAGGTTTGTCTTTGAAATATTTCTTCTGAGTGATTCTAGTATAATTGGACCCAATCCTTATATGATTTTATATGAAGCTGCTTGTTTGCTTGATTTCTGAAAGTTTGAATTTATCATATACATAATGATATATGTGATATACATGATAAAAGCAATTTTGCATTTATGCAGTAATTAGAACACAACACATTAGTATCCAAAGAGCAGCTAAGATATACAGTCAAAATTTTAAAAGCACAACTAGAAGGAAGAAATGGGAAGGGATAATAGAAAAATATACAGAAAAATTCCTCCAACCTCAACTGGCAATGCCACTGTCACAGAGAAGATGATGGTAGGCCTTTGTTATCATTTGGCTTACAGAGTCTGTGAGGAGGAGGATGGCAGGAGGGTGTGTCTGTGCATGCACATGCCAACATATACAGGCAGAGAGGGCCTGGAGAGCCCCTCAAACAAAATAAAGTTTCAAAAAAGATACATATGCACCTCTTTTCTACACTCAAGGCTATATCTCTAAAGAGTAAGCAATAAATACTTGGCAAGTGTCTAAATAATTTCATGAATAACTTTAATATTAACAGCAGGGAATGAGTATATTAGACCTTGATCAACAGTGTAGGTTTATTAAAGCTGTCTTAATTTCATGTTTTTTTATGTTTTGAATTTTAAGAAAGGGCAGAGGTTCTAATCCTAAGAACCTTCTGAATAAATGTTAATAAGTAAGCAGAGAAAGAGGCCATTGTATAATTGCTAAAAACTATTAAGAGTGAACTTCTAAATAAACCTATGTAGCCATCAAAATCCACAATAAAAATATAAAGTGTCATTTTCTCGATTTGCCTATACAGTACATTTCTAATCTTGTCTTGATTCTGTCACTAGCTAGATGTTGATCTTCTTTATGGAAAACAATTCCTCTGAATGTCAATTTCCTCATTGGTAAAATAGAAATAATAATACCTGTTTCTTAGAGTTATGTGATTTCAAATGGTACAATGTGTGTATCTTTAGCAGACTATAAAATGCTGGACACACGTTGATCATCATGAATAGTAGTAATATCTCTGATCATTTCACTCACAAGATTGAAGAGAAGGGTTATTTCATAGTTTCTTAGATTGTAATCAGTTTCTAATGCACTAATTTCATGGTCATAAAATACTAGAGCTGAATGAGATCTTAGACATCATCTCATTCAAACTTCTTCATTTTTAAGGACCACAGAGTTTGTGGCGTGCTCAAAGTCAAACATCGACATGCATGGAATACAGATATTTTTAGGATACATATATCTGGAATGCAGGCTATTGTGAGCTTGTTAAATATTTCCGCTAAGATTCTCTGACTGTTTCTAAAATCTGGCCTTAAAGAAAATTTCTGTAAACTGAATTTTCTGTTTACCATTAGTTCTTATAACACAAATTAGAAAAAAATGATCCCATGGGAACAGCAGCCGGAGACATCTTTTAAAGCTATAAATCCAATCCTCTCATACTCTTGCTTAAATCTTTCTATTGACCTTCGCTGGTCCTTATTATAAAAACCCCTCACCATCTCTTGCAAGGTTTACATGCTGTAATTCCTACTGGTTTAGACAAATTCATCTCTAATGAAACACCTTCTTCATGAATTACACTTTGACTCTACCCACCTTTTTCATTTTCCTCCAAAATCTGAGGTTTGGGCTGTGATTTTTCCTTATATCATTGTATGGCAAACCTTTTGTCAGCTTAAGTGTCATCTCCTTAAAGAGAAATGTGTGACTGCCTCAGTCTCTTACCTGTTTCTCCCTATTTCACTCATGGTGCTCAGCCCATAAGGAATGGTCTTGTTTATGGATATTTTGCATGTTTCAGATCAGCCTCAGCCACTGGAACATAAGCTTTATTAGGGCAGCAATTATTCTGTTTCTTATACACCATTGAATCCCCAGTATTTAGCTAGACTAGCCAGCACTAACTACATATAATAGGAGGTACTTAATAATTAGTTGTTGAATGAAACAATGAATGGATGAATGAATAGATAAATGAGTCCGCCACTGTCACTTTTGATATGAAAGAGGCTAAGATGATGATTAGGATTGCTTTCACAGTAGAATGCAATACTGACCTGATCAAAACACTTTGGCAACCAGGACTGTGTTGGAAGAATTCTGTGAAGAAGGATTGGCACTTGATTGCAAGATGAAAGAACACCAAAGACAAACGTCACTGGAATCAGAATTTCACAGGAAACTAGGCCTCAGTATCAGGTAGTCATTAATTGTATGAAAAATAAAAATATTTCAAGCACTATTTTCTATGTAAATAGCATACAGGAGAGTTAAAAAGAAAAAAAGATACATAAGACACACCCTTTGACATAAATTTCATACATAAGACACACCCTTTGACATAAATTTCAAATTTGTTTTGTGATATAAAGTATAAATGTAAAACAAATTGTGTGAGAGTGAGTCAGATGGAACAGCTAATAGTTGCTCTGAATTTGAGAAGTGTTACCAACTTGCACACTGATAAGGTTTTATTTTGAAGGAAGGCTATTAAGTCATCTGCATTCATCATTTTGGGAAATAAGGGCTGTTGGGACCTCCTGATACTTATTTTATTCAGATACATAGAAGCAGAAGTGTCCATTTCCCTTTATTTCACCATACACAAATATATCCTACGATTATCCAAAATGACAGTGGAAACCATGTAGGTACAGGACACAGAGCTTGTTTGTGAAAAAACTGAGACATTGGCAATCTGTGTGTTTTATGGCTCTTACATTACCTTTTGGGGTTTGCTATCTCCTGGTCCATTTGCAAATGACAGAAGGACTAAGGTATTCAGATGTGTTTAATTGTAGGTGATCAATTAACAGTGTGAATGAGACCAGAATGATTTCCTAGCTAGAGTATGAGTAAAACTAAGTCTCCTTACAGCTTTCTTCCACTAGACTGCAGTTGGTTATACTTCACATGTGATAAAGAAATAGTAACAGAGATACAGTAGAGTATAATATTTTAGCCCTTTCCTCCAATATTATCTTGGCATGTCTATCACAAATGGGGCTGGGTTGCTCTGGAAGCTTCTGTCAGAGATCAAAGCTTCAGGTCCCCGAAACACTATATCCGGCAAAGGACAAGCATCCACAACTGTAGGGTCAGGGCCCAATTCTGCTGGCTTGGGTTCTGATGACCCTTTCACCTTTGCAATTCTGTGTCCTGCCTGCTAGATCCAGGTAAAACATAGCTTGGTACAAAAGTGATTGCAGTTTTTGCCATTACACCAACCTAATACATAGTCTTCTTTACTTTGGCTCAGTTCTATGAACCAGCACTTTTCACAGTATTATGTATCAATGGTGTTCATCAAATATGTGGGTGGTTAGATGAATGAAGGAATGCTTGGATTTATTTGCAACCTGGCCTATAAATACATATGGTATCTGTCAGATAATTTTTTTCCTAAGCTACAATCCCGCTTTACTTTAGAAATCTGGGGAATAGTTGAAACATAGATATTGGAATGACTTGAGGCTTGGGTTTAATGCCTGCTCACCACTGCTAGGTTTGAGATCCTGAACAAGACCATCAATATCCATGAATCTCGGTCTCTCTATTTTTAAAAAGTAAGATCATACATTTACTTTCTTCTGTTAAGACCAATAAATGAGATACTGTATATAACATACATTACTTTTCTTTTCCTGGCTATTTTGACAGGATTTTTTTACTCCTTGGTCTTAAAATTGGACTTTTGTTTGTTGGTGGTTGGACTTTATTTTTGTTTTCCCAAATCTAAGATTGTATTAAAGTATCTGATGCTTTTATCTACACATAATGTTGTGTTGCTATTTTTTTTTTTTTTCTATCACTGACCTCTGCTGGGGGCAGGAAGCCAGGCAAAGCACTGGAGTAGGGGAGTCGTCTTATCCTGCACCTTAATATATATAAAAACATACTGCCTTTTGGTATAATACGTCATGAATAAATTTGAAAATGAGATTTTATTTAAATTATTTTCTATTTTCTGAATTGTAACATTCATTTTGTAAAAAATATTCCCACTCGTCACTGTTTATTGTTCTCTAAAATAAAACTGTAAAATTGGAAAGGTGGTTAAGCTATTTATTTTAAAGCTAAGACTCTCTCATCATTCATATCTTTCCCCAATTTCCATCATTCTATGACTCAGGATCTTTCTCCTTATCACTTTAACATGGCACCCAGGCTTACGGGCCATGAAAAACCTCATCGCGTCCTGGACAAGAGCATCCCTATCTCTTGGCAGCAGAACTGGGTTGGACGGTCCATTATCTGAGAAGAAGAGGGGAATGAGCACAACATTTAGAAAAGCTACTGTGGCAGACTCCGTGCAAATCAAAGATTTGGGGAAATGATCACATTTCTACCGCTCTCCTTCCCTCCACGGCACATTCTGCTCATTAATTCATTAATCTTTTTACCACCCCTGCAGCGAAGGCAACTATTATTAGCTTGGGTTTTTAGATGGAGAAATAGAACTAAAGTACAGTGAAGTTCAGCAACTTGCCCAAGATCACAGTGGGAGACATTGTTGGGAGTGGGATCTGAGCCCAGGCATTTTGTCTCCCAAGTGCCTGCTCTAACACAGAGAAATCCCCCACCTACCCTGTCCATTAGCATAATGGTTAAGAGAAACTGTCATTTTATTTCCTGGAGTTGCATTCACCTAAGCTGCTGAACTCTCCTGAACACACATACAGTTGAGTTGTTCTAACATTTACACTGCCAAACGTCTGCATAATTCCTCTCTTTTCCTTGTCTAACTGTCAGCAGCTGCCCTGCCTGACAGAATGCAGCCACTTGGTCAGGAAAATATAATTTTGAAAAAAAAAAAAAGTACTGTTACTTTTCAGCCCAGTGCTATGAAAGAAGCATGATATTGTCACCTAGTGAAACAAATTCTGAAAGGAAAGTCATATCATATTATTTTTATGCACTGGTCCTCTCTGTGCATCCTATCCCGAGGTGCAAATGACATTTTGGTTTATCACCACGATGCTGATGATGAAAATGATCTGACAGTCAAGATGTTTGGCCTGATCAACTTGTAACCCTTGATTTGATTTCAGGATACCTGTAGAGATATAGATCAGAGAGTAAACCACTGGGGGCTGAGGGCCTGCTATGTGCCTACCACTGTGCTGGGCTCACTGATTGTCACAAAGCCACAAGGTGGGTACTTCTGCTCTAGTTACATAACTGAAGAAATAGAAACCTTGAGAGGTGAGTTAGACCCAGATTGCTCAGCTACCAGCTACAGCCAGGATTTGAACCCACTTCTATCTAAATCACTCTAAATCATGTTAAATATATATATATATATATATGTATTCACATTTTCCTATATATTCATATTTCATATATATTTTCATATATGTATGAAAATAAGCAATAAGCATGTATCAATGATATTTACTTTTATTTCAGCTGAACTCACCTAATAGAATCTTTACTTCTGAAAGAGAGGGCCCTTGCATTAGAAATTATTTGCTGAGCATGAGCAGATGGCTGTGCTGGGTTATTGGGATTTTGTGGATGTGTACACAGTTGATTATCAGGTCAGATTGTAATAACTGTTATTCTTGAGGTAGAAACGAAATGCACTAAAAGTGAGGTATCCCAGCCTAGACTGCTGAGTAAATGAATCTAGAGGCTGGATATGTGGAGAGGAATTTAGTGTTTGGGTCTATTAGAATCAAGGTATCCAAGTAGACAAATGTGTATTCATTACCTACCAAGTGCCAAGCAATGTGACAGGTCATCTCTCCATTCAGAAATGTTGAAACAGCTCAGAAGGAGGAGATGAGTTGTTCAAGTCACTAAGCTAGCTAGTGACCAAGCTAAGGCTGAGTCCATGTTCTCCTGACTTCTCAGCATAATTGTCACTGTGTCTCAGGGTTTTGTCCCCTACACCACACCTAAACTTTCTGCACATCTGCCAACCAATTAGAAACCTTTCTCCTTTCTCTATCTTTCCTCTTTGTTTCTCTGATAAGCATACTGTGAGAGGAAGGATAATTAGTCCTTCCTGGAAAATTGTTTTTAATTTCATATTTAAACTTGGCTGAAAAAGTTACTAAATGTAGTGATTTTCAGGATATTTATTTGGAAAACACATTCAGAAATATTTATACACCTATTATGCTATTTAGCATGTAGATATGAAACAAGCACCATTGTAACTGCAACTCCAGTTAAGAAAATACAGTAAGTCTTTTACAGCACCTCAAAAGTTCCCATGCCACTCTTTCCTTTCCTGATAAAGGTAACCACTATCCTGACATATCAAATAATTCCCCCTATTTTTTCTCACAAACCTAATGTTGAACAGACAACACACCAAAATACTTGTACAATACAATTCTATTCATAAAAGTCAAAAGATAAAACTATCTGGCTTAGAAGCATATACAAGGGTGGCAAAACTACAAAGAAAAATAAGAAGTGATTTTTAAAATAATGTAAATCAAAACATGTCCTCTCTCTGCTACAGTTCATCAGCAACTTTTCTTTACCATAAAATAAAATTCTATTTCGTTACTCTAACCCAGAAATGTGTGTGAAATCTGGTGCTGCCCACTTCTCTGACTTGACCTCAATGCATGCTCCCTCTCTAGCCTTTGCTTTCCAGAAACAACTTCAGACTGTTCCAAAAACAGAGCAAACTCACTGGGGCCTAGCGCCTTTCCCAGCCACATTCTGAGGACCTTCACGTTGTTGGTACCTGTCACTCAGTTCTCAGTTTAATGTCTCTTCCTAAGAGGGGTCCTCTCCCTCCACCTCCCATCTAAATTACCTTCTATTCACCTTCCCATATTTTCATCATAGCATTTATCATTACTTAATATTTTGTGTTTTGGTCTTTACCTATTTTTTGGATTATGTCTGTGTGACTCCACTAGAACATAATTTTCATGAGAGAAGGACCACCTCTGTCTTGTCTGATGCTGTTTTTTTTAGCAACAAAAACATTGCCTGACCCGTAGTAGATGCTGAATAATGCCCGTTGAGTGAACAGTCAAAGAATAAATTGTCCCCTGTTTAGACTGCCATAGGTTAGGCTTTATGTCCCCACCCAAATCTCATCTTGAATTATAATCCGTGTAATCCCCATAATCTCCACATGTCAAGGGAGAGACCAGGTGGAGGTAACTGAATCATGGATGTTGTTTCCCCCATGCTATTCTCATTATAGTGAGTGAGTTCTCACAAGATCTGATGGTTTTATAAGGGGCTCTCCCCACTTCGCTTGGCACTTCTCCTTCCTGCTGCTTTGTGAAGAAGGTGACTTGCTCCCCCTTTGCCTTCCACCATGATTCTAAGTTTCCTGAGGCCTCCCCAGCCAGGCTGAACTGTGAGTCAATTAAACCTCTTTCCTTTATAAATTACCCAGTCTTGGACAGTTTTTTATACCAGCATAAAAATAGACTAATACAGATGGGAATCAAACATCAAGAATACATACATGCTTCATTGAATTCTGAGCTTTGGGCTGAGAGCTGGCCAGTGAGAAGAAACAGCCAGATGAAGAGGACAAGGAACACTCTCTAACAAACTTTGCACCAGAGGTGAGGCTAGGACATGAAATCTTGTCTTAGGATTCACAGGCAAGTAACGGATTCTACCTACTTTTTATAAGTCTCAACCCCACTCCCACCTTCTCAATTATGGAAAGAAGCTTTTGATTATACCATCCCCTGCCCATTCTTTCTCTCCTCGCACACCAATTAACAGGGAACAGGGGGAGCTAAGGAATAGAAAAGGAATGTGAGAACTCAGCCCAGGTGAGCTGGGACTTTTGAAGACTCATCCTTCTCTGTGTCTAGTCCTAACTCATGCTGCAGCCATCACCCAGCTGTGTTATTAATGGACCACAGGTCCCATTCAGGGTCAGGTGACCTTGTGAAGCAGAAATAATATGTCACAAAGATACAGTGTAATAAAAGATGCGTGCAAGGCTTGGCTAGCAAGCCAGCTTTTCTAAATAACATTCTGATTGCATTGGATGCCTCAGCAACCCCTCTATTCTTGCTGCCCAGGCACTCTGCAGCCAATATATGCACTGGATGATGAAAAGCCCAGGGACCCACTGGGCAAAAACCAAATCACATATCGGCAAAATCAGCAAAAGAGCATATAAAGCAATCCTGTTAAATATTTAGATGTGTAGGGCCCCAGAGCATGACACACACTCAACTAAAAATGTACTTTTTTTAAAACCAGGAAACTTCAGATTACAAACCACTGTAATATTGTGCATTTTAAAGGAGAGTGCATCTAAGAAGGATTTGTTGCATATTGACCTATGAGATTTAAATCATCGCCACCAAATCACACGCTGGTCTGGGACTGGGCTCATTGAATCACAGAATTAATCCCATACATTTACATTTTACTTCTTTTGTTGCAAATCACTTTCACAAGCATTATCTTGTTTGATGCTTGAAACAAAAACCCATGGAGATAAGTTTATTAGCAAGTTTATTTGATCCTTTACTCAGGACTAGGCAACAGATTATGCACTAGGAAAGATACAAAGAATAATTCACAATTTGAGAAAGAGGACACATGTAAAAATAGATAGATATTATCTCCTTGAGGGAAACTATAATGAAATGAGCATCGGAAGCATATCTAAGATAAAAGTAGAGTTTAACAGCAAGAACAAGCATTCATCATACGCCTGTTATCATCAAGAAACAGTCCAGGTTTTAGGCTTACAACTGACACCCTACTCTGACACCCTATATTTGTGCTCAGAGCACAAATGAAAAGATAGAACACTTCAATAACAGAATAATTGTAAGTAAATTAATATAAGTAAGTGCCCACTGAGAAATCCAAATTATGAACATGTAAGCATTTGGAAGAAGATAGGCTAAATAGAAGAATTATAGAAGAATTGGGTTGTGGGTTAATATTTGAAGGAAAGGTGATACAAGGATAAAAGTGTGAGTCTATGTTTTTAACAATGTATTAAGGTGTTTTATTAGTTGAGGGCTTACTTTTCACAAGGAGAACAATGTGAATTTTCAAGGATTACAAAGCTAACCAGTTAGAACCCAAATATATTGACTTCCCTGCTACAAAACGCTACCTCCAAATAAGTGACATGATCTGTTCATTGCAGAAATGATAGTCCCACTGACAAAGTAGGAAGCAGGAAATCTCCAGGGCAGGTAGGTGGGGATCCTGGATGAGGTATCTGAGCTGATTTAGAACATCATTAGGAGTCAGCAAGAGAAGACACGGAATAAGGGGATTTCTGATGGAAGAAAGAAAAAAAAATGAAAGAAGAAAGTCTTCCATGTGTAAAGCAGGGTGCCTTCCTTTTGGTAGCAAGTACTATCCAGTCACTGAGCCCAGCAGGGTCTTCATCTCTCTGCCTTTGCGACAATGTAAGGAAGAAAGGTCACAATGCACAGCCCACCAGGAGTGAGCACTGCAGGAATCCAGAAGCAAGTGTCAACACCGAGCAGAGGAAATTACAGCACAGGTCCTCCCGTGGCCCTAGCCACAGGGGCGAGTCCTGAGGACTCTGCTTGTGACAAGATCCCAAGGATGCTGCAGCTAGGAGCAGAGCTGAGGCCTCTGTGAGGCTCCTGTCCTCACCAGTCAGAACTCCCTGGGAAGGCCAGACACATTGAACCCACTGTGTCCTCCAGGCCACACACTTGATCACACTTACCTGGGTCCAGAAGATGCTGCTCTTCAGATTCTAGTCAAGGTCAAAACAGAGGTTTAAGAATATCTGGGAACTGACAGCAAATAATGAAGATGAAATTGATATAAAGCCTCAAGTATAAGTACATTTCTTCAGCCTTCTGTATTTTTCCTTTATCCTCTTTAATTTTCTTTGATGGTTCTTGAAGGTTTGGCCAAATAATTAAGGTTAAGTATATTAGGTTTCATTGAACCACTTTTGTTCAAAGTTAAAAAATGATAGTTATACTTCTTGAACTTCTCTTACTGAACTGGCTAAAGCAATGCTTTGAAGAAAAGGAATAGTCTATAGCTATAGCTCACCATCAGGGACAATTACTCACTGAAACTTTCTTTGAAGAGAAACCCTCAGATGGTCTCACCTCTTATGTTATTGATAAGACATTCAGAATAAAAAAAAAAAGTGAAGAACTCATGTAAATAAATGTGACACTGTTATTCCCCCCCCCCCCCACTGTAATGTCAGAGAAACAGTTACTACATGGACACTAAGTGCAAAAGAAATAAAAATTAAGAAGAATCTGAGCAATCCATTCAGTCGAGCATCACTAAGTACATCAGAAGACACAGATCTGGGCACTAGATTCACCACTTCTAAGTTGTGACTTTCTTAGAATCATCACTGTTAAATGTGGACAGCCTAATGGGAGCAGGTCAATTATGAAACGTGTATGCATGATCACAGTATGCCGAAGGTCTCCCACAACCACCAGTGTAGTTATTGCTAAGCTATTAAGCCAGGGCCTCAGTGTTAACAGAGCCCTGCCTAGACCCATACAGGAATGCCGACTGACCGAGAGATCAGCTAGGTTAGTTAAAGACAAAGAGAAAACCTAAAATTGTGTATCATTTTTACCTGCATGAAGAAAAACAACTTCTGAAATTGCCATTGTAGAAAATAATGTAACCATTTCTTCAGACTGGCTTTTGTTTCTTTTTTTCTCTCTGATGTTTTTCTGTAAATGGATTATTCAGGCAAGTGAAAAAGGCAAGTGAAAAAGCAAAATAAACAAATAAATAAATAAATAAACAAACACTGCTACTGTTTTCAAATTACAGCAACTACCATGGCTGTAGTAATCCTTGATCAGTGCTGCCACACTTCAGTAACAGTATCCCATATACTTCCTTCTTACCAGGAATCCTTAAAGTATGGGATGCATATATATGTATACATAATTTTTATCAGAACCTTCAAAACTGCATTCATGAGAGAAGAAATCTGCTATATGAATTTGAGGTTTAGTTCTGGCAAAAACACAGGAAAAAAATAAATCCTAAAATACAATTGTGACAGTATTGTTAAAAATATTGAATCCAGTTGACATCCTTTCTTCTGCCTTTTTTTCCCAAACACTGGGATAGGATATGGCTGTTGAGTCTGTCAACTGGAAAATCCTTCCTAAAGGGCAAAATGCAACATTATGGATCACAGTCAACCAAAAGGGGAAAAAATAAAGTAGAAAATTGTCCTCCAAGCTGATAAAAACCCACCTGCCTCCCATAACAAGGCAGAGCCATTCTTCACCACCTCTCATCCTGAAGACATTTAGAGGGTCATAATTTTCAGTTCTTTTTTCTCTTATTCTTCTTTCTTTTTCTTGGCGGGAGGAGGCAGTTCTGAAAGAAGCTACTTGCTGAAGACTGAGAGAAGATGGCCTGAACTAATTCATCTTGTGACCTTTTAGTGCCTTCACACTAGGGTGATTTAATAGCACTTAATCTGTCAAAAATCTGAAGTTTTGTAATAACTGTATATTAAACCAGTTTTTATGGAGCATTAGTGAAAGTCCTTTCAGTTTACAAAGAAAGAAAGAAGAGAGAAAACTTGCAATGTTTGTCCTCATTAAACTTCCAGAGACTCCCTACTGTATTCCTGTGCCATGCAGTGACTGACCCACAAGGCAGTCTTGTCCCTTCATTGTAGGGTGTCCCAAGGAGGGCTGGACCATAACTGGCCTGACCAGAGTAATGTAGGCTGGGTCATGCTGCTGATTCTGGAAATGGATTTCTTATTAAGAGCCACTGGGAAGATGCATGGGCAAACTCCACACCATTGGGCCTTGTGACTGTTTTCGATCCAGAGTACTTTGCTGCAAACCGAAAGGTGTTGTGATTGGTTTGTCTTGGTGTGTGGCTTTTTCCAATATTAACAACCAATTCCCCAACACCAATTGGGTGTCCAATAATTCAATTTAATTCTGACATTATCTAATGTCAGATAACGTCAGTTACTGTTAGGTCCCACAAGTTTAAGAGAGAAGTCCCACAACACTGCCCTTACTGCCAGCCACAAGCCCAGGTGACCAATACTTTCCCCCAGCTGACTACAAATTTGGGGGTTCTCATGATCCTTCCACAGGTTCAGTAGTTCGCTAATGACTCACAGAATTTGGGGAAGTGCTTTACTTATGTTTACTGGTTTATTATAAAGGACACAACTCAGAAACAACCAAATGGAAAGACACATAGGGCAAAATATAGGGCTGGGGGGCACAGAGCTGCCATTCCCTCTCTAGGTATGCCACCCTCTCAGCACCTCAATATGTTCACCAACCTAGAAACTCCTTAAATTCCATTGTTAAGAGTTTTTATAACCCAATCTCCAGCTCCCTTCTCCTCTCTGGAGGTCAGGGCATGAAGCTGAAATTTCCCAAACTCTAATCACCTGTTTGGTGTTTCTGGTGACCAGAACCATCCTGAAGCTATATAGCAGCACCTCCCTCAACCCCACTACCTGACTCTACTCAGGAGTATAAACTTATATGTAGTGAAAAGGATTAGAGGTTGGGAAATAAAATTAAATAAATATTTTATTTTACCACAGTCTGTGCAGTCTGAAAAAGCCAGGTTAGAAATGTTATCTTGAATGGGCCTAAAATTTTACTTCTTAAAATAGTGCACTTAAATCCACCTGCTGTTCATGCTCCTGTTTGTCTCCTTGCCATTAAGCCAGATCCTTTTTTTCCATATCTGTTTAATACCATCTCCCTACCAACCATCTCCTAGTGTTCAGTTTCAGCTCACCCTTCACCCAAGCCTTCTTTTCCTGACCTCCCAAACCTTACCACCTTTACCTCCCTTCCCCTTTTCTGAGTTCCTATGTTACCTGGAATCTGTGACATAAGCTTCATTCATGTTGGATTGTCCCAGTTGAATCATAACTTCTGTCTTGTTTGATGTCAAATTAGTAATAGATGGCACATTTAAGTCAGAATAAATTGAGGAAGATTTAATAGAAAAATTATTTTCAAAAGTGGTGATCAGGTACAAGAAAACCAAAAGGACACCAAGGCTAGCAATGGTCCTGTTACCATTCCTAGGCCTGAAGAGATGGAGGAAGGAGCTAGTGCCAGACCTGGACAAAGAGAGTTGTACAGAGATGGACTCCTTTAAAGCAGCTGTGATTTCTGCTAGAGAAATGGAATTAACCCCAGGTAATACCACAAAAGGGGATAAGGGAATGATGATCTCAAACCCATTCTCTAATTTCTCACTAGGGCTTGCCATTGGATGAATCAAACATGGAACCATGGGCAAGTAAGCCCACTGATGAGTTCGTAGAGGTCAGCCCCTAGGACAGAGAGAAGGCAGAGAGCAGCTCTGGAAGTACAGTATCACAGAGAATAGTTTAATAAACAATCTCTGAGTCATGGATCCAGAGGCCTATAGAAACTTCCCAAATCCAGATAGACTCTATTCTATGGTTGTCATACCCCAGTGCATCTTTACATCCTCTGTCTGCCTGGATACCTTAAAGAAGCACAGCAGAAGTTCTCCCAGCAACACCATATTTTGACATGACTCTCTTTCCTTTTTCTATTTTTAGGGAAAGGGTCTTGCTCTTTTCCCTAGGCTGGGATTTTAGGTATGTGCCACCACATCCAGCCATTTCTAAAGAATTTTTGTAGAGATGGGAGTCTCACTAAGTTGCCCAGGCTGATCTCAAACTCCTGACCTCAAGTAATCCTCCCATCTTGGCCTCCCAAATGATCTCTTCATTGACTGACATTTAGCAAAAAGAGCAAAAGGAACTAAGGGTCTATCAAGGATTTAAAGTAGCAAACACAAAGGCCAGGGAACAATACTCTGCATGTCTTCTATCTTTAAGATGCTCTTTCTCTTAGTTTCCACAAAGCTGCCTTCCATTTTTTCTCTTTCCTCACTGCAACTCCTGGGCTCTTCTGCTAGTTCCTTCTCCTTCATGCATTCTCTTTGGGCTCTTCTGGCTTTTGTTGTTGTTGTTTAGTTTTTTTATTCTACACCTTTTTTTTTTCTTTTGTTTTTGGAGACAGAGTCTCACTCCCACCATCCAGGCTATAGTGCAGTGGCACAATCATGGCTCACTGCAGCTTCTATCTCCCAGGCTCAAGTAATCCTCCCACCTCAGCCTCCCGAGTAGCTGGGACTACAGTTGTGTGCCACCATGCCCTGCTAATGTTTTGTACTTTTTGCAGACATTGGGTTTCATCGTATTGTCCAGGCTGGTCTCAAACTCCTGGGCTCAAGGGATCCTCCCACCTTGACTTCCCAAAGTGCTGGGATTACAGACTCGAGCTACTGTACCATGCTACACTTTCTTACTAAAAGAGCACTCAGTTGCCATGACTTTAATACAATGGATATGCTTATACCATGGAAAAATTTTAAATCTCAAATCAGACCTTTCTGGTAAATTTGAAGCAAGTATATAAAGCTCCTGACCTAGTAGCTTTTGTTGAATGTCTCACATATATCTCAGGACTCATCTTTGCAAATAAACTGATTCTTCATTTTTTCCTAACTCATTTAACAGTAGCTCTAGCCAGGGAGCTGTCCAAGCCAGAAGTGGGGGTCATATTATCTCCTTCCTCCTCTATCTCCCACCTGGAAACTATGCCAAATTCTGCAAACTCTCCCTTGCCCAGAGGATACATATTTTTTTCTATTCTAACAAAGCCATTTTCTCATCCAAACAACCACCATCTCTACTGAACTACCAACTGACCTATCTTTCTGCTTCTTCTCTTTGTTCTCTGCAAATCACTATCCTCACTGCTGGCAAAATGTGCATGTTAAAGGGCTAATCCAATTCTGTATTCTTCTTAATGCCCTTTACTGGCTTCCCCATGCACTTGAAATCAAATCCAAATTCCTTCCTCTGGTCTACAAGACCCTACATAATCCATGAACAGGCTCTGCCTTTCTCTACAGACTAACCAGCCTGAATGACCCCCTAACACTCTACTCTTCCATCACTCTTTGACCTACCAAACTCATTCCTCTCGGAGAACCTTCATTATAGGTGCTGAATGTTCTTCCTGAAGAACGTTATAGGTTGCAGTTCAATGTTACCTTTTCAGAAAATACATTTACTGATTGTCTCATGTAAAATAAATCTCCATCCTGTTGACTCTTAAATCTCCTACATGAGAAAATGACTGTTTTGGAATAGAGGAAATTATGTATCCTCTGGGCAAGAGAGGGTTTGCAGGATTTGGCAGAATTTACAGGTGGAGGATAAAGAGGAGGAAGGGGACCATATGACCCCTGCTTCTGACTTGGAAAATTCCCTCACTAGAGCTATTGTTAAATGAGTTAGGAAAAAAATGAAGAAGTAGCTTATTTGCAAAAATGAGTTCTGAGATGTATGTGAGACAATCAACAAGAGCTACTAGGTAAGTCAGTTTCATTCTTTCAGAGCCTTGTCACTAACTGAAATTATACAATTATCTGTTAAAAATCTTCTCCACTAGAATGAGAATCCCTAGAAATAATCAGTCTTCACTGCCTAAGTAAAGGCTGGTGCATAACAGTTCCTGAATAAATAAATATGTTTTATTCTGAAATTAGTAAATGAATGAATAAAATAAGTCAGGAATAAAAGGAAGTTCTTTCTCTAGTATTTCTTTAATTCAATTAATTAAGCACCTATCTATAATAACTTAATATATTAGTTGCTCATATAAAATATTTATTTTTCCCAAATACAATGAAAGATTTTGAAGGCTGGAGAATGTTTTATATAAGTTTCAGTCCTCATGGCTTTCAGCACATTATTTGCAGCCTAAGTGTTGCTAAGTAAATATTTGTTGAATGAATAAGTGGAAGAGTCAAATGGGAGGGAATGAAGGAACAAAGTACCTTTCTCTTCATATGATAACAAACTCAGCATCCAAAATAAACAGCTCTAGCCAACAGCAGCTTGAACACATCTGCTCATGGCTACTATCTTCTTCTTCATTTAATATTCTCCCCCAGTGTTCCTTATTTCTTTATCGTTTTAGCCTTTGCACAAAATCCAAAGAAACAAACAGGCACAACTTAAGGCCTCAGAGAAGCTTGGTTAAAGGATGAGAAACAGAGGTAAGTGGTGGATATGATTTAAGACAGGTACTTCAGACTCCATAAATTTCCTCAGTCAGCATTAGAGCTGTTCAATATTTTATACAGCATTACTTGCCTAGGTGTGACATCCAGAAAACCTCATAAATGTATAAGCTTTCTCTTTTGATTTGTTTTTTTCTCCCGGCATTAGGGGTGATTTCTGCCCATACTGCCTAAATTCTCCTCCTTCCCTTTTTACTTGTTCGCCTCAATTATAAATATCTGAAGTTTTCTTTGATTACGGTTAAGAAAAAGATTCTAGATCATTACCTTTATTAATTTAAATAAAACATGGAGATTACAACAGAGATCATTGCTTTATGCCACATGAACATGGGAAGTCTGATGAGTCCTGCATTCATTTACTCATCCCTCAGTCAGGATCTACTGTACTAAGTGTGTTGAAATAGAAACAGAGATTAATAAAAACAGGTCTATCTGCACTTTCTTCTCATGACATAGGTGTTGGACAAAGATTTCAAACTGGATTTTAACACAACATCAAAGTCCAATTTGTAAACTTGAGGCTTTCTTTTTCCCATAACCAACCCATATTCAACTCTATCCTATGTTTCATGCTGGTTTCTTACTAACTGCATGGAGTGTGTGTATACGGTAAGTGTACGTGTGTGTGTGTCTGTGTGTGTGTGTGAGAGAGAGAGAGAGAGAAAGAGAGACAGTTCTGCTTCCTACTGGACTTTAGGTTCCATTGAAAGAAGAGGTAATTCCTGCACATTTTACATACCTCCTGCATGCCTCCCAAATACAGTTTGGATATATAGCAGGCACAAATAATCAAATAATTCTATAACATTTCATTACATTTATATATTTTTGCAACTCAATTCAATTTGGCTTCAAGCTTTCATTTGCCAAGTTTAGTGAGCTCCATTAGCAGCCATGTTCTATGCATCAATTTTACTCTCTGAGGTCCTCATAGGACCATGGGGATTACAAAGTTTTGGAAATGGGGGAAATGCTCTGGTCATCACCCTAAGCTCTCAGTACTCACTGAAGGTTCTGTTGCTAGCTGGAACCCTCACCGCAAGGCTGGCTATAGGCCCCCTTATACTGTTCTAATAATTCTAGTACTTGTGATCATGCTCCATATGCACTCATCAGACCCAAGCATTTCCCATCCAATAACCTGCTCCACCCTGTAAATGCTGCATGTAAGCAGGCCAAATGCCTCTAGTAAAACAAATAAATACCAGTTTTTTTTTCTCAATCTTAAGAAAGTCATACTCTCCTCTGATACTCTAATATCTCCCCAGTAATCCAGTCCCTACTTATTCATTCCAAAAATTACCTAAATGTTGGTTCTCAACCTTATCAAACCCAACGCATCTATTTATAAAAAATAATACATTATATTTGTAACAAATATTTTATAATGCATCATTTTTATACTGAAATAAAATTCATAGCCTACTTGTTTATGTGATTTCACATAAACCCATAATAAAATTAATAATTCAAAGATTTGCATTGACAAAAGGTTAGACTTTGTTGGATAGAGATTTAGAGCAATGAAAGATAACTCAGGAGAAAATACCTTGATTATACTAAACTGTGGTGAAAAAATGGAAATATAGCATAGAACACAAAAGACATAGAAGACACAGTGATAGGCATGCATGCTTTCAACTTGAGTCCTGGAAGAAGAGAAATAATATTGACAAGAAGCAACACTTGTGGAGAAAATAGCTGAGAATTTTCTAATACTGAAAAACACACAAAAAAACACATCACATAAAATTCAACAATTACTACAAACCTCAATAAGGATAAGTAAAAGAAATAAACCCTAAAAACATCATAGTAAACTGTTAAAGAAATAAAAAAAGAAAAAGAAAAATCTTAAAATATCTAGCCAAACAAACTCTATTACCTTCAAAGGAGCAACAGCTGATCTCTCTCCCTCTCAGAGAAAAGTCAAAAGAGAGTGAAATGATATCTTCGAGGTGGTGAAACAAATCCTAATAATTCATAATTCTATATCCATTGAGGAACAAATAATGCCCCAGAAATGATGACCAAGTAAATAAATTTTCAGAGAACCGATAGCTAAAAGAGTTTGTCACTGGCATTCTCCTCATAAATAAAATATTAAAAGCAGAAGGAAAATAATCCACCTTACAAGAAAAAGTGCAAAACATCAGACAGCTTAAATATGTGGGAAATATGGGAAATATACATAATATATATATAAAATTTCTTTTCTGTGTGTGTATACGTGTATATATATTTGTATAATATGTATTGTACATAATATACAGTATGTAGGTCTTGGGTTGATGACCAGAACATTTCCCTCATTTACCAGACTTTGTAACACCCAGTCCTATCAGGACCTCAGAGAGTAAAACTGATGCATAGAACATGGCTGTTAATGGATCCCACCAAACTTGGCAGATGAAAGCTTGCAGTCAAATTGACTTGAGTTGCAAATATATAAATATATTTGCACACACACATACAGATATATACATGTACATGTATATATACATATATGCATATACATATATACATATATGTATTTATATGTCTATACATATATACATGTACATTTATCTCTCTGTGTGTATGTACATATATACATATATATACACGTGTATATATGCATAAATACATGTACATATACATACATATATACATATACACATATGTATACACATTTGTATATGTATGCATATACATATATACACATGTATACACGCATGCATGCACACATATATACATATATACATGTATGCATATATACATATATACATAGATGTATACATATATACACACATATACACATATATGTATATATGTAAACATATATGTAAACACACAGAGAGAAATGTACATGTATATATATGTATATACATGTATGTACATATGTACATTACACACAAAGAAAGATAGAAATGTAAGAGAGAAATGTTGGTAACTGTATGAGAAATGTATGAGAGAAATGTTGGTAACTGCCGTCAGGGTCAAGAAAGCCCTAGAAATCAAGAACTCAAAGGGCTTCTTGCTTGTCTTGCAAAATAAATAAGAAAATTTGATTTTCATTTTTCAGTTGATAATTACACAACAAGAAAGAGAAAGACAGAGAGAGAGAGAGAGATCACTTAATTTCTTATAAAGTTTCACAAATGATGGTTAAATACATACATAAAAGAAAGCATTACTCTTGCATTCAAAGAGACTCAAGTCTGGAAGCAATAAATCACAGCCAAAAATCATTGAAATAGAATAGAGAACAAGTGCCATACAAAGGTAATGAAAACAATTGCAAGTGAGATTTAAAAAAATAAAGGTCACTCTTATTTTTTGTAATATATATATATACCCTGATTAGTCATAAGTATTTTTTAAATGGCACAAAAATGTTTCTAATACAATGTGAGAGACTACGGTCAATGTTTCCTGTTCTCAAGTTGGAAAATAATTGTGCACTGGTATCCTAACTATACAATTTTTACTTAAAACTTTATGCCACAAAGTTTCTTAGTATAAGATTTGTTAAAATGGAGATCTTAGGTGCTACACAGAGATTCTGATTTGATTAATCTGGAGACTTAAGCAGAAGTCTTCATTTTATAAGGTCAACCGAGAATTTTGATGCAGGCAAAACTTAGGACTACTCCTTTAAAAGACTTTTCTGAAGATACTTAGCACATTTATTCTGATATGATGTATTTCCCAATTTAAATCAAGAGCGGTGGCTTCTCTCAAAAAAGTGAAGTATGTGGAGTGTAGAGAGAATCAGCTATAGAGAATGGCTTACTTTAAGAAGGGAGGTGTGCATCTTCAGCCCTAACCTGGTGACATGCTAGGCTCACTCTAGCATTGCTGAAGAGCAGAGTAAAAGGAGTCTATTTAGGGAATCAGTTCCTGGAGAGCTTTAAATGTTGGGGCCTGTGAATATTGAAAGCTGTGCCTTTTTTGTGTGTGTGATGGAGTGTTGCTCTTGTTGCCCAGTCTGGAGTGCAATGGTACGATCTTAGCTCACTACATCCTACGCCTCCTGGGTTCAAGTGATTCTCCTGCCTCAGCCTCCCTAGTAGCTGGGATTACAACCTGTGCCTTCTTTTCTGCAGCAGTCTGAAGATGGAAAAAAGAGGGTGGAGGGTGCCATTCCAGTTTCCATTTGCCTGTAATGCATTCAAAAGAATTCCTCTGTGGTTCCTGGAGCTGATTCTAAAGGGAGGCAGATCTCAAAAAACAAAAAGTTGGGAGTGGTGGGGCTGCCCGGGGAGCCATAGGCCAACCAAAACTAAGACCCAGCAGGAGTGCTACTGGGGACATGGATCGTTGTCATAATAAAGTAAAAACAAGATAATACTCTGTGATACAGATTCAGTAATAGGGAGGGCTAGGGTGAACTGGACCCTGCACCAAGGAAACTCATAAGCCATCTGTGCATAAGTCTCCTCACTGGCGGAGACAAACAGCCACTTACAGACACAGAACAAACTATAGAGAGACTGCTGTGATATCCACACCTCTGAGTATGTGACCAACTTTGAAAGATCTCAGTTTCTCCATTCCCTTTACTCAGGTCCCACTCCAAAAAGAGGTAGACCCAGAGTTGGTCAAGAAATGAAATTGGAGACCATGCTCAGAAGGAAAGTCCCTCAGAGCCACAGTTCAAGTCTCTACTAATGGGAAGGTGGGGGAAAAAAGTCAAGACTGTGGATTAAAATGGCTCTGATTTAATTTTAATAACAAAGTGACCATGAAGTTTTGGAATCTGCTTCCCAGCGGGAAGGGAGTTGAAACAGAGAAGAGTTGAAAGAAGTACAAGTTGGGTACCACTCAAGTGAAAATTCGAAATCTGAAATGCTCCAAAATCTTAAACATTTTGAGTGCCAACACGACACTCAAAGGAGAAGCTCAATGAGGCATTTCAAATTTCTGATGTTTGGATTATCAGATTAGGAATGCTCAACCAGTAGGTGTAATACAAATTTTCCAAAATACAAAAAAAATTCAAAATTCTAAACACTTTTGGTTCCAAGCATTTCGGATGAAGGATATTCAACCGGCATTTGGAAAAACAAAGCCTATTTAGTATTTGAAACTCCACTGAGCTGAGACCCCTCAATATATTGGTTCATAGCTATTCAGTAGCAGAAGTGCGACTTAAAACTGACCTGAATCCCTCCCTCCAAGTGTCTGGACACTTCCAGGTCTCACTTTCTTCTCAGGCCTGAGTAATTCCTCTTATACTCATACCCCTTGTGATTTCAAAGAAAAACTGTAACTTCAGCAGGTCCTGAGTGGAACATGACCTTTCTTTTGTTTTCATCCTTGTTATCTGAGAAAGATCTTGAGCCTAAATTTCAAGAATACAACAGAGTCCATGAATTGGCAAAGTCTTGAAACACCACTGATTGCAACTGATACCAATTTGGAGCCACGGGATCACCAGATGACTGACCTCGGCCTTTCCAACACAGGCAAGGTTGGGCTGGGACTGGCTGTCCATCAATCTGGCTTTCTTTTCTCCTGCACTTCTTGGAGTGCTAAGAGCTGCCTTGCAGGTGGGGAGGAATTGCATTACCATAACTCTCCAATTAGAGAGCCTCTCTGGCAGGGTGATCTGATCCCTTTCAAGAGCTACTGATGATGGCCAAGTTTTGCCACTGATCTGCATATCCACTTGCTCAGAAGACACAACAAGTAGCAGAAAAGAGATATGGGAAAGGCATTCTGCTGAATGAATTTGGTACCTAAGGGTTGCTCATAGACCTAGCTCCCAGGTATGGGGAGGATTAGAAATTAGTAAGCAGATTACTGTCCACTTTTACTGAGAAGACACTAATTCACCCGTTTCTGAAACTGCTTTGACTTAGGGATACTCGGAATCATCTGGGACATTTTTAGTTCAGTTGTTCCTAAGAAACTACCTGGAAGATCAGTGGGAGGACATCCTAACCCCTAGATAAATAATCGTACTTCTCTATTCATCAGTTTCATAATACATAAAAAGCGAATACTGGTAATGTAGTCTCCAGTGAAATAACAATAAGATCAGCATTTATTGAAAATTGAATAGATTTCTCTTCCAGTTCCAGGTATTTGATTCTAAAACTTAGATTCTAGTATATCATAAACAAGAGTTCATGTATAAATGTCTGAACACCCACATGTCTACACACTTTAATAAATACATACATGCTTTATTACATATTGCTCATTCATCACCTCATGTGTTTCAGTGCAATACATGAAATACATATGAAGTGATGAATGAGGAATAACCCTTAATGTATATCACAGTAAGTAACAAATCATCCAAATTCAGATCAAATAGTAGAAACTGGTACGTGTAAAGGTCAATGACAACATTTTCTATTTTATTTCGTTAAGTCCAAACATACCTGATGCAATAGTTAATCTAGAATAGTCAAGAACTTATCAAATCCCTGCCTTTAATAAATGTGTGCTTGAATGATATAAATCTTCCATGAGCCCAGGGTCACTTTGATCCTTTTAGTGGCTCATAAAGCAGCATGTATCCTCCTGCAGACAAAGGAGGCAGCCGCCAAGTCAGAGGAGAGAGCTGCAGAGGGGTCTTTGAAGGGAAGAAAGGGATTTGGTTGATTCTCAGATTGCCTCCAATACTGAGACTGCAGTTTTCTTCACTCGGTTTGGAAGAGAAAGACAATGAAAACTGGAAATTTTATAATTTGAACTCATCTTCTAATCCTTCCCCATTGCTATCTACAGGTTGGGGGTATGACATTTAATGTTCAGTGTGGTGTTCTGATGCAATCAAATTTGTTGAATGGAGCTTAAGTGCCCCCTGAAAGATCATCAACTTAAGATCAGAAACTGAATGGTCAAAACAAAGGACTGTTGAGGGGAAACACATGGCCTAAGCTATTTGGAAAGTGTTTTAGCAAAAAATGGTTTTCTCATTCATTTGCCGGTAACTAATTTGTTTGATAATTTTTTATTTCTAAAACTTGAGGTGGGTACAGTTGGTTTTATACATATATATATATCGATATATATATTTATATATATCGATATATATTGATATATATATTTATATATATATTTATATATATTTATATATATATCGATATATATATTTATATATATATTTATATATATATTTATATATATTTATATATATATTTATATATATATTTATATATATATTTATATATATATTTATATATATTTATATATATATTTATATATATTTATATATATATTTATATATATTTATATATATTTATATATATTTATATATATAAATATATATATACACACACACACATACATACATACATACATACATATATGAATAAATAGTACTTTTACATTAAGGGCTGGTTCAGAGCTGAGCTGCCAGTTATCTGAGGAGATTGTGACACAGTCCAGTTAAACAAAGGTCTAAACTGTCACACAGGCTGCTGGGAGCCACACTCTCCTTGCTTACATGTAAATATGAGGTAAACAAGCCATTTTTGCTTTCCAGAGTCCAGAGGAGGAATGATGAGATAGTGAATTTTAAAAGTCTTTTGGTGTTTTTTAGTAAAGACAGTTTATGAGGCCAGGGCATAAATATTATTGTTCTTCTTATTCTGATGCCTACTGAGTAACACAGCCTTGCTGAAGGCGTGTTCTCTTAGTAAACTCCGTCTAGAGATTCCACCAAGGGTCTGATAGGTGAAAGGTCAGACTTTTCATTAGATAACCCCCAAGCAAGGTTGGAAAACATGTTTTTAATAAGATGAGCCTTTTCCAGTCTAAGTTTTCAGTGTGTTGACATAGTTTCTCATATTGCAATTTCAGAATAAGTGCTTCTGGCAGGGCTGTAGCCAGCAAGTCTCCCTTTACTAATCTGGAAGAGAAACAGTGGTAAGCAGCATATCATTGCAAAGGCGGGATTCCTTCAGTCAAGGCAGGGTGAGGTATCTAATGCTTCTGGTGAACCCACTACCAGGCAAGACAAATTTGCTGTTACTAACTTTTCTAAAACTGAATAAAAGTTGTCATTTATGTTTGTTTCTATCCATTGATTTAACCATAATTTTTAAAAATATAATTATTTCAACAATTAAATGGTTCCTGTCACCACTGCCTCATGTAAGAATAACATACAAACATGGAAAGAGACGAAGAGAGAGTCTCTATATGGCATATACCTGGTTACAAAAAGTAATATGCTCATAATGCATGTTTCATAAAATATCTAGAAAGGGGGAATTCTATGAATCCATGCATTTCACTGTATGCATTTTAAATTTTTATTGTAAAAATAAATATCCAAATAAGTGTATAAGATTTATCAATAATCAATGATTTATCACAAAATTAATGTGTTACCACCTCCTAGGTAAAGAAAGCCCTCTCTGACCCCTTCCAACCATTACCCTCCTCTTCTAGTAACCACTAGCCTGGTTTAAAAGTAATCATATTAGTATATTTTTTCTAGTATTTTTCCCAAGCATGCATCCCTGAATACTATAATTTGGGTTCATTTGAGTTTTGAAATTCATGTAACTGAAATTATTCTGTATGCATGGAAGGCCTGTATAAGTTCCCTTAGCCACTCTGTCTTCAGTTCTTCCAGAAGCCAAAGGGATACAATATAGCTCAAAATTTCAGGCATACCAAAATAGGTGTTTGCCATAAATCACATTGTTAGCATCAACAACATGGTGTAGCCTGAAGTCTCACATATACAAAACACTGTTATCACACAGGTGGGGGTAAACGGAGTTAAATCTAAGGTCTTTGCACTTTCTGGGAAAATGGTAAATTAAAAAATTAAAGATCTGGATAATTTCACTCCACAGATCCCTGAAACACCATTGCAATGAGAAAGACAGATACTTTGGTATTGTTTAGGCAGGTTGTGGCCAGGAGGCATTCTTACTTCAGTAGGGTGGTCTGTGAAAAATGGAGAGGGGGGGCAGAAAGAGTACTGGTAGATCCTATTTCTGTAATCCAGGCAAGCCAATCCTTCCAGTTGGCTCGTATTTTGGGTTTGGAATTCTGACTTCTGGGTAAAAATATCAAGACAAAGTCCATATGTGTTCTTGCAGTGTGTATCTGTGTGGGAGTGTTGGAGCAAAGAGCATGAAGGGGGTGGGGGTTAAGAGATATACATGGCTGCTGTCCAGCTGATGAGGACACCCAGAGGTCATCCTCTGAATCTATGAGCAAGGATAAAAGGAGTTGACAAAGAACTCAACAGAATTTTCAGCCCTATGCACCTAAATCATTGCTTCCTGCTGGAAGTTGTAGAATGTCAGGATAAACATTATGAAGTAAATATTTCGCACAATGGGGAGGGAATTAGCTGTGTGCAATTCCCATTAATGCTAATGAGACTTTGGTGGTTAATTTCCCATGTCTTGTGCTGAATATTTGCCCCAATTAGTTATGTCAAGCTTGTGCCACACTCCAACCAAGTTTTCACTTTTGGGGAGGGGTGCCAAGGGGAGTGGGTAATTGTCCTCATCATTTCTTTTAAGTTCAGATGGTGAAGTCAAGGCAGGAGTCATCTAATCATATTGTTTGCTTCTTCGGATGAAAACCCTCTGAGAAGCTAGCATTTTGCCAAAACTTGCAAAATGCATAACCCCTTGGAAATCATTGTTTTCATTAGTAAGCTACCTGCTGGGGCATTCTCTTATAGGAGACGGGTTTATTTTAGTTTATTTATTTTACTCCATAGAATAATTTCATCTCTATTCTCATTAGACCTACAGTTTGGTTTAACATCCCTATTACTTCCATGATGATGCTCCAGATAATAGGAAATTAGAGAAGATGTAGGAGTGATTTTTACAAAAGTACAATCAGATGGATCAGTCCATAATAAGCTTTTATTCTGTGTACAAAATCGGGTTTTCTTTTTTGTTCCAAATAAATGTGTGTATCCCTCATTTAAGGTACCTCTCTCACACCTGCCTTCTATACTACATATATTTCTCATATTTTACCTACTGAAGTGTAAACTCCTGAAGAGTTGGAAGTGTTTTATGTGCCTTCGCTTCCCCTACTAATATCAAGCAAAGCATTAGACACTTAGTTTATATTTACTAATGAATGAAAATATATACATACATAACAGATATAAGTATGGAGTAATATCAGATAGTGTCAAACATCCAGTAGAAATTCTCTTTAAATCAAATCTTAGAGTATATGTAGCCACATTATATACATTTTCACAATTCCAAAAAATATGTTCTTATGAAATTTGACCTAGGAGTAATTTGTTAAAAAGGAAATAAGAGTGTGTTTGAAATAAAAATCGGAGTCAGAAATGAGGGTGGAAAGAAGAGACATTTTTGCAGTAAGCTTTTAGGAAAGATATATGGAAATGAGGAGAAATTGAATTCAACTTTTAAGCTGGATTCAGATGGCTTTTGTGGAGTGAGGAGAGGCCAGCTTATCTATATGCTACAATGGCACAATGCCACAACGGCAGGTCTTCTGTAACAAAGAGAGTGAGGACTATATAGCTCTGGGTTTTGAGGAAAGGAGTTGATGAATGTAAACTCAAAGAGGCTGCCTTGAGGTTTTTATATATCAAACCTCCCTGTTAACCCTCATAGTTCTTCTGTGGGAAGGAAGTAGGACTTGGTAGACATAAGAGAAAAACTTCTGGTCAAGAATCAGAAAGGAACTTTTAAATTTTAATTAAAAAACATATGCAGGCAGAAAACTACAAACGATTCCTCTTTATGCGTATTATCTGTAACAAAACAAAACACTCTTTAAGTGTTCCATTGAAACCTGAGAAAAGTAAATCCCAAAACAATATTAATGAGTAAAAGAAAATAAAACTAATAGTACAGTATCTCATCTTATAAATGTAAGCTATTTAAAATGTTATGAATGCAGTCTTTAGTCTTCACTCAGTAGATGCTCAATATATATGGACTGAATAAATGAATAGATTGTCCCAAAGCATTACCACCCCTACACTGGTCTTGGAAGATATTAGATTTTCTGTCCTTCAACAGTAGGTTAAGAAAAGTACTCTTCCTAAGCAGCAACTTCTAACCACCAGGAAAGAAGTACATCCATGTCCTAGCCATCGGACTTTCCTTTTCATATCATTGTGCATAAAATAATCTCAATGTTTCCTGTGTGCCAAGCAATACTGTAAACATGTGTATTCACTCATTTAATCCTCCCAATCACCCTATGATGCTAATATTAATATTACCATTATTTTACTATTGTAGAAAATAAGGCATAGAGAGTCTTGATAACATCCCCAATGTCACTAGTCATTAAAAGGATCAGGATTTGAACCCCAGAAGCCTGGTTCCACACCTTGCTTGCGTTCTTTCCCTTTTATTCTTTCTTTTGTTTTTCTTTACTTTTCCTTCTTTTTTTTCCACAAGAAAACATCTGTAATTTCTTTTTTCCTTCCCTTCCTTCCTTCTTTTCCTTCCTTCCTTCTTTTCTTCTTCCCTACATCCCTCCTTGTCTCTCTTTCTCTCTTTTTCTTTCTTTCCTCTTTCCCTTCCTTCCTTCCTTCCTTCTTTCTTTCTTTTTTCTTTCTTTCTTGTTTTCCTTCCTTCCTTCCTTTCTTTTTTCTTTCTTTCTTTCTTTCTTTCTTTCTTTCTTTCTTTCTTTCTTTCTTTCTTTCTTTCTTTCATCTCTTTCTTTCTAACTTCATTGAGATGTAATTCACACACTGCTCTGGGCTTCATTGTGCCTTCCTCCCAAATTCATGTGTTGAAGTTCTAACCCCTAGTACCTTAGAATGTGAGCATATTTGGAGATAAGATATTTGCTGAGGTGATTAAGTTAAAACTTAGGTCATTAGGGACAGCCAAAATTCAATATGACTAGTGTCTTTATAAAAAGAAGAGATGCCAGGCGTGGTGGTTCACACCTGTAATCCCAGCACTTTGAGAGGCCAAGGTGGGCGGATCACTATGTCAGGAGATCGAGACCATCCTGGCTAACATGGTGAAACCCAGTCTCTACTAAAAATACAAAAAATTAGCTGGGCGTGGTGGCACCCACATGTAGCCCCAGCTACTCAGGAGGCTGAGGCAGGAGAATCGCTTGAACTCGGGAGGCAGAGGTTGCAGTGAGCTGAGTTCACACCACTGCACTCCAGCCTGGGTGGCAGAGCAAGACTCCATCTAAAAAAAAAAAAAAAAAAGAAGAAGAAGAAGTGATTTGGACACACATAACTACAGAGGAAAGAGGATGTGAAGATACTGGAATAATATATCCATCTACAAGGCAAGGAGAGAAGCCTGGAACAGATCCTTTCCTCATAGCCTCAGAAGGAACCAACCCTGTTGACACTTTGATTTTGGACTTCCAGCCTCCAGAACTGTGAGAAAATTAATTTCTGTTGTTTAAGCCATTCATTCTGCATCATTTTATTAAAGCAGCCTTAACAAACTAGTACACATACCATACACTTTACCTACTTAACTTTGCCTATTTAACATGGACAATAAAGTGGTTTTTAGTATATTCACAAAGTTCTGCAACCAACACCACAATCAATTTTAAAACATACGTCACCTCCTGAAAACTCCATACTCATTGGCTGAGGTTCCCCACACCCTGCCCCTGGCAATCGCCAGTCTACTTTCTATCTCTGTAGATTTGACTATTCTAGACATTTCATAAAAATTAAATTATATAACATGTGGCCTTTTGTGTGTGGCTTCTTTGACTTAAAGTCCACTTACTCGACCCCATCTTACTATGCTATATTATTTTACCATCTTACCTCTTTATTCGTGTTTTAATCAATATATAATAATCTAACAATTACTCCTAATTCATATACATTCTTGATAGCACTCTGAAACAATAAATTTTAAGATAAATTACTGAAACATATAACTACATGGAAGAATGATGGTGAACTACAGTGAAAAAAATGCATTAAAAAGTAAAAATGCATTATAAAAAGGAATTAATCTAGTCAGGCGCAGTGGCCCATGCCTGTAATCCTAGCATTTTTGGAGGCCGAGGCAGGCAGATCACTTCAGGTCAGGAGTTCGAGATCAGCCTGACCAATATGGCGAAACCCCATCTCTACTAAAAATACAAAAATTAGCTGGGCGTGGTAGTGGGTGCCTATAATCCCAGATACTCTGGAGGTTGAGGCAGGAGAATTGCTTGAACCCAGGACGCAGATGTTGCAGTGAGCCAAGATCATGCCACTGTACTACATTCTGGGCAACAGAGCAAGACTCCATCTTAAAAAGAATTAATCTAGATGATATTGTTGCTTTTTCCTATGAATTATATAAATAGTTCTGTCTGCATTTCTGGGGCCTTTAAATGCCTCCAAAGCATTTGTCCATGCCCCACTTTCTGTTCAACATATATCAATGATGTAAACAAAAAAAGAGAGACATTTCAACCCACCATTTTAAAAAGTCTTTCCAAGAGCCGCCTGGAAAAGAAAAACAAATGAAAGACCTCATTTATAGGTCCTCAGGATTACCTTGGGTAACTCTACCACTGCAACACTTCTATCCTCCAAAATCTAGCACTTAAAGATTAATAAGCATCATAGCATAGAGGAAGTAAAGTAAGGCATTAGCTCTGTGGGTGTTTCTGGACTGGATATGAGGCAGAAGGAAATGAATGGCACCCTGATTCTCAACATTGGTTTCCATCCCATTGAATCCGCCTTGCATGAAGGAGCATTCAAATGTGATGATGCTCCCAGGAAGAGCTTTGGTTGCTCATTGGATAAGCATGTTTCTGGAAATATGAGATGAATTACAGTGCACCTTGCCGGGGACATGGAACCAGAATTGAAAGGGCTTCTGTAGTATCACGGATCCACCTGGGAACTAAGGTCCATTCACCCTGCAATGTAGCAGAGATAGACAGGAGAATTTTAAAAATTCATTTCAAAAGGGTAAGTAAAAGATTCCGGATGTGTGGAAAAGAGAGACACAGATGCCCAGGTAATTTAGAGAACTCAGCCATATTGCTTTGATTCAAACTTTCCCTTTTTTTTTAAATACATAAATGCAAGTTTAAAAATGTGTATTGGGACCAAGCCCCCCACCCAGTCCCCACTATATACCTAGATCTGGGCTAGGTACTCAGTGAGTGTTTACCACAGCAAGGAGACAGCAATGGAGCATACATACCCTAAGACAGGGCTCTTGTCCTATGCAGATCACCATCTACTTGAAGCTGCAACTGCACACAAATTAATCAATGCACAAAACAGAGGGTGCATGAACCAGAAATAAATTAAACAGTTCAGATTGTACTGTTAAAGGACTTCTTGCCTTTGTCTTTATTTATTATTGCCTTTAATTCTCTTCCAAACATAGATTGTAATATTCTCCTAAATATATGCCTGTTTCAAAATTATTTTCCTTAGATTATAAACAAATAAGTTTACAGGGTCAAGTTTTTATTTTATTCATGTTTAAATTTTAGAATCACCTCATCTGAGTGTGATTCAACTGGAACCAGATTTAAAAAACTCCATTAGGAGACTGGGTTTGGTCACCATGGGTGAAGCATGCCACCAGAGTGTTCTCATCTGATCTAGGTACATAATAAAGTCATGGGCATTGAATCCCATTAGCAAAAGTGTAGGAGAGAAAAAGAAATCTAGAACACAAGATACAAAGTAAGGAACCATTGCTATTGTCATCATACAGCCTCACATAGTTTATGTCCCAGAGCTTACAGGGGATAGATTTTGCCATCCTCATATCATAGAAAGAATTTCAGAGCCCCACCCTCCAGAATTAGTATTAACTTTTCTAGTCCTCACTCTCAGGAAATGGCGTAACCACTTAAGCAGCCAAATCTCTATTGGACATTTATTATATAACCCTGTCCCATGTCAGGAACCAGGCCAGAGACAAGTTGAGAAAACACTGTCCAAGAACTTGAGGACGATGTAGAAAACACCAACATATTCAATATAAATAGATAATAATTACATCAAAAGAGCAAGCCAGAAAAGGAATGGAACCTTATAAGCTGGGCAGTGGGTAAGGGAAGGCTACAGAGAGAAGGCAGATGAAATTTGACACTGACATTTGAAATGGTCAGGAGTCTTTCAGTCAACCAACAAAACCAGGAATTTATTGGTTGATGAAAACTCCAGGTATAGTGCTGATTTTAAGCATGCCTCAGTCCAAATGCTCAAATAATGTTTTTCTCATTTTGTGTCACACTGTCTCCCACCTGGTCTCAGCACTCCTTTCCTGGGAGTTTATTTTCTTTCTCAGGCAACTCTTTTCACAGAAGAAAGAGGGCCACTTCCAGCTTCTGGTTTCTATCAGTCCTCACTATTTGGTATCCCAGCGGCAAAGCATTTTTCCTCTCTGGTTTCTGTCTGTCTAATGGAATCTCCGTAGGACACCTATTGGCTCTGCATGGCTGGGAACTCACCTTGTAGGCAGAGTACCATGGACAGAGTTGCCACAAGTATCAAATGCCCATCCCTGAGGCCAGGAGTGGTGAGGTAATATGAGTGACAGTCCTCTCATAATCCATGAGATGGGGAAGGGCAATCACCTAATAGAAATGAGAGTAGGTAGGTAGACATGAGCAATGGCTGTCCATGCATCTTCAACAACTGAAAAATAATGTCTAGGCAGAGAGAAGAGGTGGAAAGCTATAAAAGTGTATTGATAATATATGAATTAAGTTTTATAGAAGGAAATTAGCATGGTACCTGCGTTTGGAGAGGAAAGGAGGATGTGGTATAGTATGTGCAGAATATATTGATTACAAAAGAAAATCTAAGCATGGATATCATAACATTTCTTCTTTCTCCCACTTTCCACTTCTCCTCTCTTTACAGGGTAAACCAAGCAACTGTTTGTGGAATGCCCGATGAGAACAAAAACTAATCTAGTTGATCTGATATAAGATGCGATGCCAAACTTTGTGAGTTCACATACCAACTGTAGAGAAAATATATATATACATATAGAAAGCTGTCTAACAGTGGATGCTCACAGATTAACACACAACCAAGTCTAATACTCCAAAATAAATCAACCTTTACAAGGCAGCCCCCAGGCTTGGGGTTGACACTTCAATATGAAGAAACCAGGTCTAGTGAGCTTCCTGTACGGGTCCTGCTAGACCAAAGTTGGCCTCAGATTGCAGCCTCTTCCTCACCCTGTGAAGGTCGGATTGAAGCTCAAAAGAAATCCTGGCGACATAAATTGTGTAAAACAACCACTTCAGGGTGTTAAACTGAACTGAAGTCTGAATTTAACTGCCCAGCAAATCACTGAAAAGGGACTATAGCAATATCTTTAATAGATGATATAAATACTTAGGGCATAAAACTGCCTATTTTACTTATTTCCATTACAGCAATTCCCCTCCTCTCCCAGACCTGATTAGGACAGATAAACAGGCTCTCAAGCTTCTGTTTTCTGCGCATGTGCATTTTTCCTAAGTTTACCACATCTTCCACAACACCCAAACTTACTTGTTTGGGTTTTATCTGAGATTCATAACTGGGAGACCAGAAGCAGGGGCCAAGACCTACTGTTTTGGACAGGACACTTAGATTACTAAGGTTCGTAAATTCCAGTGTTGGGCACAGTTTCAGTCTGATATAAAACCTGTCAAAATCTAGTCTGGTCCTATGTCATCCTTTAAGCTCCATATCCCTACTGCCCAACCCAATTCCCACCTCTTTTGATGACCCCTGAGCACATGATTCTGTCTTCCCTCCTGTTGTGACCATGATGGGTTGCCTGTGTGTTCATTTTCCATGTCTGCATCTTTTCTCTCAAGTTGAATGAGTAAAGATTTCTCTGAGTCAGAGACCACCTTTGATTTTCATTCTCCAGAGCACAGTAAAATGTCTTGGGAGGCAATATGAGGAGTTGGGGGATCAGCAAGCAGTGTTTTGAAGCCATAGAGTTTCAGGCATGAAACCAACTCTGCCACTATTATTTTTGTGCCACAGTTTGCTCCTTCTGTAAAATAAGGATAACTACCTAACTCCTAATTGTTAGAGTTAAAACAAAAGAGTAAATGTTTGTTTCTTTCATGCTGTTCTTTTTCCTTTTCCTTTTATTTTCTTCATGCTCATTGGTGTACCTTCTGGATCCTTAATGATTATTGTTGACAGGTCCAGCTGTTCTTCCAACACCTGGAGACACACGTCATATCCTTTCTGCCTCTCAAATTCTACCAGCATTTCAAAGTCCAACTCAAGTCCTAATTTTCTCATTGTCTAACTGTTCTAACTTTTACTATTTTCTGTTGTCTCCAAGAGCCCTTTTTACTTTATCCCAATAGCCAAGTACTTATTACAATTTTCATATTTATTATTTTCTCATTCCCATCAAGCTCCTTGATAGCAGGGGTTACATTTTTTTTTTTTTTTTTTTTTTTTTGCCTTTTTTGTGTGCCTCCTTATAAGTAGCGAAGTACTGGCCTATTAGTAGAAACAACATAAATAGGCGTTGATAACATAGACAAAAATGATGCCACAATCAATAATGTACCAAGCAGAAAATGATCAATTATAACAGAAAGGCTACAAAAATTTGGTAGGAATCAAATAGTCTTCCAAAACATTTTGCACATATTATCTTACTGAAACAAAGGCCTAAATGTATGTTTTTCAAAACTAATCATATACTCAGGAAGGAGAGATCATTGAATTATTTAAATTTCTCCAGAAAAAGCTTTTGTAGAAAAGATATAATTTCTGGAGAAATTCAAATGGTTCTAGTGTCAAGGATACATTAAAAAAAGCTTGCAGAGATTGGATAATGTTATTTTCCTATAATATATGGTCTACCAATCAGCCAGAAAATGTGTAAAATATGATTAATTCCTTAGGGTCCACTTCCCCAGCCTAATTGTGTTGTTTCTTGTGTTCCTGTGATCCCTTCCATCTGTGACCATATAGATAAGCACTTCTGTGGATACTTCTGCCTTCTTTGTGGTTTCCTGTGTGTATGATTTTGTTTCTAACTAAATTTTAACTTTCTTTCAGAGAGAGAGATGTTTTCCATCTTCAAAAAACCTAATACATACCTGAGAATACAGACGACATGCAACACATTTTTTTCATTAGACTCACTAAATTTCATCCATTCCAAATATCACTGTGAAATCCAACTACATCTCAAAAGCCTGCTATCTTTCAGTAAGGAAACACATGACAGAGTGCCACTACAAACAGCAATTCCTTTTCTAAACTCCTCTAGGAAGTGAAACCATGTTGCACAGTAGAGCATAACAATTTGAAATCCTGAAATACAAAGCAAGGTTGCACACCCAAAAATGAGGTTCATCCCCCACACTGTGGCATCTGGTTACTAACAGAGGACTAATTTCTGTCCTTGGATGCCTGAGTCCACCTCCTATTACACTAACTTAAATGAAAATCCCCAAGGGGGAACTTGACCCTAACGATTTATCTGACAGTATAGCCATATTAGATCCTTTCAAATCCTTTAATTTGCAAAAAGTCCCAAAGTCAGTGAACCAAACAATAGCAGCTCTCTCCCCATGCTGTGTAACTTGGGTGATATTTATGGACAGGGAGAAGTTCTGTGTACAGCAATTTCCTAATCAAGTAAGAACAAACGGAGAAAGCAAATCCATGAAATAGGAAAGGGCAAGCCCACCGAGCTATAACTCAAAAGGCGGCAGAGAAATGTTAGTGCCATTATGCTGCTGAGCCTCCTGCTCCAGTCAAAATGCATCCATCAGAGATGTTACAGAAGCTGAAACTTGGGGAAATGGCTGGAAGATGTTTAAGCTAGAGCCTTGTGACAGCGTCCCTGTGGAAGAGGGCCCTGCAAACCAAAATGGGCCTGCATCTAACCTCAAATATCAGTTGCATGTCTCATTGGATTCTTTTTTTAATAGGGTATAATTCATCATTGGCTGTTTCTGAGAATCTTACAAATTCAAATCCAAGAAATCTTTTAAAAATACTATTATTTGCATGTCAATACCCGGGAAAGACTGTATAGAACCTCACAAACAGAAGAAAAGACGGTCCCATCAAAATGGAATATTCCAGGAGCTGGCTTTTGTTTGTGATGTTCCTGTTGCTTGTGCCTGCAGATGATGTGCCCTTCACTTGGAAATCCATCTCTCTACTTTTCTGCCTTCAGCGACTTTAAATATGAAGTGCTTCCGGCAGAAGAACCATGTACTCTGTTGTTTTCCAAAAGCTCTTGCAAGACCCGGTTTCACACCATGAAATCCCCACTGCCAAGAAAATCTTCCCTGAAACATGACCGAACTGCCTCCATGCTGAATTTCCCATTGTTTCTTCTCTTCCTTTCATTCATAGGAAAGAGAATAACCCGTTTTCTTTTTATGACTCTGTTTATATTCACAGACTTAGACATATGGAATCATACTTCTGAATCTATGGAATATAACTGCAGAATTTCTCCACACAGTGAGCACCAGAAGGTAAAAGAATGAGAGAACATCAGTGCTCAAGGGATTGCAGAGTGGCTCCCTTTCCGCTCAGCTTCCTGCTGTTTCCCACTTGATGACCGGAAGTTGGGGTCATCTGCACAGCGTCCAGTTCTCCCTTCCTCTACGGCATTCTGACAGTAGAGAAAGGTTGGCCCCACAGACCCTACATTAGTTTCTTTTCCTCTTGTTCCATTTTGAGCAGTTTACAAAAGACTCTTAGCCAGTAAGCTAAGACGATTATGAGTCGTCTCTCATGAAAGGCAAAAACAATGTCACACTGAACAGATTTTTAATTTTCTCTGAGACTTATTTACATGTATTTCAATTTCCACTACTCTACATCTGTTTGTTTTTGCGGAGGGTTGTAGGTGGAAGCAAAGGAATTCATAACATGGCTACCTTGGTGAAATTATCAGTCATGTTTTCTGAAACCTCTAGACCAAAAATGTATATAGAGATGGAGCACAGCATCTCCATTGGGCTTGGGTCTAAGTAGCAGTGAAGTTCAAATATGAAAGGTCCTGAAGTGAAAAATAGTGGTAGTGGTCACCCAAGATGAATGTTTGAGACTGGAAATGTTTAGAAGATCTGGAGACCTAGGCAATAGCAGAGCCAAAGATTGTCACTCATCCGAATATAAAGATCAATCTCATAAATTCCTAAAAAATTAAAACATATTGAAAAGAAAAACAGGAAAGGGTCTTAATTATAAGAATGTTTTAAAAAATGTTTAAGGAGCTTGGTAATGGGAGAAAATATAATAAAATAAGGTATTGTGATGAGGAAAATAGAAGCAAAGTCAGTTATGACCACAGACTAAGGTAAAGAGAGGCCAGTAAGTACTGAGCTATGTATGGTTCCCCATGTTCATGACAAGAGCCCTCCAACCACCCAAGGTTCCTCCCCTCCTCCAGGTTGCTCAAGTATCTCATGACCTGGAATCATGGTTAAGGACACTTGATCACCAGGCTAAGGATAGAAATTTGCTACACTTCTTATCTCTGACTTTAGTGGCTGAACTTTCTGACTAAAGCATGTCTGTCAAGGAACGCTATGAACAGAGTCATGATGGACATCTAAAAGAGTTCCACAGAACCACAGAAGCATTTTCTAGAACAAAGTTTATACTATAGGACTAAAAGAGGTATTGGGATCCCTTGCTCCAGCAGTTAAGGAGTTACCATGTTATAGCTGACACCAGCTAAGACCCAGAGATACTCACAGGATGAAGGATGGAGAACAGACTAGAATCAGAACATCCCACCACTCAGCAGAGGCCAGAAAGACTTCCCAGAATGCACACTTCCCCATCTTAAGTGTGTGGCAAGAAGTCCTCCCAACATTTACAGAAACTTTAAAATCAATTAGTGTGTTGGCTTCTGAGAAGATATTGTAACCTGTCCAGAGTAATAAAGTCAGCAATGCACAGCACTACTTCCCTCTATGAAGAGCTTGAATAAATAAGACATTTATAAAAATGAGTGGAAAATCTGAAATGAATATCCCAAGAACCATGAAAAACTAAGCTAAAAGAAATTGAATTTTCTTTTGAGTCTCTAAGAGAGAGGCGGCAGTTGAGGATTTTTATACATAATTTATAAGGAAAATTGTCCCGTTCACTCAGGTATACACCATATCAGTTTGTGGGAAAGACTAAGCAAGCTGTCTTCTTTTTAATTGAAATCAAATATAGGTGCGGAAGAAAATGAATTCTGACTGAGGCAGAATGCAATGAGTCACATGGCTAAAGGCTTTCTGGAGTTTACATGACAGTTTTGTGTGTGTGAGTGTGTGTGTGTGTGTGTGTGTGTGTGTGTGTGTGTTTAACAGAGTAACTTTAACCTTATTTTGCCTTCTTTATTGATTACTAATAAGAAAAGGCCCCAAAGTAAAATCCCACTTAGTGCTAAAGCTTCCTGTTCTTATTTTCTTTCCATTCTAAGGAAAGGTGGCCTTAGCAACACATTTCTCACTGGATGCCTATGATTTTGAACGGCATCAATAAAATACTCTGTGCTGTTTATTATTGTTTCCTAAAATGTTATTATAAACTATTCAGTCCTTGGAATTTTTTTACCCAAAGATAACTGTCTAAATTGTGAATACTCCCAGATACACCACACTAACTCCTAGTAATGCGAGGTAACTCCCTCTAAGCATCAAAGTAAGAGGATTCAGGGAGGTTGGGCCAACAAAAAGAGAACACCTTTGGGCCAGGTGCAGTGGCTCACGCCTGTAGTCCCAGCATTTTGGGAAGCCAAAGCAGATGGATCACTTGAGGTCAGGAATTCGAGACCAGCCTGGCCAACATGGTAAAACCCCATGTCTACTAAAAATACAAACATTAGCTGGGTGTGGTGGCAAACACCTGTAATCTCAGCTACTCCTGAGGCTGAGGCAGGAGAATCGCTTGAACCTGGAAGGTGAAGGTTGCATGAGCCGAGATAGCGCTACTGCACTGCACTACAACCTGGGCGACAGAGTGAGACTCTGTCTTGAAAAAAAAAAAAAAAAAGAGAACAACTTTGGGGGAAAGCCCTAAGACAGTGATGTCACAATTTTGCCACCAGGACCCGGGATAGGCCAAGAAGATGGATTCTAGCAATCCCTATAAGAAGCATTAGTTATTTTCTGTGTGTCTGTCTTGAGACCTCCTGTCATGCCTTTTCCTCATCCCAAGAACATCATTCTGATACGCTTTGGATCACAGTGAGTTCCTTTAGCACCAGTAGCATGTAGACATTCACCTATGTGCCATTCTTATGTCATATGTTCCCTTGCCATTGTTTTCTGGGTATTCAGTATATTTTTGTTCTGGGCCCCAGTGTAACTGAAGAGCTAATGAGTGCATCTGTCTTTGAGAGCCCTATAGCATCTGCAACAAAGCTACTCCTACTAAGCAGATTCAATATTAATAATACTAAAACGAAAAAAAAAGGATACAGTGCTTTAGTTTCCAGAAACCATTTATTTCTGTAATTGTTTACTTATATAAACTAAGAAAGAAATTAAGCAAGAAGGTATTACTATCCCAGGTTAACAGAGGAAGAAATAACCATTGAAATAAGAGCCACCACTAGCTAACTTTCATAGAAAATTACACTATGTTAGGCACTCTCTTAGGCAATCTTTTGAGTACATGATAATATTAACTAACTTAATAATTTCAACAGTGCTGTGATGTAGCTACTATTATTATTCCCATTTTATGAAGGAGAAAACTATAGCTTTAAGAATTTGAGCTACTTTCTAAAGATCACACAGGCAGTAGGTGGCAGAAATTGTCACTTGAATCTAGTTCCATTGAATCAAAACTCAATTATCTTAAATACTGCTATTCTAAAGAAGTCTTAAAGTACAGACGTAATTGTTCTCAAGATCGTATTTCCTAAGTGGCAGGATATGGACTCCTTCTGGATCTAAGTTCTTATCAAATGCACTTTCAACACTACCTTGATATTTATGAAAATGCAGGCAATTTGGCTAAGGAGCAGAATGTTAAGGTACACTTGATCCTGTACCAAAACTTCAGCAAACACTGTTCCTCAGCTGCAGACTCTGCTTACAGTGGAAATTTCCTATGGCTCTATTGGATGGTTTCAAGACATTCTATCTACAAGAAATGCAATGGATTTAATGGTATCCACTAAGCTTATGGTAATTTTAGCCTTTCCAACTTCTGGCAAAAGAACATACAGTGTGAGCACAGGGTAAATTCCAATCTAAGGCTGAAATTTTGATCCTCCTATGTTATTAGCAGAGTGAGTCACTCTGAGCAGCAGCTACAGGGTACATTTCTTCTGGTAACCTCTTAGAATATGACAATGAATGGATGTGAACCCAAGCACACTCAGATTTTAGAGTTCTACTCCAAAGTATTTAGACATGGCAACAATGTTAAGATCTGGTCATTTCCTTAATTATGATGATTATTCTTCTTCATAGAATAGCTTTCCTTTTTCCAGTACATACATTTGGTTAAAGAAGAGAAAGCTGAATTCGATTTATATTTCCTACTTTAAAAATCAAGTCAACATATTTAACCAAATTGCCAGGTGACGTGCTGGTCTAGGTCTATGTTCAAATTTGAAGAAGTGGTTAATAGAGAAGGTTTAGATTCTGATCAGGAGCCTCCTCCCAGTTGTGCAATGTTACAATCTGTTCTGTACTTTGACTTGTTCTTATGGAAGATACTTTTTGTACAGTTAAACCACAGGCTGTAAAGTGCTAGTTTGTACATTGTCTATAAAGTAGTCCGAGATTGCTCCAAAATATGAAATTCATCTACATAGCACCAAAGAGAAGAGAGGAGAAAGGAAATTATTTAATAAATTATATCAAATTATCTCAACTCCCTGGACCAAATACAAAAATTGGAATGGTGAGTCTAGTGGTATGATATAAATTCACTTACAGAATTGGCTATTTTTTCTTAGATGAAATTCAGTGTTTGTTTATACTTTTCTGTTAATAACATCATTCAATAAAATTCCATTAAAAAAACAAACAAGAAAAAAAGAGAGAGCTATTTATAGATGTAATGGCAATGGCTCTTTAGGGCCTAACAGTATTTCTCAAAGTGTGTCCCTAAAAACATTTACATAAGAATCACCTGGTGGTGGCTGGGCACCGTGGCTCATGCTTGTAATAACAGCACTTTGGGAGGTCAACGCAGGAGGGTCACTTGAGTCCAGGGACTTGAGACCAGCCTGGGCAATATTGTGAGACCTCATCTCTATAAAAAAAAAAAAAAAAAAAAAAAATTAGTCAGGTGTGGTGGCAGACACCTGTAGTCCCAGCTACTCAGGAAGCTGAGATAGGAGGATCGCTTAAGCCTGGGAGTTCCAGGCTGCAGTGAGTTATGATTGTGCCACTGCACTCCAACCTGGTGTTCCCTTTATGGGAACACCCTGTCATCAACATTTGTAACACACTCCATAAGTGATGGTTTTATATTACAGTTTGAGAATCACTGGCCAGGTTCCTAGGAAAGCTAGACGTCTGTGGAGCACAGAGAGTCAAAGGAGAGGGAAGGCCACAGCAGCCACAGTGGAAGAGGGAGAAGGAAAGGCCTCCTGGCAAGAATTCCTCAGTTGTGTTGTCTCTGGTGTAACAGCTGGCACAGGATACTGGAGCCTGTGAAAGGCGAGCCCTTCCGGGATAGGAACATGGGCCCAGGGAAGCTTGTGTCTTTGGGAGAGGGGATGGTGAAAGGAAGAGAAGAGGAAGAGCAGGGTTAAACCCTTTGATCAGCTCTCCCCCTCCTGGGATTCCTCCCCAGGGAAGAGGCGAGCTGCTTGATTCCAGGAGAATGATTTTGAGGCCAGGCAACTTGGGCCCCACCCTGTATATGGGGCTCTGGCAAGAGATCATCAGGAAACCTGAATAACTTATAATGGCCATTATCAGATCTACTCAGCAACATGATAGGGTAAGTCAGAGGGAACAGGGTCAGCCTGTGGAATGGTGCCCTGAGTTTCCTTTTTGCCTGTGAGGGCGGGCATAGAAGGCAACTGAATGGAGAGCAGTGGCTTTGCCCTAAGCCTATCCTGGTTTGAGGCATCATCTCCTACCCGGGCAGCTGAGACCAAGACAGATAAAATGAGATAATGTGTATAAAGTATTTATCAATGTGCTATTTTAAAAGTTAGCTAATAGTATAAAGTATGTGAAAGTGCTTTGGGACTCCATAAACTGAACAAATGAAACATATAGAATTAATAGAGAGAAGTTTGTAGTTCCAAGAAAATTTAAAATTGTTGTTCATCTACGACATTTACAGTGATTTCAGAATTGAGCTTCATAAACCCTAGCAGTTTCTCTGAAGCCCCTTCCTATCACTTTTTTGTCCACTGTGGGAGGATGAAACTCTAGGAGAGACTTCTCATCATCCACTTCACCTCTACTTCACCATCCTGTTGATGATTCTACTTCTTACTATAATTTGTTTGATGAAAGTTTCTCAACTAAGAAAGCATATGAAAAGTATTGTTCTCGAAGATAAAAAATTCACTAGGACTCCAGTAAGAAAAGTAGTAATATTCTAAGATACATACCAAACACAAGCAGCTTTAAAACCCAGAGCTGTTGTCAATCTTACCCATAATTTCTTTCCTATTTTATTTAATAATAAATGGAATTGGAATCTCAAACTATACCTCCACTGCATGCAATAGTTTATAATGCCAAAAGCCCTGATCTGTTTCCAATAAAGAACAGGACACTGCATTGACTCCAAGAGTTTACAATAAAACTCACTGAATCCCTGGGTTCCCTAAGCACTGCCTTGCCACAAGCACAATGAATTGCCTCACAAAGCACTAATACTTTGAATTACTGTCAGCACCAATTCTTATCTTCTAGAAACTGATAAAACAATCAATAGAGGTTTTCGTGTGTGTGTGTGTGTATTTGTTTCCAAGGAGATAATGATGTGCTCAGGGTTATAGGGAAGGCTTCCTGGTCTCCAGAGAGGAGCAAGGACTATAAGACAAAAGCTTTGAGAAAAACCACTGGCTGTGCTTGGTGTCCTTGGATGATTTTTTCACTCTTTGTTCAAAAGTTTTCAATCTGTAAAGTGGGATAATAGTTGGCCCATTTTCTGAACCCAGAGTTAGGTCAAATATAAAATCTAGAGTTATAGAAGACAAAAGGGCCTCAAATTATTTAGATACCATTACTTTGTGATCTCAAATTAGCATCAACACCAGATTTTTATTATTCTCCACCACTGTGTATTATAGTTATCCACTTACCTGTCTCACCCCTATTAAAACAGGACTCTGCTGAGATTCAGGGCAATGCCTTAATCATCTCTGTCTCCACAGCACAAAGATAGCATCACATATCTTAGAGACTCATTTATTACTAATTGTTGTTTGTTAAATGAATGAAAGAAGAAAATAAATTAATGCATAGATTAATAAATAAAGGTATTGAGCCATTTAAAATTCCACTCACACATCAGAGTTTTTATAAAATATCCACAAAATGGTCCCCAAGCCTTGAAACACATGTACCAAAGAAGATGACCAGGATGGCTGGGGCGGATATACTGGTTATTGGTAGTCACATCCTATTGTCATACCAAAATTAGGTAATGTCAGCCAGACGCTCCAATATTTTCCACATGCTATGAATTCATATCAGTTCAGGTACCTTTTGAGTCCAGAAGCAGAAGTGTCTATGAGTCCGTAACAAACACTAATATGTCAACTTGGTCCCATATTTAACTTTATATTGATGAATGACACACATAGATAAAAGTAAAAAATCAGGTGTCCAACTTGATGAATTTCCAATAGAACAACCCCTGTAACTAGTACCCAAGTTAAAAAAAGAATAAACATTACCAGCACCCTAGAAGCTCATCTTTTTGCCTTCTTCCTGTCACCATCCCAGCAAGTGCAAATGCAACCCGTATTCTAACATTGTGCATTAGCTCAGCCAGTTTTCAAAAGGTGTACCCATGAAATAATATTGAGTGAATTCTGATGTCTTCTTTTATTCCCCCTTTTTTTTTTGTCACTCTTCACCACCACCTTTTATTCTCATTGCTGGTATAGTATTCCATTGTGTGAATACCCTATAATGCAGTTAGTCATGCTAGTGTTGATGAATGTTTGGGTAGTTTCTCATTTGGTGCCAGTAGCAATAGTGTGCTATAAACATCTTGTGCAGATTTTTGTGGATATATGCTTAGTATTCTATTACACCCAATAGCTTTTTGAATCATAAATCTATTTCAGTCTTACCAGCTCCACCTCCAAACATTTTCAAATCTATCCACCTCTGGCTTCCCTGCTCCCAAGTTAGCCTCAACAACCTCACCTCTGATTGCAGAATATGGCAATAAATCCTAACTCATCTCTGCTTTCATAATCCATGTAATCTGTTCTACACAGCCAGACATTGTTATTTTTTAAATAATGTAAATAAGTTCATATCCCATGACTGCTTAAAACTCACCAGTGGTTTATATATATTTATTAAAATAAAAGAAACACTCCCTAGCATGTCCTACAAGGCTCTATTTGAATGACCTCTGCCTACATCTCCAGATGGATTTTGAATATTTTGAATCATTCTCTCTCTCCTCTTCACTCTTCTCCAGCCACGCTGGCTTTCTTGCAGGAATCAAATAGGCTAAACGTGTTTCTTCTTTCTAATGCATCTGCCCTAGAATTTTCACACAGCAAAATCTTTTCCTTCATTCAGGACTCTTATCAATGTTATCTCCTTAGAGAGACCTTCCCTGACCCCTCCCGCCAATCTAAAACAGCACCTCCCTCTAGGTCATTTTCCATCTGGTTAAATGGAGCTCATTTCTCTGCCTAATGTGTCTGTTATCTATTTCCTTGCTTACTGACTCTCCTATTGTTTATAACAGTTTTATTGAGATGTAATTTACATACTACCATAAAATTCACCCTTTTAAAGTGTACAATTCAGTGGGTTTTAGTATATTCACAAAGTTGTACAAGCATCATCACTATTTAATTTCAGTACATTCCTATCTCCTCAAAAGAAACTCTGTACCCATTAGCAGTCACCATTCTCCTTCCCCTCAGCGCCTGGCAACCACTAACCTACTTTCTATTACTATGAGATTGACTATTCTGGACATTTTATATAAACAGAATTATACAATATGTGCCTTTGTGTCTGACTTCTTTCACTTAGCATTACATTTTCAAGGTTCATCATGCTGTAGCACATAACAGTACTTCATTTTTTTCTTTTGCCAAATAATATTCCTTTTGGACATATATATCACATTTTATTCAACCATTTTTCATTAGATGGACATTTGAGTTATTTCCTTTTCTGGCTATTCTACATAATGCTGCCATGAATGATTTTGTATACATTTTTCTGTGAATGTATGTTTCATCCAGGTGTGGATGACTGTCTTTTGACATTAGAATAACATCTCATCTCTGGTAGTAGACACTGCTGGCACTAGCATATAGGAGGTACCCAACACATTTTGCTGAATTAACCTAGGATCTCAAAGCAGGATTATCCAGAACTAATTACCTTTTATAGTTTATTTTAATAATATGTTATCACTTAGGCCTCAACTGCCTAATAAAAATGGGCCAGGCATGGTGGCTCATGCCTGTAATCCCAGCACTTTGGGAGTCTGAGGTGGGTGGATCACCCGAGGTCAGGTGACTAGCCTGGGCAACATGGTGAAACCCCGTCTATACAGAAATACAAAAATTATCCGGGCATGATGGCAGGTGCCTGTAATCCCAGCTACTTGGGAGGCTGAGGCAGGAGAATTGCTTGAACCCTGGAGACAGAGGTTGCAGTGAGGTTGCCATTGCACTCCAGCCTGGGCGACAGAGTGAGACTCCACCTCAAAAAAAAAAAAATTCAATGAAAAGCTAGTTTTTCCATGCTAGTTTTCACATTAATCAGCACGTCCTGAGAATCATGTGTTCAGAGGGATATTTGAACTTAAACACACAGTACAATTTGGAGGAGGGAGCAGATTCATGGGTAAAATAAAAATACAAAAGAAGAAAATTTAACTATGGCCACTTCTACAGAGGAATTTTCTTGCAGGACCTTGGTAAAGATTCTCTGAGACCAAACAAAAAAATTACTTTAGGGCAAGCAGGTCATATCCTTTAGAATGTGCTGATCCAGTTGAGAAAATAAATGAAGCAAATGACTTTAAATATTTGGGGCTGCTGCTTACATCAAAACTGGAGTCAAATGTTTTTATCTTCATAGCTGTGGGAATTTATCTCAAAATCCTCTTGGAATCACATTTATCTCTCAGCAAGGTTGTTTAAGACCATCAAGGCACAAGAACTGCCCCAGTGGAACCGGACCAATGGCCCATCCAGCCCAGGATCTTGCCTCTGAGAGTAGCCAGTGTGGAATAGTATTAAAAAAAAAAAAAAAGTAAAAGTCCTTACTGAAATGCACATAATTGTGCAATGTCAGAGCAGGGGGCTTGGAGCAATCTCTACTGAGCCCAGCTGGTGACCAGCTTCTGCCCTGAAGCAGAAGGCCTGACGGCCCTTGTAAAACTTAGCCTGGCAAGTGTAACTGCCGGCTCCATTTCAGATCATGATTTCCTTCCCCTGGTGTCTTTAGAAAAGAAGGCTGGATATTTACCACCCAACAAGTTTGCTGCTATCACATTATGGTGGGCCATTAGAGTTAATCCATTAGCAAAGGGGGAAAGATCTTCAGGGATCTTTAAAGTTGAACATTGAGATAATTTGCTACCATTTCTTCTAAAATATTTATTTTATTCTTAGGCTTTTTTTTTTTTTAAGAGAAATACTCTTTTCATTCTGCCTTACTTGGATGTGTTCCCTTAAACAAAGCTGATATCTTCAGCTAACTGTCTGTGCATCATAAACAGGCCAGCTAGAATAGGCAAAGTAGTTAAGATTTGGAGCTGAATGGTTTCTCTTTAGCTTCCTGGCTGACACAATGCTTATATTTCCAGTCTTGATGAAAGAAGAGCAAATTATTCATTCATTTACTCTTCATTAAAAATTGAGCACACAGGCCAGGGACAGTGGCTCATGCTTGTAATCTCAGCACTTTGGAAGCCCGAGGCAGGCAGATCACTTGAGGCCAGGAGTTCGAGACCAGCCTGGCCAAAATAGTGAAATCCCATCTTTACTAAAAAAAGAAATACAAAAATTAGCTGGGTGTGGTGGTGCGTGCCTGTGGTCCCAGCTGCTTGGGAGGCTGAGACAGGAGAATAGCTTGAACCCGGGAGGCAGAGGCTGCAGTCAGCAGGGATCATACCAATGCACTCCAGCCTGGGCAACAGGGCAAAACTCTGTCTCAAAAAATAAATAAATAAATAAATAAATAAATAAGCACGAAGAGCTAGGCTAGACCCTGGAAGTACAATGGTGAAGAAAACAGATCCTATGCTTGTAGTTACAGGGTTTCTATTATAGTATGATGACCTGAAAAATAAATGTGAAGAGACAAATTAAAAATATATATATTTACAAATCAGAATACAATTGCATAATAGAAACAAAGAAGGCATTGAAATAAAAAAAAAAAATTGGCAGCCAGGAGAGGGCTTTAACTACTTTAGATGTTTAAACAGAAATACTGCAATAGTGAAGGGTGAGCTCCAGCAGAGAGAAGCAAGGGCTGGGCTGTGAGGTTGCAATGAGGTTGGCATGCTCCAGAACTGGGCAACCACACATCTGACAAGAGCATTGTCTGTGAAGAAGCAACATGACATGAGTTTCAGTGATTTAGGCAAGGCCTATATATAGTCTTATATGCCATGAGAGAAAGTTTGAATTGTATTTTCATGCAATGGAAATGTTTAACTCTTGAGGCCACTATTTAGCAAGTTAACAGTTACTAAATAAGTACTGACAATACAGGCAGGTTTCTGTGGGAACAATTGACCAGACTGCAGAGCAAACCACGCATCTGACCCTTCTGAGGTTCTCTGGGTGTGGTCCCACTAGGGAATGACCACAGGGGTTAGGTGAAGACTGCTGAGTCTATACAGCTCCTTTATTTATCTGAGATCTTGATCTTTGACCTGGCTTGATATGCCGCCCTTCTGCTTAACGTGACCCCTAAACTTGATCAATGTCTCTGTTGGATCTTGCATTTCATTCTCTTTGTCTAATTGTTTTTGTTTTGTTTTGTTTTGTTGAAATAAAGTTTCACTCTTGTTGCCCAGGCTGGAGTGCAGTGGCACAATCTCAGCTCACTGTAACCTCTACCTTCCAGGTTCAAGCGATTCTTGAACCTCAGCCTCCCGAGCAGCTGGGATTACAGGCATGGGCCACCACGCCTGGCAGATTTTGTATTTTTAGTAGAGACTGGGTTGCACCATGTTGGTCAGGCTGGTCTCAAACTCCTGACCTCAAGAGCTCTGCCTGCCTCGGCATCCCAAAGTGCTAGGATTACAGGCATGGAGCCATCGCGGCCAGCCTTGTCTAATGTTTTAGCAAGGGTATCCCTTCCCCGAATCGTTCTCCCTCATTATTAGCCACTTAATTCAGGACACCTAATCCTGATGGCTAAACCCTTTTAACCCCATGAAATCTGGCTTCCTCTCTGGGGTAATCAGTTATCATTTTAAGCTTTGGAATTGTCAGGGAAAGTTGCATTGAGATAGAACCCAGGGTTAGAGATAATAATAAAAGAAGAAACTTCAGAGACTGGGAATTTGGCTAACAGCATGATAAAGCCAGGAAAGCACTGATTGAGTGCTTACTAAGTGCTAGGCTCTATGCTATACACTTTATATGCATCAACTTATTTAATCCTTCCTAAAATTCTATAAGAAACTTTTCAAGCCATGTTTTGCTGAAGAGAAAACCGTGGCACAGAAAGGAGATGTAAAATGTTCAAAGTAAAAAGATAGTGGAGCCAGGATTTGAACCAGAGAGTCTGATACTAGAGCCATTGTTTGTATAACCAGCAATAAGGAAACAGCATGGAACTAAAAGTTGGGAGACTTCAGTTCCAAGGGCAGTGCTGCTGACTCACCATGTAACACAACGTCATGCACCCCACAGCTCTTTATAAAGAACATAAAAAATTCTGCTCATCTCCATTTCCCAGTGACTTGGAGATGTGTCTTCATAGTACGTATCGGGCACCTGTGAGCAACTATGGGCTGTCTCTGCATATTTGGGAGGGAAGAGAAAAATCATATACAAACATTCACCAATCAAGTATTTAGTGAGTATTTTGCATAATGCCAAACACTTTGTTAAACGCAGGGAGAGACATGTCAGTAACTTAGAAGACATTCCATGTGTCCCAAACGACTTGCAAAGTAATTGGCATAGTTGATGATATAAAGCAGGATGAGGGATAGCAATGAGGAGAGATATAGAAGATCAAAAGAGACAGAAAATAATGCTACCCGGGATATGCAGTGGAAATAGCAACAGGGCTGAGCCTGGAAAAAATGAACAGGTCTCAAACAAGCGTGGAGGAAAGCAAATTCTAATTTCCTTAATTGAAGAAAAGAAGAATATATATATATATATATATAATGTTCAGATTTCTGTTGTCAGGTGACTGAGACCCAGAAAATAATTCAAAGTATACGCATGCACACACACACACACACACACACACACACACACACATGCACAGGCTGCCCATGTTGTCTTATTTACTATTTGAATTATTAAACTATCCTATTGCATACAAATGTATTTAGCAGGGTTTAAAAGTTCAGAGTGAAGGCAGGAAATGGAGGGAGGTAAAGCCACTCTGTGGTTTGTACATCAGGGCAGTTGTCTTTCAACTCACCAGAGGTGCATCAAAATCACCTAGGGAGCTTTTTCCAGATATAGCTTCCTGTATTCCACCTCGGGCTTAAAAAGATGAGCCTGGGAATATGAAATAGATTTTTGGAAGATCCCAATGACCACAGCTCTAGGAAAGTGCTGTTCTATGAAACAATAGTGGAAAGTATGCCATAGAAGCCTGAAGACCCGCAAGACAAGAAATCAGAACTTGTACTCATTGGAATGCCTCTTAAAGGAGCTTTGGTTGGAAACAGGCGATATTTAGGAGCTGAATTTTCAAAATTCACAAAGCAAGAGAAAGTCAGATGCTATGGAAAACCATATCTCACCATCTTTCTGTCCTTCAATGTACCATACAAATATCAAATACAAACTGGTATATTCCAGGCATCTAATTTCACATTTTTTAAAACAGGGAATCAGTCCTAGGTCCAATCATACAAAATCCTACAACAAAAGTCTAAAGAGTATAAAGGAAAAAACACACTTCCTGCCTTAAGAAACTTAGAAATGGGACAGAAAATTTTACTATATGAAATATTTAAATAATAATATAAGTGACTGAATGACACAGTGAATGGTTATCAGTATTGCTCTATATCAAAGATCATAAAATGGTAGCCTGTAAATCTCATTCACACATGTTTTGTTTAGCCTGTATGATGTTTTAAAAATAAAAAATGAATATTTAAAACTTGGGAGATTTCACCTATTGATCAAGAATTTTTAACTTCTCTTGAAAACTTTGGGGGCTCTGGCCTCATGCTGGGGTCTGCCATCTTGCATGGTCACAGAGGAGCTGAGTGGTGGTGGCAGCTCATTAGCCAAGCTTAGAGTATCCTATTGGCCATAGTCTCCACTACTCTTTCATGCTGTCCGATCCCACCTTCCTAAATCATTCTTGTTTCTTGCCTAGCCTCTGTAGGTATTTGTGTCTCTGTGCCTGGCTACACCAATTGAGAGGAAAGGGAAGGACAGGAATCTAGGCCCTGAAAGAGAGTAAGGATCTGTGTATCTGGACTTTTGGTCAATGCAAAGAAATAGACCTTAATATCCTCATCCCCAAATAAGAAAATGTTTCTTTCACCTACCCTATTTCTTCTTGAACTCATATCAGGAGGATTAGTCATTAAAAAATAAAACCTAGGCCAGTTTTGGTTGCTCATGCGTGTAATCCCAGCACTTTGGGAAGCTGAGACAGGAGGGATCATTTGAGCCCAGGAGTTTGAGATCAGCCTGGAAAACATAGCAAGATCCCATTTCTATACGAAATTTTAAAATTAGCTGGGAGTGGTGGTGTATGCCTGTAGTCTCAGCTTCTCAGGAGGCTGAGGCAGGAGGATCACTTGAACCCAGGTGGTTGAGGTTGAGGCTGCAGTGAGCCATGACTGCACCACTGCTCTCCAGCCTGGATGACAGAGCAACTGTCTCTTTCAGAGCTTATAACTTTAAGAATTCAAAAAGAAATAGAAATGCTTATGGAAATGTGTTCTAGGATTTGCCATCCTCTACGCACCTGCGTAAGTGAAGGGTACAGGCATTGTTAAAGGAGATGGCATTCACCCATCCAGAGAGTAAATGGTTGGGTAGAAAATGCTAATAATGAGACCTGGCACCCTGGAGAAATTTAGATTCACAGTGGGGAAAATGGCCAGCAGGTGTGTACCCCTCTGTCAAGCCCTTGGAAAGGAACTGGGGAACAGGTAGCTTTCATAAGGTTTGAACTCTAAGACATAACTACTCTATTTGCTTTTGACAAAGTGCAATCTAATTGAAATCTGATGACCTCAAAGGGGACTCTTCGATGATTGAATTCAGGAGTCAAGAACCATGTACCTACTTTTTCCTTTTCATTTCCAAACCATACAACTTAATGAGGTAAATTCAAGACCTTATGGAGGATTAGAGAAAAAGAAAAAGGAAAGAAAGAAAACAAAGCCTTAAAAATAAAGAAGAAAAGCCCAGATGGTCTGATCTGGACTTTTAAAAGTTGGCTGCAGACAGCATTGCTGAGGACCCAGCCATTATTTTTTAATCTCTCATTGACAAGGCAAAGCTTCCCTGCAGACTGGGATTTGGGACTTGTTATCTCCATTTTATTGGCCTCTTTGCCAAGAATAGCAGGGCCGATAAAACGCAGACTTCAGTCAGCAGGGAAAGAGGAATGGACACTGAGGCTCTGGGGACAGCAGAGAGCAGCCGCTCACATTCCCCATGGAGGCGGGGAAGGTTGATATTTAGTAGCTGGCAGTGATAAAGAATAAAAGGAAAGAAGGGTTGGTGTGGTGCAGGAGAAAGAAGGTAAGACAAAAGAGAGACAGAGAGAAAGAGAGAAGGAAAGCCGGAGGGAGAAAGAAAAGAAAAGAAAAGAAAAGAAAAGAAAAGAAAAGAAAAGAGAAAAGAAAAGAAAAGAAAAGAAAGGGAAGGGAGAGAAAGTGGAAGGAGGAAATGAGAAGAATGGGGGGAGGAAGGGTAGAATAGCTTTATAAATGGGTCAAAATTCTATCTCAGTTTTTTTTTAGCTGCCTTTATTTAAAAGCAAAGTATCAAGTGACACTGTAAGACAATTCTTCCTCACTTTTCCTTGTGATGTTTGTAGAGAAAATTGGAGGGGCTTCCTGTCACCCTTAGAATAAAGCATAAGACCTCTATAAGTTTTACGAGGTACTGTAAAATTTCTCTCCAACCAATCGCACTAGACCTTTGTCACATAGTGCCCCCATGCGAAACCCCAACCTCTGAGATTTCATTAGTTTTTCATGTTAACTCTACCCATTCTCACCTTTCTGCTTTATTTAAGACATTTCCTCTGCCTGGAGCCCACTCCCATTCCGCTCCAATATGACTAAATTGCATTCAATGTCAAGCAATGGGTTTCTTCTGAATGACTGAAGAGGGATGGTCTTTCAGGACAATGAGACCCTCTTCTGAAATGTATAGGCAAGCATTATCCCTGGATGTGGACAGCATGTTTTGGGAACCAGAGAATTAAGGGAAAGGCCAGAAAATGGCGATGGGAGAAGACTTGGGTAGGATATTTCTGAAACAATCTGTGAAATAAAGGTAGGTCCAGAAGCAGAAAACATGTTGACCGTGCACAACCATAATTGACTCTAACTCTCTACACAAACATTCTCCCCTGATCAGAGATGCAACTATGTGATAGCCACTTGTGTGATGCTGGTAGAAAGTGAAAATAAAAGTTCTATTTTCTATGCTTGACCAGACTTCCTTCAAGACTATCTTGAGGACTCTGTTGATGGTTTATCCAGTAGCCTTTGCATTTTCCCAAGGAAGTGGCTCTGGGATATTCTCCTGGTCAGATGGCAATTGTGAATCATCCATTGGAGGTTGCACAGTAAGTTCTAATGCGGCATCATGAAATCTGTAAGAGATGCCCCTCAAACCTCAAACACCTGGGACCATCTGTATTAGTCCGATCTCATAGTGCTAATAAAGACACACCCAAGACTAGGTAATTTATAAAGGAAGGAGGTTTAATTGGCTCATAGTTCAGCATGGCTGAGGAGGCCTCAGAAAACTTACAAACATGGCAAAGGGGAAAGCAAACATGACCTTCTTCACAGGGTGGCAACAAGGAAAAGTGCCAAGCAAAAGGGGGAAAAGTCCCTTATAAAACCATCAGATCTTATGAGAACTCACTATCATGAGAACAGCATGAGGGCAACTGTCCCCATGATTAAATTATCTCCCACCAGGCTTCTCTCAGTACAGGTGAGGATTATGGGAGCTACAATTCAAGATGAGATTTGGGTGAGGACACAGCCAAACCATATCAGCCTGTATAAGAGGCAGCAGTAAAAGAGGGTCATCGGGCCTTAGAAAAAGTGGTCATCAACAAAAATGGCAACAATCTTCTAAATCACAACCTGGAATATCCTGCTTTCCTGATAAACTAACTCACCTGTTGAACTGTTCCTTAAAAACAATAAGTCTGCTTTATTCAGTTTTCTGATCTCTTGGCTTTCTTTCTGTCTGACCCGTCCTGTTTCTACTTTCCCCCAAAACTTCCTAGAGTCCATCGTTCCTCATTGTGCTGACCTCCTTGCAAACAGCCCCAACTCCATCACTTCTTTTTCCCTAATTCACATTTTTCTCCCCAAATCCCAACCCTAGATAAACTGAATGGTCTTCTCTCCCCTTTTACTCTCATAAGTCATATAACTTGAAAGACAATTCACTATGAAATCATGATAACCAACTTCAAACACATATCCATCCTCATCTGCCATTCTCACTGCTCTACAATGCTCACTCTTTCATTCTCATCAAAGATTTCTTTGCTACTTGGGAGGGAGAAGTGGGAGGACTGCTTGAAGCCATCAGTTGGAGACCACCTGGGCAACATAGTGAGACATCATCTCTACAAAAACTAAAGAAACAATTAGCGGGACATGGTGGTACATGCCTATAGCCCCAGCTACTCAGGAGGCAGGAGGATCTCTTGAGCCCAGGAGTTTAAGGCTGCAGTGAGCTGTGATCATGCCACTGCAGTCCAGCCTCGGTAACAGAGCAAAACCTAATCTCTTTTTAAAAAAATGAGAGAAAGAGAGAGAGAGACAGAGAAAAGAAGAAAAGAAAAGAAAAAGAGAGATTATTTTGTATTTCTCTCTTATTTTTAACCTCCCCTATATTTTGTTGAGCAAATTAGGGTCCATCAGCCTGGAATTTTCATACATTCCCACATCCAAATCTTTCAACCTTCCTACATAAATATTCTTCTCGCCATTTTTTTCCTCTAACTCAGGTGATTAAGTTTCTCTCCTCTACCAAGGGGACTCGTCATATGTGCTCTGCATCACAAATCCCCTCACCTTCTCAAGGGCTTTGCTTTCTCAATTGCCCCCTTTCTCTCCTACATCAACTTCTCTCTTTTCACCAAATTGTTCATATTTTCCCTGCCTTCTTCACCACCTCTGGGTGTGTGTGTGGGGGTGGGGTGGGGGTATGGGGCACATAAAGATAATCCTTCGTACATTTAAAAATAAAATTAGGCCGGGCGCGGTGGCTCACGCCTGTAATCCCAGCACTTTGGGAGGCCGAGGCGGGTGGATCATGAGGTCAGGAGATCGAGACCATCCTGGCTAACAAGGTGAAACCCCGTCTCTACTAAAAATACAAAAAATTAGCCGGGCGCGGTGGCAGGCGCCTGTAGTCCCAGCTACTCGGGAGGCTGAGGCAGGAGAATGGCGTGAACCCGGGAAGCGGAGCTTGCAGTGAGCCGAGATTGCGCCACTGCAGTCCGCAGTCCGGCCTGGGCGACAGAGCGAGACTCCGTCTCAAAAAAAAAAAAATAAATAAATAAATAAAATAAAAATAAAAATAAAATTAAAATTAAATAAAATCTGCCTCCCATAACTTTAGAGTTTCCTACAAACTACAGTACATTTTCTTTGCTTTTCTTCTCAGCTAAACCTGTGAAAAGAATTGTCTGACATGCTGTCTCTACTTCTTTTTTATGATTTTTAGAGACAGGGCTTCACTCTGTCACCCAGGCTGGAGTGTGGTGGCACAATCATTGATCATAGCCACTGCAGCCTCGAACTCATGGGCTCAAGTAACCCTCCCAGCCCAGTCTCCCAAGTAGCTGGAACTACAGGCATGCACCACCATGCCTGGCTAATTTTTTCCCTTTTTTTTTTTTTTTTTTTTTTTTTTCCATAAAGACAGGGTCTCCATATGTTGCCCAAGGTGGACTTGAACTCTGGGACTCAACTGATACTTCAACTTCAACCTCCAAAAATGTTGGAACTACAGGTGTGAGCCATCACACCTGGTCATGTCTCCATTTTTTTGAGCTCTTTTTCATTTTATAATCCACTCCAGCGTGACTTCTCTCCCTGATTCCACTGAAACTGCTCCTTATGGTGGCAGCATTGAACACAGCTCCTTATTCCTGTGTTTTTTCTCTCTTGACCTTCAAGACATCATCCTCCCATTGTTTTCCTCCCTCCTCCCTAGCTGTTCTGTCTATCTTTTATAGTTTTCTCCTCCTCTCCCTAAGAGAAGAGTGTTGGAGTTCCTTTGGCACTTCACCCCCCTTTTCTATTTTTTCTAGACCCTCTTCCTTTATTCTCACAGTTTTAATTGACATTTATATTTTGATACTTCCCAAATTTACATCCTCAGTATGGGCTTCTCTGTTTCACACCCATATATCCTGCTGCCTACTTAACGTGTTTGAGACAGAATTTTTCGTTTTATCCTAAAAATTGTTCTTTCCCCAGTCTTTCCCATCTCAGTAAATGGCATCACTATCCACACATTTTCTCAAGCCAGAAATCTTAGAGTGTGGCATTCCTCATCCCGCCCCCCTCTGAATTTACATCTGATCTTCCTTCCACAAAACTATACATTAAATCCTTTGAGCTTTCCTTATTTCCTCACCCAGTATCCTCATCCCAGACACCATCACTTCTCCCAGAGCTACCATAAGAACCATCTCACAGGTCTCCCAATTCCTTTGCGGTATTTCAAATACACATTTTCTCCACACATATTTTAAAGTTGCTCTTTAAAACAATATTAATTGTATCATGTCACTCTCAAGATCAAAAGCTTTCCAATAATTTCCCATTCCACTTTGAATCAAATGCAAATTCTCTATCATGACCCACGCTATCCTTTTTATTGTCCAAATCTTATTTCATGCTACCTTCCACTTTATCTTAAGTGTTTCATTCATGGAGCCCTCCACCCAGTTTCCCAAATATGCAATTCTTCTTTAAGATCTCCACATCTGCCATTTTCTCAACTGGATATCTCTTCTAAATGGCTGCCTTTTTCATCCATTGAGCTATAATCATTGCCTCCTTGGAAGTCTTCCTTCACCATCATATATAACATGACAGTAATAGTTAACTGTACATTGTGCAGCCAATACACAACTAAGTACTTTAAATTGATTATCCTATTTAATATTTTTAACAAACCTATAAGTAATGCATTATATAAAAAAATTAAGGCAGAGATGTGAAATAACTTACTCAAAGACAACATAATTTATAAACAAAGCTCTAGGATTCAAAACTAACAAAATCTTAACCACTGTAGTATATTAATTTATGTTTCCTCCTCTTATTCCCCACATTTTATAATGTGTAAGTAAGCATTAATTCATTTGCTTCATTTATTCATACAGCTAAAATTTATAAGGACCTACTATGTGTCAGGTCCTGTCCTAGGTAGAAAAGGCAAGATATCCCACATTTTGGGAACTGTGTTTAAATGGGGATGACTGACAGTAGCCAAAGAAACAAATTTATAAAATTTGTGAGGCCAGGAACATGCTTTGAGATTCATGTGCCCACTGTATTACTGGAGAGACAAGTGCTTAATGATATTTTTATTAAAATGTGAGCTTTGAGGAAGTCTTTGTTTTGTTTAAATAGCAGAAAGAGTGTATTAGTTTTCTGTGGCTGCCATAACAAATTACCACAAACTACGTAGCTTAAGGCATAAATAGAGTCTCTCACACCTCTGGAGTCAAGAAGCCTGCAATCAAGATATAAGCAGGACTGCACGTCCTCTGGAGACACTAAGGAAGAATCCAGTTCTTGCATCTTCCAGCTTTGGGTGGCTATCTGCATTCCTTGGCTTGTGGCCACATCGCGCCCAGCTCAGCGTTCATGTCACCTTCTCCTCTGTGTTTCTGTGTTCCCCTCTTGCCTCTCTCTTAGAATGACGCCTGTGATGGCATTAGGACCCACCTGAATAATTCAGCTAATATCATCATCTCAAGACCTCAACTTAATTACCTATTTTGCCATATGAGGTATTCACAGGTTCTAGGGAGTAGGATGTGGACATATCTTTTTTGGAACCACCATTCAGCCTACTTGAAAAAATATAGGTCCATCTGCTCTTGTAAAGGATTATCTCCCAGTGAGGTATTACAGTCCTGTTTCCTCAACTGCCTACATTGTTGGAAACAAGTTCAGATCCTATCAAAACCCAGATTCACTTTTGAAGCTATTGGAGAAGTGGTCTCAAACTCCAATGTATTCAAATATCATTTAAAAGTTTATTTAAAGTTTTGATTGGTGAACTTTGTACCCAAAGATTCTAACTCCACAGTTGTCTGTTTGGCATTGCATTATAAGAAATACTCAGGTGATTTTGGTACTGAAGATCACACCTTGTGGACAGTGCCCAAGAGAAAAAATGTAAGATAGATTCAGACAGAGATCTCTACAGATGACGTCAAGTCTTTTACTGTAAGATCAATAGTGCCCAGACATTCTAACTAACTCTTCAGGAAGTAAAGACTTGTATCCTGAGCAGAATCTGAAAAGGCTCCCATCTCTCAGATACCTGAAGCACTTTGTTTCTTTGGGGACACACTGACGGCTTATTTCATTTTTTCTAGAGTATAACCAATGAGAATGTATTCTTCTCAACTTTCTATGAGGCCTCTCTTAGGAACTTTCCTTTTTTCTTCTCCCATCAGGTTGCAAATCTCAGGTGCATTTACAGACCTACATGTAAGATGAAGGGCACAGCTTCTAAGAATTGTAAAGATAAATTTTGTGCTATTAGGTAAAGACAATATCATTTGTGTCATTCAGCCAAATACATTATTTTATTTGATTGTGTAAGTGGACACAGTATCAAGTGGTTTTTCAAGTGTCTGTCTTCAAGAATTTTACACTGGTACACTAATGCTCTGTGAAACATCATCCTAATAATTTTTCTTGGAATAACAACCTTTTCTCTCCATGCAGGTAAAATGGGTGTATGATCTTGTCTAAGGTAAGGTACTTGCTTAACACCTTTAAAATTGTATTGTATGTCTATTTTCAAAAAGGAAATAAAGGAGCTTAAAAAATTAAAAACATATAAATGAGATAATCCGTTTTTGTATACATTTGTTTGCTTTTATAATTGCAGATAAATTAGGGATTAACTAGTTTGGAGAAATAACTCTTTAGGTTTATTAAATCCCCACAAAGATGTCAGAATTTCATTCAACCTAAAGATTGCTTTCCAAATTGTTACAGCCTGTTTTTCCAGCCCCTCCAGTGGTACCTCTGCTCATAGGCTCTAGTTCAGACAATGATGGAAAGTCCATAATAAACCACTAAAAAAATGGAATAACACACATATTTCAGTTGCTTCACAGAGCTCAGGTGAAGTTGTGCCTGCAGAGACACAGGTAGGTTCTCTATGCTGTAGAGTGAATAAATGTATACATAGGCTATTTTGGAAGTATTCCATAATGCAAATTCCTGTATGTCGATTTAAGTTTACATCCAGCTGGGTAAGCAGTTTACTAAATGGTGCTTGAAGAGATCTGATGGTGACTCTCCTCACTCCCCTGGCAAGGGCATGGAAGAGCATCCTCCATTTCCCTCCACTACCTCCCATCAAGAAGCAGTCTGCTTATTATATATGATGACCTATCTAAATTACTTCTCTTTCAAAATTCTAAATCATCATTTTGATTTGATTTATTCTGGCCTACACATATGGCAAGAGGCACACAGAATTTACTTTGACACCATACATACCCTTCTAAGAATACTTTCATTCATTTACTTAGCAAATATTAGTTGAACACCTAGCATCTTTCAAGAATACAACTGCTTCATGATTTACCTTCAAATAAATTGAAAGCCAGAGAGTTTATTTTTTCTTGGCTATACATTTATGTATTTATATTTCTATTAATACATATGGATAGAAAAGATTAATTTCAAACTTAATGTTAGCTATCAAATGTATGGATGAAGTATAGTTCACAGAGTTCTTCAAAATGCTAGATATTAGCATCTTTAATTAAAAGTGTCTACCTTCACAATGGACGTTAAAAAATGAAAGTGTGCTTTTATGGCCCTGTGGTTGAATTCATACCACAGTTTTTTGTATTTCACTCAAACAACTAACTTAGGAAATGTTACCATGTGTTAGTAGCACTATCTCAGCAATGAGGTAATGAAACAAATATTTAAATATTTAAATTTCAGCACAGAGATATAGATTGATATTTTTTCAGGCTGTAGCTAGTAGTTGTATTTGGTGATTAACTGCACGCTTCCTCTCTCTCTCTGTTTCACACACACATAAACACACACACATGCAAACACACACACACACACACACACACACACACACATGCATACATACATCATTTGCCTATTATTTTCCCACAGATAACCAGAGGACAGATATTTGCCGTCAAGATAGCTCAGGCTTTTGGAAGCTCAGCAAGGCAGTTTGCGTAATGCCTGTGATTCCATTTGTCACAGGAGCCTTTATGAGGGAACAGAAGATATAACTTTGCTTCATTTTTCATTTCCTGTTATCTCTCAGATTTTGGTCTTCAGCTGCTCTGTTTTCCTGTACCTCAACTGGAGCCGACGTTATCAGAGCACCACCTGCTACCACCGTTGCAGCTGAGGCTCTGTCAGCAGCTCCAGGAGGAGAGTGATTCCTTCCAGAGGAGCTGAGAAGCTCCCTCTGGGCCAGAGCAAATCAAGTCCATGATGAGGTCTCCATATGCAGAGCAAAGTGGAAACACTCACTGATTAACTAAATAATTTTTACCAGAGAAACATTCTTAGATTTGTAAAGCACTTTCCATTTTATGGAGAACTTTCCCATCTATATTTCACTGGATTTTCAGAACAGCCTGTAAGACAACTGGGCTTGTACGATTATGCCCATTTGCACTTGAGTGGAGATCATGTTTTCCACATCCCCTGAATTTTGAAATGCCTAAGCTGGGGGGTGCAATTCAAGGATAAGTAATGGAGTCAGTGAGTCAGTGGTGAAGAAGTCAGGCCAAAGATGTGCAAGGAAAGGTAAATGGTTGCCATGAGGCAGGAAGAAAAGAACAGCGAACTGCTGTGATTTAGCTATAATATGACTCTCAGAATGGAGAAAGCTAAAGAACAGAAGAAAATAATTAAAAATGAGGGAAAGGAAGACAAAGCACATTACTTAGGAATTGTTGGAGGCATGCATTACGAGGAAGGACAGGAAGTTGATGGCAGTGGACTGTCCCAGCCTATTCTTCTCTGATGCCATTTCCTAGAGTTGGCTCCTCCAGGCTGGATCCTAACACATCTTTCATTGGCTTCTAGGTGCCATTCACTCTCCCCCTCCTCCTCTGGAAATTACTTTCCCCTTGGTCAGAGTTCTTTTGGTTGGAGATTCTCACTGCCTCAAGACTGTAAAAACAGAGTGAGAGGAGGTGGTATGGGGTCTTGCCTAGTCCCAGTCTTGACAACCACATCTCTTCATCCTCCCATCACTGCTCCTCCCCAGAAACACAATCTTGCTCCCATATCTAGTGATAATTCTAACCTTGTTTTAAGGTTGCTATTCAATGATATGCCTCAGTCAGATCATTGGATCCCAGTCATTATTATATACCCATACCTCTGAATCCTTTAGGGCTGTGGCTCTGCATAATTCCCAACACTCCCAGGAGTAACCATGTGAACCTGTAGCCTAGGGATCTGGGATTCACTAACTACCAAGAAATGATGTCCTGGTGCTGGCTGCCTGCCTGCCAATCACCTCATCCACCGAAACTTTACATGTCATCTGCTTGTCTTCTCCAACCTGGTGTTTCTCCAGCTTGTTGGGAGACCTTCCCATTTGTTTTAAATCTCTGTAAAATAGATGTCTTGCTTGGATTATAACCCATTGCCCTATGTTTTTGATGATCTAATTTTACCTACTCTAGTGGAACCTGTACCAAAAATCATTACCAGCAATTATCTAACCTAAATGGGACCTGGGGATCTAAGTTTTGATCTTACTTCTAGTCTGCCCAGGCTCTTGGACTTAAGCTTCGTTATGTGATATGAAGATTAGAGACCATCACCAGAGTGATTGGAAGAAAGTTAACATTTCAGAGAACATGTGCCACTAAATAGGTTAGACCACGAGCAAGAAACAAGTAAGACCTGAAAAAATTACCCATTAAGAATCCATATTCGGCTGGGCATGGTGGCTCATGCCTGTAATTCCAGCACTTTGGGAGACCGAGGCAGGCAGATCATGAGGTCAGGAGATCGGGACTATCCTGGCCAACACGGTGAAACTCTGTCTCTACTAACAATACAAAAAAATAGCTAGGCGTGGTGGTGGGCGCCTGTAGTCCCAGCTACTTGGGAGGCTGAGGCAGGAGAATGGTGTGAACCCTGGAGGCTGAGCTTGCAGTAAGCTGAGATCACACCACTGCACTCCAGCCTGGGCAACAGAGCAAGACTCCACCTCAAAACACAAAAAAAGAATCCGTATTCATAGAGCCTTGAGAAACTAACCCTACAGGTACAGATGGGTAAAGCCTGGCCAAGGGTGTGACATGGGGCTCACTGGGATATCCTTCCATGCCTACAGTTTCCAGAAGTCTCAGTCCATGTGGCTACTATAATAAAAACACTATAGACTGGGTGACTTATAAACAACAGAAATATATTACTCACAGTTCTGGGAATTCCAATGTCAAGGTGTCCTCCTGTGAGAGCTTGCTTCTTTGCTCATTTAGCTATCTTCTTGCTATGCCCTCATGGTGGAAGGGAGGGAGGAGCTCTCTGAAGTCTCTTTTATAAGGACACTAATCCCATTAATGAGGGCTCCACTCCCATGACCTAATCACCTCCCAAAGGCCCCACCTTCTAATAACATTGTATTGGGGGTTAGGATTTCAGATTGAATTTTGCACGGACATAAAAGCATTCAATCTATAGCAGCAGACTTCTTCAAGCTGTTAACATTTTGCTTCTTTGAAATGTATTGGTTGTATTATCACACATGCTCCCCTCCAGTTGTACATAATAAAACTTATGACTAATTGTAGTTTGATGCACTACTGATACTAAAGATATTTGACAACTTGCTATGGAAAGGGCCCAAAGGGAATAATTCTTTAATGAAGCATTTTGCAAGGTGCTGAAGGCTATGGAATGATGACAAAGGAGAGATTATATGCATGGGGTTGCACCCATGATAAGGCAAGAGGATGGAGAGAAAAAATATTTAGCACGGAGGGGCTATAATTGAACCTTCCACAGAAATGACTATAACCATTAGAAGCTCCACTCTGTGATACCCTTTCACAAGACATCCTCGCTGAAACAGAAGGGCCTCTTGATTTCCAAAGTGTACTATTTATTCCCTCCAGTTGCTTCATTCAAAATAATTTCTGGCTGGGCGCAGTGGCTCACACCTGTAATCCCAAAACTTTGGAAGGTCAAGGCAGGTGGTCACCTAAGGTCAAGAGTTTGAGACCAACGTGTCCAATATGGTGAAACCTTGCTTCTACTAAAAATACAAAAATTTAGCTGGGTGTGGTGGCACATGCCTGTAGTCCCAGCTACTCAGGAGGCTGAGGCAGGAGAATCTCTTGAACCAGGGAGTTAGAGGTTGCAATGAGCTGAGATAGCACCACTGCACAGTCTGGGTGAAAGAGTGACACTCCATCTTAAAAAAAAAAAAAGAAAAAAAGAATTTTTTCTTGGAACTTCTGATAAGTTTAGAACTGAACTCTAGTGACTTAGAGCAGTATTTTCCCAAGTGTGAAATGCTACAGATAATTTTAGGTGGTGCACGAGTTCGGCAAATAAAACTGAATCACACAGCGAGAAAGTTATTCCCTTTTCAATTCTCTTTTGATCCTTCTGATGACACCAAAGATAAATTCTCAGTCTGGAATTGTACATCTTTAACACCTCTCTAATGCTTGCTTTTCTTCTTTTTTAGCAAAGAAAGTACATGTTTGAAGCTCAGAGCCTTTGACAGGTAATATGTTTCCAGAAATTAATAATGTCTAGTTCTATTGTATGTATTTTCATACTTACTGTCCTTTAATGGAAAATAATATTGGTCATATATTTGAGATAATGAAATTGAGATTTCTTTTAAAAATAAGTTTCTAAGTTAAAAGGAGTGAATATATTTAGGAAAAACATTTAATAGCTGATAGTACTGGTGTTATGTGACAACAGATACTGGAACAATGTTAATGGTGATATGCAAATGACTAGTAGTCAACATCAGCTTGGGTCATACTCCCAACATCTTCACTGGGCTGCAGAATTCCTCTTTCTCGTAATCCCTTTCCTTTTTGCTATCCTTTTGCCCAACATAATATTTTAGTTGAAGTGCATTTGCCCAACATAATATTTTAGTTGAAGTGCACCTTGATTGACTGGACAGCAAGCATACAAACTTCTAGTGTTCATTCATTTCGTGGTGGCACTACAAGTCTCACTAAAAACTCAGATGTAGACAAGGGAATGAGAAATTTAGCGAAGGGAAAGCCAGCATCCTTTGCCATCGGCACGGGGGATGATAGAACAGGCATAAGGGAAAAAGCATGTCAACACACGATGGGATATATATGCCCCTTGTAGCCTCCCCACCACCCTGCCCCTTAATGTCTCCTATTGCACAGGGGGACAGAGGGAGGGGAGAGGGAAACCACAGACCATGTATTTGGGTAATTGCTTTCTCAAAATGAAATGGCATCTTCTTTTTATTTCCCTCACTCTCACCTAATTACACTAGCATATTATATTCCCCACACTGAAATCTGGGTGTATAAATCTTTGCAGGCACAGTGAGGCCTTGTTGGGTTTGGCTGTTGTTTCTGAATAGAGTATAAGGGGACATAAAATGTAAGTGAATCAAGCCCTCAGCTAGCATTTAATTGATAAGAACTAAAGCTAATATTAGATAACAAATAAACGGTCTGTTGCACAGGCATTTAATTAAACACCAAATTAATGCAGTAATGACCTACTGGAACTAACAGCCAGGAATGCTTTACTGCACTCCAGCATCTGGACGCTTTCACCTTCCAGTCCCCCTCCTCCTTCCCCCACCTCCACAGACAGATACATTATAAAGACATACATTCACTCACAGCCCATATCCTCATGTTTTCATGTGCCAACTCATCACATATAAGAATCTACTTTGCCCAAGGAAGCTTGACTATTTAGTTTACTCTCTACCTCATCTTCCCCATCATATGTCCCAAATCTCAGCATTTGAGACTATTTGAAACCCTAGTCTTGTAACCCTTGGCTGATTACATGCTGCCTTGAAGATTAATTGCAGACAGTGTTTTAGTTAACGGTTTCAGGGAAGAGCATGCAAAATCATGAAGGGGAGTTGAGGAATCAATACGTGGCTTTGTCTGGACCTATCCAAGAGCTTTCAGTCATACAATAAAACACATAATAGGTACAGGAGATTAACTCCACTCAGGTTTACTCAACTCACCCTTGTTGGCTCATCTGGGCTGTAATCATACAAATCAACATTTTCATGTTGACTCATATCCACAAGTTAGAGGTAAGCACTGGAGATGTTTTTTGAACACATTTTGCATACAGAGACCACACACATCCATGTGCATGCTACATCCCTCTTATGGTCCATGAGACTTTGCAGTTCCCTGCTGGACATATGAACAGACTCTTTTCTTTTTCTTTTTTTTTTTTTATTATACTTTAAGTTCTAGTGTACATGTGCACAACATGCAGGTTTGTTACATATGTATACATGTGCCATGTTGGTGTGCTGCACACATTAACTCATCATTTACGTTAGGAACAGACCCTTTTCAAGGATGTCCCCTAAGAGTTTCTGTTTTCCTACACTCCAGTGTGACTTCAGTGAAAAGAAAGTGCTCTCTCAGCACCAGCAGCCTTGCATCCATGCATCATTCCAATGCTGGGCTTTAAAAGTGAATGCAGGTGACTTTACTGGAACATTTCTACAGAATTCTTCAGCCCCATATGGCCTAATTCTACCTGCTCTGAGAGCTGAGAAAGCAAACCTGTACTGTGTGGCACGTGCTATGCACTTACAAACGTGGAATCTCTATCTATAATCCCTGAGGTGAGGGATTCCTGTATCAAAGGAGGTTTCAATGAGTTTGGAGTATTTTTTTTTTCCCTAAACCAGCCCCCATCCCCTTCTCCAACATGATTATAAATCAAACTGGTTTTGACAAGCTGAGTTAAACCCCATTGACTCTAGAAGGACAGTATAGAAAAATCTATATTTATATCTATGTATCTAACATACACATGTATATTATATATTTTTTTAAAGGTTTTCATGTTAGGTTTTCTTTCCTGCAGTATTCTCCTATATACCTTACCATACTCTACTCCTTTTACATCACAATATCTCTTCCAATCCCACCTTTACCCAATTCCCATATCCATCTCCTTTATGGGACCCTCATTATCTCATCCTTCCTCAGAACTCCCCATGTATCTCCTCATACGTACAGACCATTTCTGCCTCTGGAAGTTGTGAGTCTGAAAGTCAATAGCAACTTCAATGAACTCTTTTAAGGTTTTGTTTTCTTTTGTAAGGAAACTGAAAAAAAGTAAATCTCTAATGGTGAAGTTTCCTGAAAAATTCAAGGTGAATAGGGGAGATATTAGGGGCCTAGGATAGAGCTTTCCTGCATCTTTTAATAACATCACACATGTTCCTCTTTCCATGTAAGGTCAAGCCTCTGTGGATGGGACAGACAGATTCAAGGGAATCTTGTCCTATAACTTTTGGTACCATTGGCTCCTGGGGTATATATGAAGTCTTCTGAGTGACCTAGAAATCATAGTAACAGCTCATATTTATTAGGACTTACCCTGTGTAGGACACTGTTTTAACTTTGTGAGAAATGTACTTTTTTTTAAAATCTATATAATGTTTCTGGATATTTACCCAACATCTTGCTTTCTCATTAATGCATTAATCCTAAGATTTATCTTGCCATTAAATAGCTGACTAAAAGATTTCCCAAATTATTCTCCTCATGAGTTGTTGCATGCAATAGTCTTCTCACCCCTGTGAAATAAATTGGGCTGGTATAACTACCCCTTTTGAAATGAATCCATTAAACCCAGAGAAGTTGAAAAATCACACAGCAATTTAGGGCTGGAACTAGAGAAGAAATCTGACTTTCAGAGCAAGGTGTTTTTCGTGATACCATGTTGTCCCTTTTCTTTATAGGCTGCTATGCACAGTGTTGAAATAAACTACCTGGGAAAAGGCAACCATGTAATAAACTTTAAAAATAAAGAGGTATTAAATTGTCTCCTCTAATTTTTGTTCTTCAGTCATATGTTTTATCCCAGGATAGCAAATTGTTTACAAGCAATTACAGTAATTAACCATAAATACACCCCAGTGAGGCAAATATTATTATCCACTTTTTAACAGATGGGAAAGCAGAAGTAGAGAAAACTGGAATGACCTGCACAAGGCCAAACAGTGTATCTGCTACAAAAAGAGAGAGAGGGCCTGGGACCTCAGAAACCCCAGCTTTATCCTCAGACTTCTAGATGGTCCACAATCTTTAAAGAAGTTTTGACATTTAACAAAAAAAAACAAAAAAAATAAATAAAGGATGAAGGTGGTTTGTGACAATGCCAGGGAGAGAGATGGCAGAGGTAACAACGCCAAAAGGGAAACGGCTTGAAAGATGTAATGTGACATAGCCCAATGCCTCAGAGATAGCTGAGACAAGGTCCAGGTTCATGTTCGGGCTTCCTAGGTTTAGCAGCAATGTTTATAAATAGAATACATACAGCAGTCTCCTCTCAGAAATAAGGTGGTTAAGCTTTTTTTTCCTTTACATGTTCAGAATGAGTCTGAGCGCATAAAATGAAGATTACTGGAACTACGGAATAAAACAATGTGCTTGTGATGAAAATACAATTGCCCTTTCTGAAGGGCTTTGGGATTTGTGAGTCAAATGCAAAGTTGCATTAATATGAAGAAAATTACATCCATGGGAAAATGCTGAAAGACAAGAAGGCTAGCTTCTCATGCTGCATCTTTCTGCCCATTATCACATTTGACAAACAGTTAGAATTCAAGCAGAAAGTGGATGGCCAAATGGAGTAAGACAGGAATGAAACAATGGCATTAAGAGTTAACAAAAATGCATTTGAAATGAAAAGTTGGCAGACAAGGTTCATGTCACATTCCTGAAATCCAAAACAGTAAAGCCAAGACAAATACTTGTTTGATTTTTCTGTTGAAATATTTAAGAGATTTTTTCTATCCTATTTGTCATCACTTATCAATGTAAGATGGATTCAGCCTGCAATAAAACAGAGGGGATTTGAACGCCTTCCTCAGACAGCTTTATGAAGTTGTATGTATAGGACAGAAAAGTATCCAGACACCAATTCCTGCAAAGAAGCAAGAAGTTATTTATGGCACTGGTTATTTCTAGGAAAACTTGTACAGACACCATATACCAACCACAAGAGAGTGGGAAAGAGAAAGAGGAGAGAGAGAGAGAGAGAATACAAGCTAGAGAGTACAGCACTTCATTGTCAAAGTTACTGATTTGCATACACCTCAGGGAGGCAGCTAGGCACCTCCGATTTTCTCAGAAGAGGCAAGAAGATATTGAGAAGGGTATGTACCTTCTTGGAGAATTCTTCATGCAAAAATATTTTGGCCACATTAGAACAAGAATGGAATATCACTGCCTACAATGAGATGATGTTAGTTGGTTCCAATAGATTCTGAAAGTTTGCTGAGGGGAAAATAACTTTAAATGTTAGCTGAAATAAGCAATTCTAAGTCGTTTTTTATTGTGACTCTCACTCAGAATGCTAAAAAATTATGCTTCTATTTCTATGTCAGTGATGCGGGTCTTTCCTCTCTGACTTCCACCATTCATGAGATATTTCTACATGAATCAGCTGATTTAGGAATAAAAAAGAAGAATAGAGAGACAGACAAGAGACTTAAGCTGTGTAGCCGATCACTAATTAAAAATAAACATTTCCACTCAATAATAAATCTTTAGATGTTAAATGAAAATGATCTCAAAGACCAAAATGTGAATAAGTAGGGCAAAGTAGGATGATTGGAATAATAGATGTTGACTGTCAGCTCTTTTATTTCTATTATTTTATTGACTTCTAAGTGTGGCTACTTAAATTCAGTAGTGTGAATTCCAGTTAAACAAGGCCACCAGCCTAAATGAAGGGGTGAATGAATGCACAAATGAATGCATTGCATGTAACTTATACCAATGCTCTATTTGCATTAGCTAGTCAATTTAGGAAATGTGATACTTAAAACCTGAAGTTTTCTTATCCCTGTCTTAGACTGTTCAGTCATCCCTCTCACAGGTGACATGTCAGTTGGCACTTGGTGGTGTGCAGGTTGAGACATCATGCAATTCCATACAACATTCAGCAATGGTGTTTTGAGGCCAAAATGTCCCCACAGACTATTATCACTCACAAGTCTTGGTTTGGGCTGGTTTTGATTTTCACTTTATATTCTACCCACCAAATAACTTCTGGGTAAGAGGATTCATCTGCCATTCAAAACATTAGACGCTGGTCTGGATAGCATCATTTTTCTCACTTTGAATACAAGTGCTTGATGAGTAATAGTGTTGCTACCTTCCAACACACTGGAGAAGAATAGGCCCCTCTGGAAGCAATTAATAATCCTAGTGGTCAGTACGTGAGCTATAGTTCCTGTTCTCAGGCCTCTAATTCAACAATATGACCAAACATACCTGTTCTGTAAAGTTTGCAATCCACTGCATGCTTAAAAGACAACAGCCCAGTGAAGGAGTATTTAATGACCTCCCCAGCTGATGAATCTCCAAATTTTCAACTTGACATTTAAGCAAAGTCACATTTGTACTCTGAAAATTTTTCCAGGTCCAGATTCTAGTTCATAGGTCAGTGAATCAGCTTTATTGGGTCTCAAGTCTCTCTTGTACTTTCCTGCTTCTCCAAACACTCTATAATCATTAGAATCACATAGTGACACCATATACTTTATGGACAATAAATGAAAGGAGCTATCTATAGCAAGTTGCTAAACTATTTCTCTCAATCTCCCAATTTGACATCCAGAGGATTGAGGTGTTGTAGGACAGGTGCCACTGGCTAGATAATTATTAGAGTTTAATTAATTTATTTCTAAGCCAGCTGCCACATCCTCCTTCATTGGTCAGTATTTTAAATTTCCTTTAAATTCCTCCTGCCTTAAGCAGCAATAACAGGGATTTAGGGAAATAAAAATTAATGTTTAATTAGGAAAGATATAGGATTTCTTTGTTCGTTTGTTTGTTTTCCTAATGGGAACACAAAACAAAAGCCCTTTGTATTTTTTTATGTTGTGACTAATTATCTTTCCATTTTTAAAATATAAGCATAGAGTGCTTCTAGAATTCTAGTTTCTTTTATAGTTTTAGCAGTCTCCCACCTGGACAATATACTTCTCTGCCAATTTTGATGGAGAAAACATCAAGATGATCTTCGGTAATTAGCCAATGCATATGGATGATTTGAGAATATTACCACCTTTTCTCACATAGTAATAGTTCTTTCCAGGAAGTGTGATACTAGTCACAAGCCCTGATAGACTAGGTGGATGGACATTGCACCTAAGTGGATTCATGACTAACAGTGTCATGGCCCACACACCTCAATTAAGAAAATAAGCCAAAAATACCCACCACAGAGAGTGGTCTGAATCTAACGCTGACACCCTCCACTGCAGGTTGCAATGATTTTGCTGCTTGATGGGGAATCATCCAGGCTTCTCTTGATTTGGCTCCTGCCTCCACTCTGGCCTTACAGCTCAAGGTTTCTCAGTCCTACCTCTGTGTGCTGACACCACCAAACTGCACATAACCCACTGCTCCTCCAACATCCCTAAACACCCTTACCCTGTACCCTCACATGTTCCATGCTGCTTCTCACATCTCTGCTGAGTTGAACTGTCTCTTTAGTCTGGAATGTTCTAAGTGTGCTTTCTTTAGGTAGTGATAATGCACATTGTGTGTGTTGTAATTTACAGTCCCTTACTAAACAAAATGAAATGGAACACCATGAGGTTTGCATTAAGAAACACTGAAGGCCTATTTTTCGATATAAAACTCAAGTTTCCATATCATATGGATTTATAATTCAAGAAGTAAACCTTTAATAAAAGATTTCTTGAATATAAAATTCAAAATGAGTTTTCTCAACTCATAGCTTTTTAGAAAGATTTGTTTGAAAGTACCAAAAAAATATTCAACTGGAAGATTATTAAAAAATTATTTCTTCTGTCTAATCAATGCATTTAATAGGCAAATTGAAAAACACAGAACCAAAAGCCATAGACTGTGCCCTCAAAAAGCTTAGTCTAGCTGAGATAAAGTTCCCATTAATTGTCACATTATAAAATGGCAAACTTGAAGTGCCAAATGGATGACAGGTAAACAATGAGTACAACTGGAAGAAATAGAAAAGAATTTAGGCATACCTTAATGGAGGAACAGCACCATCACAGATGAGGAAGTGTTCCCCGGTAGCCTTTTTGAAAGGAGTGTGGATGGGTTAATGAATTTAGGACACGTCACTCTATCTAACTAAGCAGAGTGATTGTGTTGGGAAACAGTGACGGTAAGTTTGAAAAGAAGAAACATGACTGTCCCAGTTTATTTCATGCAGTGTCTCCTCATATTTTTCTATAAAATAAGACAGTACACACTGAAGATGATTTGTAATTCCACTTTTGTCCAGCTTTGACCTCAAAGTGCACCTTCTCACCAGCATGTGATTGCTTAGGCATGTAACAACTGCATATTCATTAGCTGATGACTCTGCTGCATCTGACCATCTCTAAGGGTTACGTTCATTATTACTAAGCAACCTGAAGGGCTTAGCAGTCACAGCATAACAATTCATGGAGGAGGGAACAGCAACAACTTTTGCCCTTTTCATTTTTTCTTCTCTGTTTACGGGTTAAACTTACCATTAGTTTCCCCAAATTAATGCGCCTTCTAAGGGTACACTGAGACCAGCCATTTATTTCAAGTCCAGTTCTTTTTTTGTTGGCCAACCCATCTTATCACCCAGCTTTCTAAATTTCCAGGATAACATAAAACAAATATACATCAGAAACGCAAACACTCAGCTATACGTACATGGAGGAAAAAGAATGTTCGGTGAAGACTTTTGGTTACTGGTTGAAAAAACTTAACTTAGAATCAGGAGCCCTCTATGAGCTAAATGTACTTTAAATTAAAGTCAATAAAATGCAGTGAACTTTTCTGCAAATATTGACAACTAGTAATCTTTAGCCACATTCAAAATATAGACTGAATACAGAGCCAGTGAAAGTGAGTCAGAACCCATGACCTGATGTTCATAATCTGAATTATGGCTTAAATTTATAACTTTATATTTCCTAATGAGACAAAGAACAGGAAACTAACATCTGTAAGGTTACATACTATTACTTAGTATCCAAAATAAAAATGGTCTTAGTTTTAATGCTACTCTTTTTTTGCTCTGAGATCCTTTTAAAATATTATATCATATTTCAAGATACTATATTTAAATTATTTTCTTAAAGTTTATAACAATTGGGCACAGAGATGTGACTCTTAGAATTTTCTTTCCACTATCCCATTTTCCATTTTCCAGGAGTACTTCACATCTGCTCCTTAAGATTCCTTTTCAGTACACGCTAGAAAGACGTTCTTGAACTTGTCCACAGCTATTTCTAATTTGTCTGATCTTCATCAGTCAGTTTAAAGGAGCATAAAATGTCATCTGCCTCATCCGTCACTGTGTGTGTGTGTGTGTTAATGTATTTATCTGATTCACTTCCCCTGAGTCGTCTAAGCTTGATGCAGTTCTGAATCTTTCCCATCTCCTAATTTATTTCAGTCACTCCTCGGGTGTAGTGGAGCTGAATTTTTCAGGTAGACTCATCTGAAAAGATGCCATGCTCTAGCAATTCTATAAGCAATTATCATCTTAATAGCTTGCAAATCCTGCTTTGTATATTCACTGTTGGTCTACTTCCAGACAGAGGTCCATTTTTCCCTAAGCCCTTGACATAGTATTTTCAGAAGCCTTCACAATGGAGGAGTTGTTTGACTCCTTTGGGATGGTCAGAAATAGTTAATGATGCTGTATCATCATAAGAGGTTGGTATGAACATTTGGTGGTAGTATGACCACAATTGCTACTACTGAAAATTTCAGCTCAACCTCCTGCTATAGCTGACATGGCGTAATGGAATGGTCAAACCTACTACTTTTCAGATAAGGTTAATATGGTTCTCAGTGTCAAGAGAACCTTCTTCATCACCACCATCATCAAAATCTATTATGATTATAATTACTTCATCAGAATGTAACATTTACTACAGGCTTCTAACACTTAGAGTCTTACATTAGGTTTTATGCATACTAACAGGGAGAGTGATATAATAAGATAAATATCAACATAAAGTAGCAGATGCTGTTTCTCAAATGAATAATACAGATAGGGATTCTAGGGCAGTAACAGAACAGTAAGAAAAGACACCAGGACACCAGGGAGCTTTTGGAATACCAGCTGGGCCTGAAAGACAGGAATGAGTATGCATAGAGAAGATCAGAGAATGACCTGGTCAGTGGTGTGGCAGTCATTCTGTGCTGGGAATAATCTAGGCCAAATCAACTGATATGGAGGGCTCATGGAGAAGAATATTGAAAATTAATACTGTGTACTGAAAAGTCAAGTCACAAAAGGTTTTGAATTGTGTGAACTTTTACTTTAGGCTAGAGGAGAAAATGAGAGCCACAGCATTCCAAAGTGGCCCCTTGTCCAATGACTACTATTTCCTTGGCATGATTGTTTTTCTAATATGTGTCTCATTCAGTCTTTTGTTTATTCATTCAGCAAAGGGTTCTTGAGTGCACACTATATGCCAGGAACTTTTCTACTTGTCAGACACACAGCAAGAAACAAAATACAAACTTTATTGTTCATTATGGAGAATATTAGTTTGCTAGGGCTACTATAGCAAAATACCACAGACTGGGTGGCTTAAACAAAAGAAGTGTATTTTTTTTTCTACATTTCTGGAGACTACAATTCCAAAGTCAAGGTGATAACTGGATTGATTTGCTCTGAGACTCCTCTCTTTGTCTTGCAGATGGCAAGCTTCTTACTGCCTCATCACGATTGTCCTTTCTTGCACATGTGCTCCCCTGGCGTGTCTCCATCTTTTAATAAGTACATCAGTCATATTCAATTAGGACCCCCTCTAAAGGCCTCATTTTAACTTAGTCACCTCTCTAAAGACCTTTTTTATAAATACTTTTACAGTCTGAATACTGGGGTTTGGAACTTCAACATATGAGGTGTGCAGGTGCATATTTCACCCCACAATGTGGAGCTAACATTCTAGTGGGGAAAACAGATACCCACTGTCATAAAAATGAGCTCCTTGGGGGCCTCGTCGAGGGTTTCCCTATCATACTCACAATTCATGAACCCCGGAGTGGACATAGCTGATGCTCAGCCTGATCTCCCTGTTACCTACACACGTATAAACCCTCTCCCACTTTCCTGGCAACATCCAGGCAAAGGGAAGGGGGCAGTGAGGATCTGTCTCTTCTATGATGTGCCTGTTGGGACTTAAATTCTCCAAATCCTTCTCATAACCTGATTTCTCTTGACAATGATAAGGTCAAAGAACCAACACAGTGAGATTTGGCCTTAGATCCGCATACCCCAGGAATGGTCCTGATCAGAAGGCTCAAATAAGAATATAATAAGAAACAAAAATGCTTAGAAAAGAGATATACTATGTGTAACCTGAATTTTCCAGTCTCAGCAGTCTGTGGGTAAAATAAGGTCACATTAATATTAATAATCAAATTGGCCTGCAGCCGCGCCTGTAAAACCACAGATTCTCATTCTTCATTCTCCTGGCCTACACCCCAAGGTCTTTGATCATCTCTCAGTTATTTCTGGGAGGCCCCAGGGTGAGTCTCACCTCATGTTTGTTCAAGAATAAGTGCGCATCTGTTCTTTCTCTCTAAGAGCCTTGTAGAAGTCCACTGACCGGGATATTTGGGGGCAGCATTTCTCTAACACCACAACTGATGATATCTTCTGAGAGAGAGCGCAGCTCCCTACCACTGTGCCTCACCACTCCCTAGTTTCTGCCAAGCTTGGCCAGGCTGTCCCTTAAACTAATACCCTTCTCCAACTTGGCTTGCCCTTCTTCAACTGGATACTCAGGCAATGCTGCTATTTTCCCCAGTCTCAAATCCTGCTAAAGTAACCCCTGGAAACGGAGAAATGGTGCATTCCAGTCCCTGAATACAACCCCTCAAGCATACCAATTCATGAAAGCAGAAGACCCCACCAAGGGCTAGGCATGGTGGGTCAGGCATAACTTGCTCTCACAACCAAACTTCACTTTGATCCACTGATATTAACCATACCGTTTTCTATAGGAAAATAAATTTCATCATTATTCGTGAAGATGAACAACAATTATCATATCATGTATTCTATCATTTAGACATTGGTTACTTTATTTTCTGCCAAACATATTGTCAAACAATATTTATTATAAATATATTTTTATAGAGTCAAAATGAGTTTAACCTATTCCAATCATCTAATTTTTTTTTTTTTTAGTATCTACTGTGTGCAAGGTATTTTGCAAGAAGAGTTATTGGTATGGGTTGTGGGTGAAACAATCCTCCTTCTTTTTAAAATGTGTTAATGTTTTTTCTGTTTTCTAAGGATTTAGTGGCAAGGATACTGCATTTTTTCCTTATACACAAAGGATGACTTTCTTCTTTCATCTCAATGTTGTTAGAATCAAAGATAAATAAAGTGAATAAACTCTACATGAGGATCCAACAAGTCACATGTCTTGATGGCAAGGTACAGCAACAGACATCCAATTGATATCACCTATACAGTGGATTTCTTTTTTTTTTTTTTTTTTGAGATGGAGTCTCGCTCTTTCACCCAGGCTGGAGTCCAGTGGCATGATCTTGGCTCACTGAAAACTCTGCCTCCCAGCTTCAAACAATTCTCCTGCCTCAGCCCCCTGGAATAGCTGGGACTACAGGCAGTTGACTAATTTTTGTATTTTTAGTAGATACGTGTTTTCACCAAGTTGACCAGGCTGGTCTCGAACTCCTGACCTCAGGTGATTTGCCCACCTTGGCCTCCCAAAGTACTGGGATTACAGGCATGAGCCACCCCACCAGGCCATCACCTATACCATGGATTTCTATTGGGCATCATCTAAGTGGTTCAGTTAACTTTATAAACCAAGGAACTAATTCCTTGCTTTTCGCTCTTATCTGAACACATTTGAGATAAAACATCTATTTAATCCACTTCAAACAGGAGAGTCTAGTAAAACTTATGAAACCAGTAGGCATCAGGTAGATAATTGACTAACATTCTCTTTTCCACTATTTGCTATGTATGGCATGGGCAAAACTTTATTTTCCAAATATTCCCCACACATGGAGTATTAGGCTGATTTCTATGTAAACCCATGTTTGAAGGTTATCTCAAGATATATATTTAATCTCCAAAAATAAATTCCTCCAAAAAAAGTTAACACTGGTAAAGTAGAAGTAACCCTAGTAGCCCTCCATTTATAAGAGGAAATTTAGTGTTTCCACAGGGCTTTGTTGGGGAAACTCTCATGAATTGTTTAATAATCCATGCAGTAGTGATTATTATCTGAAATCATCAAAAAATCAATAAGTGTGGTTGATTATAATCATGATAAGAATTTTCTTTTGCACAACTTCAGAATTTACACTATGCTCTACATTCTTTACCTCATTTGAATCTTCCATTCCTGATTGATACATATATAAATATTACAATAGCCATCCGAGAGTTGTGGGACTGGACTTAGGTTAATTGCTTTATCCAAAATTATTAGATCAACACAGACTCCAAGCCAGGTTTCCTGACTTCTGTTTTCATTTTTTTTTCTGCACTGTCATCACTGTCCCATCACTAAAAGCTACACTTGTGCAACTCACGCACCACTCATTTTTCCATCCTTTCTCCATTTTCAAATTTTATAGCCATACAGATGTGAATAGTTATCATTGAGATTTTTGTAATACTTTATGTCAGCACCCTTAAACAACAGTCTTCTTAATTGTATGCAAAGAAATTTCTACAATAACATGCTTTCACTAATTTCTCTCAAGAAAATTTTTGTTTTGGCCTAAGTTTTATTCTAGACCCGGGGGTACATGGATAAATACCATGTTGCTGAGCTTTGGTGCACAAAATATCTTAAATCTTTAATATTTACAGCAATCTTTATGGCCTACAATTAAATTTACCTTAAGAATGCAAATATGCCACCTACCATAAACTACTATCAAACTGGTCAAGACATATAAGCTCATTGTTTTCAAGTAGCGGACCAAAGGAAAGGCAGGTGGTAATTCATAAGCGAAAGGGAACACGTGAAATGAGTTGAGACCCTCATTCACCAAGGCTCTCTGACTGGGGGTACTTTCATTACAGTGATGCAGGGAGGTAAAGCCCAGGCACGGCAGCAATCTTGCTGAGCTGAAGCAACAGACAACACCGTTCATGGCTGCTGAAGCAGCTGGGGTTTGCTGGGTAAAGCACCAGAGAAGGGAAGAGGCCCCAACATTCTGAATGGGGTTTCTTTACTGGTTTCTGGCTGAGGCTGGGCTGGGAATGCATAGGACAAGACTCTGTGAAGGACGTTTTATAGCAGAGACCACCTGCTATTGGGAAAAATACTGAATGAAGATGTCTCATATCACAAAGTGCTGGGAGGTGCTGGATTTCTGGTCAAGTCAAGAGCGAAGAGGCCTGAGTGCCTCAGGCCTTCAGTAGGCCATGTGGTAGGTAGGGCTGAGAAACATACTCTAAGGTAAGGGCAACAACTTAAGATTAAAGACAAAACCAAAAAAGAACAGCCTTAACGATGAATACAATCAAACCTGACATAATCTAAAGGATCCTCTGGTAATTTAACTGTCTACTTGAAGAAAAGTTGACTTTCTTTGGAAGCAGAAAATATAATCCAGATTCCAAACAAATCATCCCTCCTTACATCTATGGTACGATCAAAAGATTAATAGACACACAAAGAGGCAGAAAATGAAACACACGATCAAGAAAAAAAAATCAGTAGAAACACACCCTGATATAACCCACATACTGGAATTACCAGACGAAAACTTTAAGAGCAGCTATTATCAACGTGTTCAAAGAATTATAATGAAACATGGTCATCTTAGGTGAATGAGTGGAAAATGGAAAATAAAACAGATGCCAGATTCCAGAAATGATAAATACAAATTGTGAAACGAAAAAGCCACTGAATGGATTTAATGGTGTATTGAAAACTGCAGAAGAAAGGGAATGAAAAACTTAAAGACAGTTCAGTAGAAATTATCAAACATAAAAATCAAAGACAAAAATATTTTTTAAATAAATTAACAGAGTCTCAGAGATCTGTGAATCAATAGCAAGAGATCTAACTTACATGTAACTGAAGTTTCTGAAGATAGAGAAACAGAATGAGCAGAAAACTATTTGAATAAATAATGGTAAAGTTGGTGAAAAACATCAAAATTACAGATCTAAAATCTATGTGAATCCCAAGCAGGATAAACACAAAAAGAACCACACCTAGACACATCAAAATCAAACTGCTGGAAACTGGAAATAATCATAAAAGCTGCCAGTGGAAAAAAGACACACTGCAGACAGGAGAACAGCAACACAAAATGATGGCAAACTTATTATCAGAAACAATGAAACCTACAAGACAATGAAATGGCAGCTTTAAAGTGCTTTAAAAACAACACAAAACAGAAGAATCAACGCAGAATTCTCTATCCATTAAAAATAAGGATGAAATAGGAGGAGCCAAGATGGCCGAATACGAACAGCTCCAGTCTACAGCTCCCAGCGTGAGCCACGCAGAAGACGGGTGATTTCTGCATTTCCATCTGAGGTGCTGGGTTCATCTCACTAGGGAGTGCCAGACGGTGGGCGCAGGTCAGTGGGTGCGCGCACCATGCGCCAGCCGAAGCAGGGCGAGGCATTGCCTCACTTGGGAAGCGCAAGGGGTCAAGGAGTTCCCTTTCCAAGTCAAAGAAAGGGGTGACAGACTCACCTGGAAAATCGGGTCACTCCCAACCGAATATTGCGCTTTTCGGACCGGCTTAAGAAAAACGGTGCACCACGAGATTACATCCCGCACCTGGCTCGGAGGTCCTACGCCCACGGAGTCTCGCTGATTGCTAGCACAGCAGTCTGAGATCAAACTGCAAGGCAGCAGCAAGGCTGGGGGAGGGGCGCCCACCATTGCCCAGGCTTGCTTAGGTAAACAAAGCAGCTGGGAAGCTCAAACTGGGTGGAGCCCACCACAGCTCAAGGAGGCCTGCCTGCCTCTGTAGGCTCCACCTCTGGGGGCGGGGCACAGACAAACAAAAAGACAGCAGTAACCTCTGCAGACTTAAATGTCCCTGTCTGACAGCTTTGAAGAGAGCAGTGGTTCTCCCAGCACGCAGCTGGAGATCTGAGAACCGGCAGACTGCCTCCTCAAGTGGGTCCCTGACCCCTGACCCCCGAGCAGCCTAACTGGGAGGCACCCCCCAGCAGGGGCAAACTGACACCTCACACGGCAGGGTATTCCAACAGACCTGCAGCTGAGGGTCCTGTCTGTTAGAAGGAAAACTAACAAACAGAAAGGACATCCACACCAAAAACCCATCTGTACATCACCATCATCAAAGACCAAAAGTAGATAAAACCACAAAGATGGGGGAAAAAGAGAACAGAAAAACGGGAAACTCCAAAACACAGAGCGCTTCTCCTCCTCCAAAGGAACGCAGTTCCTCACCAGCAACGGAACAAAGCTGGATGGAGAATGACTTTGACAAGCTGAGAGAAGAAGGCTTTAGACGATCAAATTACTCTGAGCTACGGGAGGCCATTCAAACCAAAGGCAAAGAAGTTGAAAACTTTGAAAAAAATTTAGAAGAATGTATAACTAGAATAACCAATACAGAGAAGTGCTTAAAGGAGCTGATGGAGCTGAAAACCAAGGCTCGAGAGCTACGTGAAGAATGCAGAAGCCTCAGGAGCCGATGTGATCAACTGGAAGAAAGGGTATTAGCAATGGAAGATGAAATGAATGAAATGAAGCGAGAAGGGAAGTTTAGAGAAAAAAGAATAAAAAAAAAATGAGCAAAGCCTCCAAGAAATATGGGACTATGTGAAAAGACCAAATCTACGTCTGATTGGTGTACCTGAAAGTGATGGGGAGAATGGAACCAAGTTGGAAAACATTCTGCAGGATATTATCCAGGAGAACTTCCCCAATCTAGCAAGGCAGGCCAACGTTCAGATTCAGGAAATACAGAGAACGCCACAAAGATACTCCTCGAGAGGAGCAACTCCAAGACACATAATTGTCAGATTCACCAAAGTTGAAATGAAGGAAAAAATGTTAAGGGCAGCCAGAGAGAAAGGTCAGGTTACCCTCAAAGGGAAGCCCATCAGACTAACAGCGGATCTCTCAGCAGAAACCCTACAAGCCAGAAGAGAGTGGTGGCCAATATTCAACATTCTTAAAGAAAAGAATTTTCAACCCAGAATTTCATATCCAGCCAAACTAAGCTTCATAAGTGAAGGAGAAATAAAATCCTTTACAGACAAGCAAATGCTGAGAGATTTTGTCACCACCAAGCCTGCCCTAAAAGAGCTCCTGAAGGAAGCGCTAAACATGGAAAGGAACAACCGGTACCAGCTGCTGCAAAATCATGCCAAAATGTAAAGACCATCGAGACTAGGAAGAAACTGCATCAACTAACGAGCAAAATAACCAGCTAACATCATAATGACAGGATCAGATTCACACATAACCATATTAACTTTAAATGTAAATGGACTAAATGCTCCAATTAAAAGACACAGACTGGCAAATTGGATAAAGAGTCAAGACCCATCAGTGTGCTGTATTCAGGAAACCCATCTCATGAGCAGAGACACACATAGGCTCAAAATAAAAGGATGGAGGAAGATCTACCAAGCAAATGGAAAACAAAAAAAGGCAGAGGTTGCAATCCTAGTCTCTGATAAAACAGACTTTAAACCAACAAAGATCAAAAGAGACAAAGAAGGCCATTACATAACGGTAAAGGGATCAATTCAACAAGAAGAGCTAACTATCCTAAATATATATGCACCCAATACAGGAGCACCCAGATTCATAAAGCAAGTCCTGAGTGACCTACAAAGAGACTTAGACTCCCACACATTAATAATGGGAGACTTTAACACCCCACTGTCAACATTAGACAGATCAACGAGACAGAAAGTCAACAAGGATACCCAGGAATTGAACTCAGCTCTGCACCAAGCGGACCTAATAGACATCTACAGAACTCTCCACCCTAAATCAACAGAATATACATTTTTTTCAGCACCACACCACACCTATTCCAAAATTGACCACATAGTTGGAAGTAAAGCTCTCCTCAGCAAATGTAAAAGAACAGAGATTATAACAAACTATCTCTCAGACCACAGTGCAATCAAACTAGAACTCAGAACTAAGAATCTCACTCAAAACTGCTCAACTACATGGAAACTGAACAACCTGTTCCTGAATGACTACTGGATACATAACGAAATGAAGGAAGAAATAAAGATGTTCTTTGAAACCAACGAGAACAAAGACACAACATACCAGAATCTCTGGGACGCATTCAAAGCAGTGTGTAGAGGGAAATTTATAGCACTAAATGCCCACAAGAGAAAGCAGGAAAGATCCAAAATTGACACACTAACATCAAAATTAAAAGAACTAGAAAAGCAAGAGCAAACACATTCAAAAGCTAGCAGAAGGCAAGAAATAACTAAAATCAGAGCAGAACTGAAGGAAATAGAGACACAAAAAACCCTTCAAAAAATTAATGAATCCAGGAGCTGGTTTTTTGAAAGGATCAACAAAATTGATGGACCGCTAGCAAGACTAATAAAGAAAAAAAGAGAGAAGAATCAAATAGACACAATAAAAAATGATAAAGGGGATATCACCACCGATCCCACAGAAATACAAACTACCATCAGAGAATACTACAAACACCTCTACGCAAATAAACTAGAAAATCTAGAAGAAATGGATAAATTCCTCGACACATACAATCTCCCAAGACTAAACCAGGAAGAAGTTGAATCTCTGCATAGACCAATAACAGGAGCTGAAATTGTGGCAATAATCAATAGTTTACCAACCAAAAAGAGTCCAGGACCAGATGGATTCACAGCCGAATTCTACCAGAGGTACAAGGAGGAACTGGTACCATTCCTTCTGAAACTATTCCAATCAATAGAAAAAGAGGGAATCCTCCCTAACTCATTTTATGAGGCCAGCATCATTCTGATACCAAAGCCGGGCAGAGACACAACCAAAAAAGAGAATTTTAGACCAATATCCTTGATGAACACTGATGCAAAAATCCTCAATAAAATACTGGCAAAACGAATCCAGCAGCACATCAAAAAGCTTATCCACCATGATCAAGTGGGCTTCATCCCTGGGATGCAAGGCTGGTTCAATATACGCAAATCAATAAATGTAATCCAGCATATAAACAGAACCAAAGACAAAAACCACATGATTATCTCAATAGATGCAGAAAAGGCCTTTGACAAAATTCAACAACGCTTCATGCTAAAAACTCTCAATAAATTAGGTATTGATGGGATGTATTTCAAAATAATAAGAGCTATCTATGACAAACCCACAGCCAATATCATACTAAATGGGCAAAAACTGGAAGCATTCCCTTTGAAAACTGGCACAAGACAGGGATGCCCTCTCTCACCACTCCTATTCAACATAGTGTTGGAAGTTCTGGCCAGGGCAATTAGGCAGGAGAAGGAAATAAAGGGTATTCAATTAGGAAAAGAGGAAGTCAAATTGTCCCTGTTTGCAGACGACATGATTGTATATCTAGAAAACCGCATTTTCTCAGCCCAAAATCTCCTTAAGCTGATAAGCAACTTCAGCAAAGTCTCAGGATACAAAATCAATGTACAAAAATCACAAGCATTCTTATACACCAACAACAGACAAACAGAGAGCCAAATCATGAGTGAACTCCCATTCATAATTGCTTCAAAGAGAATAAAATACCTAGGAATCCAACTTACAAGGGATGTGAAGGACCTCTTCAAGGAGAACTACAAACCACTGCTCAAGGAAATAAAAGAGGATACAAACAAATGGAAGAACATTCCATGCTCATGGGTAGGAAGAATCAATATCGTGAAAATGGCCATACTGCCCAAGGTAATTTACAGATTCAATGCCATCCCCATCAAGCTACCAATGACTTTCTTCACAGAATTGGAAAAAACTACTTTAAAGTTCATATGGAACCAAAAAAGAGCCCGCATTGCCAAGTCAATCCTAAGCCAAAAGAACAAAGCTGGAGGCATCACACTACCTGACTTCAAACTATACTACAAGGCTACAGTAACCAAAACAGCATGGTACTGGTACCAAAACAGACATATAGATCAATGGAACAGAACAGAGCCCTCAGAAATAATGCCGCATATCTACAACTATCTGATCTTTGACAAACCTGAGAAAAACAAGCAATGGGGAAAGGATTCCCTATTTAATAAATGGTGCTGGGAAAACTGGCTAGCCACATGTAGAAAGCTGAAACTGGATCCCTTCCTTACACCTTATACAAAAATCAATTCAAGATGGATTAAAGACTTAAATGTTAGACCTAAAACCATAAAAACCCTAGAAGAAAACCTAGGCATTACCATTCAGGACATAGGCATGGGCAAGGACTTCATGTCCAAAACACCAAAAGCAATGACAATCAAAGACAAAATCGACAAATGGGATCTAATTAAACTAAAGAGCTTCTGCACAGCAAAAGAAACTACCATCAGAGTGAACAGGCAACCTACAAAATGGGAGAAAATTTTCGCAACCTACTCATCTGACAAAGGGCTAATATCCAGAATCTACAATGAACTCAAACACATTTACAAGAAAAAAACAAACAAACCCATCAAAAAGTGGGCGAAGGACATGAACAGACACTTCTCAAAAGAAGACATTTATGCAGCCAAAAAACACATGAAAAAATGCTCATCATCACTGGCCATCAGAGAAATGCAAATCAAAACCACAATGAGACACCATCTCACACCAGTTAGAATGGCAATCATTAAAAAGCCAGGAAACAACAGGTGCTGGAGAGGATGTGGAGAAATAGGAACACTTTTACACTGTTGGTGGGACTGTAAACTAGTTCAACCATTGTGGAAGTCAGTGTGGCGATTCCTCAGGGATCTAGAACTAGAAATACCATTTGACCCAGCCATCCCATTACTGGGTATATACCCAAAGGACTGTAAATCATGCTGCTATAAAGACACATGCACACGTATGTTTATTGCGGCATTATTCACAATAGCAAAGACTTGGAACCAACCCAAATGTCCAACAATGATAGACTGGATTAAGAAAATGTGGCACATATACACCATGGAATACTCTGCAGCCATAAAAAATGATGAGTTCATGTCCTTTGTAGGGACATGGATGAAATTGGAAATCATCATTCTCAGTAAACTATCACAAGAACAAAAAACCAAACACCGCATATTCTCACTCATAGGTGGGAATTGAACAATGAGATCACATGGACACAGGAAGGGGAATATCACACTCTGGGGACTGTGGTGGGGTGGGGGGAGGGGGGAGGGATAGCATTGGGAGATATACCTAATGCTAGATGACGAGTTAGTGGGTGCAGCGCACCAGCATGGCACATGTATACATATGTAACTAACCTGCACAATGTGCATATGTACCGTAAAACTTCAAGTATAATAAAAAAAAACCCTAAAAAAAAAGGATGAAATAAAGACATCTTCAGATATATAAAAGCTGAAAAATTTTATTGTAAGCGTACCTGAATGACAAGTAATGCAATAGAGTTATTCATCCTGAATGCAAATAACATCGGATGGAAACTCAGATATATAGAAAGTTAGTAAAAGATGGTAAATATGTGAGTAAATATAAAATATTATCTTTTTTTCTTTTGTCAATTTATTGAAAAGACAACTATTTACAGAAAAAGCAGTATTTTACTGTGGGGTTTATAATGCATGTAGAGGTAAAATATTTGACAATAATAACACAGAACATAGAGTTGGGGGACAGAATAAATTAAATAATACTTCTGTAAGATTTCCACATCTTACTTGAAGTGGTATGGTATTAATTCTAAGTAGACCGTGACAAGTTGAGAAAATGTATTTTAACTCTCATCAACCACTTAAAAGACACAGAGGTATAGCTTAAAAGCTTGTAGATAAACAAAAAAGAAATATTATAAAAGATTATATTAAACTAAAAGAAGCCAAGAAAAAAGACAGAGGGATAACAATAGATTAGTCAAATAGAAAACAAACAGCCAAACAATATCAACAATGACATGAAATATAGTGGACTAAACCCTCACCTCAGTTATGTGGTTAACTGATTTTTGACAAAGTCTCAAAGACAATTCAATGAAGTCTGTTCAACACGTGGTACTGACACAATTTGAAAATACATGTGCCCCCACCCCCAAAATAAGAGCATTATATCACATACAAAAATTAGCTAAAAATGAATTATGGACCTAAAGGTAAAATCTAAAAATATAAAACAATAAATCTTCCATTAAAAAATCATGAGAGAAAATCCTTGTGATCTTAGTTTTAACAAAGATTTTTTTGCTTGCGATACCAAATGCACTATTCATAAAAGAAAATAAACAAATTAATTTGACTTCATCAAAATTCAAAACTTGTCCTCTTTGAAAGACACTATAAAGAAAATGAAAAGATGGACAGGTGCAGTGGCTCACACCTGTAATCCCAGCACTTTGGGGGGCCGAGGCGAGAGGATGGCTTGAGCTCAGGAGTTTGAGACCAGCCTGGGCAACATTGTGAAACCCATCTCCATTTAAAAATAAAATAATAATACAGAAATTAACCAGGAGTATTAATGCAGGCCTGTAGTCCCAGCTTCTCAGGAGGCTGAGGTAGATCTCTTGAGCCCAGGAGGTCGAGGATGCAGTGGGCCAAGATCATGCCATTGCACTCCATCCTGAGTGACAGAGCAAGACCCTGTTGAAAGGAAGGGAAGGGAAGGGAAGGGAAGGGAAGGGACAGGAAAAAGAAGGAAGGAAGGAAAGAAGGGAGGAAGGAAGGAAAGGAAAGAAGGAAGGAAGTAAGGAAATAAAGAAAGAAGGGAAGGGAAGATAAAAGAAAGGGAGGGGAGGGGGAATGGGAGGGGAGGGGAGGGAAGGGGGAAAAAGGAAGGAAGGAAGGAAGGAAGGAAAAGAAGAAAGAAAGAGAAGAAAGAAAGAAGAAAGGAAAAAGAGGGAGGGAGGGGAAGGAAGGAGGGAAAAATAGAAAGAGGAAGAAAGAAAGAGAGAGAAAGAAAGGAAGGAAGGATGGAAGAAAGAAAAAGAAAGAAAGGAAAGAAAGAAAGAAACAAATAAAGAAAGAAAGAAAAAGGAAAGAAAGAAAGAAGAAAGAAAGAAAAAAGGAAAGAAAGAAGAAAGAAGAGGGAGGGAGGGGAAGGAAGGAAGGAGGGAGGGAAGGAGGAAGGGAGGAAGGAAGGAAGGAAGGAAAAATAGAAAAAGAAAGAGAAAGAGAGAGAAAAAGAAAGAAAGAAAGAAAGAAAGAAAGAAGAAAGAAAGAAAGAAAAGAAAGAGAAAGAAAAAGAAAATACCCAACTAGCTGCAACATTCCCTTAAGCCAAATCCTAATCCAAAACCAGTAGATGAAACAGTATTCTTACTGAAAGATGCCATCTAGGGCTTGTATAGCTAGAAAGGAGAAGTCAATGCTTGGCTTAAAAGCTTCAAAGGACAGGCTAACTATCTTGTAGGGGCTATTGCAGATGGTCATTTTAAGTTGAAGCCAATGCACATTTACCATTCTGAAAATCCTGTGGCCCTTAGGAATTATGCTAAATCTCCTTTGCTTATACTCTAGAAATGGAACAACGAAGCCTGAAAGTCAGCAGATCTGTTTACAGCATGGTTTACTAAATATTTTAAGCCTACTGTTGACACCCACTGCTCAGCAAAAAGATTATTTTCAGAATATTACTGTTCATTAAGAATGTACCTGGTCACCCAATAGCTCTGATGGAGATGTACAAGGAGATTAATGTTGTTTTTATACCTGCTAATACAACATTTATTCTGTAGCCCATAGATCAAGAGTAATTTTTACTTTCAAGTCTTATTTTTGAGGAAATAAATTTTATAAGGCTATAGCTGTTACAGATAGTGGTTCTTCTGATGGAAATGGGCAAAGTAAACTGAAAGCATCCTGGAAAGGATTCTCCATTCTTAATGGCATTCTAAGTTCCATTAAGAACATTTGTGATTTATGGGAAGAGGTAAAAACATCAACATTAACTGAAGTAAGTTGATATTAATTTTCATGGATGATTTTGAGGGGGCTCAAGACTTCAGTGGAGGAGGTCACTGCGGATATAGTGAAAATAGCAACAGAACTAGAATTAGAAATAGAACCAGAAGATGTGACTGAATTGCTGCAATGTCATGATAAAACTTAAATGAATGCGGAGTTGCTTCTTATGCATGAGCAAAGAAAGTGGTTTCTTTAGATGGAGTCTACTCCTGGTGAACTTGCTGTGAACATTGCTAAAATCACAGCAAGCGATCCACAATGTTACATAAGGCAGCAGCAGAGTTTGAGAAGATTGACTCCAATTTTGAAAGAAGTTTTATTGTGAGTAAAGTGCTATCAAACAGTGTCACATGCTACAGAGAAATCTTTGGTGAAAAGAAGAGTCAATGGACACAGCAAATTTCATTTTTGTCTTATTTTAAGAAATTTCCACAGCCACTCCAACCTTCAGCAAACATCATCCTTATCAGTCAGCAACCATCAACAATGAGGCAAGACCCTTCACCAAAAGATTGTGACTTGCACAAGGCTCAGATGATCATTAGCATTTTAGAAATGAAGTATTTTAAGTTAAGGTATGTACATTATTGGGGGAGGTATAATGCTATTGTGCAATTAATAAACTATGGTATAATATAAAGATAATTTTTATATGCACTGGGAAACCAAACTATTTGTGTGACCCACCTTATTGTGATGATATTCGCTTTATTATGGTCATCTGGAATGGAACCCATAATATCTCTAATATATTCCTGTTCTACTCAGCAATAAAAATAAATGAACTATTTATACACACAATAACATGAATGAATCTCAAAATAATCATGCAGAGTGAAAGAGAGGCAAAAAAAGTATATGCTATATAATGCATTTGTAAAAAAATTTCTAGAAAATGCAAACTAATCTACAGTGACTAGAAGCAGATCAGTGTTTGCATGGTAATGGAACAAGAAAGGTACAGAAAAGAGTGGGAGGGAAGAATTATAAGGCCATAAGAAAACTTTTGGGAGTGATAAATATTTTCCAAATCTGGATTGTGGCCATGGTTTCATGGGTATATACATGTATCAAAACATCGAATTGTATACCTTAATATGTGCAATAGCTATACCGCTTGCAAAAGCAGAAATCTAAGCAACAGAAATGTCCATCAACAGTAAGATACATATTTTGTTTTATTAAATTTATTTACATGCAGCAATAAAAATGTGAAAAAACCCACAACTACATGCAACAACATGAATGAAACTTCAGAACACACTTAGAATAAACATAGTAAATCATAGAAGCATGAACAATAACATTATTACAGTTGTCAAAATTGGAAATATAGCAAACTAAATGATATGTTGTTTTGGAACACTTCCAAATGTTATTAAACAATAAAGAGAAAATCAAAGGAGAAACAACAACCACACAACTCAGAACAGTGGCTCTTCTGGGCAGGTGGAATGGAAATGGAACTAAGGAAGGGCACTCAGAGTGTATCCAAAGGTAATTGTGATGTTTTATTTTTTAAACTGGGCGGTGACCAACCTGGGTGTTCCTTGGATTGTTATTCTTTATGCTGAAGAAATGGTTTGTATATATCAATTTTTATCTACTCAGTATTTAATGAAATATGTTAGGAAGCCTTAGAACACAAACACTCCATTTAAAAGGTAGACATTGTCAGATGGAAAAAACAAAGCATGGCCGAGCATATACTGTCTAGAAAAGGTGAGCTGAAAAATATAAAGACTAAAGAGGTTGTAAGTTCAAGAATAGGGGGAGAAATCATGGAAAAAATAAGCATAAGAAAGCTGGTGTAGCTACATTTCTACCAGTCAAAGTAGACTTCAAGAGTATCATGAACAAGGAGAAACATTTCACAGAAATCAGAATCAACGCGACAAAGTTATGGGAAGTGAGTGAAATAATTATCTGTAAACGCCAGGGCAGACTGACTAAATAGTGGGGACCCTGAATAGGAGTATATGCTTTGGTATCTCTGAAGTGGTGGCATGATAGCACTTTGGTTCTTTTCAACTTCATGGACCCTCATTTCAGTTCTGAATTCCCTTCTTCTAGAATTATTTTACTTTCTATTCATAAACTTCTGTCATTTCCAAAGAGAGAGAGAAGAACAAGAGAAAATCGTAAACAGCAATAATAGGACAAAAACAGCAAGAAATAAAAAGTAGGGTTATTTATAAAGCAATCAATGTTAAAACTATTAACATTAATAATTCAAAATGATACCTTAATATTTTCTCAAATTCTAAAGACAAGTTGTTTAGGCTGTAAACTTTTTATTTGTGGCTGTATTTGCAACTTGCTTTTTTGCTTAGTTATGTTTTCTCTATTTGATTCTGTTTGCACTTAAATCAGAAATACAAATATTGAACTTAAAAATAAATTGATACATGGTTGAGCTCATGTGTGATCAGAAAAATCGAAATCATTTTTCTTTTCAGACAAAAGTATTAAAATGAATTGCCATCCTGACTAACTGGAGACATTACAGTGACATGAGTAATATTCCAAGTCACTGCAAAAGGCTGCAGTGTTTGCTGATTACTCCATGGTAAGTGTGTCAGAAACAGAGCTTTGGGACAGATTTCATTTTCTAAAATTATCTGCACTCAGGAGGAGAAGCGGGCATCTTGATGACTGTGAAAGAATAAACAAAACAAAATAACTCAGGCATCTGACACTGGCTGGAGACCAGCACAAACTACCAACTTTACTGGCCCCTGTCCATCCAGTCTTCTCTCTTAATTTACTTGCTGATTTATACCATAAATGGATTTATTCCCTTTTTTCCCCAGCTTGTACTTCAGTTGTTCAGAGTCCGAATATGTTTGCTAGTTCCTACTCCTTCAGGTAGGAGCTGCAGATTTGCTTTGCCTGGGGTTGATCACAGAGGGGTCTCTGTATCCGCAGGAATCTCCTTTCTTCAAGCTTTTATGACTGTGACAATCTGAAGGACTATAGGCTACAGAGAGGTTGATTACAGCTGGGGATGTTAGCAAAACATTAACATTATTTCTAGAGTGAAAATATATTTATTCAGGCAGTGCATAACCATTGTTTAAATATTTTCTGACAGGTGAGGTATATAGGTTTGCATGTATTTGTGTGATTTGCATAAACCACACACAAAAATTCATCACATAATTTAATGTTAGTACACACATGTGCTCACATATGGAGAGGAAGTTTAGCAATATAAATATTTTCACCATTCATCATTTCAACAAACACTGATTCATTAAATATTTATTGAGCATCTATGATATACTAGGCCATGAATTAGATGCTATGGGAGCTACGAAGATGAATTAATCATAGACTGTCCCCTAAGCAGCTTATTACCCAGGGTCAGAGATATACCAAGGACTCAAAACTTTATTTCCAAATACAAAGTGATATATTCGACGAGAAGACAAATTAAAAAATGCCAAGGGAGTCTTAGAAGGGGAAAACTAACTCTGCAAGTGCAGACTGGGTGGAAGAGAAACATCAAATAATGCTTTTAAATGGGCCAGATGACCTGGTCAGATTTTGATAGGGGCATCTGGTGGAGACAAGTTACATTAAAGCAAACTTTGTGAACCAGAGTTGTAGAAATAAGAGAGTGGGGTGCATTTTCAAACAATGCACAAGCTTACAAGAAGGAGTCCTGGGATATGAAGTCTGTGATACAGGGGTTGTAGTAAATGTAATGGACAATGGAGAGTCATTCAAGGACTCTGAGTATGAAGATGACGTGCACTGAGATGTGAGCTTCTTGTTTCATTTACTTTCAAACATCTCAGTACTCAGTAGAGAGCTATGCTCTTAGCAGATGTCCAATAAAGAATAATAACATTTATAGTTTCCATTTATTGAGCTCTTATTATGTGCCTGACTCTGTTCTAAATACTTTAGATGTAGAACTTAATTTAATCCTCACTACAACCTTATGAGGTTTTTGATGTAATTATCTCTGTTTTATAGATGAAGTAATTGAGATACAGTCTTTAAGTTAAAAACTTAACCAAAGTCACGCAGCCTGTAGATAACAGAATGAGGACATAAGCCAAAGTCTCAACTAGGTTTCTCTACTCCTTCTCAACAAATAAATATCTATCAAATAAATAAGGGCCTTAATACACTGAAGAACAAAACATTACACTCTTTCATCATATGATTAAATGACAGATGAAAGTAGACACAACCCACTGAACTAAGTTACAGTCTTAGTTGTTACATTCTCAAGGACATAAAAGAGGAACTGTTGGTTCACGTGAGATTTCTGCTATCACCAGGAGAATGTGACATGTGGTTTTGTTTTGTAATTGAATCCTACAAAATGTGCAAAGATGGCCAGGCAGCAGCCATCAAGAAATGACCACCAGTTATGATGTGGCTGCAGTGTGTGTCATCCTATGCTGGGCACTGTGCAGCTTTGAGTAAGACATGGCAGAATCTGCAAGTGACCCTTGTGTGGAAAGGAGAGTAAAACAGAACCCCTGGGTGGTCCTCAAGATGTGTGAAATTGCCTCTTCTCCTGAAAGCAGGATCAAAATAATTCCTTACACTAGGATAATAAAATTATTCTGCAATTCGTTGAAGAGTTGGGAGAGGGAAATGAGTAGGCTATAGAGACATTTGAGGTTGGTCTACGCCAGTCACGGAAGAGGAAAATAATTATGTACTCTTCATAATTATAAAGACAGCTTAGCTCTAATGTGTGAAGTTCCAAAAAGTCATCTTTGTCTTTGAGGTTAATTTTTCTCTTCCCAAATGATATAAATGCCTTAAATCTTTCTATGAAGACAAGGCCTTAGGATTTCTGAAAAGTGACATCAATCCAGTCTGGAAGTACTTACTAAGCATTTATTATGAACCTGTCCAGGACCACCGTGTGGGGCATTAGAAGACCATGAGGTAGTGTGTGAAGGGAAGAGAGTGAACTTTGACACCAGATCAATCTCACTCCTGCCTTTAGTGGCTGAGGGGCCATGGTCCAGGCATTCCACTGGTCTGAGCTCATTTTTTTCATCTCTAACATGGAGACAGCAATAGCATCTATATAATTGGGAGGTGGTTGGTTGGTGAGCTAATAGAAATAAAAAATTGTTATATAAACACTAAAGTACTCAATACATCCTAGTGTATGTCTGTGTGTGTGTGTGTGTGTGTGTGTGTGTGTGTGTGTCTGTGTGTTTCTAAGCATCGGTTGAAATATATTTCAAGTTAAGCTATTGCTGAAAATTTGTTTCTTTCACATTTACTCAGACTACAGAGCCAGGTCAACAAGGTTTAACATAATCCCAGATACACCCATTTATAACAGATTCATTGGTGGAATGAATTATCCTTTCTCAAACTTTAACAGAGTCAGAAGGATGAATGAGTCAAAATTTCCCCATTCTTGCTTCCTCTTTTTGTGGGTTCATTGAAGAGGATGAGATAAGACTAAATACGTAATAGTAAGGACAGCAGAGTCTTTAGGGAAGTATTAGTATAGAATTTCAGAATTAATTTTGATGAGATTACACTATAGGATGGCACTGTATAGTGATTCCACAGTTCTAGTTACATGTTTCTTTAAAAGTGTTTATGTATTAGTTTGCTGTTGCTGCTGTAACAAAGCACCCCAAATGTAATTGTGCTTTCTTCTATAGTTCTGAAGGTCAGAAGTCTCACTGATCTAAAATAAAGGTGCAGGCAGGAGTGTGTTCCTTCTAGAGCCTCTAAATGAGAATCAATTCCTTGCCTTTCCTGGCTTCTAGAGGCTGCTCACCTTCCTTGGCTGGTGGCCAAAGCCAGCAATTAGATCATCATTCTAGCCTCTGCTTTTTTCTCTCCTGCCTCTTTCTTCCCTTGATAAAGATCATTGTGATTCCAATGTGTCCATTCACATAATACAAGATGATCTTTTCTCCAGATTCTTAATTTAATCACATCTGCAAAGTGCAAAGTCTATTTTGTCAAGTAAGGTGACTAGGGGTTAACTAGTTTTCTCTACTGCCGCTTAACAAATATCCATTAAACAAATAGATATGTGGACATCTTTGAAGGCCATTATTCTACTGGTAACAGTTTTGTGTTGTTTTCCAGCCCTGACCTCCCTCTCCTGAGGCCAGCATTGTCACTGGGCCACAGAGATATCACATTAGCCTTTGAAATAACTCTAACCATGAGCAAAGTTGCTCACCTAGGAAAGGAAGTATTCTGAGGATGGTCAGTGGTAGAATTGGTTTGGTCCAGCTACTTAGGTTTGCAGAGCTGTCTCCCTTTGTATCTCAGCTAGGCAAGTCTTCACACTGGCTTTCTAAAAGCAGCCCCAATTCAGGCAGACACATAATACATTTTGAATTGTTCAGTTTGAGAATGTAGCCACCCCAAAGGACAGAGATGACAGTGACCTGCTGTCCTTCCAGAAAATCGGCCTTGTGTACAACACTTGGTCTCATTGCATATGGGTTGCTTAATAAACCAGAATAGTCATGTTTCCTTCAGTCATATTCCTATAACTGCAGCCAAAGAAAAATAGTGCTGAAGAAAAGGCTTTTATTATCTTTTATTTTACCCTCTAAAATCTAATTCAGAGCATGAGGAGAAATGTACGCACAGAGCCAAATTTCATGTTCATTAATGTAATTGGACATTAGTGCCGTAGCCACGTCCTCTCACTCAGCAGCGAAAATGACCCTCTTCCTGTGTTATCATCAATAACGGCATGGTGATGTCCTGGCTGGGACTGACCAGAGTGTAACAGAGCTCTCGGTCCCTTGGGCAATGGGGTGATTTTTATTTACAGTGACAAGATGATCTTTACACTTGTTTCTCTTTGGACTGTACACGCACAGCTCTATCCATAAGCCAAAATACAGCCAGGCTGGCTCTTTCTGCCCTGCACTTTACTTAACTGACGAGGTGTCAGCATTAATTTCTTGACTGTTGGAAAGTTTCATCGCTCTTGCCCTGGGGATGTTTTCTTGACCTCTCTAGTCCTGTGATTGGAAGTGGTTTGGTCTTTTCTCATAAGCTCCAAACATTTTCTTTCTCTTCCATTGCAATTATTATCTCCTGTGACATTTACAAGGACCGGTTCTGCTGTAGCTAGAGCTGTAAACATACAAGAACCCTCAGCGACCCAGAATTCTTTTCTGCTTGAACATGCCAGTTAATAATTTTAGGGGCTTTCAGCATGAATTTATGATTGGAGCTCTCTGAATAAGTATTTAGCTTTAAAGGCAGTCTTTGTCAGTAGAAATCTTTGAGAACATGTTTGAAAAAATTGTAGTCAAGCATAATTCTGTAAATAAAACATTTAATTATTCAACTCTACAACCCTCACATAATTATCGTTTTTTTTCTTATAACTGCATGAGTTTCACACAACAGCTGGAAATGGCTTTGCACTAGAGTTGATTTTGAGACTCAGGACAATGGTGAAAATAGTGCTGAGCTAGAAATGGGCTGAACCTGGACCACTAATGAGTTGTACCATCTTCAGTGACTCACCCATTTCCCCAGAACTCCATTTCCTTAATCTGCAAATAATAAGAGTTATAAGCTTAGTTAATACAAAAGTTCTCTTCCAGCTCTAACATTTGGGAAATAAATAAATAACCACCCAGCACCGTTCAACTTTTATTAATATTTTTCTATGGGAGTGCTGCTTGCTTGCAACAGATGAAGGATTAAGCAGTAGACTACCCCTTTTGTGCTTAGTACTCTGACGTCAGTGCTCACATATTTTCACCACCTGAATGTAGACAAGAAGAACAAGCTGGAACCAGCAGGTGTTTGCCCTCTTCCATGGAGAGATTCATTCAGAGGCCCAGAGGTTTTGAAGCAAAGTAACAAGAACACCCAGTCAGTCTCTGTTTTCTAAGGTGGATTCTCCAAGATGCAATGATATTGGTTAATTGCTAGATGATTTTAATATTCTGAAGAGATTTTGATTTTAAGTTTTGTGTTTGGAGAGTGAAACTTTGTGTTCAAGCAAGAAAAACATTATTTGTTAAGGCCAATATAGCTATCCATTTTCAAAGTATCTGCTGAATTTTCCTTTCACTGCTTTATCTCTCTTAGGTTCTCCTGAAGTTAAAACAGAAATTTGCCCTTATCTTCTATAGGGAATTCGCAGCCAGTAGAATTCACTCTGGTCCTTGGCCCCTTCTTCTGAGTGTTAATACTTGTTGTGTCCTTTCCTCTGGCAATACAGATCCTGTCCCTTATGCAAGGCCCAATGAATTCCTGGTTTGCTTCCACTCTGACCCCAAGATTCTATGAACTCCATGCTCTCATCTAGAGCATAAGGACATGCACCATGCAATTTAACTTCTGATATACTGTCAAAATATTGCATTTAAAAAAAAATTCTTTTCCATTAGATTATGAAGGCATTGATAACAGACAACATACTGCACTCTTTCTACTTTGAAAATAGTAAGTGATCAATTAATATTTAATAGACACTCCATGATTTTTGCCATATGGGAGGGATAATTGTAGATAAATATTTGTCCATATTGTTTTCAAAGTGGGATTCCTGAACCAGCAGCATCAGCATCATCTGGGACCTTGTTAGAAAAAATTCTCAGGTTTACTGAATCAGAGATTCTAGAGGTGTGACCAGCTCTGTGTTTCAGTAATTCTTCCAGATGATTTAAATGCATGTCAATATTTGAGAATCACCATCACAGACCAATTTCTAAGTCTCAGAAGTCTATCTTCAATAAACTAAAAACAATACAACTTTGTTACTTATAACAAATATGCAATGCATTTATTTGTGTTTGCATTAATTAATTCATTCATTATGTTGGTAGAGGTTTATTTATATGAATGCAATGTTTGCCACCCAGCCCCTCACCTGCAGTAGAGTGTACATAACAGAATCAGTAAAGGTTTTTCTTCCCCCAAAAGATTGCTTTTTATAAATGAAAACATGACTAACATCATCTTGCTAGAAGTTAATTTTTATTCACTCTCCTGTCGAATGTGGCTAAAGCCACCAAGATCTAATGCTATTCTATAGGTTACTGCATGGAAACTGGGGTGGCTTGACTGACTTAGATGGAGAGGTGGATGCTTCCTCTTCTCCTTTTAATCCTGAGATTTATTCCTACCTGAGCACCCTGGAAAGAAGACATAACATGTGGTCACCTATAAAAGAATCCCAATATATGATCAAAGTGCATTGTTCAGAAAATATTGAATTCTCTAGATTCATCCTAATGAGGAGTTGCATGTAGCCTTTATTACTTTATTTATTTATTTATGCCTTTATTGTTTTCAAGTACAGATTATCTGGTTTCTGCCAGTGAATCTTTATTGATGTACTATTAGGGCCAGTGACCCTGAATAATGAATATAGTTACAAACTGAAAAGACCCTGAGAATGTGTGGGTTTAGATTTGTGTGTTTGTGCATGAACAAACATTATCAAGGACGACAGTGAAGAGAAAGATTTATTCCCCTAGAATACATCGCCAAGATTCCTGAGGGTTAATTACTTCTTTTGAGAAATTAGTTCCAATCTGTCACTGGCTTACTGACAGGCAGTGATTTCCTCTGGTAAACACCTGGAAGCAATTGCCTTCAGCTGCTTACCTGTGATTCAGGTATATATAGGAGCATACACAACATAGGAGTTTCTACTTAAAGTTATGCAAATTTTTATTAACTGGGTGAAGCACAGAATGCTCGAGAGATTTGAGAAGTTTCTACAAAAGATCAAGTAATTAATTGATACAAAATGTTTAAGTACTTTTCTACTCACCCCATGTTAAGCAGACAATAGACACCTTCTTCCCTGTCACTTTGGGAGCATGTCATCTAAACTGAGAGTGCAGACATGGGAGGCACAGGAAGGAGGAAAGGAAAGAAGAAAGAAAGGAAAGGAGGGAGGAAGGAAGGAAGGGAAGGAAAGAAAGAAAGAAAGAAGGGAAGACACGAGTAGAAGAAACTTAAAGAAAACAAAAAGTAAAGAAATTGTATAGAAAGGGTTATATATAACAAAGAAATTCAAGGAAAGAAGATTTTGCACAAGGTGAATAGATGGGTAAAATTTCCTAGAGCACTGAGAACTGAGTTGACCCTAAAGGAAGAATAGATGGCAGCAAAAGGAAAATGTTTTCTACCAAACAATGGCCTCTCCAATAATTTCTTCTTTTCTGATTAGGCTGGAAAATGAGGAGAGCAGGCACAGACCTCTTTTATTTAAAGCATCCTGACTATTTAGCTCCTGTCAATGTACAGATAAATTATATTACCACTTATTCCCAATCTCCCAGTGGATTTGATACTTCAGAAAGGACATTTTTACTGCAGGCAAATTAATCTATTCCTTTTAAAAAATATTAGGTTTACATTGATATATTTAAGGAATCTGTCAATTCCTGCACAAACTGCTAAATCATTTGTGAAATTTAAAAATACAGCTGAATATTTAAAACTCTTCAGACAGTAATACATGAGCTTAGACTTGAAGAAAGAAATATGAATACATGGAAGGCATGAAAACTAAGTTAACCAGATTTCCCTAATTTTGTGGATCCATATGGATTGCAAACAATTTATGGAATGGAAACCATACATGGCTTTCCACCAATTATGCCATGACTGGTACAATGTACAATGAGAAAATTACATTTCCTTGATAACTAATATAGTTAGAAATGGCAAATAAGAATTTAGGCAAAATTCTTCCTCTTCCATAGTGCTAGAAAACTCTGTCACTCTACCTACTTCAAAAACAGCAGGTGTTTCAACATTTATAAGATCCTTTGGAATAGAATTTAGCAAATTACTACCTTCCACTACAGAATTTTAACTTGAATCCCATAAAGATGGTCAATATTATATTTCTTCCCTCTATCTATTCATTGTGAAGTCACTCCCTCCTCATTGCCTGGTCAATAAGATAGCAAGGAAATAGGATTTTAACTTACAGTCTTAGTTTTTTAAGAACAATAACTCATATTACTTTATAATCAATTACTAGTATTAGCATAATTTATCTATTACGTCAACTAACATAAATAGTTATCAGATGCCTACTCTGTGCAAATCAAGAGATGGTTACACACAATCTTCAACTTCATAAGATTTAAAATTTAGTGTTGGAAAGCAGGTGAGTACTTATGAGACATGTTAAAAATACAAATGGAATTGAGTAATAATTTGTGATCTAAAAGCTACAAATTATATTATAGATTAAAAAGTTAAGTGACTACACAAGAGCTTTAAAAGCAAGTGTCTTTTACAATTCTTTGAACGTAGCATGCACTCATTGAATATGTGTTGAATGATAATACCAACAAAGATACTAATGCAAAAAATATCACTTTTCTAAGTAAGCTAAAATGATCCAGGGAGGCCTCATTAAGGAAAAATTACCTAGACCCAAGAAGAACAGTTTTTCAACAAGTAGAATTTAAAAAAACAAAAACAAGCCAAAACAGGAAGCATAGATGAGAGGAAAGAAGATGAGTGAAGACTTGGACCTGCACTATCCAATTCCACAGCCACCAGTCAGATGTAGTTCATTCAGCCACATGAGCCACACCTCAAGTGCTCAATAGCTACTGTGGCTAGTGGCTACCATGTTGGGGAGAGCAAATACAGAACTTGCACTTCCATCATTGCAGAATGTTCCATTGGGCTGAGCTGGCTTAAACTCAAAAACACACTGAGAGAGAGAGAGTGTGTTGAGAGCAGGGAGAGTTTGATGAGTTGGATCTCTGTGAATCTATTTTCTTATCTATAAAATAAGTAAGAAAATAATATAAACTTTGCCACTTACAGTTCCAAAATTCTGTGTCTATGTCAACATGTAAATTCAGCAGAGCAGCTGGTGTACATAAAGGAGAGTGAAAGTGAAATTTTAGAAAGAAGAATAAAAAGATATTGTTGAGAAATTTTAGAAAGAATAAAAAGAGATTAACAAGGCTTGTATTCATCCTGTGGGCAATGATGAAACATCAGAAGCCTTTAAGGAGAGAATTGATAGTCAGTGTTGCTTTCATTTGCACATTAAAATGTACCTTTCATTTATGTAATAATTTTTGTCTCAATTCTCAGCTATCATTGAAAAATCTTATCTCCTTACTTTAAACAATGATATGTTCCTAATTTCCAGATGTGTCAGTTGCATCCTCTGGGAAGCAGATACTTAGACTGAGCTAAGAGTACAAGCAACTTATTGGGAGACTAACACCTATGGAAGATGAAACAAAATAGAAGACAAAATTAGGTAAAGCCTTCAGATTGTGATGCGCCTGTGAAAGAAAAGAGCAGTGAAAGAAGAATGGGGCAGGGGGAGAGCCTCAGATCATGATACACATCTGACAAATTCTCAGCCAACCCAAGGGGAGCTCAGAGCAAGTTGGTCCCTTAGAGGGGTCCCTCTCTGGGCAGAAATAGCAAGGCCCTAGTACCTCTGCTGGGCTCAATTCTTGGCTGGGTACTACGTATGAAGAGAGTGGTCTTGGTTCAAAAAGGGAAGCAGATCCTGATGGTGCTGCAACTCAAGGATGTTTGGTAACTGCACTCCTTGCAGCCAAGTGGTCAGTTCTGTATGAAGTGGTATCTGAATGGCACACCTCCATGGCTGCAACCCTGGCTTTCAGTGCAAACATGCCTCACAACTATTTCTCCACTCTGAAACCTCCCATTTGATTCTGTTTGGGTTCATTCTTTTCCCCAGAACAGCAAAAGGCAGGACAGATTGAAAACAGGCTACTGTTTACAAAAGTTAGGACATTAAAGAAGGAAAGGATTTGTTGGAGAGTTCTCAAGCCTGTGGTCCCTAAGTCATTCTTGTTAACTTGTGGTGAGCCAAAATTTTATACCTGTAACCTTTGCTCTGCTACTGGGAAGTCCTAGGTGGGTTGTTATAGGGAGCAAAAAGTACATCAGATGTGAAAATAGTTTAAAATTTAGTTATATAAAGGCATACCTCCTCTCTATTCACATTTATGTAATAAACCCTTCCGTTACCAGGAAAACTCCATAGCTTCCAAATATCCATTTCATTTGAACTGCTTTTTAGGTGATAGAGAATAACTCTTCCTCTTCCAGTTAAAAAGGAAAGAAAAAATGTCACACATGTGCATTCCTAACATTACACCAAGAGTTCAACCTGGAAATTTTAATACATTCAGACTTTGGGCATTATAAACAAGTTCCCAAAACATAAATGAGATTGCACAGTATTTTTTGGTTGCCTTCTTTTACATAGCATGAGCATCTTGAGATTTATCTACATTGCTGTGAATATCAATAATTCATTTCTTTTATTAATAAGTAGCATACCATTATATGTTTTACTACAGTTTGTTTACCCATTTACTTATTGAAAAACACTTGATTTGGTGACTAACGACTAATGATGCTGACCATTTGTTTCACATACTTGTTTGCCATCCATTTATCTTCTTTGATAAAATATCTATCCAGATCTTCTTTTTATTTTTTTATTCGGTGGGTTTTTTTCCTTACAATTGAAGGTTGAGAGTTATCTCTTTATTCTGAATACAAATTCTTTATTAGATCTGTATTTTAAAATATTTTCTCCCAGTTCATGGCTTACTTTTTCATTCTATTATCATGTCCTTGAAGGTCAGAAATTCTTAATTTGGGTATACTTTATTTTATCAATATTTTTATGTCATGAATTATGTTTTTAGTAACAAATCTAACCCAAGGTCTTGACAATTTTACAGTATGTTGTCTTCTAGAAATTGTATCGTTTTAGGCTATACATTAGGTCTAAGATCCATTTGAGTTAATTTTTGCATAAGCTACAGAGGTATAAATTAAAATTATTTTTTTCTTTTTTCTTTTCTTCCTTATTTTTCTTTCTATTTTGCAATATCCCATTATGTCTTCATCTACTTGTTTTAAATGGATATCTACTTGTTTTAAAACCATTTGCTAAAAAGGATAACCTTCTTCTACTGAATTGCTTTTGTAATTTTGTTGAAAAGCACCTATTAATATGTGTTTACATGTATTTCTGGAATCTATATTCTGTCCATTAAACTTCTTATCTACCTTTACTTCAATACCACCCTGTATTGAACACTGTTGTTTCATAAGAAGTCTCGAAACCAGACAGTACTGGTCCTCCAACTTTATTGTTTTTTTCAGAGTTATTTGGGCTATGCTGAATTAAACATCCAAACTAAACTTAATAAGAAAAATTTAAGAAGTTACTGAAAAAAACATGAATATGTAGAGCAATTATAGCTCAAAGATTTGTTTAAGAAACTTATTTTTTTGGAATATCAGCAATAACATGAAGAAGAGTTTTGTTATCAAAACCCATTGTGAAATTCTTCGTTAAGTGATGTAAACATATTTCCTGGCAGAAAGACTTCTCAGGACCTTTAATAGGATAACACATGTTGGGACTCTCCAAGAAAAAGATCCATCAAGCTTCATTTTACAAAGATCTTTGACTATGGGTGCTTTAATCATCTAACGAGACAATGTTCCACAGAACTTCTTTGGGAAGCAGTTAGTAGACAACAGAGAGTCACACAACACATAGTTGCTGTTTCTAGAGACTGTCTAGTTGGATTAGCCCAGTGAGAGAGAAAGATTGAGATGGGTAGAAAAGACAATTTGAGAGGAGCAGAAAAAGGAACAATAACTTAAGCTCTGGAAATAGGAAGTAGAACATTCAGACACATGTTATATATAGAAAAGAAAAAGTGTCCTATGGAAAGATTTAGTTAATGGAAAGGCATATAGAATTATCTCACTCCATGATTCCTCTTACAGAGAAACTTGGAAAGAAAAAAAATACCAAGAGATGTAAGTACCAGTCCTAAAAATGCATGAAGAGATGTGAAAGTACATAACATGATTCATTGTCAGAATGAGAGCTAGTGATGCAATTGCTCTCAAAGGTCAGAAGAGGAAGAACTCATGCTCAACTGGGTGGGTGAAATGTGTCATTTAACTCAGTCCAGTATAGAAAATCATAAAAGCTGCATCCTTATCTACCCTTTGTATGTTCATGGTCACTACTTGTGTTTGCACTGGGCAGTTCTTCCATATTTGAGACTCTATAATTATGCGGCACATCTCTGGTTGTTTGTTCTATTTGCAGACAGATCATCCTGGCCTTTGTATCACAGGAGGAGGTCTCTTCCAGACACACTTCTCTGTGCCTCTGGCCTTGTCACTATTTCCCTATCATTATGAGCCTAACAGGTTTGCACTGGATATTCCTTAATTTTTCATTTTTTTTCTGTTTATCCTTCATACCTTCTCAACCCTCAGCTTCTATGATGCTCCAATATGCTATAAGGGTTGGGTTTAGAAGTGCACAGAAGATGATTGCCCATTCAGGTATGGGGTGAGCTAGATTCTCCATGCGTGGCTTAGTGGCAGCTAAGCGAGGGGAAGCTTACATTGATCATAACCTCATATAAGTGAGAGAATGTCTTTAGTCTTTATCAGGTTCAGAAAAAAGTTACCCCAAGTAAAAGAAACAAGAAGGGATCAGAAAATACCATGAAATGGGGAGTGTTAGAAGCTCAGTCCAAAAAGGAATGGAAGAATTCAAAACTTTGAGCTTAAATGAGTCAGACAGATAATACTAAACACACAAAGGGAATGTTGAGGGCTGTGAAGTACTCAAGAGGGCATGCCCAGCCTAAAAGCATTTCACTTCATGTTGCAAAGCCCTCCTCTGGTGAAATGAAAACACCTCTAACGGCTCATGTCTCAGGTCAGAATCAAAAAGAGCTGGGCAATGAATCTCGTCAGAACCTTTACCGCTACATTCATTCAATAAGCAGGCATTTATTAAGCAAGAACTGTGTCAAACACTAGGGATATATGTTAAATAAAATCCAATGCTCAACTACAAATAGCTTGCAATCTACTTGAGGGACAAATATCTGTCTGAGAAATTAAAGTGAGACTTCCAGATGAGATGACACTTGATGAGATTTTATGTAACTGGGACTTACTTAGCCAATCAGATTTTAGTACTTAACAGCAGATATGAGAATTTCTTTGCCGACAATGGGCTGTGATGACATCGTCCCATTCCTTGTGACTGTTTTTATCCTGCTTGTTTTGCTATAAAAATATCCTAAGCGCACATACACACACACACACACGCTCACACGATCCAATAAATATCAAGGCTTCATTGGAAGTATAGCAAGAAATACCAAACTTTACCTTTTTCATAATTTCTTCTATAGCTAACCCTGCACCCCATGAGAAATGTGAATATCAAGAATGTGAGATGCTTTTTCCTTTGACACCTTCAGAATCTAAACAAGACAATGAGTTTTGATACATTGGATAGTTATATCTATAAACAAAAAGTAGATTTGAAATTCAGGATGGTTTGAGGACAGTAAGGTTAAATTGGATCTGGCTTTTCTTATTCTTCCCATCCTTCTCTGCCTTTGACCTCCAATGCCATGAGGAATGTTCTGGACCCACCCTATTGGGAACAGAGTCACAGAAATGCCTCTGGACCCTGATAATGGCTAGTGAAATGTTACTGCCCTTTTGGTGAAGATCTGGGCTTGTGAGGAGGGGTGGACTTGCCTGAGAACTTATTTTGTAACTGGAGCAGCCCAATAGACATACAGGAATTACTATTTTCCTCAACAGTCTCAGAAAAAATTGAGAAACACTCATTCCCCTTGTCTGCCTCTTGTCCTCATGGATTTTGAGCAAAATTTTTACTTTTGTCCTCCACTCAGGTAAAGTCTTGGCAACTGTGCTGCCCTTTGCCATCTCTTCACTTTGATTTGGGGCCAGGAGCAAATCCAAATTATAAGGACACGTAAAAACAGAGCACAGAACATTAGCATTTCCAGTGTACCACACCGGGAATCTCGGCATTTTCAATATATATTTAAAATAACAGAGTGAGACAAGCTGCTGCCTTCCCTCAAAATTGCCAACGTATGCTCCAAGATCTCCTGCATTTTGCATTGTGTCAGTCTGTGTCAGAGGTTTCAGGAAAGGTAATATAGAAGATGAATGAAAGTCTATCATTGCAGTGCCAAGATGAAAAAGTGACAGCTCATAATGAAAAGAAAAATAGTTTCCATTTTGGGCCTCTGTAAGTAAGAAAGTGACAGAGTCTTGGGAACTGTGAGCCTGAAAAATGGTCCCTTTGACAGACATGCCTGTAAGTGAGAGGGCCCCGGATATAATACCACCTATAATAGAGGGAATAATGATTATTTTAGGCATTTCATGATTTTGAATAAATCCTTGACTACTCCCCAGAAAATGGAGTTGAAAGGAATCTAGGAAGAGTGGTGGGTTAATTTAAGGAATAAATTACCACTTTTTTTCTTTTATGCCTAAGTTGGTTAAATATATTTTTGTCAAAAATGACCAAAAGCCAATAGTATTAATTTAAAAATTGCCTCCACAGGGATAAAAAAATTGCCACCCTAGAATCTTCCTGCAGGGTTTTGTTTCTTTTTGGCCAAATCTTTTAGAATTAAGTTCTAGATTAGTTATTGCAATTCAGTGTTTGCAAACTAATTGAATTGAACTAAATTCAAGCTAAGACAACAGTGTAAAATACTAATATATTTTTAAGTTCAATTCCAAATTTCAAGATACTTGGTATTATCTGAGAAACTATTTTCATTTTTCTTTAATAGCTGGTATTGCTTGGATGCAGCCTCAGATGTTAGCCCATTTGCAGCGTTTACAATTACTTACTCTGCATAATTTCTGTATCCATCTTAAAATAAATACAACCAGAAACACACTTCCAACTCATTTAACAAATGCTAGGTCAGTGGCTCTTCCTTGTACATTTGCTCTAGTGAGAGCACAGAGTATTGTATTGATTTCTTAAACTAGGCTATACAAAATCGTTCTCAGAATTGGAGCTCCTAGAGTTTCCACTCTCTTGGTTTCAACCATCAACTAAAAGAAATAAATGATCACTAAAAAAGTTATTGCTACCCACTGAGAGCTCAAGAGTGGAGCCTGAGGGAGAATGTGAATTTATTTATCACAGAGCCTTAGACCTGTAAGGAACTATAGTGGTCTCCAGCCTGGGCTCTGCTCAACACTCCTGGTGGTAGGGAATTGGATGCTTCTCACATGTCTATTCCCTTTCAGAGCAGCTCTAACTATCAAAAGAGCTTCTTGACTTCAAGTCCATATCAATCTTCCTCCAACAGGTGTTCTTTGGTCCTGTCTGGCACCCTGAAAATACAGACAAAGGATCTATTTTTGTTCTGAAGAACAGCCATGTGCCTATTTGTTAGTAGATACCTTGTTGACCGTGGACAACCCTCTTACCAATCTTTTCCCCAAAGGAAAGTTGAGTTATAAAGAACACCAAGAGGAGCCACAAAGAAGAAAAGACCCAGCTCGGCCGGGCGCAGTGGCTCACACCTGTGATCCCAGCACTTTGGGAGGCTGAGGCGGGCAGATCATGAGGTCAGGAGATCAACACCATCCTGGCTAATGCAGTGAAACCCCGTCTCTACTAAAAATACAAAAACAAAATTAGCTGGGTGGGCATGGTGGCAGGTGCCTGTAGTCCCAGCTACTCGGGAGGCTGAGGCGGGAGAATGGTGTGAACCCAGGAGGTGGAGCTTGCAGTGAGCTGAGATAGCGCCACTGCACTCCAGTCTGGGCAATAGAGTGAGACTCCGTTTCAAAAAAAAAAAAAAAAAAAGAAAAGAAAAGAATAAACACAGCTCATGTCTTTCCTCAGTGTTCTTCCCATGCGTTGTTCCCTCCAACACTCATCGTGCTATGAAGTGACCATGTCCATATCCACGTGGGGGCCTTGGCCACAAAAGAGTAGAAAACACAGTCTTTCTGAGTAACTGAGTTGTCATCCGGGTCAGACTCTTGCAGGTTTTGTTGTCACAGGCCAATTATTTTACTTTCTGAGCTTCATCTGTAGAATGGCAATAATTTCAATCTGTTCCAGTTGCAAAAATTAAGTTAGTTAGAATGTATAAAGCTCCTGGAAAATAGTCAGTATTCAATAAATAGTAGTTCCTGTTTCCCCAAGGCTTATGATTGAATTTTAGTTACCTTTGTTTTCTGAATAAATGGTGCATAATAGATACTCTGAAAATATTTGGGGAAATGGGAAGGGAGGTAGAGATGGAGGAAAGAGATTTCAATTTGTTTCACAATGGGGATTGCGGAGACAGGGCAAAGTCATAGTGTATAAATGGGGTTCTCAGCTTTCTTTTATTTGGCTTTTAAATACACCATGTCCCTAAGTCACAGCAGTGTTGGGTGTTTGAATACAGTGTCTGGAATAATCACTGTGGTCCATCTTCCCAGAGACTACTTCTGAGCAAAAGTCAAAATAGGAAAGTTCATGAATAACACTGGAGAAAGTACATTTTGGTATAATAAGTCTCAGAAAAATAAAGGCTAAAATTCTGAGTTAGTACAAAGAAGCAGTTCCTGATGCTGAGATTTATTAGTAAAGGACAATCTGTCCAACTAAATGCAGGCAGCTTCCGCTCTCAAAATAAAAAACCAGAATGGACAAAAGGCAGAGGAAGAGACTGTATTATTCTGGGAACAATGCAACTCTGAAAAGATGGTGAAGAGATGCCCTAATAGATCTTTCATTCCTCACACTCATTCACCAAGAACAAACAGCACAAAGAGAATGAGCATTTTCTCAGGGTGCTGAGAATAAGAAGAATAATTTCCTGAATGGAGCTTACTGTTAATCAAAGCGGTTTTTTGTGCACTCATAAGGGTATGATATGCAAAAGCACTGGATTATGATTTTGAGAGGGAAAATGAGACAAGAACATGTCTCAAATACTTGGTTTTTGCACCATAGTTTCCTGTCTGCTTCCTATTTGTTTGCTCATCTCCAGCCCAGTAACTTAGTTCTTGTACTCACCACTATGCACTCTGCTTTCATTGTTTAGAAATGAGAACCACCTTACCATCACAACCAGCACACACACACACACACACACACACACTTGTGTGTGTACACTCACACATGCACAAACTCCTTTCTATCAAAATTCAAATCACTTGCAAGGTGTGCCTCAGACTTAAATATCAGATCTTCTTCATAAACTTCTCTCAGACTCAGTGAATTCGCAAAGCACAGATTGCCACTTCCATTGAGCATGACAGTTACGGGACAAGGTGCTTTATTTTAAGGAACCAGCAAACAGATTGGTGTATGAAAACTTATTGAACACACACATGTGTGCACAAACACACACGAGAGAGAGAGAGACAGAGAATGAATGAATGAGAGAGAGAGAGAGCAAACTACGTTTTTTCAAATGGATGGTAATGAATAAAAACACCATAAAAAAAAAAAGAGTTGTGTTGAGGGAGAGATGATGTCAAACTGAGGAGGGGGATAGGATTTCAATTGAACCTTAAAGCAAGGATCTGGCTTAGATAAGCAAAGAGGAGAGGAAAGCAATTTCCTAGGTTTCTACTTGAACATTCTGCCCACAGACAGGGGAATTTCCTGTTGTTGATTCAATCAAGATAGACTCCATATTTAGCAGCCTTTCAGTGTAATGAATCATACCTGGTGGAGGCTCTCAAGACTCATATAGAATATCCAAAGCCACACACATTGCTGCCTGCAGTTACAGCTTTAATCAAATGTATAGATTTGTATTTGTGTTGAATTTTACTCCTAGATGATGGCTTAAATGGTAAAATGGCAAGACCTAAACTTTGCCAATGAAAATCTAAATTGCTAAGCTTCAGCAGTGTGCCAGTTATTAATTAATTGCTTCTCGGCTGCAACCCCAACTTGTTTTTGTCCTACTATGTGATATTTAAGCTGGCACCCTGCAAAGGACTTCATTTCCTTGTCATCTGGGCAGAGAAGGCTGGGTCTCAGCCTCAGGAGTCCTCCTCTGAATTTCCAAGTTCCTTCTTGATCACTTTTTCTTCAACCTGAGAGGTGGTAGTTAGTTGCTTTCTACAGTTGCCACCTCTGTTAGCCCCTAGAGCTCTTTTTCATCCCTTTTAGTAGTGAATCACTTTTACATACTTATCAATCCTTCATATTAAGTTTTGTCTGGTCAAATCACTTGTAGGTTTCTGTCTTCTAACTGAACCCTGACTAATAAGCAGAACTTGCTTTTCTTTAGGGGAGAGCACCTTTCATTTCATCTGTGAAATAGAGGTAAGTATAGAGGTAGTGATGAAGAGGAATGGGAGAAAGTTTTAGCCATTAGTATAATCCTCTAACCTATTGGGCATGTTATTGGCTGGTATTAGAGATATTGTGTTGCTAATTCTAGCTATGCTGTCTATTCACCTGTTTGCTCTCAGATTCATTTTCTGCCCTTCTCCTTCTCTAGGGTGTATCACAGGGGCTTATTCACAATTTTTGCCAACCAGTTTTTTACTAAGTTCAGCCATTGATGGTAAATGTTATGGAAGGAAAATGGAAAAATTCTGGTCACACCCCCAGCCTCACCGCCTCATGCCCCAAGGCAACCATTTTCAACATTGTGGCCTCTGTCCTTGGTTTCAACTCTTAGTGTAGGTTCAATTTCGGTCAGACAGCCCTGACCCTTAGTCTCTGATAACACCACCTTTCCCTTTGATCTCTCCAGTTCTAGGGATAGTAGCATCTTCTTACAGTTAGTAGCCTGAAATAAATTTCTACTACTGACCTACCTGGAGAAAGCTCTGTTTTGCTGATTGGACTCTGACTGATAATGCTATAAAGGTACCTCTCACATAATCTTCATCAATTCATGTATTTGAATGTTCTCTAATATCACCAAATACATTGGTTTCTTACTTAATTTATCTAGATAGTATCATGGTTGTCACACTGACATTCAGAAGAAATGTCAATTTGTTTCTCATATAGGTCTTCTTTCTTCTTCTTTCTAGTTTTTTGTTTCAAGTATCATAAAAATGAGTAAATAATGTAGTCAATAAGGGTGTCTTCATGAAATTCTACATCATCACAACGCACCTTCATATGCTCAAAGAAAATAAAAATATATGAGTCTCCATTAAAGCCACCTTTGTCCTAACATGCCTAGGTAATTGGAGCAAATACATTCCTTCCTCTTTCATTTATGAATCACTGGCCTAAATTCCCACCTAAGATATGAATTTAAAAAGGGGGAAAGAAAAAAGAACCAGAAAAGAAGGAGGATGGGTGGAGGAAGAGTACAATGACAGCAACTAGAATTAATTGAATGTTATTCATATAAGTTGTTCCTTTAATTCACATAGGAAGCCATGAGTTGGATATAATTCTTATTCTCATTTTACAAATAAGATAACTGAGGCATAGAGATGTTAAATAGCTTGCCCAAAGTTACCCACTGGGTCAGTGTGGTAGACCTGGTAGGCCCAACTTTAAGACCTAATTCATACACTTTGAAAGATGACCAGAAAAAGGGAAAAGCCTGCGGTTGGAGAGAGAAAGTAAAGTCCTCAAAATCCTCTTATGGGTCATTGTGAAGGCCTAGACATGCAAAGATGAACTCCAGAAGGGAGAGCCCTGAGGGAGAGGAGGAGAGGCTGAGAGCAAATCCCGCCTGCTTCCGACCTTTGTCTGGCTGCAGGCGGTAGGGAGAGAAGAGGTGCGGTGATAGCAATTGCACAGAAAACCTCTGGAGGGGAGAAGTGGCCACACGTGAGAAATGAGCTTGAACTCCGCAATGGCATCCACAAGGCCAAAGTGTCTTTTTAGCATATGCCATCCCCCTAATAATCAGGTAATTGCTTTGGTACTCTGGTGTAGAGGAGCCTTCAGTTTGGGGTACCTTATTAAGATGTTGACAGACCCTGGAGAGTTCAGAGAGGAGCAAGGAGATGATTACAGGGGCTGGAGGGGTTGATTTATGAAGCAAGATGGAAAGACTGGTGCTGTTACCGCTTGGATAAATGATAGCTAAGACAGGCATAATGATATCTATAAATATTAGTAGGGCAGAAGCAGAGAGAAGAGAAGGGATTCATGCACTACAGATGGAATACAATACCCTCCGTTTCCCTTTGCTGAACTTTCAGGAAAAACTTTCTGACAGCAATGTCATCAGAACGGCAGAAAAATCAGCCACAGGGGAAAGGGTGAAAGTGACAGCCCAGGAACACTTAAGACCAAGCTCCAGAAAAAATCAGTGTGCTGAAGGGCATCCTCTGCCCTGACTTAGGATTGCATTGAAGAGGCCCTTGTGGAACCAGGAGCCATTGCAGAGTCCAGGGTTCATCTTGCTCTCCAGACTTCCTTCTCATCCATCCTCTTCACACCAGTCAGGCTTATTCATTGTGCCTTTGTTCAAACTTTCCCCTTACCGCAGAAACCTCCCTACTGGTCTAAATCTACCCAATCTATATCCACAATTAATGAAAGCCTCGAGTAGCCATGGTACTGAGCTAAGGGGATGGATACAATGGCAAGGAGAAAATCATGGTCTTCAAACTGATGGTTAGCTGGAAAGCCAGTCAAGTTATCACATAGGTAAATATAGTGTAATGAGAGTGATGATTGATGTAGGGCCAGAGTGTTCTGGAAATAAGGAGGGGAGGTACGACTGATACGACTGAAGGTATGGAGTGATAATTGCTGAAACGTGACAATGTTAAACTTCACCTGAGCCATAAAAAGACAATGGTTAAGAAATCTCCCCACGCTTTCGTGTTCTGGGAAGCCAAAGCGTCACCCTTTCCCCTATGACTTGGAAAAGACTTTTGGTCCACTCTTCTCACAACTCCCCATAAGATTCACAAATAACTCTCTTGTTTATCTGTGACAACTCCAAACACAGACCTTTCTTATTTTGCCTGAACTTGCTGAAAGGCCAGATGCTGACCTTCCAGCTTTCTATTCTTCTCATGAATTAGTAGCTGAGGTTAAATGTTGTCCCCATGAAAGGAGAAACATTTCCTGTTTGGTTGACTAATTGAGACTTTTCATTGCAAATCATCCCACCTGTAACTAGTCCACTCCTTTCTGTAAAAGTCTAACACAAAGTCACACTGCTGAGGCACTCTGATCTTCAGATCTGAAAGGTTGTCCCTGTTGCAGTAACCTGAATAACATCAGTTTCCTTATTAATCTGATATTTGTCTCTGACAAAAGAATCTGGAGAAGTGAATTGCAATTAAGGAAAGAAGAAGAGGAGGCATATGGAAGGGAGTTACACGGAAAGGAAGCAACTCATACACAGGCCTGGAGCTGAGAAACAGAAGACTATGTTAGTGCACTGCTGTGACTGAAGGGCCACACCTTGGGAGAGGGGTAAAGTGAGAAATTAGACTGGAGACACATCTTTTATCACAGAGCATGACCCTAGCCAAAAATCTTTCCTGACTTAGATTCTTTACTATAAAAATGAGGGAAATAGTAATGAAGGAGATCACAAGGGCCAAGCTCTTGGCACGCGGTAGATGCTCAGGAACCAAGTGGCATTCTCAGACCATGCCTGGCATGTGGTGGATGGAGAAGTACTGTTTCCTAAATGGTTGGTGGACTGATGTTCCCACCTTACCTTCTACATTCAAGTGAATTATTACAGCCAATTCTGTTGCCAAGTGGATTAGAAGCCAATACAGTTGTGATCTCTTGATGTCACATTGTGTATGATAATTCCATCCTGCCTTAGGAGTCACCACCATGGTTCAAGCTTCTTTGAATAGAAACAAAAGCAGAGAATGTTTCACTGGAGAGCATAAACCCACAGTAAACTCTCAGAGCAGGTTGGCCAGATTGTGGACCTTAGAACCTGAGCAGGGCTGATGTAGTGTGCAGACCCAAATGGTGCACACTGGATGCGATATGGCTCTGGTAAGCCTGACGATGTTGCAAAGCCAGCCCCAGCTCACCACACGGCCACCTGTGGCAGCCACAGTTTGTATGGACTGGTTCGGAGGGATAAAAATGCATTTCTCAAACCAACAGTATGCAATGCAACATATTTTTCACATGTTTAATGGAACAGAAATTTTTATTTTAACTGACATTTATGGGCATTATGGTGTTCTGTGGAGAGAGCAGAAACCTGGTGGGGAGAGATAGCGGGTATACGAATCACATTATTTTTATCATAAGATTAGTGCATTCTGTGTTTTCCTCCCCCAAGGCTCCTTTCTCCCCCTCCCAGCCTAGAAAAACAAGTGATTATCTATGGAGGCTCTTGCTATACAAAGCCCCAGCTTAGTTAACCCTTTCTCCATTGCAATCCGGACACCAGAGATCCCGTTATTTAATGTTAATATATTGTTTTCCCACTGCCTGGCTCTGAGAGACCCAGATTCTTGGCGCCACAGACTCAAGCATCAGCCAAAGCAATAAAGAGGAGACAATTCTTCATTATCATCCCTGGAAGCTACACAGTGACAATGAGGGGACTGCCTTTTGGGTTTGCTAGTGTTTCTGTATACATTCAGAAAGCATATCCTAAAGTTGTGGTTTTAGTGACAATCAGCTTTAACTATTCTGGCCATCTTCTTCCTATATTTTGCTTTTAAAAACTAGAGCAGCCAGGCGCGCTGGCTCATGCCTGTTATCCCAACACTTTGGGAGGCCGAGGCAGGCAGATCACGAGGTCAGGAGATTGAGACCATCTTGGCTAACACGGTGAAACCCCATCTCTACTAAAAATACAAAAAAATTGCCAGAAGTGGTGGCACACACCCGTAATCCCAGCTACTTGGGAGCTGAGGCAGGAGAATTGCTTGAACCCGGGAGGTGGAGGTTGCATTGAGCCGAGACAGTGCCACTGCACTCCAGCATGGGAGACAGAGTGAGACTCCATCTCAAAATAAATACATAAATTAATTAATTAATTAAATAAAAACTGGAGCTTCCAGGAGGTCAACAGAGATAACAAATTTGAGAAGGAATAAGGGGTCTTTGAGACAAGTATGCCCTTTCCTAGTTCTCTTTTTCCCTTTTGTTCCCACCACACCCCAGATTAATCTCTTTTTCTTGTCTCTTCTTGTCCTGCCATCTCTGTTTCAACTGTTGTTTTTCTGCAGATGTAAAGAAAACCCTGGCTATAAATCAAGATTCTAATCCTTGCTGTAAACTTACCAAGCTGTGTAAACATGACTATGTCAATCAAGCAAGGCTGCAGTTTCCTCTCCTGTGGAAGTGGTCCTGAGGCCTTTCCAGTTTCTCCACAGACTGAAATTCCATATGCTTCCTGTGTTCCTCAGTCTCCATGGCTTTAAAACCAATTTGTGCACTAAGAACTTTTATGTCATTACTTCATCACTGATAAAACAATGTAAAGTAATGTCCAAGTTTCTGGTGGTGGAGTTGACTTTGTAAATTGCATAATTCAATATGCACCTCAAAGTTTAATTTCTAAATAGTGTTTAATATTTGCACAGCATCATTTGCTGAGCTTCCATGCAGCTGGCCAAACACACTGAGCCGACCATTCTCCTGGACATTGTAAATAAATTACAATTATGAATCAAAGAAATATGGACCAGTACTTGAAAAGCCCCAGGAAATCCTGCAAGAGCAGTATCGTATCTGTAGCAAAATCCAGATAAATGTTTCCTATGATGAAGACAGGCAAGGAAGTTTGTAAGACTAAGTTGGCACAAATGATGAAATCCCACGGACACCCCATCCTCTCAGCCCTGCGCCCATCATATTCTGTTCTTTGTATGTGAGTTTCAGTCATAATGTGAGTCACAAAACATACTCGCTGGCTCAGAAAACTGCAGAAAAGCAGTCTAAGTTCTTTTCAGCCTGGCTTTGATGGCTGAAAGGTATACCTCTTGGAACTAGTGAGCATATCACAGATGCTGAGCAGGTGAGCTTTAAAAAATGGTGTTCCATCTAAATAATCTGTCAGGCTACTGACAACAAAAAGCTATTTCTGACTGTAGCTGGAATGAGTGATTACTTTGATACCAAATTAAAACAAGCTTTGAAATTGGAAATAACCAGAATTAAGCTATCTCCAATGAATGACTGAGCTCCCCCCTTCAGTACATTTTCTTCTATATTAGCCGTAAACATGAGCTCTTCATTAATAGAAATTGGCTCATTGCTACTAGCCACAAGGGGAATCTATAGGATGTGTGGCACTAACTTCCAACCTGATCAAGAAGACAACTTGTTCTTAATGTGAGTGCTTTCTTGGGAACTTAAAAATTCTTCATGTCCCCTTTGGCTTCTTGCATATGAAGCCAATTGTAATGTTCAGCTTTTAAATGTTCAAATATTTTCTCTGCATGGGATGTTTATGACACCAAATAATTTCTGGATGATTACTGTTTTTAATAACCATCTAATTACTGTATTAATCAGAAATGTCCTTTTGGCTTATAGAAGGCACAAGGGACAGAGGTAAGAAACAAAGATATTCCTCTTGCAATCCCCTTGTACAGAACTTCTAAGCTTCCTATTCAGATGATACAGAAATGTTGCTAAATTGTGGGCTCAATCCATTGTAACTAGAAGATGTTCCAGTCTTCCTGTACCAATTATTCAAAGCATTCCAAATAAATGGGTGTCTCATGACCTCCCAAACTCCTGTATGTCTTGAACACTTAATTGAATCACCCTTTTATATTTTAACTTTATACAGTGGAAAATGTTGTCACTTGGCAGAAATTTTATTCAGACATTTTCTGTTAACTGCTTTTTTTCCTGATCCCTGATCTATACATGATGACCTTATACAGCAATGAATCGGAGAGGTTAATATTCCAAATAGACTGTGATTTTTCTTTGCATTTATCTTAGGTTTACCAAGCTTCCATTTCATCAAATGACCCTTGCCACCTATTTAGCTAGCAAATTTTGTGTAAATCACAATAGACATCTTCTCTGCTGCCCTCTCATCTCCTCCTCCCCTGGTGGTTTTTCATGGAAGAGATGGAAATGCTAGTGATATCTGTCCCAGCTCTTCTTCAACCCTCACTCATGTTCCTGGCAAGAATGTGTGTGTGTGTGTGTGTGTGTGTGTGTGTGTGTGTGTGTGTGTGTGTGTGTCTAAAGAAATAATGAAAAATAGCCAGAGAGAATTTTCTGAAGTCTTGGGAGTTTCATTAAAAGAATTGCACTGATTTTTTTGCATTTGATGAAATGGTAATTTTGCTGCTTCTCTTTCATACTGAGCTTGATGGACAGGCCCTTCTTTAATGTACAAATAATCTTTATGACCCTTGTAAGCAGGTCTGATGATACTCAGCTGAGTAATGTACCAGAACTGAAATTTCCATCTACTTGATGTTTTGCACAGGGGTTTTGATGAAGTCACTGTCACCTGCTATTAACTTAATATCAAGTCTTAATAGGGTCCCTTTCTCACCATCTCCACGCTGTTGGGGTCCAAATTAATTACGAAGTAAAAATTTTGCCACATAAATCCTCACTTCCCATGGAGGAAAAAAAAGTTTCTAACCTCATTTGAAGGGCTCAGAGAGCAGACTGTGCAAGAAAATTTGCCTTCAAGACACGTCTAAAAATTCTGTATACCAGTGCGAAAAACAGAGGACCCTGCAAAGTGGGGCTCACTTCCTTATGCTCAAGCACTGTGTCTTCTTTCTCGGCATCTCATATTTATTCTCATAAATTGTTTGACTCTTCACTTAGTGCTCCCTGGTACTGAGCTATGGCTGGAGATAACAAAATCTTCCCTAAAAATAACCTATTCTGTGAGAATTTTTTTTTAAATCTACTCAATAGTCATCTGGTATTACCTAAAATTTTACCATCAGAAATAAATTTGTTATTAAATGATAACATCTCTAAAAGGTCAGGAGAAAGGATGAAGAGTATGAGAGGATAAAAAGAACTTAATCTCTATTAGACACGTAAAACTTCATATGAATTTGTTTAGAATATCACTGGGAGTGAAGACAGGGTGTTGTCGTGTTTGGGAGAACATGAGGGCGAGGGTCATATATACAATAACAGTTGAAAAGATGGGAAAATCTTTCCAAAGGTATGGTAGAGTATGAAAGATAACTTTGCCTGGGTCACAATTCTGTCTGCAGATCTCCAAGGGCAACAGAAGAAAACAGGAATAGGGGTAATATTAGTGTCTATACATTGGAAAAATATGCAAAGAGAGATAATAATTAAAAGCTCAGATATACTTATACATTTTCATTAATATATAGAACCCTTAACTTTGATTACTTATTAGACACTAAAAAACAGATTATTCATTTCACTCTTCCTCCTAAAATCAAAAATTGCACTTTTGAAGCTTCCCTCAGATTCCATCATCTTCCTTTTGCTGTTTCTAGCCTCGACATTACTGATTCCAGCTGACCACCCCTGCAGCTCTTCTTTAGCTGCATTTATATACTTGGTTCCTAGAGTAAATTTGCCAATTCAGGCAAACCTAGAAGTTTGTGTTCCCTAAGCTCTTAGCCAGCGAGTGAATACTAGAGCTACTGGAATATGAAAGCCTGGCACCCTCATTTCCTGTAGAATGAACACAGAGGCATGACTTAAAATCCAGAATTTTCCTGGATCAGATTGAGCTTATCCTTCACAGGTCCTTGCCTGAAATCTCAGCCTTGCTTGGCTTCCTCCCTTTTTCTGGGCTACTTCCCCACTTTCTTACTAGATTCTCTTTAAAAAATCATTTGCACACCATCTCAGAGCCTTCTTCTGGGGAACCCAACTATGACATGCCATTTCCATATATATCCACTTGAAGATTTGGACAAACTTGAATTTATCATGGCCAACACCAAATGCATCACCGTGTCCCACTTACCACTTCCAATAATCATTCCTGTTAGGAATGCAACATTCTCATAGTTACTCAAGCACAAAGGTTTGGAGGCATGTTTAAATGTTTTCTTTTCACTCCATGATTTAACTAACACTGGTATTACATTTTATAGTTTACAAAACATTTTCATTTACTTAATGTCATTTGATTCTCAAAATAAACTTTGTAAATCTATAGGTTAGATTTGATCATCTCAGCCTCAAAGGGAGGCTTCAAAGCATAAAGAAAATTAAACAGTGAGTAAATTGAGTAATTGGTATGAGGACTTGTGCCTTTGACGTTGATTGACTACTTTTCGACAAAGCCAGATGTTCTTCCTTCAGGATATCTTTCAGATGCCTCTCTTTTTTTCTGTTTCTTCGACGCAACCTTGGTTTAGACCCGTGCTATTCTTTCTCTCGTTATAACAATGATCTCCTAAATGGTTACTCTACCTCTACTTCTCCTTGTTTTATGCCTGCATGCTCCTGCTAAATCACAACTCTTTCTCACTTTACTGTGATCTGGATCCTGCAGTCATTTCTAGTTTTAACTCTTGCTTGTCCCTTCTATCTAATTCTAGGATTTATTTGTTACTGAATTATAGCATAGCTATACTCATGTACAGACATGAGTACCTTTAAGTCAGGTGATGCTATAACAAACACCTAATGTGTGTGTGTCACTGACTTAGAAACTGAATGATTAGAGGCAATAAAACTAATAAAGAAAAAGAGGTTAAAAAGATTGACCAGGCATGGTGGCTCACTTTGAGAGGCCAAGGTGGACAGATCATGAGGTCAGGAGACTGAGACCCTTCTGATCAACATGGTGAAACCCTGTATCTACTAAAAAATACAAATTAGCTGGGTGTGGCGGCAGGTGCCTGTAATCCCAACTACTCGGGAGCCTGAGGCAGGAGAATTGCTTGAACCAGGGAGTCTGGGGTTGCAGTGAGCCGAGATCGTGCCACTGCACAGCCTGGCGACAAAGTGAGACTCCATCTCAAAAAAAAACAAAAATGTGGCTATGCATATTACGCAGTGAATAAACTTTGGTAGAACTGTTGCCTGCTAGAACTTGGAAGTCAGATTACATGTCTAATGAGCTTATGGTACTGGAAAAGAAGTTGAAAGACTGAAAGTACAGTTGACCATTGAACAACATGGGGGTTAGGGGAACCAATCTCTGTGCAGTGAAAGATCTGTGTACATCTTTTGACCCCTCTAGAACTTAACTACTAATGGCCTACTATTGAACAGAAGACTTACCAATAACGTAGTCAATTAACACGTATTTTGCATATTATATGTTACATATTTTATATACTGTATTCTTACAATAAAGTAAGCTAGAGGAAAGAAACTGTTAAGAAAATCATAAGGAGAAGAAAATATGTTTGCTATTCATTAAATGGAAGTGGATCATCATAAAGGTCTTCATTTTCATTGTCTTCATGTTGAGTAGGCTGTGGAGAAGGAGGAAGAAGAGGGGTTGGTCTTACTGCTTCCAAGGTTGGAGAGGTTGAAAAAAAATCCTTTTATAAGTGGACCCATGCTATACAAATCCATATTGTTCAAAGGTCAACTGTAGTGTGTGTTGGAAAGGTGATTAGGCTTTAGTCAATAAAATGTTCACCGAAGCAATGAAGCCACCTCTAGATCTGCACTGAAATTCATCCTATGCAGTCCTCTAGCTCTTTCCCTCCACAGAAACCTTGGAGATGCTGTGTAGAAGATAGCAGAATCTAGAGAGAGAAGGACTTTGGACCTCTAACTCAGTGCTGGAAGATAGTCTCCAAGAAAAAAAAAAAAAAAGGATCTACACAGGACTCTGAAATGAAAGAGAAGTAATCTGTTGTTGTGTTAAGTTCTGAGACATTGGGGTTTATTTTTATACAAAGCATGCCCTAGAGTGTTGTGTTTGATAGCCCACAAGGTCTACACCTTCAATTCCAGTACCTAGCACAGTTCTATGCATACAGCTAAATGTTCAGTGCTTCTTAAATCAAATAGAAACAAAAACTCATATTTGGAACTGATTTTAATGAGTAAAAAGTATACAGCCATTCATAGATACTAGTGCACAATTACTATATAAATAACATAAGAAATAAATATCAAGGAATAAAATGGTGATTATATTTAATATCTTGAAATAATTATTCTTAACAGCTATGAGTTGAATTATTCAATTATAATGAAATGAATAGAAAATAATAATTAGTTGAGACATTTTCAGAAAATACTCATCACAATGCCCCCAAATTGTTTTTTATTTACATAAACCATTAAGTAAATTGATGAAATATATAGCTACACTCTTTATTACAAATTTATTGCTTTCTTAGTTAACACAATTAAAAAATCCTGGTGATTATTTATTTCCTCAGGGGGTAGAAAATATTAGTCAACAATTTTAGCAAACAGCTTAGAGCAAGGGAAGTCAGGCTTACTGGGGTTTGTGACATTTACAGCACTTGAGCCTATGTTCATAAATGGCTTCTTTGCTTCTTCAATGGTTCTGGTCTATAGCGTCAGGTTCTGGTGGCCCCATCCACTGCATTAGTCAAGGTGAGTTCCCTAAACATGACAAAATCTGACACAGTGCCAGTGTTGCAATCCAGCACACACTATGGATCACAAACTTTTAAAGTGGCTTTTAGAGACATAACCTTTCCCATCCTACTGGTCTCCACAGCTGCCAGTTTTGACTCAGCAGAATGTATCAGCCTTCTTCTCCAAGTCCCACTGCTAAGAATTCAAGGATCACTTGTAGTAAACTCAACCTAACACATTCTGGGCCACTATCATTTAATCTCTCTCCACTCACACCCTCTGAGTGGCCTCTTCTCATTCCGTTCATATCCTTATGTCTGTCTGGTTCATTTGTACCCATGTAGTGAGATCATGGCTTTGTGTCAGTAGAATCCCTTCCAACTTCTCTTCAAGCTTCCCTGCTCAGCCTCTGGCACATCTAGAATTCACCCTTTTTCTGCTGCTTCCACTCATCCCATCCCTCCAACGGGATGCCATAACTCCAATCACTGCTGCAGCATACCCTGCAGGGAGCTATCCAGAACCAATCCTGGCTCCGGAATGCTGGTCCCCTGCCTCTGCTCAGACCTCCATTTAATCCTCTAACAGTACGATTATTCGCAGGTACGTACCTGTGCCTCACATTCGTGTCCTTTTTGATGTAGTTAAAGCAAATACTTAAAATGTAGAACATCAAAGCCAGTCAAGAGGATGGAAATGGATGGGTCTACTTCTGGGCTGTCCCTTTTAGTGCCCCAAAGCAGAGTCACTGTGTCATGCAAGGTTTCTTCTACTCTCCTAAGACACCCTCCTAGGCCCAAATGCAGGAAACCCCAAGCCTCAGTCTTTCCTACATATTTCCCACTCAGTCTCCAAATTCAACCCCTGTCCCATAAGATACTTGGTATGTCTTATGTGAATGGCATTAGAGAGGGGAGAAGTGCAGAAATTATCTCAAAAATTGACTATTGGTAATACTAAAATACACATGAGTCATCTTAACAGAGAGATAAAGAGTGATGCTCTACCAATTTTGTGCACAATTATTTATTCCAAGAATTAGGGAAGATAAAGAGGTAAATATTTTCCAGAATTTCTGGAAAACTATCTCCATAAACAGCAAGGCGACTTCAGCCTAGGTAATTAGCCTGGGGGATTAACCTTAATGGACATAGCACATTACTAATGCTCTGAAATGGTCTTGAATTTATTTCATCGTGCTTCCCATTTTTAAAAAGTTTGTGTGCACATATCGCTCCTCTTTTATGTTTAGAAATCATCATCAGATACTACTATACAAACACATTATATACACTATAAAATCTTCGTAACAAATAGAAGTTTTAAAGGATGAGATGAGAAAAGGAAAGAAGGGGAAAAAAAAAGAAACTCTCCCAGTTAAGAGTCCTACACATTCCCTGAGTGACAGGAATCCCACTTTGGCAATGAGTATACTAAGAAAAGTGTGGTAAGCTCACTAAAAGGATGAGTGGTATGACTTGGCAAAGAAGAGACATAAGTGGACAGAACTTTAAAGGCCTATTTCTGAATTCCTGCTTGTGAAATTTCTCTCTGCAGCTGGAACATGCATTATTTGTGTCTTTCTTTTATGAATATAAGACAGTGTATATTGTTATGGATGCCATGGATAGATCTATCATCATAAAGAAACCTATGGGATATTCAACATTTCCCAGCTGACTTTGTTCTCTGATTCTGTTGCCTGAATTCTTCTGATCTGATTTGCTTCCTTGAAGAATTCTTCCTCCCATTCCTTGCAAAACTTCCTTCTTGTGGATCCATCTACAGGAATCCTTCTATGAGAAGATGTGGAGGTGTTGGTGGGGATAGAGGATCCAAGTGCCTTGGCATCTTTGTTTCCGTACACTAGGCACCTACTAAAACCAGCTAAAGGGCATCATGAGCTGTCCTTGACTCTCTAGAGCACAAATAACATTTATCTCTGGGCAGCGGGCAGCACCAACGCGAGTTTTTGTCAACCTGTCAATTTTTTTTTTCCTTAAACAGAAAGCAGAGTTCAGTAAATAAAGATAAATGATTGTGCTCTTTCTCTGCAGACCCTGGAGCTAAACTGAACAGGCCTTTTATGGTTTGGCCCTGCTTCATTGACTGTTCAGACAGCCCAGTAATACGACAGATGTACCCAGCCGTTCCCTCTTCCCCGCTGTCCATTAGATTATGTTCATTTTGTCTGAGATGCCATTAGAAATCTCAAGGTCAAAGAAGTCGCAAGGAAGAAAAGAGGATGACTAATTTTTTCCTGCAGCCCTTCATTGCCCAAAGAGCCTCCAGACAGGTGGGCTCCTGCTTTGTGAGGGGCACAAAGAGGGGGGCACCATGCAATTTACTTAAAAGAAAATGCAGGTGTGCAATTAACGCAGACACACTTCTGGCAAAAAGCACGGCTTGGCATTGGAAGTTTTATTTGAATCAGGGGAGAATATTATTTGAGATATTTTCCTAAATGACAAATGAATGATTTACCTGCAGCAATGTGTTAAGAAAGAGTTTGTGGAGCAGAAGAGGCTTACGTTTTCCTTTCTGTCTTGTCTTTTCTTTCTTTCTCTTTCTTTCTTTCTTTCTTTCTTTCTTTCTTTCTTTCTTTCTTTCTTTCTTTCTTTCTTTCTTTCTCTTTCTTTCTTCTTTCTTTCTTGAAAAAGTGGTAATGGTGTTTTGCTCCTAAACAGTGTTTCCCTTGGGATTTCTTGAGAATATCATGCAAATAGGGAATTTGTCCCTGTTTGGCAGCTGTGATTATGCATGTAATGGTCCTTGAATTTATACAGTGTGTTACTCCTGAGCTCAAAGTACTTAATGCACATGGCCACATCATTAACACTTAAGAGTCACAGAATGTGAAAACTGGAAGAGACTGTGAGGATTACCTGCGTCAACGCCTCCATAGACAGAAAAATACACAGTGCTGTTATGGATCCTCTACTTGCTTTGTTCATGTGAGTCAGGTTATCCTTCTAAATAGTGGTAGGGACTATATTGTCTTCATCTCTAAAAGCCCTCACAGCATCTGGTTTAAGCCTGAGTACAAGAGAAACAGAGAGATGTATGTACACTGGCAATTAGAATTATAGAATCAAAAAGCTAGAAACTTAAACACCTAATCTCTTCAGAAATGTAAGAATTTTGCTCAATGTTCAGAAAGAGGCATAAAGAGAAAGTTATGTAAGAGGGCTCCACGTTCCATCACTATTAACAGATCCACTCTCATTTAATTTTTAAATAATTTGTGAGATGTGATATGAGAGTACTGTTTGAAGAAAAGTTTTCCATTGCTTAGAAAATAAATTGGAGAAATTTTTATATAGCACCCCAACAAGATTATCATCTAACATTTCCTTATGCAAGTCCATGAGAAACAACAGACTTTAATTCCTATTTCACAACACCTTGTTGAGTTGGGGCCATGCAAGGCAACAGTGTGTATGACACACCAGCAGAGTGACCACATGTAAGTTTGTGATGCTTTTGTTTCTATTCAATTGCATTCAAGAATTATGTATTGAGCATTGTCTTATGGTTTTCATTGTACTAGGCTGAAGGTTATATTGAGAACAAAATACAACTCTATGAGCTTTTCAATTTATTTGAGCAGAGAAAACTCACAAAATCCATAAATGACCCTATTTTTAAGAATATGAATGCCAATAAGCACAGTTAAGAACATAAGAGAATTGTAAAATGACAAATCAGATGAAAAGAGGAAAAACTTGAATTGGAGTTTATTGAAGTTATAAGAGATCTTGTAGACCATTTCTTTAATGGATGGGTAAGCTGAGGCCCAAAGAAATAATGTGACTTGTCCACAATTTCCCAAGTCAGAAGAAACATAATTGATACTGTTCCACACATCTCCTCAACCTCCAGTTTATTGTGCTTTTTTACTTTGTGCTGTCTTCTCTAGACTAGGGAGAATTAGACTATTTGAAGAAATGAGGGTTAAAACTAGGAAAAGAGAGAGCAGTTCTCCTTTGATATAGGAGGAAGAACTAAGATATGGCGCTCCGTGGGCCATGGCCAAGATACCTGACACAGGAAGACCTTAGAATTCATTTAGCAAGCAATCATTGAATGAGTTCCCAGTATAAAGCACCATACTAGACTCAATGGGAGTGACAAAAAATAGATAATACAGTTTCTGAGCTTAAGGAACTCTCTAGAGTAAGGAGATGAGAAGTACTCAGAGATGTCTATAAATCATGGTAAGGTGATCTTCATGATAGAGGGGCAATCACAGTGCTTCAAAGGCTGAGAGCATTTACATACAAATGACTGTCAAATCTCTTCTAGATTTAGCTTCTGCTTTCCAGACCCATACATCCACCTGCCTGTTGGCATTCCCACCTGGATGTCTCATAATCTCCTCAGTGTCAAAAATTCAAAACTGAATTCATAACTTCCACCCCCCTGCATCTTCCAAATCCAATCCTCCTCCTGAGTTCCCCATCTCAGCAACACACTTTAGTTTTCCACCTTAGTAAGTGGCAACACCATCCTGACACCACCTCCCATGTTACTCAAGCCAGGAATATGGAGGTCATCCTTCAGTCTTCCCATCCATTCACTTTTTACATCCAGTCATCTCTGAGTGGTTTCCTCTCTTGGATGGCTCTAAAAACTCAGGACTCAGTGCCAATGACCTAGTCCAAGACCCCATTATCTTCCTCCTGGATGATGGCATGAATGTACTAACTGCTATCTTTGCTTCCTAACTCCTCTCCTCCTCCAATTAAATATATAATATACACTCAAACATAAATGAACATTCTTTAACTCACATCTAGTTCTATCTTTCTTCTTACCATTGCTTTTAGCATTAAGTACAAAACTGCTTAACATCTTGCAAAGCTTCTTTCTCATTTTTCCCCTGCTCACTTTCCCAGTCTCATCTCCCACCAATTTTATTTCCCCTTACAATATCCCATCTACTCCATTAATATTGGGTTCTGCTTGATTCCTTGGTATTGTCATATTTTCTTCCCTTTGTACATACTGTTTCCCTATCTGAATCCCTGTTACATTCTTTCCACCCAGTCACACAGCCATACACATGAAGACAATGCAGATATGCATACATATTTCACACGGCTAGCTTCAACTCGTCTTTAGATTTCAGCTTAAGCCTCACTTCTTTTAGAGGAGTTTCCTTGACTCCCTAGACCCTGTTTCCATAGTATTTTATTTGCTTAGACCCTGTTTCTATAGCATCTTATTTGCTCCATCACAATATGTGCCTCACTTTATGCTAATTTCTTAAATGTCTGTCTTCTCCATAGAACTGAAAGGTCTGACTTGTGCCTCAAATTGTCCCTGGTGTTTAGCACAAAACACGCACATGATGCTTAATAAATATTGGATAAATGAATGATTACTCAATGATAACCAGACCATTTAATCTGAGGCAAGCAAGTCTCCAAGAGATAGAAAGGAGGACACTCTTTAAGTGAGAATTAGGCACATTGGAAGCAATTTAAAGGGTCCTTATCCCAGCAGGATGGTGCCATGCCTGGATCAGACCACAGCTGAGATCGTCATTTTCCTGAGCATTAAATTCATTCACAAATGTTAATGGGTCTGAAAAAAATAATTACAATGGTAACAAATTAGGGGTCTGTTACACTAACTAACTTTTCTCTATTAACGCAGAATTTACTTTGAAGAGCAGAAAGAGCCAAGTGAGCAGATTTCATAATTGCAGAACTTTATTTTCACTTTGCTCTAACTTTCCCAGTGAAACAGAACATAAAGAAAGCTTTTTGCAAATGGATAATTACACACCACATCTCAGGATTATGAGATACTGTGTAACCTTTTCTCCTCCTTTTGTAATGTGACCGAGCACCATCATAGAGCTATTCTTGCCCTTATGGGGAAAGAAAGCACTTCAAGTCACTCTTTATGTCTACAAGCATGATTTCATGTTTATTAACATATACTCATAAAATTTGTAATTTTTTGCAGTACCTGAAAAGATTATGTAGATCAGCTAATACAAACTTCTATTCTAAGAAGCTGAAACTAAGGTCAAGAAAAGTTAAACACCTCCTTGTAACATGAAAATCCTGGAATAAGAGAAACTTACATCAAATGAACAGTAATGACTGCCTTTGTAGAGACATGAAATAGAGTGTCAGCCTTAGGTATGGGAAGAGAAGATACAGTGGAGACAGATGTCAAATCAAAAACAAATCAAAATAAATAGCAAAAGTGTACTTATTTAGCTCATATGTCTTAAGACAAACCATTTATTTGACATTTAACCTCTGCACACACAGAAAAGTAAGATACCATAATGTAAAGAGCACAGATTATGGAATCATACAGACTTACCTCCAACCCAAAATGCATCCCAACCCCACAACTACAGAATTTCTCTTAGTGTGTGCTCCAGGTACTCATCAAGCCCACCAATATATCATGTTTGGGCAACTTTGGCAATTATGTCCATTTTCATAACTTAAGTGTTCAGAGCTTAATCATGCATGTGGGAAAAACCCCAGACAGCTCTGTAATGATGACCTTTCATATGGTTTCTTTCCCTATCATCCAAGTGCTAAGAACTATCTATTTTGAGTCACTTCAAATATTTAGATTCAACACCCTTTCTCTCAAGGCCTTCAATTTGTATCTGGGTGATGGCTACCTGGATCATTGTGGGCAAATATGTGGTTCAATTGGTCATTTGAAGTGATACAGACCAAACAACAGGTTGACTACCTCTTATCTTTTCAACGTGTATTATTTAATCTCATTCATTTGAAAAGTTTTCCACAGTCAAGGAAGTTAGTTCACATGTCTTACTAAACTCAAAAAACCAAACCCGTGATCAAAGGTTTCAGAAGATTCATCCATAGAATTCAAAGAATGAAAGATTCTTAAAGGATCTCTGTTTCATTCACCTGTTTAAGGAAGTAACATGCATATTTTTACAAAGTAATTCAACTTTGAAAATCTTTGATAAATCCACTGAAAAAACTCTTGCTAAAGTCAACAATGACCTCTGTGTTGCTAAATTCAATGATCGTATGTTAATCCTTGATCTGGCCTCTTCCATCAGTAGCATTTAAAACAACTAACCACTCCCTTTTCTATGAAGTCCTTTCTTCTTTTGTCCTTTGCAACAATGCCCTTATTTCATCCTGGCACACTGGCTGTTCATTCTCATACTCCTTTTTGAACTTGTCTTCATTGACCTAACTTTAAACATTGGGCTGCTCCATCTAAGATTTTAGATATCTTTATTATTTACACACATGCCCTGAGCAGTTTCATCCAAGTGTGTGACTTCAGATATTATCTAAATGTTCTTGACTTCCATCGCATGCCTCTATACTGAATTCCATAATCTTATAACCAACTGCCTTTTCAAAATCTACAGCTGGATGTCTAACAGGCATTGGACTTTAACCTGTATAAAGTAATAATATCGATTTTACCCCAACCCTGAACTTCCTGCTGCCTTCTCCATCACTAAAAATGATTGTTGCATTTTTTCATGCACTCAGGTTAAAAACTTGAAGTCAACATCTCATCCTCTCTTGAACTCATAACTTACCTCCAACTCAAAAGAAAATCCCATTATCTTCACTTTCGAAATAGAAAACAGAGTGTAGCCATTTTTCTGCCCCCAACTACTCAGTCCAAGCTATCATCATTCCTCAGCAAAAACATTGCAATAGCTTTTTAGTTGGTCTCCCTACTTTTACCTATAGAAACTCAAATAATTTTTTAAAAAACTTAATTCTGATTATAACTGTCCTCTTCTCAAATTCTTCTAGGGGTTCCCCATTTTACCAGAGCAGAAGGTAAGTATTCCCATGAACTATAAAGCTCTGCATAAGCGAGCTCCCCGCTATCTCACTGGACAAATCTCTGACCTCTCTCTTTTTACCCTGCTGTAGCCACCACTGTTTTTCTGCTATTTTTCAAAGGTACTAAGCCTTCTGCCTCGAAACTTTTCTCTTGCTATTTTCCTGGACAAGAAAACAAATGTTTCATCTCCACTTTTTGTTTCTCCACTAATCTTTCCCCTAAAATAGCATGTTCTTATTCTGGGTTCTTCCTATCCTCATTTTTCTGTTATATTTATCTCCAGGCCCTTGTCCTCATCCAGTTTACTGCCTGTTATTTATGATCTATCTTTCCTCGTCAACCGCACTAGAAGGTAAATTCCACATAAGCAAGAAATTTATTTTGTTCACTGTCAATCCTCACTGCCTAGAATAGTACCTGGTGCATAGTAGGGAGACAATAAAATCATCATATTTGAATGAATAAATAAATAAATAAATGGTAATTGTATCAAATAAGTGTTAAGCCTCAAGAAAAAACATGGCTACTTTACAGTTGATGCTACAAAGACCCACAGGAATGGGGGCTCAAATTATTAGTCAAGATACCAGTGTTATAATTTGAGGAAAACTAAGCAAGTTATTCAGCTCAAGAAAACCCCTTAAGTTGAATGGCATTGGAACTTAATTTTTTATCTAAATATAAAAAGCTCCAGTGGAAAAAAAAAAAAAAAAAAAAGCCTCTATCTCACCAATGAAGCCACAGGAGCAAAAACTGACATGTTGCCCCACATTCTAGTTGGCTTAGCACTACTTATACCATAGTCAGGAAAAAAAAAAAAATACCTCAGGGAGGCTGAGGCAGGAGAATGGCGTGAGCCCGGCCGGCGGAGCTTGCAGTGAGCCGAGATCGCGTCACTGCACTCCAGCCTGGGCAACAGAGCAAGACTCTGTCTAAAAACAAAACCAAACAAACAAAAAAAAAGAAAGTCATCTAGTTATGGTCCCCCAGATAAATGAAATCTTCAGCATTTTTCACAAACATGACTCTAGCAAAAAAAAAAAAAAAAAGAGAGAGAGAACAAAGGTTTTTTTCTACTTTTTCAAAGCTGGTAATCTTGGTTAACTTTGTATTTATTTTTCTTTTAGATATTTGTGTTATTTGATTTGGTGAGCAGGTTTTGCAACCTGATTCTCTTTATAAGTAAACATTTCCTTTTCTTTTCTCTGAGTCATCCTATGACCAAGCTTTCCCTGAGAGTAGTGTCCCCATTAATCAATCATTTCTCTAAACGCCTCAGCACCCTGGTCAGTACTATACAATTTAGCACCTAATAATGTAACTTTGATGTTATTTGCTGTAATTTCATGCATCCCTACCACAGCAGTTAGCACATTACACTTCACATACTAGATATACAATAAATATTTGTTACTTTATGGGCACAATGGTATTACTTTAAAAGTCCTGGATATGAAAGTTGAAAGAACTCCATTTACATCCAGGGTTTGTTGCTGATTAGCTAGAAAATCTTGATCAGGCGGCTTAATTTCTCTACATTGAGTCTCTTTATCTGTAAAAGGTAATAATATCTCTCTCCCTTCACAGGGAGGAGAGTAGATCAAGTCATTCATGGGAAGCCCATAGAGCTGCAGCTTATATATTACAGATGTCTCTGCTCTTGGCTGGATCTGAATCTAAGTTAGTTTCCTGTAAGAGTGCAGCTTCTGGAGCCTGAGTTCGCAACCCTAACCATGTTGTAGAATCACTTGAAAGGACTTTAAAAAAATCACTGATTCCCAGGCCCCACCCCAGATTAATTAGCTCCTTGGAGAAAAAAGTCTAATCATAGGTAATTTTTCAAAATTGTCCAGGTGATTCTAATGTACAACCAAGGTTGCGAATAATATCACTGAAGTAGGTCTGCCTAAATTCAGATCCCAGCTCCACCACTTATCTTTTATGCAACTTAAGGCAAGTAAATTAATCTCTCTAGGCTTCATTCTCTCAGTCTGTAAAATGGGGTTAATAATGGTTCCTTTCTCACCAAGTTGTTATGAGGATTGAAAGAGATAATCCATGGAAGGTGCTTCGAATACCATCAAGGACATAGTTAGAGCTCAATAAATGAAAGCTAAGATTATTAATAAAAATCAGCTTTATATCATTCTTTTCAAGGGCAGGGACTATGCCTTATGTTCACGCCTCATCACAGAAATGCGACTGTATAACTAGTGCACACTCCATTCGTGCTTATGGATCAGTTAGAGCCTTCTTTCAGCTGTGTTACAATTCAAAACCATGCAGAGTGAAATCATAACCTAAACCATTATCCACTCACAGCTTGAAAAGACTAACTGGGTACCACTTACGGCAAAATATACACCTGGGGAAAAAAATGGGAATAAGAGTATCACAAAGGAAAATTAGATAACATGCTACTTAAGTTTTGCTTTTGGCTGGTCTTCACAGGGAGCAAATATAAAGAAGAGGAAAGGCTGTGTTTTAACATATTTAAATTATGAAAAAGTGCAACTTGGAGGAATCTCAGTCTTTAAGATGAGAGAAATATCAACTGTGGGGTGGGAAAACCCTGACAGCTTACCTGTACCTCTTTGACATAAAGATTGAGTATTCTATTACATAAGTAGAGTATTAAAAACACAACATTAAAAATCCAGTGGTCATTTATGCTTCAATCTTCAGAGCAAAACTTATCAGAAGGATAAGCTGTAAAACGGCTAAATGTTTTCTTTATTATATTGGCACTTTATAAATTCAGAAAGTAGAACTTACCTCACATCATTTATTTTCCTTAGTTCTAAGAAGAAAAATGTCAAATATTTATATCCTTGTTACTCTCTATAATTTTCATTTGATATTCAATAAGAAGAGTAATATGTGAAGATGGAAAATAATTTCTTTACCTATCTGACATAGTTTACTTTTATTACCCAAGTTCTTTATTGGAAATTTAATAATCTGCTTATAGCTTACCTTTTAATCTATGAACTTTGCATTTTGTTAATTCCCACATTGGCTATACAATATAGGGAGAGAGATTTTCAAAAAATGAGTTTGTAGTAACAATAACTAAGCTAACATACGGTGAATTGTTCTATTTTCCGGCATTTTTATAGAAAAAAATGATACTTGCTAAATTATAGTAATGATGATGATTATTTCCAACATATTTAATAAAGTGCTTTAGATTTGAGTATTTCTATTAAATTATCCAGATGGTGATAGCACATAATTTCACCCAGAAATGTACATTAATTATTAACAATAAATGTAGGGCAAAACAACAGACTTCAGTAATATTACTGCACATCTGCAAAGGAGATTGTTGGCGATTTGGAAATGCTAATTCTGTGATTAATCTTCCATTTGGCTACTGAGCAACATAAGTCATGCAAAAAAGAGTGCTAAGATGAATAGAGCATGCAGACTTCAAATCAGACTCTGATCTCAGACACCAGAAGGACACTTTGGCAGTAGAAACTTCTCACCAAAAAATATGTGTATCTTTGTCATAAAACAATTTAGAGAAAGTTATGTTCTTTTGTCTTTATTTGAGGCATCTGGTCCTGGTAAAATAAAGGATACCTTTTTCCTCCTTTTCAAAGATCTCAAAACCACCATCCTACCACCTCTCTCTTTACAGAATTACTACTGTCATATAGCCTGAAATCTCTTTTCCATAACACAAAGAAAATTATCCTCTACTGTTACAAAACCACGGCACTTTTACATCTGGAATACAGCATGCAATTCTGGGCACTCGTCCTCAAGGGAGACATAACATGATGGGAAAGTTCCAGATAATCGAGGGGACTGATTAAGGAGCTTCTGTGTGAGGATAGTCTAAGAGAAGAGGACTGAAGTCCATAAACCAAAACAGAAGGGAAATACAAGCAAAGTCTTTAACAATAAAAATGATAATAGGTGAAATCTGTGTTGGATGAACAAATCTCAGATATTAAGGATACAAAGAATCAAAATAGAGTTCATATTGTTAGTCTTTTGAAATGGACATAGCATGATCTATAGCTTAAAAAAGTGGGTTGGGGCAAATTTAAGAAAGTCTACTTTCTAGAACTTACTAAATTTGTAACCCAAGAAATAATACAAGTTGAAAGTATAATTTTAGAAGTTTTAATCTTAATCCCCAAAGAATACATCTATAATGAGTTATGAGCTGTTTTAGGAAAATGGTTGGCTAATAATAATAAATAATTTACTTTTATAAGGAAATAGGTGAACATGTCAGGCTCTGACAGTCAGTCATAAGGGATATTCCATAAAGTCTCTGTATTTCTTACTAAGGAGAAATCTTGATAATAATTACAATCAACAGAATTGACAAAACTATAACTAAGCTGACCAATTTAAAGAGATAAAAGACTCAAATTGCTAATATCAGAAATAAAAGAACAGACATTACTACCATTCAGTAAAAAGAGTTCAATGCCTATAAAAAGAATGATAAAGTAATATGAAGTACAATTTTATATCAACAGATTAAATGACCTACATAAAATGAACAAATTCATAGAAAGAGAAAAATGTTAAAACTGACTTAAGATGAAATAGAAAATCTGAATAGACCTATAACAAGTTAAGAAATTGAATTAGTCATCAAAAAGCTTCCCACAAAAAAAAAAAAAAAAAAAGCCCACGACCAGATGGCTTCACTGGTGAGTTTTACCAAACATTTAAAGTAGAATTAACTGCAATCCATCACAAACTCTTGCAAAAATAGAATAGAAGGGAAAACATACTAACTCAAATTAAAGCCAGTATTATCTTGATAACTAAACCAAAGATATTGCAAAAAAAGAATACTATAGATCAATATCCAGTATAAATATAGACACAAAAATTCTCAACAAAATGTTATCAAACCAAGGCTAGCAACATATAAAAAAGCTTGTATCCTATCACCAAATAGTATTTGTCCCAAAATGCAACATTAGTTCACCATATTAAAATTAATCAATGTAATATGTTATATTAATAGAATAAAAACAAAAAAGTGATAATCTCAATAGATGCAGAAAAAGAAGTTGAAAAAAATCCAACATTCTTTCATAACTTAAAAATATAAAACTCAACAAATACAAACAGAATAAGAATATCCTCAACTTAGTAAAGGACATCTACAAAATCCCACAGTCAACATCATACTTAATTGTGAAACACTGTGAACTTATGATTGAAGATCAGCAACAAAATGGACATAAGAATGTCCATTTTCATCATTCTGTTCAACATTGTACTGAAGCTATTAGCTACTAGCCAGAAAAACAAGGCAAGAAAAGTAATAAAGGGAATTGAAAAGAAAGAAGTAAAGCTATCTCTATTTGCAAATGACATATTCTTATTTATACAGAAAATTGTAAAGAATCCACAACAGTAATTACTCAACTTTTATATTCAAAAACAAGTCCAACAAGGTTGCAGGATACAAGATCAATATACAAAAATCAATTGTACTTCTATACATTGGCAATGAATAACCTAAAGGATAATTAAGAAAACAATTCAGTTTATTATAGTATCAAAAAATTAAATATTAGTAATAAATTTAACCAAAGAAGTCCAATACTTGCACACTAAAAACTACAAAACATTGATAAAAAGCATTAAAGTCCTAAGTGAATAGAAAGACATCCATGTTCATGAATTGAAAGTCATAATAGTGTTAAGATGGCAAGCCTCCTCAAATTGATAGAGGGATTCAATGTAATCTCCATCAAAATTACAGCTTAATTTCTTGCATAAATTGACAAACTGATTCTATAATTTACATCGGCATTCAGGGACCCTAAATAGCCAAAATAATTTTGGTAGAGAACAAAGTTGGAGGACACACATTTCCATATTTCAAAACTTTCTATGAAACCATTGTAATTCATAGAGTTTTATACCACCATAAAGATAGGCATCTAGATCAATGAAAAATAATTTAGAGTGCAGAAATAAACCCTGACTTTATGTCAATGATTTTCAACAAGGGTGACAACACAATTCAATGGGGGAAAGAATAGTCTTTTCAAGAAAACAAAATGAACGACAACAAAATGAAGTTGGATATATACACAATATACAAAAATTAACTCAAAATGGATCATAAATCTAAATGCAAGAGTTAAACTATAAAACAGTGGAAGAAAATGTAGGAGTAAATTTTTTGACCTTGAATTAGGCCATGACTTCTTTGATACGACACCAAAAGCACGAGAAACAAATACACAACTTAGACCTCATCAAAATGAAAAACTTCTGTGTGTGCTTCAAGGGACACCATGAAGAAAGTGCAAATGTAACACAATGAATCACAGAAAGTATTTGCTAATCATATATCTGATAATGGTCTAATATACAGTTTCTACACAATGAATTAATATTTGGCAATCAAAAGGGATTAAGTATTGACACATGCTACATCATAAATTAACATTGAAAGCATTATACTAAGTTTTTATAAAAAGCAAAGACTAAAATTGAAATAAAGTATAGTACCATTTATATGAAATATTCACAGTAAGCAAATCCATAGGGATAGGAGGAGGTGGATTAGTAGTCACCAGTGCTGTGGGGATGGGACAATGAGGAGTGACTGCTAATAAATACAGGGTTTCTTTTTGGGATGATGAAAATGTTCTGTAATTACCTAGTGGTCATAGTTGTATAACACTGTGAATATACTAAAAACCACTGAACTGCACCCTGTAAAGCGGTGAATTTTATGGTATTTGAATTATATCTCAACTTTTAAAAATAATCACATATTACTTATGCTGTTTTCTAAGTTCACAATTTCATGAGTATGACCAGAACTAGAACTCCTTTCAGACCATTTATTACTACCACCACTTCCTCTTTAGGCAACTGGGAAAGAAGAGGCTTGTCCAAAGTCCAGCTCTCTGAAGTGGCCTGTCTCTAAAGGTGTCTGCTGCAATTGTTATAACCAATAAGAGTGACAATAATCACAACTAGTTACAACTTTTTACATTAGGGATATTGAATAATAGAATTCCTATATCATTGATTACAAAATAGTAAATATTTTAAAGTGACACGATTTAAGACATAAACACTTTAGAATATCTTATGCCTATATTCACTTTTCTTAACTTTTAAGTACTCTAAGCGGAATGAAATGGCCCATACTGTGTTGTTTTGTGTTGTCATAGTATGGGTCATCAAATCTATTGGCTCACATAGCAAAACAGTTTCTTTGACTTGCTTTTAGGGCTCCTGACAAGTGGCTATTAATACACAGTTCTTGAATAGAAAGGGTAATGGAAGGGAGGCAAAAGCTACGGTTATCCCAATATACCTGTTAAAACAAAACTATAGGCAGTGTTATGTTATCTGAGCCTGGTTAAGACACAGAAGTTATTTCTGTCACTTCTCACCCTTGCATCTGGCCCCCTCTCCCTGCTGTTCAGGGTTTAGTAAGGAAGTTCTGCTTATTGCTGGAACACTTGAACTAGAGACAGAAGAGTCAAGCAATGTATTACTTAAAAGATACTAAATTATGCTGCAATATTGGACAACCTTAAAATGTCAGTAGCTTAAAAAAACAGTTTATGTCTTGTACATGTTATATGTCCATCACAGGTGAGCAGAAGACTCCAATCATTGTAGTAACTCAGAGTTATAGGCTGATAAAGATACCATCTCAACCCATGATTTCATGATCACAGGAACAAGGTTTGTTTTTAAAAAAGTCATCAAGCTTCCATTGACTCCTAGAATTTGTTCTGAGGTCAGTTCTGCTCACATTCTACTGGTCAAATCAACTTTTGTGGGCAAAAAGAATGAAATAATGTTCTTTGCAGCAACATGGATGCAGCTGGAGACCATTATACTAAGCAAATTAACACAGAAACAGAAAAACCAAATACTGCATTTTCTCACTTATAAGTGGAAGCTGAACATTCGGTATGCACAGAAACAAAGATGAAAAACAATAAACAGGAATTCCAAAATATGGGAGGAGGGGGACAAAGGTTTTAAAACTACCTGTCAAGTACTATATTCACTACTTGGGTGACAGGATCATTAGAAGCCAAACCTCAGCATCACACAATATATCCATGTAACAAGCCTGCACATGTACCCCTTAATCTCAAATAAGATAATTTTTTAAAAGAATATCAAAGATATTTTTCTACTTTTGAGTGAAGTAAGCAGATTATAGGCCAGTATATATGGTATGATCACATTAATGCAGAGAAAACAAGAATACTATGTTGTAGTATAAGCTTAGAAGAAAAAAAGGACTAAAACAAACAATATGTTTTTAAAAAGTTATGCAGGCAAGCTCAATGTCAAGAAGAGGAACAGATATTAATGAAGAATAACACCGGCTACCATGCCACTAAGAAGCCTACACAATATTTTTTCTTAAGTCCCGCTCTGTCCAGTGGCCTAGACAGTTCTAGCACTAACTTCCTTCCTCAAGGTCAGAAAGTTAGTTGGTGATGATGCAAATGGGGATTGAGGTGACCATTTAATAAATGCTAAGCAAAAGTAAGAAACTACTGCCTTTTTAGTCATTTATTCAAAAATATTTATGTATGCATACTGTACTTCACATACTCCCCAAGTATCTTTAGCTGCACTAAAGATATTAGATAGTCAAAAATACCAAATATGGCGTAGTAATGGTTGATTTTTTAAAAAATTCTCTAGTCAAGATAATCATGAGTTTTCTACATTGCTAGTCTTCCGGAGTTGAAGATAGAGGACTGCCTTCCTTAATCTCTAGAAAACCCCCATGATGTGTTATAATGCACATTGTCTTTGGACAAGAAACATCAGGAACAATGCAGGAAAAAGAGTAAGATAAGGACAAGGTGAAATTAATTAATATAAATGTTGGTCTCTCTGAGGATAGTCAGCAGTTCAGTGAGTTGTGTTCTAAAAAGGAAGTAGATTTTGTACTGGTTTGGCTGGAGAGCCTTCTATTTTTCCACCTATCCAGCCAACTAACTAGTCATTCAAAATCTCACTATGATGTAGGCACTAAACTAGAAAAGGGACATTCAGTAGCTAAAAAGATAAGAAAGATATAAAAGTAGACATTATAGAAGGAATCTAGGTAATTATTAAGCTAGGCATATGCAGATCTAAATAATAAATGCTTTACTGCATGACCATGTCAATAATTGGGTGCCAAAAACTGCCAAGCACTGTGCTTGCTGCCTTTTATACATTAACCCATTTAACCCTTACAGAATGTGAGATGGACATTATATTTTACAAATAATGAACATTATTACGTAAGTTAAGTAACTTGAGATAGTGATTCAACTTGTAAGAGACAGAATGTGGATTCTGACTCCAAAGACCATTATCTTTCTATCATTCCATGCTAGGCACAAAATTCCCCCATGCAGCAGGGCAGGCAACCCTAGCCAAGCTGGAGTTCAATACAGAGCTATAATATTAGAAGGAAGAAAGAATGCTATGTAGTAAAAATGAGTCCATCATCCTATAGATTACCTAGCATAGAAGCACACCAGAAATCAGGTGCCACCAACTGGTCAGCCACCTAAAGGCACTGACACAGGCCTCTGCTTGTCCAATATCATCTCAGGAACTAGGTAGAGGTGATCTTGATGAAATAGGGGCACCATTAACTCCAGCTGAGAAATGTAGACTTGATGGTATTACAATTCCAGCTGAGAAACAGAGCTTGAGATATAATATTTTCGGGGTCCATATAGCATATTTTTATATTCTTACGAGAAGCTGAATTTTTTTAACTGAAATGTCTTCCAATATTAAAGGGGACATCTACCTTTCTGTCCCCAACATAGAAACAATGCCTCTTCAAGCTAAGAGCCAATGAGTAAATTCAAGCCTATTTTATCTCATTTCCTGGGTACAATAAACATTATTTAATTTGAAAACTTCTAATGAGGACAGCACACATCAGTGATACAGACAAACCATTGGATTGAGAACAGAAGTATCAACATAGGCACAATCGCCTAATTTTCCCATCTTTGGCGTACATTAGTTGGTTAATGGACTCAAGCCAGGATATCTACACAGACAAAACAAAGTGGATAATTGCGCAATTATCTGATGAATTGAAACACCAAAGGAAGTGACTTTAGATAACTAAGATTTTGTTCTAAACTGCTGGAGCATCTTTCTTTGGGGAAAAGTTATGGAGACAGGAGTAGAAGTAGTTTGTGGATTTGCCTTTCTCCACTGCATTTTAGAGCTGTGTAGGGAGACTTAGCAGAGCTAGGAGAGGGACCCAGTCTTTGGGCTGTTGGCTGTAAGCTGCATGCTAGGAATGCCCCTCTGCTGCTATCATTAGAGGCTGGTATATAAATAGAAATAAAACATGACCAAATCTTAGCCCTAGCACTTTCCTGTGAGCTTAGTGCTCATGATTTGAGAGAAAACCAGACCCTACCCTTTTGCAATCTGGGGTCCAAGCTTTGTGGTTGCACTGATGCAATGTGCTAAGATAGTGACAGGATTCATCACACAAGAATCCTTTGTTGCAGAAACACAGCCCCTGTCATGGTAAGATGGATGGAGGTAGGGAGAGCAGTTGTTGGGACCTCAGCCTTGTTATATGACACTGGTCCATAACCGGTTTCCATGAGGCTTTGAAGGCAGCCAACTGCTTTGTAAGGGATCAGGCTTGGGAAGGTTAGCATTTATCTACAAGTATTATTATCCATGTTTGATAGATGAGAAAACTGGGACATAGAGAGAATGAGTAGCTAGCTCAAAGACATACATTTAAAAAACAGGTAGTTCCAGGGCCAAATCTGAAGTCTGTTTGACACCAAAATTGCTATATTCTAATGACTTCATATATCCTTAAAAATCTTATTTCCACAGAAATGAAAAGGAACTGTGTCTTTTAATTTATTATGTCTCTAAGGAATGTTTTCATGGGATAAGACAATAAGCTTAGTACACTAAAATAGGCATCCTTCTAATCCCATCATAGAGTATCGGGCCATGACTGGCCCATTGAACCAGAATGATTCAAAATATTAAAAAGTGTAGCAGAGACTGTCCCTCAGAACTCAGGATAAGAATTAAGAATTGAAACCAGATAGAGATTATGGAATATGCTAACATCCTTATAGAAGACAATTACTTGAATTATTTAAATAAACACAATCATATGTACATACCAGTTAAATATTCAAAAGAAATGAAAATATATATCTAATCATATTTTCATGGGTCAAAACAGATTGAACATTGATAATTCTATGTAATGAAACTGTATGCTTAAAGGGAAAATTTAAGTATCTCATTCTCAAGGCAGTTTACAGGCAAGTTGAGCTCTATGGATATAGCCTTCACCAACACAGCCAAGATTTCTCAAAGTTTGCCTACCCCTCCAAAACCATCAACCAAAGCCTAAAAAAAAAGATAACACATGACGTTGTATTTATGCAACCATTTAATAAAGATTTTTTATATCTTCAATAACTAATAAGTAAGAAATCATATAACAAAAGTAGTGGAGGTAGTAGTTAGAGCTCAATATTAATTCTAAGAAAAAAGTTTTCTACCTTCTATGACTTCCTAGGGAGTAAAAGTAGCTCAAAATGGCACAAGTATATGTCTAGCACCAAGTATAATAAATATCAAAGTGCAAAATACTTTATTCAAAATTGAGAAATGAAGGGTTTTGAGTGATTATAATAACATAGGTCTTTTCATATAAAGGGGGGATGTTATAGAACTTCTACATTAAAATCTGCTTTCTAATAGCTCAGTAGTTCTCTCTTTGGTAAAATATGGACAATGAATTCAGCAAAAATTAAAACATCCCTACTTGAAAAAGCAAGAAATGAATCACACGTAAATTTCAAGAATGAGAGGAAATTATGTGTCATATGTAATATCAAGTGGCAATACCAGGACACTAGACTGGGCAAGAATTACTATGAAAAATTGCCTGGTTTAAATAGCAATTAAGGATTTAATGAGGGAAAGTAATCAGGAATATGGGTGATCTAGCCAGTAAAGGAGCATTAAGTGGGTAATACAGTACTCAAAATATGCCCTGTGAATATTCATGAGTTGATCTTATTGTGACTTATCTATGTGGTGACATTTTCCAGTAGGAAAACATTTGACTATAAGAAAATAGCTCCTGAGCTTCTGAACATTATAAAATTCATATTGTAAAGGAAGCAAAATTCAGTGCTATGAGTAAAGCTATGAGTAAATGATGGACAGTTAGATAAAATGTTGGAGAATAAGGACTCTGCAATCTAAAATGGCGATTTACCAATTCAGGAAAATCCATGCAGATTTTATGTTCTTTCCTATATATAGAAAACACCTGAAAAGTGATTGGTTTAAAAAGATAGAAATATCTTTCTGGCTTACCTCTCAGCGTTTTTGCATATGCTTATTCACTTGAGATAATTGCTTTCATTAAAGTTTTTTTAAAAGCTACAAAGTAGTTTCAGATAAGAAAAAAACTTTATGTCCAAAATAAGTAAAGTCAGCTCTTTGTTCTTGTGAAGCTACCTGGAAGGAAACAAACAAATGACAATAACAGCAACAGGAGCAGCAACAAAAATCCATTCAGGGAATAAAGGATCAACTTAGTTAAATAATAATTTCAGAACCCCCAGTGGATATGGAAATCAGAAGAACTAAAATATGTGTGTGCAAGTGAAATGTTAGCTGCACTTAACTCATGCAAAAGAACCTGCTGAGAAAATGCATTGAGTTTGACCTGAATTAGCCAGACGGGCTGCCTAAGGCTGTGTCTGCACATCACCAAATAGTAAGAGAAGATTAAATAAATACATATGTATTTTGTTGCCATAGAACTTTCTCATGAACAGACTGTCAACACCATTTTCTTTTTATATTTTGGCCCACAACATAACCATCAGTCAAACTGAATGGATTTCCCAGACACAGTTGTTTGTCTTTAGGTGGTAGCTGAGCACGGTTGTTTCAGGATCTGCAGGAGGGTCATGCCCCTCCTTTGGTCTGTTCACAAACCCAATACCTGTTTCTGAAGCTCCACCTTACAGAGATGATAATGGCCACTTTCAGTTGACTTTCCTTTCCCTTTTTGGCATCATAATCATGAATACATTCAGCATGCAAGATTTAAACAAAGAAACACTCCTCCGGCTTAATAAAAAGAAAAATATTGATTCTATCCTAAGAAATTTTGTTCCTTTCAGCCACCAAAGTCCAAATTTTACCCATACAGATTAACTGAACTTTGGGTTCACCCCAAGTTCTGTGAAGTTCCGTGAGAAAAAGAAAGAGCACATTTTCCACCTCTGCTCTTTTTATCCATAAGTTTGAGATATGCAGATCTCTAAAGTTAATGTGAAGATGAATTTAACTTAAATGTATTGAAACTTAACAAGAACTCCAAACATTCTTCATTTCCATCAAAAGAGAAATTCTTGGTCAGCTTGCTTCCTGGGGGGAAAAAAAAGTACGTGATCACTAGGGAGATGGATACTTATAATTAATACACCCTGTGAATGTCAGCTTCAGCATAACTTTTCCCTCCACACTTGTCATGGTGTCGCATTCATCCTTGAGGGATCCATCAATTTACACGGAAGCATCAGGAGGCCAGAAGGAAAGTTTGTCTTCATTTCTACCTTCCTTCCAAGGTTAACTACCTTTGGATCACATTCAGACTAAAATAAGAAACTCAGATTTTTTTCCTAGGGTTTTAGTTCTTTAATGTAAAAAAGAAAAGAAAGAAAAATTAAGCCTAAAATAAGTGTGATGCATATTCATAAAGGTCAAAGCATTACTCAAGCTATTGCAGTGTTGGTGACCTTGAGCTACATCAACTTGCTGACCTTGATCTGTAAAGGATTTAAGGAAATGTACACCAAAGATAGTGAATGCTTGCAAATATAATGATATATCTATACACCTCTACTTATAAAAAAAAAGTCTGTATAGACATACAATTATAAAGGTATTGAACACAGCAAAACAAGGACAGGGGCTATGTCACTATACTGAAGATCATAGTCTAAGGAGTGAGTCTAAGAATGAATCTGCTAGTCAAAAAATCTGAAAGGCAAATAGAAGCTGAGGAAAAGTTGATCTTTTCTTGCTACCTACTGCCTTTTTATTTTTGTCCCCAAGCCTTATATCAGCTCTTTTCTTACTCTTGATTTGTATACAGCATTAAAAATCATGTATACTATTTTTTAAAATATTGCTTTTCTCGGCCTCAGTTTAGCCTGGGATTTACGTATTTTGGTATTTTTTAAAATAATTTTATGGTTTTCTGTTGTATTTGTTCTTAGTCATTTTTTTTTCTATCTATTTACTTTTGGGCTTCATCTGATTTTAAAACCAGCAAAGTTACATTTTTTCTAAAAGAATCTTCATGCTCAGAATGTATAATCTTAATTTTATTTTTCAGGCTTTTCCATCTCCTCTTTACCCACACAAATTCCTCAATGATGTTTGGTCAGTATCAAGATACACTTTTAGTTCCTTCTCTGCTTTATTATTTTTCCATCTTTTTTCTCTAATTGTGCTTTCTCCTTTTCTTGATATTCCAACACCAGCAACAATGACTACAGCTGCTCATCCTGGATCTATCTTCGTCCTTGATGTGCCCTCTACCTTGGCAATATTGTCTAATTCCGTTTCTGCCTAGATGCCCCACCAGCAACTTAAAATTCTTATGTCCAAAACTTAGTTTACCAACCCTCTACCCAAATTATCTCCCCTTGTAGATGATCAAATTTATTTTCTAACTGGCATAAATAGATCCAAAAAAATCAGGTTACAAATATGTTCAAATAGAGAGGATCCTAAAGACTTCCAACATGCTTGCATAGAAAGAAATTCAGTATTTCAGTTTTAAGGTTCCCTTTTCCTACTGAATAGTTTAAAAATGCCCAAGGGTATTGAATGTCCAAAAAGTGGATCATTCCAACTTGCACTCCCATTGGAATCTAATAAAACCTAATGCTGACATTGTTTCTTTTGTTTATTTTGTTTGTACAGGAATCTAAAGCTAGGTATCTCCAAGCAAGTGCTTGTTGTAGCTTCAATAAGTAAGACAGAGAGATCTGGCATTGTGGAATCTCTAAGGGAGAAAGAACTCACCTTCAAGTCTTTCTTTTGCCCTTTGACAACCCAGAAATTCAGATATATTATCAGTTAAGCAAGAGAAATGTATGTGTGGTCTACTATGCCCTCTGAGTGATTCTGATGTACTTTTACTTTCACTTTGCCCCACCACATTTGGTACTTCCAGTTTTATATTGTCTTTCTTTTCTCTTTACTAGGAATTCCAGGATGCCATGATCCCTTTGTCCCAAGGTTTTTGTTACTCTTCTTAAAATCAAAAATAGCCTAGAATATCAGCTTCCTTTAACATCTCATAAAAATTAAATGGTTAGTATGTTAAGTATGTAGTTTCTACTTTTAGCAAAATAAGTTACTCTACATACATGTGCATCCATGATATAGACATTCTGTGTTCTGTATTTGAAAATCATTTCCTACTTAATTTATCTGCATGAGTTTTGCAGAATACTCCTCCTACACCACTGATTCTTTGTTTTATTCCTCTTATTTTAGTTCAAATGCTCCCCATCATTTCTACCACTGCATTTGTATTGATTTTTGCAGTTATAGACATTTTGAAGCTATAAAACTTTTTCTGTTCTCTAAACATTAAACTATCTTAAGAACACATTATGTCCTTTCATTCATAAATCTGGCCCTGCTAAGTCTCAACAGAGGTTTTGGCAATTGTATTTTGTGTATGCATGTTTAAATATAATCCTGGTTCTCTTCCCTGCCCCACAAGTGATTTATTTACTTTGAATTCTCTACATTGTTTCAGATTAATCTTATCTCTGGTTTCCCTCATCAGTAACTTTTTAAAATTTAGCTTAATGATGCTTCATTCTCTCAACCATACTGGAATGCAGATAGTCTCCAAGTCCTTTTAATATTTCCTCTAGCAGAGGGTACAATTTCACTTGCAGCAGATTAAAGTAGTATAAAACTTGGGGTAAAACAGACATCTTAAATATATGCTTTGCACATTCCTACAAGAGTCCTCTAGTTTCCAGTATTTATTGGAGTGTCAGATGAATTATGTATCTTCATTAACACCCTGTAAACATCACCTATAAATTTCGACGAAGATTTTCCTATTTCTGAGGCTTTGGGATGTAGATCCTGGGGAAATAGAAGGAGGGCGTTGTTCAATATATGCAATTTCTGGCTCCCTCTCCCCTTTTTAGGCTGACATAACATAGTTTACCGGGCACTCAGGGCAGGATGTTTAGTCAAGTATTTACTTCAAGTTGTGAAAGGCAAGAGGCTAAGGAACAGATTAAATTTGTTGCACAAAGGAGTGTTTTTACATAATCTAACTAGAAATTCCTTGAAAACAGACACATACTGTTAAAAACAATAACAACCACACATACACACACAAAAATACTTGAGCAGAGGACATTGACTCCTTCTTCTACAACTTACCCCGCCATTTTCTCAAAGCGAATAGAACCATAGGCAAGTTTGCAACTAGGCATCTAAGATACATTATCATGAGCAAGTTAAAGTCTGGAGGCCAAAATTCAAGTCTTCAAAGGTCTGAAGCAATCACCATGCCTATGGTTAAAGAAAATGTATATCTTGATTCTTGGAGATTAGGTAAGCAAGACACTAACTCCAATCATCATGCAGAAGAAGTGAGTTTAACCCCAGGGTAAGGCTGACTTCCTCTTTGACATCTGATCTGTCACATATGCTCTCTGCCTACTTGTAGATGTCTCAAGGCCTGAAAAACATTCACCTAGGTAGGCCAGCCTACTGTTGCCCAGGCACATTCTGACTATGGATAAGGTGGGCACAGAAATTTTGTATCCCCAATTTTGTACACAATTTTGTATACAATTACTCCTTGTCATCAAGGGGATTTATGTCACTAGCTGGTGAAATAAAACAGCACACATAAAACAGAACTGCTACTGAAGTACTAGTTTTGAGTAGGTTCAAAGAAAATGATGAAGGTGGTCTGACATAAACACAACAACAATAATAGTAATATTTACCGAACACATTCTATATGCCAGACTTCATACTAAGTGTCTTACATCATTTATTCCTCACATTACACCTGTGAGTCAGATACCATCACTTCTTTTACTTACAGATCAGGAGAGCAGTTTAGAATAGATTACATGAAGTTAGGCAGTTAGTAAGAAATGGCACAGGTCCTATAACCCAGAACATTTGAACTCACAACCTGAACCCTCATGGACATCCTCAGCAGGATCCTGAAGGTAGACAGGCAGGGAGAATAGTAAAGTCTGTATAAAAAAAATGCAATGTCTATTACAGGTCTATTGCAGGTCTCTATGTTGAAGCCTTCTTGATAGAAGGGTAAAACAGACATCTTAAATACACGCTTTGTACATTCCTAAGACAGTCCTTGTAATTTCCAGTATTTATTGGAGTGTCAGATGAATTGTATATCCAGGTTTCTTGATAAAAGGCTTCAACGTAGACCTGTAAATGCAGAACTTCACAAATTTTTGTTTTCCCCACAGATTCAGCATAAGGAATTGATAGAATTATTTCCTTCACAAGTCCAGCAGATACTCCTTGTCAGACAAACCTGAATTTAATCCTGGTCTTCATACTTCAGGATAAGACCTTTGAGAGGCCATTAAACTATTCCAAGCCTCAGTATCCACATCTGCCAAATGGGAATAATAATAGCAAGTAAGTCATAGGACTATCATGAGGATTAAATATTTCCTACAGCACATTTAGCTCTGTGTCTAACATACAGGAATCGCTCAATAAATACTAGTTATTTATCAACACACTGTGCAAGGCACTGTTTTAAGAATTAAAAAGCACAAAGTATGATATGAACCCTTACATTGTTTAAGTTCAGAAGGAGAATAGAGATGTGGTTGCTATTCTACAGATATAATTACATAGGAGAGTTGGCTCACCTTTTCCATGAAGGCTTCTAGTAATTTCAATTGAGCAAAGATTCTGTCCCTTCTTGGAATCTCATAGCATTCAGTGGGTACCAAATATGTTTATTTGCTATACCTGCAAAATAATATATGTTCTGTGAAAACTGGGACTGCTTCCCCTCTGAGCAAGTAACTGAGGAAAACAGAAAACAGCATATCAAAAAGAAAAGTAGGTTTGATGCTGGAGGATGTGCTACCCAGGGAGTGGAGGGAGATAGGAGAAGCTTAATGCTGCATATACCAAGCTGGCAATGTTCCCCTGGGAATAGTCTCCAAGGGGGAAAGGACAGAGTTAAACTAATTTAATTACATCAATTAGATTAGGGTATCCCAAATGCCTATAGTCCTCCTCCAAATTGAGAAATTTCAGAAGTTGGTTTGGAGTGACCCCTTTTCTATTTCCACACACGTCTCCCTCCTTCTAGTGAACTCACCACTATATTTTTCCAGACACTCAGTACCCTCATAGTCCTTTGTATAGAGAATACTTTTTGGTTTTCTTTCTTAGAGAGTTACTTGCACAAAACAACTTTTTGCTTTCTTCCTAATTTCCTCTTGCCCAACTGATTGTTTTCCAGATGCATTGAGCTATAATTGACAAATAAAAATGGTAAATATTCAAGGTGTACACTGTGATGATTTGATATACATATACATTGTGTATTGATTATCATAATCAAATTAATCAACACATCCATTACCATGCATAGTTACTACTGTGTGTGTATATGTGATGAGGACACTTAGAAGGAGATGTTGGTCAAAGGATACAAGATTGCCTCACATGATTAACAGCATTTTTCAGTGTAGCTGGTGTCTGCTGTACATCAGAAGGGAAGTGATGTAATTAACACATTTTTCTAAGGTATGAATGAGTGATGCCTTCTTGATCTTACCAGGATTATACATACTTTAAAAAGGTATGCTTAAAATATATATGTTGAATCACAGGGTATGTTTAGAATCTAAGTTAAGCTTTAGTTTGTAGAAATCAAGCCCTTTTGTATGTTGAACGGAAAATGAGATTTTAGGCAATATGAGAGACAGATTATACAGTTTTTATGGCAATGTGGACAAGTATCCATTCTTGTGGCATGCTTGACCAAGAGCTTCTTTATTTCATTGGGAAAGACCCTTTTATAGAACACTGTTAAGTAATGCATGTATTTACAACTATAAGGAATTCTAATTTGAAAACATTTGCCAATGGTTTTGAGTTTCCTTCTGGGAAGATGGTGACAATTCCAGAAAAATTTCAGCAACAAGGCAGCACAAGAACCAATGCCATTTGAATTGGTTTAACATAAAGAAAACCAGGTGGATGGAAAAATTCTGACTTTTCATCTCAGCTAGGGACTTACAGGCCCCCTGATGAAAAGGACTCAAGCCACAGCATTGAGGACTGCTCAATAAAGATGTTTTCCCAGGATGTGGCAGCAGTTAAAAAGCAAATAGGTTTCCGGGATATAACAAAAAGGGTTGGAAGATACGGTGGCACAATGAACAATGAAGGCTTTCTCTTCAGAAAGACTGGACACCTGCCATCTTAGCACCTGAAAGCTACGAGGCAGGTTGAAAGAATCCTGAGCAATGCGTCGGAGACAGCTTGAAGTGAGGATGATCTATTCTGAAGGTCTGGGAAGGCGAATTACTGGCAGTCAGATGGAAGGATTCACAATTATGAAAGCCATGGCAAAAGCTGATCAGATTCTCCTTTCTACTAGGCTTCATGCTTCAAATCAACCAGAACCTCATTTTATTAAAATGCTCATCGCTGTCAGTTAAGGAGACGGGAGTCTGTTTGACAGCATTGCCTAAAAGGCATTGTTAGGGATGCTGGCAGGACTCTCAGGCCACCTGACCTAGACAGGGCTCTTACTTATGCATCCTCCTAGCACAGCTCTGGAAGCTAAACTACATTTCGAAGACAAGTCAGGCGGATTTCTAGATTAAATTCCCCTGTCCACTGCTGTGTGCTTCACCGAATGTGGTAAGCTGAGCGTGAACTTGAGCAAAGCGCTGTTGAGCAAATAAAGGCAGATAAAGAATGTTAAAAGGACTAAAAAAATTATAAATTGCAAACTGTCAGATCATCCATAGCCTCAGCCAAGTCCAAATGGCTTCATTTCCCTTTTCTACCCTGGCCAGTCCACTTGAGTCTCTCCCACTGGTGTTTTTGGGATACAGTCCAGGCCATTATGAACAGATCCAACAATGTGCAATGATCTTGAAGCTTGCAGAAAAGTTTGAGACTACTTAAATTACGCCCCATTTATCTTTACCAGGGGATCTTGTAGTTCTGTCAAAAGTGTCTTTAGGCCCTGGTGAGCTAACTTGCAGTAGTTCTACCATTTGGGAAAGATTTAGAGGTACAGCTCATAACAAATGCTCAGGATTTAGTATTTCTTTTTAGTTCAATCTTCTGTCTACTCCCATTTCAATGACTGGAAACTCTTTCCTTCCATAAGTTATGCCTATTCTCCCTTTGGTGTATTTTCAGCTACATGTGAAAACATACCCCTTTGACAATCTTGACCTTCACCCAAACTTAAGAAGACTCCATACTAAACCAAGCCATTTATTAAATGTTTAATTGCCTGGGATATAAGTGGTTCAACTCCCCAAGTTTCTGCATATGATCTCTTTCCCTCTCCTATCAGCATTTAATAAAACAATGCGTTAGGGAAACTACTGGAGTTTCCAAGAAATCAAGTAAAAGGGTGTGTGGTGGTATGCAAGAACCCTGGATATAGAGCCAGTGGAGTTGGACTGGACACCAAGCTCCACCCTTAGTAACTATGGTTTTTTAGAAAGTCTATTTGGCTTAGCCTTGGTGTCTTCATCTGTGAAATGAGGATAATGTCTGCCCCCAGTGATGTTTGCTAACTACCTGATGTGATACACATAAGAGCTATTTCATACAATGCCTTGTGTTGAGTAATTGACTTTTTCTGTTTCTCTTCCTTTGCTTCACTTTTTAACTTACTGCCTCTCCTCTCTCCTGCTCTATCTCCATCACTCCCTCTCTTCCTTTCTTTCTTCCCTTTTCTGTAACCCACCGTATCTGCCATGTTTCCCAGCTGCCCCCTCTGCTCTACCTAGGAAGATAATTAACATAGTCTACACATGCCATGCACTTTCCTGTAGATTTTTTCCTTGCATGCCCCTAGATCATGTCTACAATCACCTCTCCATTGTGGTGCTCTAAATATTTCCCAAATAATGTCTGTCCTTCAAGATTCTACCTCAGTTTTACCTTCACCGGGACCTTGTCTGTTAATTCTACCCAATGTTAATGTTTTGTTGTTGTTGTTTTTTGGTTTTTTTGTTGTTGTGGTTGTTGTTGTTGTTGTTTGCAATTTTATTCTACTTATTGTATTTTCCTTTAATATTTTATTCAGGTTTTGTCTATTTAGTTACATTCTAAGCTCTCAAATTGTGAGCTTGCATATCTTTTGCATTTCCTAAAGTATCTATCATATTTGTGGGCATAGTTTAAGTTTTATATAAAATATTTTAAATGAATGGGGACTATTAGTCCAATTCTCTTAACTTTGGTTCTATTTATTTTAATAGATCCCCTTATATTCCCAGGTGAAAAGATTCTCTCATTCTCCTATAAGGGCTTCACTTCATAGGTCTATAATTGCCATGTCTCTGTTTCATAAGTATGTATTTTGCTGAAATGATTTTTTGAGAATAATTTTAAAAGGAGGTCAGGTGTGGTAGCTCATGCCTCTGAAATATTAGCACTTTGGGAGGCCACAGCTGACAGATCGCTTGAGGTCAGGAGTTTGAGAGCAGTCAACACGGCAAAACCCTGTCTGTACTAAAAATAGAAAAATTAGCCAGTAGTGGTGGCAGGCGCCTGTTATCCCAGCTACTCAGGAGGCTGAGGCAGGAAAATCGCTTGAACCTGGGAGGCGGAGGTTGCAGTGAGCCAAGATTGCGCCACTGTACTCCAGACCTGGTCCAGTCCGGGCTACAGAGAGAGACTCCGAGTCAAAAAACAGAAAAAAAAAAAAGAAAAAACATCTTTTGTATAAAATGACTGTTATTGTCTGTGGCTTTAATGTTAGGGCACTGTAATGTCCAGTGATATCTGGTAAATGTTTAACAGCCATCTTTCTGTATAAAACAAAACAAAAAATATCAAAACCTGATTTGTAATGTTTGCCAGCTTCCATGGTGTAAATTGTTCCATCATGGCTGATTTCAAGCTTCCAAAGTGATAATATAAAGCACAAAGAGAAGAGATGTGCACACGTAGCCCCTTGAGCCAGTGTGTGGCAACTCCAGCTCACTACTGAATATACTTCTATCTTTACTATGGGTGATTTTTTTTCTGTTTTAAGATATTGTACAATCTTATCTCTCCAGGGAGCCCTAAAATAGATTTATTCTGTAAATATCATTCATAGTGACAAATATACTCAAGAACTATCAGGGACAAATTTGAACTTTCCACTTTAGGAAATTCGTCTTTGGAATTCCTTCCTAGGTTTTTTTAAGAGAGACTGACGTATTCCTTCTTCAGTATGAAGAACAGGAATTATCTCTCTCCATTTCCAGATCAGAACTCATCTCTACAATCATAACGTTACTCTATTAGGTCCCTAATAGATGGTGCCATTTTTATGAGCATCTGTTGAAGGAGTAGAATTCAATAAGTGTTTCTTTTATGTTGAATAGATGTTTGGCATATAGTTTTAGCCTGGTACATTTGCACAAGCAAACACTGCATTTTTCATTCCATGTATTAGTACTACTTACTGAAAATTCCTCCACCATGGCCAATTTCAAGCTTCCAACATGACATCAACCAGCTAACAAAATTTCTGAAAATATGTGAATTGATTCTCATGAGCTGAGACTCTAAGACAAAAACAAGCCAGTTTCACCACATTACTGACCTAAGCGTACCTATAGTGGTACTCGTGGAAAGTGAGTGAAGCATTGCTTCATTTCTCATATTCCATTCAGGCCATACCTTTGATCATTGGCCAGACTTTAAGGTGCATTTGGATTACATTCAAGGGTCCAAACTTCCAGTCTTCAAGATCTCCCATGATTAGCTGTAGGACTTTATGTCCATCCCTTAACCTTCTTTGATTAACAGCTTCTTCATCTGAGGAAAAAGAACTATAGCATATCGGAGGTGCTTTTCCAGCTCCAATGTCCATTTTTCTAGTAGTCTAAGGATAGAGAAATGAGCTGCGCAACAGCAAGCAAGTAACTGCCTTTGGCATTTGTGTCAAGTATTGCCATCTATAATATCTTCAAAGGCTATCTGAAACTCACCAAAAGACTCAATTGAAGTACAAATTGTCAATATATATTGGTTCATCAATTTCTTCTGTAGAAAACATTTCTAACTGACATTCCACTCTCTTTCTGCTCACTTCTGCAGTCATTTCCATGACTCATTCCCAGTCAGGGCTGTTGTTTTGTTTCTCCCACTTTGACTCTCAGTGATAAAGCAAGATCTAGGAAACGGGCTTAATCAATTGCAGGAATCCATGCCACCAGCCCCCATTCCATGAGATGAGTCACATGGATCTCAAAACATTTGGATCATTACCTCTATCCTAAGTTTATATTTCTTATATACCTGGGTCTCCTTTGTCAGATAATTCTATTATTTAATATAATGTATACTAAGCGGGTTTTTTTTTTACACAATAAAAGTTTTGAAATACTGGCTGTCTCTAGCAAATAAAGAAAGATTATTTGTTTTTAGCAGAGTTAGTATCACTTTATATGACCTCTTTACTTGCCACATAACAAACAGCAACTTTGGACTAATGCAAATCAAGAACTCAGCTCAGGCAACTACCCTCATACTGTTCACATGTCAAATGTGAGCAAAAGCAGCAGGAAACTGGCCTGCTCTTTCTAATTACAATCATGATAAGAGCTTAGCACAAGTCTACTTAAAATCATAAAACCTTTTGGTGCAAGATTGGTGTTTTATCTCATTGTATATTCATATGATTAGGTTTATTTGACTGCTCAGATTAAAAAAAATGCCTCTCATTGTCCAACATCTTCTTATTTAGGATGCTATGAGGAGTAACCCATGTGCAATCACACAATGTCTAGTCCTCATGCAAATGACACAAGCACGAAAAACAAGATGATAGGAAAGGCTTATTTTCCTCCTCTCTAAAATTAATCTCTTCATTCCAGGGGGACAACAAATCTCAGGTTCAAATAAAAGTCCTTTAATTGGGTAGAATTTCTGTGCAAAAACTAATGCTATTTGGACTAGCAGGCAAGTGCAATCCTCCATCTCACCAGGGGACTGCATTTTCCCAACCAAGCTGGGTCCCTCTTTCCTAGCACTGGCAGAGGCAAAAAGTGTTCCAATTAGTGAGGCTGATTTTTTTCCCTATCACTCTTCTCTCATGTGCCTGTGTGGGGTAAGTGAGGGTAGGCATGGGAAATTGCTTCAAGTCACTGATGGAAGAATCAACTGATTGATTGATATTGGGCTGAAACAATCTTCCTGTTCATCCATTGGTTTGCCACTCATCAGGAAGCCAGGAGCACTGAAAGTGAGCCAAGCCTGTCAGATGTGCCACTGAGAACACTATTCTTTGCAGAATATTTTTGGATGCCAGATGCCAATCACTCATGGGACTTTGCTGCTCAATAAGAATTTCAGATGTGGACTTTAATTATAGTCAGGCAGAAAAAAGATGATGGAGGGAGCAGAAGCAGCTTTATTTTTAGCAAACCCAGCTCTTAGCCACCACAAACCCTGTGAATCTATTTTAGGGGCTTGTCATTGTTGTTCGGTGGCTTTCATCAATGTTGTTAAAAACTATCAGGTTTACAACTTTAAGGAATTGACAGTCCTCACTCTAGGGAAACTGAGAGACACAATGGCCATATTTGGGAGGAGCTGGGCCCTGATGCCCTAGCACTGACCTTACTGAACAACTTCTGGGAGATGCAGAGAAGTTGGAATTTCAAGAATAATCTGTTTGCTTTAAGGTCAGCCTCAAAATGCTTTAGGGAGAGAGAGAGAACTAGTCAAGTAGTCTACAACTGCATGAGAGAGCTAAGTAGAAATTAAAGGACAGAAGAGTTCCGATTGTATTAACACTTTAATTTCTGTACGGACTCTTTCATGGACCAGTGATTTCTGCTGAAACAGACATTTGAGGATGAGGGAGTCAGAAAGGTATTAATATTGATTGAACACAAACTTTGCCCTAGGTAAGAAGAAGAGAGAGACCACTGTGAATGGCTCTTTCCTCAGGGATTTCACGTATGAAATTTAAGAGCAACTTGTCAATAAGTAGAAATGTATAACATACATACTTCCATTATATCTTCAAGATATAATAGAAGTTTCACAGAAATGTTAACTGGGTTCAGAGAAACAGCAACCAATTAGATAGTGATATTTAAGAAGTTAGCTTTAAAAATATGGCTATGAGATGTCCCACCCCCACCCTGTACACATACACAAACCCCTTAGCTAAGAGTTAGACTAAAGCCTTCTTTTCAGACAATGAAGCAGCCATCAAAAGATAAAGATGCTTTATTGTTGTTGTTGTTGTTTTGTTTTTATGGATAATTTTTTATTATGACCTAAAGAGTATGTTAAGGGGTTAGAAGAACAATTGCATTTTATTATTTTTTAAAAATCCATTTGATACAAGTGCCACTCACAATACATGTAAAGGATCTTCAATAAAATCTCTTTCATGGTATTTATTTGTTTTTAGCTTTATTAAAAAAATATTTAATTGACCAAGATTTAAAATGTTCAATGTGATGATCTGATATGTGTATATATATGTCATATAATAGTGATCAAAATCAAAATAATTAACACATCTGTCACCACCTATTTTGTTCATTAAATCCCCAGAACGTGTTCATATTATAACTGAAAATGTGTACACTTTGACCAATATCTCCCCATTTTTCCCATGTCTAAAAAAGTTGAACTCATAGAAGCCAAGATTAGAACTGTGGTGTCAGAAGGTAATGACTCGATACTTGCGAATTTTCAACCAACTAGCAAGAGACCCCCTCAGCCCATTATCATTTCCTGTGCTCTGCAGCTCCCATTTTTTTAGCTTAGTGTGTTATTTCTGTATTTATTAGATTCAATGTGCTGTCTCTAGATAGTCCCTCATCTTAAAAACCATGGTCTTCATAGGCCATTAATATTTACTAAACCAACAATGCTTTGAGGTTATTGCTTTGGAATTATGAAAAATTATATTCTGAACAGAGGGAGAGCCCTTGAGAAGCTTGCCATCAAGTGAGAGGGAGCAATTAATTTAGTGCAGGCTTCAAAACAAATGTAAAGACTCCCATAACTTAATCCATGTTTGCTATTTATTTTAATTCAAAAATGAAACATTGAACACTTATTGCATTTAATCTGTGCTGAATGATTCTGGGGATATAAAATAGACACAAGATATAGTATGTGCCATCTACTGTAATGTACAAGATTATAATATACTACAAATACAATTACATATAACTAAATGTCAAAATGAGTGGTTCAGGTAATATGTATTACATGAGGTCAAATCAGAGTGAAACCAGTATGGGCTGAAGTATTAATAAAGATTTCAGAAACTCTATAGAGATAAAACAGTAATCTAGTTAATAGCATAAGAATAGATAAGTTGGGAAACTTATCTAAATAATAAACTTTTTGGACTGAATTATCTACTTTATAACAGTGATTTGATCACAAAAATGAGATATTTGCCAATAGATTTCAGGTAGTAGCAAAAACCACTATTAATGAGATGGGTTTAAGTTTTAAGACATTTCATCATATTATAATGGTAATGGACCAAGAGGGCCTTTACTAGAATGCCTTCTCAGTGCTACCTAAATAAGAGATACAGTTCCCTTTTGTGAATGAGTCACTGTGATCAGAGGTGACCATAATGTGGAGTCCAAGTTCCATTGGCTTACCTTTCAGCCATGCCTGGGATAGTTTCTGTTCTCATACTATGTCCACATGAAATGAGCAAAACCACTACCATCTGTTCAAAGCAGTTACAGTCAGCTCACAGCAGTGAGTCCTAACGACCTGTCTCGATCAATCCATCACAAGTATTCACCTTGGGATGTATAAGACAATCTTTATAAGTTGTGTGGAATGCAAAGAAGATTTCGTCAAGACCCCTGCCCTCAGGAGCTTACAATAGAATAGGAAAATAAGGTATGTGTACATGAAAGCTAGCTAATTATATACAATGTGTTATTGGTGGAGGGTGTCCAGGTTCTTGGCATCTTAAACAAATAAATGGAAAAAACGCACAAACAAAGCAAGGAAAGAATGAAGCAACAAAAGAAGAGATTTATTGAAATTGAAAGTACACTCCACAGTGTGGGAGCAGCCTGAGCATAGGGGCTTAAGGGCACCTTTACAGAATTTTCTGGGGTTTAAATGCCCTTTAGAGGTTTCCCACTGGTTACTTGGCGTACACCCTATGTAGATAAAGTAGTGGCCTGCAATCAGTCTGATTGGTTGCAGAAAGCAACCAATCAGAGGCTGAAGTGAAGTTACAAAATTACACTCCTATGCTAAGGTCTGATTGATTACAGAAAGCAACCAGTCAGAGATACTTTCAATTTTCCATCTGCCACGCAGAAAAAGGGGTGGGGAGGGGGAGTGGGGACATTGCAAAGGGAGTGGCCTCTGGTCCTTTTGTAATTTAGGTGTGGAAAGTTAGCATTTTCCTTTTGATTTAGTTCCACGAAGTCAGCGTGAATTGCCCTTAGGTTCCTTGCCTCCAGACCCTATTCTCCTGCCTCAAATGTAGTAAATAATAAAGGCTGAGTGAATAATACCAAATATAGTAAAGTGAGGAAACGGGCCAGTTTGGGAGAAATAGCTCTCCTTTTTCTAGCCCTTTAAAATTGCCAGCACATCTTGTCCCTTTCCTGCACAGCAGTCAGACAAAGGCCAGCTATAGATAGAAATTCATTTACGGATTATTGCCCAGGTTTGTTCTCAGATTGCTTGCCTCTTTAGCCTGACAAGCTGCCTATCAATATCTATTTCTACCTCCATAGTTGGGCAACTTGTTCAAATTCTCCTCTCTGCTTTAGTGAAATTGTTGCCTTCTTGACTTTCTATTCTTCACTCCTCCCTGAGTTCCATATCTTTTATATCTTCAGATAAGATACTATCATTTTCCAGACTCAGGGAGTCTAAAAGCAAGGTTAGCTCCTGACCACCCCCAGCAAACAAAAGCAGTGAGAGAATAAAAAGAAAAGAACAATTAATATGTGCACCATGTGTCAAGGCACAGTATGGCCAAATTAAAGTCAATATCAAGTGGTCAAATTTTGGAGTTAGAAATAGAGAGGATGATTTTTCCCCAACTTGATAATTTCCAAAAACAGCCAATGAGAAGAAACTCTAAATCACTGTCATGAAATTCCTTTTAAAGTCATTTAATGCTGGTCAATGAGTATTTGTTGAGTTAGTTCTCAGGGCTTTGTCGCTCATCCACCTACCCCTGCTTCATTTAATCTATGTCTAATTAGCCCATGCCTTAGTTAATGGACACAATGTCTACGGTCTTCAGCTTGTTGCATTCTCTGCCTTCATGGTTTTAACTCAGATTATTTATTGGTTCCCATTAAAGACAGAATGAAGTGGCTCCTAGAGCACAGCAGAGTTCTCGGGCACTGCAGATATTCTTGTCTTCTCAATAAGTTGTAGCTTCTAATGAAAGTAACTGTGCCTTTGGCTCTGAGTCTTGAGAAGAAAAGTGAAATGAGAACATTTATACCTTCAGTTACCTTTCTTCTATAACCAAATGTTGTTACTCTTAATCCTCAAGGACTTTAGAAAATTGCTATGGGAACGCTCACAAGGAGTAGGAGGGCAAGGAATGAAAAACCGGTGGGTTCACTGAAGTTGCTTTTAGGAGAATGGAATCAACACTTCCCTAACTGTACCTCTCAAGTAATCAGTTATGGGTGATGACGGAAGGACTTGCTCTATGACCACTCAGAATGTAACTCAGGTGCTCAAAGACCAAGAAGACAGATGCTGCAAGATATTCTAATATGTCTGGGAAAATCTCTGGGGCCAGACTCTCAGCATGGTTGATATGTTGACATAGTGCCTTATAACACCGACAGCTCATGTCTCCTAAAAGCAAAGGCTCTACAACAAATTATTGGGTTATTTTGCTATAGTAGGTAGAGTCACAAGGAAACATACAATATGTGATCCATTTTTACTTCATATTATTACTATTTTGATGAGTTCTTATATGTCCTCTGTACACTAAAAAGCATATATTTTGGAGCCAGATACCTGCATTTAAATATATGTGTGATAATCTCTTTGCATCTTTATTTCCTCATCTGTAAAATGAGGATAATAACAATACCTATTTCACAAGATTGTTTTAAGGATTAAATGAGATAGTATGAGTAAAATGCTCAAAGCAGGGCCTGGAATATGATAACTCTATTAAGTGTTAGCTATGAATATTATTGTTATTATTACATCCTGCTGGTTGCTTCCAGATAAATCCTCACAAAACACTCTGCTCAGAAACCTTAAACAACCTTTCCATTTTAAAAAACTCCTAGTCCTTAGACGAAAATTGTATTCAAGTCAACAAACATTACTGAAGATCTCTTTTGTTCAAGAAAGAGGGATTGAAAGAAATGAACACAAATGATTCTGAGCTGCTGCAGTCAAGGAAGTTTCTAGTGGAGTTTTTACAGGAGGGAAGATGCTGTCCACACTTGAAATCTTAGCAATGCAAAACTCAATTTTTGAGTTATTATTTCTATAGGAAGACAAAATATAAGCACCCCTGCCTTTCATTTGCACATATGGACAAAATAGATGGGCATCTGCCTAGAAATGTAGGGTACCTGCAACAGAGGGATCAACAGTGAACCACAGCACCTACAAACAAACAAACAAACAAACAAACAAAAAAGATGCATTCTCCTGTCAGGCATTTGTATAACATGTCACAAAGAAGCCAAACCCCCTGAAGCCTTGCTTTACCTGCAAACAACTTTGGGCATTTTTACTTATGCTGCAATTGATTTTTCCTGCCTATGGGAAAAGGACCCCAATATCAAGAAATTGTACCCAATATAAAGTGCCATGGGACAAGGGCACAGAAAAGGATTAGCAGAATTTGAACATTGAAAATTTCAGACCGAATCTAAACAGAAAAACAAAATGTCTTAATTATAATAGGCTAAAGCCTCTCACAATTTTTTTCTTGGAGAGGAAACCAGAAATTAATATCAGAGCTGTGCTATATCCTATGTATAGATTACGGCATTCTCTCTGCTTAACTTAAATGAGTAATAAATTAAGAGAGTTCAAATATTATGTTGTAAATTTTGTTAATCTCAGATTAACTTATGTGTGTTCTTAGGAAGCTCCAAGTTATAGAACCTTCTCAAGGGGTGTTAAAGGAGCCATCTGAAACAATAGGATGCTTCCTTAAGACAGGAGCCAAGATCTTGGTATTCAAAATGGATAAAACTATGTAAAAAGCATTGACTACAAAATGTGCCCTTAACACTGTAGGAGCACTAACAAGGGACTTCCACAGAGGCCTTCATTTTCTTTCTTCAGTGTTGTCTGCCACTATTCCTCTCTACTTTCCTCATAAGTTGTATAAAAATAAGCTTAGTTCCCCTCTGTGGCTTAGGTCAAAATTTCTCAGGCCTGGAATATCCTCCTATAGTCTTTATCACTTATTGAAATATTCTCTCTCCATTGGTACCCAACTCCTACCTTTGCATAACATCTTTCTTGATCATCCCAGTCTAAAGTTTCTCTCATCCTCTAACAATTGTGAGCCAGTTAAGAGAAGTCACCGTATTGGTTTATCTTTGCCCTTTCCCCACCAAACCTTGCATAATGATGTTTGTTAAATAAATTTTATCACTTAAGATAAAATATACTTTATCTTAAGTGATAAAATTTTAATCTTTAAAATTAAAAACTGGAAGTTTCCCTAGAGAGAATTTGTAAACTAAAATAGGGCCCTTGTGAAGTTGTGAGCCAGCTGAAGTTATACAAATGCTACTACATTGTGATCTTTTTTTTTTTTTTGCATGTATGTATATCTCATTTTGCCAGAAATATGTAAGATCTTTGAGAACAAGAACCATTACTTAAGATTTTTGCAACAGTTCAGTCTTTGGTTCAGTTGGGTTTTCATTAGGTTACTTTGTTGATAGTTCTCAGAAATGCTTAGGCCAAAATGGAGCAGTGAAAGACAAGCCATCTCATGACAAAGGTGAAGTTTAATAAAGCTTACATGTTTATATAAGAAAGATTTCCTGGGGCCAAAATCTTGAAGGGCAAGGTCAAGGATGAGGTGTAAGATGAGCAGGCTGTTATACTTTCTGCACCTATAGCCCTGCCTAAGGAGAAATTCAACCCCAACCCCTTGGAATAAATTGCCTGAAGCTGGCGCATCTCCTGTTAATTCATTACTCTCTCAACCCCTGAAGTTACAGACAATTGGCTGCCCTGGGGTAGAGACTGGACCACAGAGCAGCCAGTTCATGAACTTACCAGCAACCAGTGGAAAAATTCCTGAGCTGAGGTTCAGATTCTCTTTCTCAGGAGCCTTTGAGAGAGAATCAGGCAGTTAATAGGAAGAAATAAAACTGAAAGTTTGCCTAGAGAGAATTTGTAAAGTAAAATAGGGCCCATGTGAAGTTGTGAGCCAGCTGAAGTTATACAGAAGCATAAACTGGGAAAGCAAGTGTTATGAAGAAAAGCTCAGTCGATAGCAGCAGGAGAACAGAGGGATTATACAGTGAGGACCCACATCCCATTAACGGCAGAGTGGTAACTTAGCAATTTGAAAACTCCTGGTACCTAATTCCTATAACTATCTGCGAGCTCCAAACTCAGAGAGGTGCTGCCCTGAATGGATCTTCTTGGATGTCTATGAAACAACATATCCCTTGGAACCCCCAAAGACTCTTTAAAGTGGCAAACTTCCCTGCCCCATTCTTCAAAGAAGGCATCATTTGTTGCCAAAAAGCTTAGCTAAAATTCCTGGAAAAAAACACAAGGCTGTTAGAAATTGTCTGTGGTGTCCCCGGATGTCTGCTTCTTTGCCTTTGTCCTAATGCAGACGTATTCTCTGTCTTCCATGGCTATTGCTTCCTACTCTTTATAGCCAAGAAATTTCCCATAGAAAAAAATCTTAAACTCATTTACACTAAAGTATAAATGGCTTAGGGCCAGGTGTGGTGGCTCATGCCTGTAATCCCAGCACTTTTGGGAGGCTGAGGCCAGCGGATCACTTGTGGTCAGGAGTTTGAGACCAGCCTAGACAACATGGTGAAACCCAGTCTCTACTAAAAATACAAAAACATTAGCTGGGCGTGGTGGCGGATGCCTGTAATCCCAGCTACTCAGGAGGCTGAGGCAGAGAATCACTTGAACACGGGAGGTGGAGGTTGCAGTGAGCCCAAAAAGCGCCATTGCATTCCAGCCTGGGCGACAAGAGTGAAACTCCATCTCAAAAAAAAAAAAAAAAAAGTATAAATGGCAAAAAAACAGCACCAAGTATTGGCTTAAAAATAACACCAAGTATTGGCATTTTAAAACAGAGCAGAGGTCTTGCATGAGAAGAGTGAAGTGTTTATGGTGAAACACCAGATTTTCCCAAGGGCGCGTGCCGCATTGACTCTGAGATAGACATTAGTGTGCCTGGGGTTTAGGAGGCAGTGCTCCTGGGAATGGCACATATGAAACAGATGGGAAGGAAGCAGGTTTGGGCAGAGGGAGAAGTCGAGCCTTGATGAGGTCTCAATACAAACCTCAGACTGTCTATTAGGGAGTTATGAAGATGTGATGTCCTTCCAGAAGTTGCTGTGAGTTGGTGTGAAAAGACCAGACTTTATATCCCTTATTGATCAGTCATTGACAACCCAGTAAGCAGAGGTTGAGACAATCTCCAGAGGGACTGACAAGTGAATATTCCCTTTCAACAGCACTCTTACCAGCTGAAATAAACAATCCTTTATTCTGGAAGGGGCATCTGGACATCATGGCTTCCATCACATCCAAAAAAAGTTATCAAATATCTTGGGGTTGGAAAAAGGAGGCAGGTAGAAGGATCTTTATGCAGTAGCACTATAAGATTGCCCCATTTACACTGCCTGTAAGTATATGTATAATAAAACTGTTTCCTGACTATATTAATGGTCCAAATGAGTAAGATATAAAGAGAGGAAATGGAAAGGGCTTTAGGACCATTGTGATACCTAAGGAAGTTCTCACTTTTGAGTCAGGTGCACTGAAAATTGTGTACCTTTGACTTCATCGACTTTATCAGCAGTGTGTTTTTTCTTTCTCTTTGTTGTTGTTGTTGTTGTTAATGGCATCATCTTTAATTAATAAATGAGTCACAAAACTAATATTTTATGAATAAAACCAAAAGAAGAACTTCTTTATGTTAGGTATACAATTTTGTTTCATTTCTCCTTTGATGTCTCTATTTAGTTTGCCTTTTCTAAATGTGTTGGGCAAATTCTACCACTGTGAAGTTGAGGTTATGAGACAGAGGGCCTGGCCTTCTTCAAGTAGCATTTGCTCACCCCAAAAAACTTATCTGGTGGTTCCAAGGAACAAATGGCTTTTGCTGGGCTCTTCAATAATATGATTTGCATGCTTGAAATGAGATCGCCAAAGTAATTGTACAATATTGCTTGCCATTACCATCATTAAAAACAGGCAGATGTAGGAGCACTCCCAGGGAAAATCTTCCTGCTGGGTTTTCATAGAGATAAGTGCACAAAATCCACTTTTGAAAAGATGTTGAATGGAATGAATTTGCCATTCACTGGCTGTCTGATGATGATTTGCTTGTTAATTGGAAGTTTAGGCTTTAGAGAAGCCTTAACAAATTTGATTGCTAAATTCAGGAGGTTTACTCCCTCCTTGCAAGCCATATTCAGAGGCATAAATCCTACTTTTTGTGTGTATGTCTATGTACTCATTTAGAATCTCTGTGAAAAGAAACTAATCCCTAACCCTTTTGTCAGCGGCACTTTCCACAGTGACTTTACCAAAAAACAAGGACAAAGCATTTTGTCCCTTTGTAAGCATCTCTAGAGTCCAAATATTTCCTGGGAGGGGAGAGGACAGACTCATGAGCTAAGCTGAGATAAAGGTTATCTGCACACATATGTCTGACAATTGTCCCACACTATAATGCTAACAATGGTTCGGGTGGACCCCACTTGTGGGCACCACTTCATTTTTATTCTAAATCAGCTCCACTGCAGTTAATAAATTCAAGTAAAACTTTTTATAAAAGCATGTTGGGAAATCCTGCTGTTTTTCTTCTCTGTTCAGACACAATGCTAAGTGTCCTCTGATCTAAACAATACCTAGTAGCTGGCAAGGTTAACAACCCCCTGAGAAGGGTCTTACTTTATTTTTAATGGCCATCATTGCTCAGCTACAAAGTGACTTTTTTCATCCCTGTCATCACCTATCCAGATTAGTTTCCTCTATGTAATGATAAGTTTATTGCCAGCCAAGGAGAATGACAACTGCCATGTGGAACTACATAAGCAGTTATGTAAACAGTATAGATAAGAGTGCCCACATGGTGTCATATAGCATTTCCCAGATCTAACAGTTCAAGAAGAGTAGCTAGACAGCCCTTTCTTCCTTATCATCCTCAGGAATTTCACAGTGTGTACCCTGACTAATAAACCTGTGCAAAATGTTATTTATATAGCCAATGATATTGGCATGAAATTACACATACCATAAATATACATTAGGATCAATTCCAGGCAGAGCCCTACAAATAGTAACAGTGTTTTAAATATTTAGTAAATTAAAAGCCTCTCCATGATTCTTGGTCCTCTGAATCTCTCTGTCATCTCAAACAGCACAGTTACGCACTCCTAGGCTGTAACAGCCAGGAGGAGGTAAAACCTGCCCCTCTGAGAATTTAAAACTCTAGTCTCAGACTCTTCTTCAGGGTATGAGACAGAGACCATTGCAGTTTCATTCATTTATTTAAAAGTATTTGTTAAGTGTCCTCTATGTACCAGTGTTTTTGTAAATGCTGGGAATATAATGGTGAGGATGGCCTCTGCTTTCATGGAACCAGCAGGGATGAAACACAACTGAACAGCTGTAGCAGTAAAGCTTTACAAGGACTGACTGTAGCAGAAGAAAATCCAATCTATTCAAAGAGGTCTAGGTTAAGCCTTTCTGGAGAAAGTGTCCATTCAGTGGGCACCTAAAGAATGACTACATGTGAGTTGAGAGGAGGGGCAAAAGATAATTTTGGCAGAGAAACATCACGTACAGAGGCTCAGATACAAGAAAGCATGTGACCCATTCAAGAAATGGATGATGTTGGTAGAGCTGAAACATAGCATGGGCATGGGAAAATGGTGGTGGTGGTGAGGGGGATGAAGATGGGGGTGAGGAGGTAACAGGTTGGTTCATGAGGAGTATTGGGTTGCATCACTGGCTCTTCACGGAGTGATTGTTCAATAAATATGCGTCAAATGAATGTGTGCATGGATGAATGAAATATCAGGACATACAGGAGATCCTAGGAATAATAATGACCAGGAAGAAATGCTTACTTTGCTCAGGGTTTAGGGAGATAACCAGCTCCCCTACACACCATTCCCATAATTCTTAAAAGGGACCAAAACTAATCCTATGAGGCAAAGCACGCATTTACACCAGAGATCTCAGTGGAGATCAGACATCAAACTGCACTATGAAGCTTTGCTGAGACCATGGAGAAAATGCCTTAATGGAAATGGGGCTCAAAGGCTTTGCCTCTGACTTGCCCTTAGCACATCCCAGAGTGCAGCTTCTCCCTGTAAGGATGCAGCTACTTACTCACAGAATGTCCAAACGTGTCATTTCTGATTACCACGTGGGAAGTTAAAACAGATAAGATAAACACCATTTCTAATTGTTTCTAATTATACATAGAAATTAAAGATAATTTTTTAAAACTTTTTAATTTTATAACTTAAAAAAGGGAAGAGTATTTTCCCAGAAGACCTGAGAAAAAGAATAAAAAAAAAAAAAAACCCACAAGGGTAGAGAATCACAGAAGAGAAAAAGAAAAAAATTTCTCACTTCTTCAGGCTACCCCTCTATGTATCTCTAATAGACCGTTTCTTACACCACAGCTCTCTGAATGATGCTAGTCCTAAAACAAGGAATTTAATCACCTCTGAAGTCTCAGCCACACCCCAGAGGCACAGGAACGCATCCTATCACAGATACACACTACTGCTTGTCTCGGATATGAAACAACTGATCGCTGATGTGGTTTGATATGAAAATAATGCTAACAAGACCCTTGGCTGGCAAAGCAGTGACTCCAGGGAAGCAGGGTTTGGAGACAGGGTCTCATGCCATTTGAAAGCAAAGCAGCTCTCTGTCCCCTCACAGTAATTGAGTTTAGCTTCTTTTAAATTTCAAATTGTAGGAAAGTAGTGCATAAGATTTTTGTATTTATCAAAGAGAGGTGGAGTCTTATAAAGGCTGAGAAACCACACACAAATCGTGCAACAAACCTGATATCTTTCTGTGTTTCTTTCCATGGAAGATTTTTAAATAGACATCAATGGCTCCCCAGTACAACACGCACACATACACACACACACACACACACACACACACACACACACAAACACACTGTACAATAATGCCATTTTTAAGGCATTGCTTGCTCCATATAATGCTAGAGCAAATTAGTTCATTCCCTTTAATTCTATAGGAGGTAGCTGCTCTCCTATATTCTATAGATTTAGGATAAAACAGAGAGTTCGTTCACCAGCCTTGAGGGGTTTTAAATAGAGCAAGCAGAGCTAGCAAAGAGTTACAAAGTTTTGTCCAAGGTCAGCTTCACCTGTTAGTAGTAGAGCTGGAAATAAAAGCCAGGACTCCCCTTCTTTTTCCTGTCCTGTGTCCATTGGACCAAACTGCTCTCAATCAATAGGCAGCCAGTTATGACGGATTCACATTCTAGCCGGTGTCAATAAAAACAAAAATCAAGTTTTAATCAAAACACATAACCAAGATCTACATTTCTCTTGGCCTCAATAAATCTTCCCCAAAGGAAGCAGCTAAAATTCTTTACATTTAAAAAATGAGCTCCGTTGGGACTCCAAATTCCAGTTCGATTTTTGAGCCAAGGCATTTTTTTTCTTTATCATGCACTTGGTGCTGTAGTGTGATAAGAACCCCATGCAGACCATAAAACTAATTTATCATCTGTAAGGTGTACAAAGAAAATGGTAGCTGCCTACTTGTCTGCTTGACATATGAGGTCATTTTTGCCGCTAGCTTTCTAATACTGAGCAATTTTATCAGCTACTTATATACATTAATTGTGGGTACCCATATGCTCAATGTTGTATTTAATAATGCATTGCATTGAATATGCATTCCTTAAGTTTTAGCATGCAGTGAACATCTTGCATTTAACTATTTGGTTTGCCTATTAAAGCCCATTATTCAGCTATGCCATGTTGCCTTCTCTCTCAACTGAATTTATGTTTCTTTAAACCTGGCTCACCCTGCTGAAACCCATTGAAATGGACAAGGCCACCTCACATGTCCCAAGGGCTCCAAGCAAAAACAAGCAGAGGAAGTGCCATGGTCCACTTAATAATACTCAAGCAAAAGGATTATTTGATGAATCCCTTTCCCCAAAGGACGGCAGCATATTCACGCTTCACAGTGTAAATATAAATACAGTTCTCAGGCAACAGAGACACAGAATGCTAGATAAAGTGTGAAAAATACCGCAGCAAACAGCTATGCCAGAGTGATTTCTTAACTAGCAAGGGGGAATCAGTTCAAACATCCAAAGCAATCCCAACTCCCTCCCCTCCCTTCCCTCCCCAGTTTTGTCCCCCAGGAAAGAAAGCAAAGTCCAGTTCAGCTGGATCCTTGGCCAACTGATTACCCTAGCCATCCCTTCTTACTGTGAATACTCACTTCCTGATAGGAGAAAAGAAGCCCAAATCATCATCCATCTCAAGAGATATCCCACACACAAGCTCCCCCGTCACAGGTGTTAGCATTTACATCATAAAATTAACCATTTTAGAACAAGACCTTAAATGGCCCTGATCAAAGCCAATTTTTATGGGTATAATAATCTATAAAGTAGGGTCCCTTGAATGCTTTGGCTCAGAATAAATTTTCAGAGAGGATTCTGTTACCCAGCAAAACAAAGGAAAAATATAGTTTTTATCCCAAAAGAAAAAAAAAAATCAAGGAAGCCAGGCTCCAGTAAAATGCAGCACAAGGTCAGGAAAGGGGGTACCAATATAGGCAAAACCAGCTCAAGAGCCCAGATGGTGAGGTGGGCAGGTGACCAAACAGTAAGGAAGGCCCTGAGCTTGTGGCCTGGGCAGGCAGACAGTCATATTCCTTCTCTTGTATAAGTCTGTGCTCTATATGGTATGCATCACATAATCTGACATTCAAGTATGTTTGGAGGTCCTGCTAAAACTGGATAATTTGAAACTACACACAAAATAACACGGCTCCTCCCAAATCCTTCACTCTAGGTCAGTGTATGTGTCCTGACTCTGTATCTGCTGCTGCTGCCTATATGTATAGAAGACTCCATATATAAATTCTGAAATGTTCTCATTTTGTCTACACCTATAGCTTTCATGTAGGATAAGTAAGATATAAAGAGCAGACTGTGATGAAAACCCTTATGTATTCTTTTAGTTATGAAGCCACCAAGCAGGGCTGTCTCAGTTTGCTCAGCCTTACCAGACATTCCAGTGCTAAATCTTTTCATTTGACTGGATAATAAGTTAAATCCCCCTTGGCTAGTTCCTGTGATACTGTTTTTATCAGCAGTATTCACAGTAGCCAAAAAGGGAAAGCAACCCAAGTGTCCATCCACAGATGAATGGATACACAATGGAATATTATTCAGTCTTAAAAACGAAGTAAATTCTGACACATGCTACACATGGATGAACCTTGAAGACGTTATGCTAGGCGAAATAAGCCAGACACAAAAGGAGAATTATTGTGTGATTCCACTTATATGTGGTACTAGGGTCATCAAATTCATAGAGACAGAAAGTATAATGGTGGTTTCCAGGGGTTGGGGGAAAGAGAAAATGGGGAGGTAGTGTTCAAGAAAATGGGGAGGTAGCATTCAATGAGAACAGAGTTTCACTTTGTGAAGATGAAAATTTTCTGATATAGATGGTGGTGATGGCTGTACAACAATGCAAACGTGCTAAATACTACAGAACCATAAGTTTAAAAATTGTTAAGTGGTAAATATCATATTATGTATATTTTCCCACAATTTTTTAAAAAGTTGAGGGAGATTAGGGGAGAGACTCACAGGCCTAAGTTATGAGTCAATTCCAGTATTTTGATAGGAAGCCTGAAGATAAAAACTATAATCATTTATCATGGGGACATTGTGTCACTTCCTTGTGATTAGCAGACATTGTAAATCCCGTTTTTCAGATAACAATACTGAACCACAGGCAGGCTAAGTAACTTGTCTAAGGTCTAATGCAATTTATGATTCCTTTCCAGTATCCTTCCTGGGAAACCAACAGAAGCACTGCCAAGGGTATTGTGCATAAACACTAGTCTATGTCTATGTCATACCATGACACCATCCACAATAGCACGATCTCCTCCGTAGTCTAACTGCCTATTCCTTCCTCCCTTCCTACCCATCCAGTGAGTAGATCCATTCAGATGTGTAATCTTTTGTCTAACCAGTTTGCCTTTTCTCAGGTCTCCCTTCAGACTTAAGTCAAAACTGTACCTTCAGGGCCATTTTATGTGATGGTGGTATCTGAGAGCTAAAGAGAGTTCTTGCTTAGTGAATGCTCATGATTCAGCTGACTTTGATCCATGATGCCCTTGGCCAATCACTTCCCAGAAAGGATGGAGAAATAGATGTGTACTTGCCTCAGAAATGTTACCCCATTCTCCAGTTTTTCACTGCAATCCATCCGGTACCACACAGAGCCATACTGGTCCGTGAGGTAAAAGGAAAAATCAGTCATACTGATCCTGTCTTACTTTAAATTTTTGATATTTTATTCATCTTGGATTTTGGCATTGATTTTTGTGAAAATATTGCATTAAAACATGATTTTTGATTATTAGGGTTTGGGGTGCTCCCTTAAATGTGTTTGAGGCAAGTGCATTTGTCTCACTCTCATCTCACTCTAGTCCCAGCCCTAAATCCATTTTTCTTCATGACCAAAAAAGAAATAAAGGACAGAAGGAAGGAAAGAAAGAAAAAAACAGAAAACATCCTACCCTGAATCAGCTACTAAAGTGAAGTCAGGTGCCAGTCAAGTGTTCTGCAGATAAAAGATGAGAAAAGGAACAGCTATAACCCTAAGCAGAAAAGAGCCCAGCATAAATGTCTTTCATGTACATTTTTGACAAGATCGTTTCAACCTAAAATCAAAAGCTTATATTTAAACACCGCAAATTGCATATCTATGAAAAATGAAGTCCCTACAGGCTAACTTTCTGCATTTTTGTTCTCTTTAAAGAAGGTATTAGAGCAATTTGGGCTGTCTTCTTAAAAGATTTTTATTGTTTTGTGATAGGTAACAGGAAGCTATCAACTGAGTATGTAGCCAACAGGTCAGAAAGAAAGCAATGTGGCTTGACTGCTAAGTATGTCAGTTCTGCCTTCAACTGACCAGAGTCTGAGTGAGTGTGGATGTGTGTTTTGCATCTCTCACCCCAGGCCTTGTTTATCAGCTCACAGCCAAGCAACCTGAAATAGCTTTGTTTTCTAAGCACTACAGAGCTTTTCTCTTTGACTAGGAAATCTGTCGGGAGACCTGGCAGAACATTCCCCCACTCGATGACAGTGGGGATGAGCAAGTCTGCTATCCCCTTTCCAGGGAATGCATTTGGAATCAGCTTGAGAATGCTCTGGTCAGATCTCAACGTGCAGGATTGTTGAGAGAGAAAAAACTGTCTCTTCATTCCTCAGGCAAGGCAAATGCCATCACATTGCAGGCTCAGTGGGAGAGTGGAGATAATGAGGTATTTTGAAACAGCGGACATTGTCAGAAAGACAGAAATTGGGAAAAGGGCTGAGGTGGTGAGTGATTATTTCTCAAAGGAGCAATGGAACACAAAATGGGTCTCAGTTTGGGTTAAGCAAGGGAGATGAGAAAGGGAAGCGTGTTATGAATTATTTACCACTGGTTATATTTTAGCTTTGATCCTAGTCCTAATTGTGGGGTTGTCTTGGTGTGTATGAACTGAAATAAAAACAAGTTGCCAACTTTTCTGGCTGTATATTCCCATGGACACACACATACCCCAGTGTTCCTGAAAGGTTATCTATACGCCAAGTTTAGATTCACTTATGAAGTGTATAATTCAACAGGCACTGGTAATATGATCTACCTATAAATATTTTCTACATCCTAGAATAAAGTATCTAAAATTCTATCACTAGAGATGTGTCAATTTGGGTGAATCATTGTCTTCTCATTTGGTCTTTTTATTTGTGAGTTAAAAGGGCTCAAATCTAGAGGTAGCTCTTATTAAATGTACACTGAAGTGTCTCTAAAAGGCTATATATTTAGTCTTTAAAATTTAGGATGACCAAACACACTGCCTGGCCCCAGACACTCTGTTTGTCTATTGTCTTATAATAATTAATAGGAATTCATTTCATTCGTGAAAGTTACATTAAATAACAAATTATATACTCACCCTATGAAAACCATATTTTCAATAAAATCCGTATTTTCAAACAGTCTGTTAGTTTGTTCTTCTCAGTAACAGTAGAGACTCTAGAGAAACACAAGGACCATGGGTCTTTGCCTACTATGAAGTTCTGGAAAGGGAGGACTAACAGCACTGAAGATAAATGTATTCTATAATTTTGCTTTAGCCCTGTTCTAATCTGGAACACTTAGGCTGTCCATATCTGGTTTCCAGCGTTTCCTTCATCGCATGTGGAATGTAATGCAGCATCTCTCGTGCTTCGTTAAAACCACTCAAACTATCAATTAAAATGAACTGAGAGAAGCACACAGCAATTAAACAACACACATGTGCGGGAGGCAGTACCCATCATCCATGAAGCAGTAACTTCTGAAGAGTATGAAAGGTCAGAATGGCCACCATTGCTGCTAACAGGGAAAGAATTAAGAGAAGCAAATGGGAAAAACCTGGAAAGTTTTCCCACAAGGAATGGAAGCTTGCTATTGGCATTCATTCAGTGGCATTAATTGATGAGGACTCATAGCAAACTTGATTTCCTACAGATAGAAGGAATTTTGAGCCTTAGACTAGGTCAGGTGCTTCTGTGGGATTCTTCCATAATACTCCATACTATATTTCTCATAACCTTTGTCACACTTTCGTGTTGTTATTTTTAAATTATAGATCCTTTGGCTAGAATTTACAGACCCCATGGTCATAAAATAATTGTCATAAAGATAGTAACCTGCACAATGTGCACATGTACCCTAAAACTTAAAGTATAATAAAAAAAAAAGGAGAAAAAAAGATAGTCATAAAATCATTAATATGTAGTAGGTCAGACAGGGGTCAAAGCACTTTGCATGAATTCAATAAATTCTCCCCACCAATAAGATTCCCCTCTCTTCTGATTTTAGAAAGTTGGGGCTCAAGTAATTTTCTCAGGTTACACAGATTCTAAGTGGTAGAACTAGTATTCAAATTCACATTGTTTTGAACAATATACTAGGTTGCTTGCCTTGGATAGCAGCAATCAGGCTGTCCTATTTTTTACCGATGTTCCCCCAGTGCCTAGCACAGTGCTAATAAGGCTCAAAAATATTTACAAAATAAATGAATGTATGAGTACTTTTTACATGCTGGCTACTATGAAGGTACTATTCTCACAGAGCTAAATAAGTCATAGCTTCTGCTTTTTGATAAACTCCCACTCCATCAAGTCCCAATGAAACAGGCAAAGCCTCATGAATAAAATAAAGACATTGAGTGGATGTTTTAAATTATTACCTCACACCACATATTTTAAATTCAACAGCATTGTTGTTAACTTTAAAATATTAGTATGATTGAGCTGGAATTTAATGTGGTGTTTTGCAAAAGTGTCATGTTAGAGGGAAATATGGGAGAATTGTAAGAAATGTACTAGACTCAAAAGTTACTGATATTACAACACAAATGCTGAAAAAATTAATTATGCTGTTTGTTATTCCTCTTGAAGGTGCCAGCTTGTCTCTCAGGAGCAAGTAAGTGAACAGAGGGAGTTTTGGACAAGAATGTTTGGGACAGCTCGGGGTAGGAAGTGGAATAAGCCTAGATAGCTGGAAATGAATGATATACCATGATATGATATGCTGTGATACTTCAACACTTTAAAAATATGGTACATTTTGAGTTTTTTGAAATCTTAAGTTTTAATAAATAACTAGAAATGAGGTATAAGAACACTTATAAATGGAAGAAGCAATACATGAAGACATGATATCTATGTCTTTGGAGAACTTTGAAAAGGGCTGACTACATTCAATAGTAAAGAGTCGTGAGGGAGAAAATGAAAGGATGAGAATAATACTTGGCTTAAATGAATGAGAAATGAGAAGCCTCCAATTAGAGCTTGTTTGTGGGAAGGTGCTCAGTATTATGATAGATGCGTATTCTTTTATGATTAACATAAGAACTTTCCCAGTCAAAAACATGCCGAGAATTATATACTATGTCTTAAATCGTCTCTTGCTTGCCAATACTCTTTAAGATGAATTCTCAACATTTAAAGAGACCTTTCACTTCCTCCAATCTCCAGCTACATGTCAACTCCATCTCCACCACACTGACACCATGATGACTGACGTTGGTTTTGATTTGACATTTTAGCCGTTGAAATACACAGACACACTCACTCACACTCACACACACAGAGCCTTCAACTTGAAATTTGATTGGCATCAGTCATTTCATAACCTGTCTCTTGGGGATCGGACCAATGGACCTTTTTAAAGCTTGCCTTATTGAACTGACCCTTCTGATCTTGACGCATGATTTATACTTGCTAATCTTCTTGGGAGCCTTCCTCACTCTTAACAAGCCTGTCATTTCTTTCTCTTGAAAATATTTTTCTTAAGGTGCAAGATGATTTAAAATGTTATTTTTATTCCTGTTCATGACTTTTGTGAGGAAAAAAAATCATATGAATGTATCAAAGAAGTAGCTATTCAATCTGATTAGTGAATTTTCCCAAAGGAATATAGACATCACCATATTTGTAGATTGTATCCTAAAGGGACATGAGGATCCGATTCAACTCAACAAATATGATACCATTAAAAAAATATATTTGGAAAGGTCTTCAGAGTTTAGTACAACTTTCCAACCAATAAAAGAATCCCTATGTCTTCTCTCAGAGAGTTAGCTTCTATGTGAATACTTTTTGTTAATATAAGTTCATTTGAAAGCCAACCTTATTCAGAGTACTTCTACCTCTTGAAATTTCTTCCTTCGTTAATTCAACTTCCTTTAATTCATCTCCCTAAGTGCTAGGTATTTTTTTTTTCAGCTGGAACCACAGAAAGTAAGTCCCATCTCTCCTCTACATGATAACTCAGGGCTGGCCTAAGCTGGATGTCCACAGTTTCAAAGATGTATGTTTTTCTCTTCCTCAACCCAGAAAAATTTTCTTCCTGCCCTCATTCTTTTTTTAATTATATATTTGAATTTAATTCTTTCTAATTGAATTTTCTTTTTTTTATTATTATACTTTAAGTTCTAGGGTCCATGTGAACAACGTGTAGGATTGTTACATAGGTATACATGTGCCATGTTGGTTTGCTGCACGCATTAACTCGTCATTTACATTAGGCGTTTCTCCTAATGCTATCCGTCCCCCGCCCCCACCCCACGACAGGCCCCCGGGGTGTGACGATCCCCACCCTGTGTCCAAGTGTTCTCATTGTTCAATTCCACCTATGAGTGAGAACCCGCCCTCATTCTTTACCACCTCTTACATTCTCCATGGAGACCCAAAGATCCACCCTGTGAGAGGCTCTGTGACCATACTTATAGGTTGTTTTAGTACCCCCAAATATGGTTCATCTCTTGCTGTCTTCTCATCTTTATTACACTCCAACATCCTCTTAATCACAGTGTGGTCTTCTTTAAATTCAGTTGGAAGATTTCTTTAAGTGGAAGCAAAATATTCCCTGAATAGAAAAGATAATTATCATTTATTGAGAAAATGTCTCAGACACTGTACTAAATTCAAGGATGATAAAGATACAAAGATGGGAGAAATACAATATCATATCCACAAAAAATGTATACTATACTGGGGGAACAGAAACACCCTTAACATATAAGTAAATATAGGGCAAAATGATGTGATGTATGCTATTTTTTCAAATGACTCAAGCTATACACAATCATTTAGGAAGACAATGTGATTTCTCTTCAATGGTGGGGAGGGAGGGAGGGAGGGGGAAAATATCCTCTGCCACGTGGAGTCAAATAGGGAACATAAAAAGCCACAACATGCAGTTATCAATTACCTTTTACATAATAGTTATACCATATATACAATTTTGATATGCTAATGGCCTCCCCTTCTATGATTCTAAACATCTACTGCCCCAGGGTGTAATTTATCCCATAAAACTCTCTTAGGATATTTCTTGCATGCAATACACCCCAAATCAAAACCTATCAAAGTGCCCTAATTTCTTAGGGGGTAAAATACAATAATATACATTTTCAAACTATCTTCATTCTTAACTGACTTTATTTCCCTACTTATGACTCTCAATATAGTACACTGAAGAAGGTTTCAATTTCAAGGGCTTCCAGTTTTGTCATCTATCCTTTTAATCCCTGTGTGCTAAAATTTCCAAATTATTGCATCTCCCACCTCACCCACTTCTTAGGGAAGTTGCCTCCTCCTGAGAACCTGGAAAGGGCAGCTCATAACTCTAGCCCCGGGGATGAATATCCAGATCATGCTGGCAATGAAATTGTATCTTGTCAGAATTTAGACAAAAGTCAGTTGGAAGGTAGTTAGCTCTTACATTGGGAAATTGCGTTGTTAAGAAAGAGTAACCAACAAGGTAAATGGAAGGGAAGCACAGAAGGAAGTTAAGGGGAGTAGGCAGGCCATTAGTGTTGTAAGCCAGGTGAAACAAGTAACAGAACGGTTTAGGGATGCAAAGGGCCTAATAGAAGCAGAGACCACGTGGCTCCACCAGTAGTTGAGCGAACAGGTTCTACTCACATCTTGCCTATTCCAATCCTTTCATCGATGCCTAAGCAAGACTTAATTTTATGAACTTTGCTAGCTGCAACAATGCCTATTAGGGCCTTTCATTAAAGTTCTTTTCTATTTGAGCCAGTTTTAGTGGGTTTCTGTTCCTTGTAGCAAAGTCTTCCTTGACTAAGAAACACCTGTAGGTTCTCATCACATTTCTCTTTGAGTCCAGCTTGTTTTTAACCACACTATACCAGCACAGCTTTGAAAACTTTGTACAAGACAAAAATTATGGGTAAGATTATACAAATAGTAATATTTTAGTTTTAAATTTTTTATTCACTGCTTAAGGTTAAGTAAACAGGGAAGGAGAGTTGCATGTTATTTCTTTTGCATAACAAGGAAATGGAAGTGCTTAAATCTAGAGATTGATGAAAAAAGAAAAAAATGAAGTTGAGAGATTTGTAAATGTTATCCCTCAAAGAAATAAAATAAGTAGGATGTTATTTGAATGTTGACATATGGGGTAAGATAAAGTCAGATGAGTCCTGAGCTACATAAAGAAGTCTTGTTGTGCCCTGCACCTAGCTGAAGTGATAAATAATCCAAGTAGGCAAAAAAAAAGTCTTAAACCAGTGGATTTTCTTTTCTTGTTGGCTATGCTGTTTACTTGCTGCAAGTATCCCATTGGATTGCCAAGTAGACAGTCATCATGAGCCAAAAGAGAAGGCACAAGGGAAACAAATAGGAGGAAAAAGGATTGTTTTTCACCAGAAGATATAAGCTTATTAGGGTTCCCTCATAAATTCTTCCATACTTTTATCTTTCCAAGCAAGAAGTCAGTATACTCACAAACACACATGAGGGAGAAAATTCATTCTAGTAAAAAGTAGAAAGCAATAAGTAAAAGTCAGACTCCAGGGTTGTACTCTCATTCCTCATCTGTAAAAAAAGAAAAAGAAAAGAAAAGAAAAAGAAAAAAGAAAATGAGAAAAATACCTGCATGGCCTCTATCCATAGCTTGAAACCCACAGGTTAAATTAGACTCAAACATGAATGTGAAAGAATTCTCTAAAATTAAAATACACTTTAAGAATGTAAGATACTGTTAAATGTTAAACATGTGTGTGTATTTGTATAATATATGTATATATATGTATTTTATATATATGTATTTTATATATATATGTATACACATATATCGCAAACCAGGAAACAATAGGGAATAAAATATTGTAATATGCTTCTGTTATCCTCTCCCTTTCCCACTTCCTTTAAAAGTTTGAGAAGTAGTTATTAAAACTTCAGATGAATTCAAAGTTTGCTCATCCATAATGTCTTCATTGTCTCTTGGCTCTTTGAATGTCAATGAGTATATACCTCAAAATTACTCCTGTCAATTATGAAGGTCCTTATCTTAGCATTGATTTTTACATGCTCAAATCAATAGCAGGATATGGCCCAATAATTAATATTGGGAAACTAAATTGCTTTTTTCCCAGGTATTTAGCTTTAGCCACAGAAATATTCCTCTTTTACTAACACTATGTCTTTATATTTATCTCCTTTCCTTTATGTTCTTAAGCCAAATGCTCCCAAATAACAATACTAAATATTTTTACCTCGTCAAATGGTACTTACTGCATTTTTGTAAACAAGGCTGATGCCTGAATACTTACGAACAAAGTATTGTGTATAAAAATATTTTCAATTCTTTAGCTCAGACTGTTAAATTCTTTAGTTTTCCCTATTCATTCTCTAATTAACACAAAAATGATATTGCTCAAAGAATTTTTTTTCAATAAATATTACTATATGCCCACCATTGTTTGATGTGCTAGGGAAACAAAAATGAACAAGACATTGTTCTTTCCTTTAATAACTTCATAACCTCTTATGTTGGAAAGAGACAGGCATAATGAACACATTGTGATCTATACAATGAAAGATGTAAGTGCAGCATGCAGTGCAGGTAGCTAGGGGTGCAGCTGGCTCGTACTGACTTGAGAGAGCTAACTGCATTTCTCTTTCCAACCATGTTCAGTGACAATGGGATCTTGAAATTGGCTATGGTGACAATATTTACACCACAAGAACAGGCAAATGCTACAAATCAGCACTTGTATTTCCTCTGGAGAAAACCAGTTGTTAAACATTTAACCACAAACTGTCCTTACCCCTTCCCGGGGTATTAAGGAAGCATAGGGGCTGAACAGGGAGACTGACCTTAAAATCCCTTTTTAAGCATGGGTACCATGGTGTGATTGAACAAAGTCTTTTATAAATTATAGTTTTGTTTATCTGTAGCAATTTAACAATTGTGGGACAAGGTCAATTGTTTGGAAGAACAGAACTGTGTTAACTTTAATTCTTTGAACAGATGACCACGCTGGCCAAGAGGCAGTGTTAACTGACCATTAAAGTGTACGAATAAATATAGTAAGTACATATTCAACAGATAAGTTTTATCATTGAGTTAATTTCCATTACAGCATTGTCAAAAAATGACAATAATATTTTCTAGTGCTTTTAAGGCTTTACGTTATCATGAAAGTTTGAAACGTGTAGAGAATTACTGCAAAACAAACTTCAGTGATATTATTTTGTCTTTGAAGAGGCAGAGTCAGGTAGTTAAATAACAGACTGATTGTTCAAATTCAAATGAACTCCCATTAGGATAGAAAATCAAATACAGGTCAATAGATGATAAACCTCTGAGTTTGCTGTAGGTCAAAAGTCATGAGTTTCATGTGCACCCTAAGAGTAAGCCAGAATAAAAACTTCACCATGGTGATCCAATTTCCTCTCCCTAGGGAGCCACATCCAGTGATCTTATCCATGCCACCAAGTTTTTATTATTTTTTGTATTATTACAAAATATATAGTTGGTTCAGAAAATCTGAAAAAGATAGTTCAGAAGAAATAAACAAAATAGGAGTATAAACCTGTCATCCACACATTTTCTATAACATTATAATGTACTTTCACTCATGCCTATATTTATTTCTATGCCTATGTGTGATTATGTTCCTGTAGATATAGACAACACAGTGGAGTTAAATTTGAAACAGCATTTGTATATTCTACATATCTTTCTATATTATTATACATTATAAGTTAAACAAGTTTTTATGACTCATAAATTTTTAAGTGTATCAGTCACTTGAAATTCTTTTTTTTTGGTACCTCTTTCTGTTTTTAAAAATTTTTTAATTTTTATTTCCATAGGCTTTTGGGGAACAGATGGTGTTTGGTTACATGAATAAGTTATTTAGTGGTGATTTCTGAGATTTTGGTGCACCCATCACCCGAGCAGTGTACACTGTACCCAATTTTTACTCTTTTATCCCTTACCCCACTCCCACCCATTCCCCCGAGTCCCCAAAGTCCATTGTATCATTCTTATGCCTTTGCATCTTCATAGCTTAGCTCTCACTTATGAGTGAGAGCATACGATGTTTGGTTTTCCATTCCTGAGTTACTTCACTTAGAGTAATGGTCGCCAGTTCTATCCAGGTGGCTGTAAATGCCAATATTTCATTCCTTCTTATGAGTAGTATTCCATGGCATATATATATGTGTATATACATATACATACACATACATATATGTATACACATATATACATACATATATACATATTGTGTATAAATACATGTATACATACATATATACAATTGTGATATATATACATATGTATATACATATAAATACTTGTATACACATATATGTATATACGTATGTATATATGTGTGTGTGTACATATATATATATCACAATTTCTTTATTTCTTTACTCGTTGATTGATGGGCATTTGGGCTGGTTCCATATTTTTGCAATTGCGAATTGTGCTGCTATAAACATGGGTGTGTAAATATGTTTTTCGCGTAATGACTTCTTTTCCTCTGGGTAGACGCCCAGTAGAGTCACGTGAAATTCTTTGTGAATTTTCTGTTCATGTCCTTTGTTCAATTTGTTTTGAGAGGGATAAGACCTTCTTATGTAGTAGGTGTGTGAATTATTTTGTTTATATGTTACAAATATTTCCTTAATGTGACATCCTCATAAATTTTAGAGTCACTCCTGCTACAGTGTTATTTTCCTTCAGACACTTCCCTATTGTAAAACAAATTCATTTGTTCTCTACTACTTAAAAAAAACACCTCCTCAACTGATGAATTTTATTAATAATAATGACAACAGTGATGATTATTATGTTAACTTGTATTTCTACAATGCATAGAGTTTATAGTACATTTATAAAGTACCAGTGAGCACTTAGCAGAGTTACGTTCCCCATGTAAGTTGACATATATTATAGGAGTATCATAAACTAAATACATTTTATTATACTTAAAAATAATTTAAAGTTATCTCTCAAAGTTAATGTCTATTATAGATGAGGCAATTGAGACACACAAAAGCTACATGACTTGCTCAAATCCACAGAAAGTTATTGAAAATAATCTCTACTAACTCCAAACTCATAATAGTGTTATTATTTTTACCCTACCACAAGATGGTCCATCAACTGGACCCAGTCTATATTTCTGGCATTATTTCTAGTTTCTCCCAATGAACATGTCTGATTTCTCATCAGCGTGGCTAACACTTTAACACTGTTTTTGTTTCCAGCAACCTGAACTTGCTCAGGCTGCAACTGCTCCTCTAGCCGTGGCCTCTCACAACCTCTCCACATGCCTGTACTATTCATTTTTACAGATGATCTCAAGTTCAACTGTTTCCATCAGATCTTCCCTTATTTCTCAGATCTGAAATAACCTAGGACTTATTTTTATTCATTTTACATAGAGTTAGGTGAGAAAATTGAAGCACATTACATATCACAGGGCTATTTTAGGCTCTGTATATGGATTGGTATAAACTTTACAGAAACACATTTTAGCTTATTTATGTTTCTCTCAACAACAAGCACAGTATTGTACATACCCCAGACACCTTGTAAATGCTCTTTGAGCAAAGATTGCCTATGCTCACTGTTACTAGATTATTATTTAGCCTCTCTATCACCTGCATAAACAGTATATTCATTATGTGAACCAGTCAATGATTGTAATACGCCAAAGATAATAAACAATAGTTTAAAATCCTTTAGTTTGTTAACTACCATTATCTTATTACCAAAGAATAGATTTAGCTATGTTTAATATTGGGATAATTTAGTTACATGATTAGCATAAATTTTGTCCATCTCTGCCCTTGCTAGAACTACCCTATGAAAGTTGATCACTGTAAGCAATTGTTTGCTCACATTTGTTTTTGTGAGTCATGGGCAAAGTATTTCCCTTAGCTGATGATAACACATCATAACTGCCCCAGATATGTTGTTCAAAAGAAGTTATATCAGTTTAAGTTTCCACAGAGGATACACTAATCATATAAATAAATTATACATAGGTACAGGAAATTGCATTATAGCAAATTGGACAAATCGAGTTTAAGAGAAGAAAACATAATTGTGTAACTTTAGAAAGAAATAAATATTGACCAAAATGAACATTTTTACAAGTAATGTTATCTCTGATCAGCAACAAACATGCTTCTGGATCAATATTTGTAGTTTGATTCATTTCCTGCCATATAGAGCTTGATCGGCTCGTCAATATATCCAAAGGTTAAAAGAAAAAAAAAGAGGGTTGTTTTTAAAATAAGCTTTTCTAAAAGTTTTCTTTTTTCTTCCTTTAATAAGTTTCCTAAATATCTACAGAATAGTGAGTGCAGTGGGAGGTGGAATCTGCTGAAAGAAAGGAATTTTCTTAAGACACGGTTAGGGACAGGAAGAGTGGCATTCTTCTCTGGGTGAGCAAGACAACAAAATATGGACTTTCTTCAAATGTCAAACCAGCTGAAAGATGGGTAGACTATCAGCAGAGAAAGAAGGCCAATTAGAAACAGTCTGTTACTGAGTAGAAGGTGAAGAAATTTTAAGTATCTTGGATTTGCACATTGCTTTCTATTTTTCAAGGTGCTCTCTTGCCCATTCAATTCAAAACTCATTTGGTATTCTGTATCAGCAATGTGATAGATGCAACTGGGGTGGAACCTGAGAGATGGCACAAAAATGTCAATGTATGTTTCTGTCTGCAAAAACCTCATAACCTAACTAAGAAAACAGACATGTATGTATCTTATGATGTTATAGGCATGGTTGCCAAAGCACTAGGAAGAATGCAAAAGCAAAACGCAGTAGGGAAACAGAACAGAGAGACAGTCATTCTGAATGGTGAGTTCTATAAAGCCTTCCTGGAGAGCAAAACATTTCTGAGATTTTGGACAAGAAAGGCTTCCAAGATTTTGAATCTTAGTGAAGGATATTTTGGACTAAGAGAATAACATGGGACTAAGACTGAAAAATATATGATCTCATTATAAAATTGTGAGGAGTCTGGTGAATGACTTATCCAGAGAGTATAAGGAAAAAGATAGATGGGAAGTGGCAATGAAGGATGGGCTTGTGTTTTTGAAATCTTTAAATACACTGCATTGATGGTAAGACCTTATTTTTTATGAAATGAAAAGCCAGAGAAAAAATAACCAGTGTAGAATCATCAACATCATCACAGCCCCATGAAGTATATAGATTTATTTTTGTCTACAAATGTTAAAAGTACAGTATAGGGATGTAACAGGCCCAAGGACAGCAAAAGAATAAAAATTATATAGAAACTTCCGGGCATCTGGCTTAGTACATCTTCCAAAGGACTATAATTCCCAGTGATTTTTCCAGAATCCAGAATTTCAGTGTTGAGAAAGAATTTGATGATGAAAAGCAAACCTAATTAAGAATGAATGACTTTTAGAAGTTGCCTTCAAGCATTCAACCAGGTATCCATTAAGATCCTATCATATCCATCTGTGAACCAAGACCCAAGATTAAAATTGCTTTGTTAGCAGAGATGCCTTGATCGATACAATATTTCTTTAAGAATGGGGCTCAGGGCCGACTCACTGGGATTCAAGGGAGAGGCTGATCACTATCACCATTGACATGTATGTGGTGACCTGTGGATCCCACAAGCAAAGGAATTTCTTCTCAGAACCAGGGGCAAGAATAGAAACTCACTTACAAGTCAAGCTGTAAAAAAACGTATTGATTCCTCTAAGGATACAAAACTTAACACCAGCAGATAATACAATAAAGAAAATAGAATTATATAGGAATTTAAAAAAATAGTCCCAACATATGAAGCTCATGTGGGGTGATCTCTGAGCATAGTTAGCAAACCCTAGCATCAGAGACAGTTCAGCATGTGAGCAGAGGGTAGAAGACAGACAAAGCCCTGGCAGAGAATCCCACAACATCTGTCCTCATTAAATTGAGTATAAACATAAACCTGACTTAAGCAGCTGAAAATCTGCTTGCTGGACACGATTTTTTGAGATAATCTGTCTCTAATTGTAAGACTACTGAAAGTATCAAACCTGTTGGAGCCCAATAGTTTAGATGTGAGATAAAAAAAAAAAAACAACTTTTTTTTTGAGAGTGTCTCACTCTGCCATCCAGCCTGGAGTGCAGTGGTGCAGTCATGGCTCACTTGACCTCCTGGGCTCAGGTGATTCCCCTACCTCAGCCTCCTATGTAGCTGGGACTACAGGTGCATGCCACCAAAGCTGGCTAATTTTTTTCATATTTTTTGTAGAGACAGAGTTTCATCTTTTGGCCCAGGCTGGTCTGGAACTCCTGAGCTCAAGCAATTCACCTGACTTGGCCTCCCAAAGTGCTGTGATTACAGGCACAAGCTACTGTATGCACCCTGCAGAGCATTTCAACAGAGAGACCTCCTTCTTTACTTGAGTCTTCTTTGGACATTTGAAAATGTTCATTTTTGAAATGAATGTCTTTGTATTGAGATGTGTTGGCTTTTTTATTGTAAAAGTAGTTATACTTTATAAAAAATTTGCAAGACACCCAAAAAAGTAAGGATGGAATTTAGAAAATAACCTATGATTTGATCACCTAGAGATAATTATGGTAAATACTTTGAGATGTTTTCTTCCATTCTTTAAACTTTACAAATGTCTACAATTTCTAGCAGATTTGGAACCTTGCTGTTGTGCCTTCGTTTTGTTCATTTAACAGTGTGATGTGCATTTTCCTCTATCATTAAATAATCTTCAAAAAAATGTGAAAATAAAAATATAGTTATAGAAATTTTGGGCAAACAAACAAATGAGGTTGAGCCTGCTTTAGTGCAGCATGACTGCTCTACCCAGGATGTCATTTCACCCTTAAGTTAGTCTGGTAAACTCCTGTCTCACCTCTAATACTCAGCTAACCCTTCAGTTCTGAGAGACTAGCTGACAGACTTCCTGAGAGCTTCTCTCACCTCACTTGGCCAAGCAGAGCCAGTCATCTATCCTTTGTGCTACATCTGTACCTTGCACATTCCTTAATTAGAGTGTTCCCTTCATGAGTTAGGCACTGTGTTATGAGCTTTCCTAACATCTGCTATCTCATTTCTCTCTCATCCCAATCTTAGTGTTGTGTTGTATTCGCTTCCAAATTTTATAGATGAAGATAGTGAAAATCATATGTCTAACCTGACAAAGTCCCACGCCTCTTAACTGGCAGAGCCGTTATCCAAACTCCTGTCTAACTGTTGCTAAGGCTCTATCATTCATAGCTGCTATACAATCATGTGCATATGAAACTGCATTACTTACCTAAAAATTTAGAATTTCTGTTTTTTAAAGGCTATCATATACTCTGGTTATCTGCTGCTGCATTACAAAAGAACCCTGAAATGTAGTGAGTTAAAAAGACATTTTATTGTAGTTCGTGATTTTGTGGGTCAGGCATGCAAGAAGGGCTCAGCTGGATAATTCTTCGATTTCACATTAATTGGATGAATTTATTTGGTCATACTCAGCATATAGGCTGGCCAAGAGAACTTCTCTAAATTGTCTGGTGCCTGAATAGAGATTGCTGGTAGACTGGGCTCAGCTGGTACTGTTAACCAGAGCACTTGCATGTGACTTCTCCAGCACTGTTGTTTCAGAGTAGTCAGACATAAAGGCCCAGGGCTCCCAGAGAGATTGCTCCAAGAGACAGAAAGTAGAAGCTGCCAGTTGAGTGTATCTTTCACCAAGAAACTTGCACAATGTCACTTCTATGCTATTCTATTGGTAAAAAGAGTCCCAGATCCAAGGAGAGGGGATATACACTATACTTATTATGAGGATTGTCAAAGAATGGGCAACCATCTTTAATCTGCCACATCACAGAAGCAGTTGATAGATTTGGAGAAAATATTAATCACGTCTAAAACTAATAAGAAACTAATATCTCTAGAAGAGCACTGTCCAAAGCAACTTTGTATGGTAATGGAAATATTCTGCACTATCCAATATGGTAGCCATGTAGTAAACACGTGGCTATTGAGAATTTGAAGTGTAGCTAATGTTAGTAAGGCACTGAATTTTAATCTTATTCAACTTTTAGTTAATTTAAATTTAAATAGTCACAAATGGCTAGTTGCTACTACAATGGATAGTATAGCTGTATATATGAATGATATTCCTGCAAATCAACAATAAAAAGACAGGAAAGTTAAATAAAAGTGGCCAAAAAATGTACAGATAATTTACAGAAGTTAGTTCTAACTGATTATCAAATATATGAACGGATATTCAAGCTCAATAATAATCAAATAAATATAAATCATAATGATGAGATACTGTACACTTACCTGCATAAAAAAACTAGAATGTTTGATAATACCAAGAGTTACTGGGACTATAGAGAAAGAAGTACCCTCTTGCACTGTGAATGCAGAGAGACGTTAAGTTAAGTAAACTTATAGTCTATGATTCAGCATAATGTCTATGGCACCTATAAGGATATTCATTGTAGCATAGAAAAGGAGACAACTTAGGTTTTCATAGCTAGAGGTAGAAAAAAGTAAAATGTGGTTAAGGCATATTATGGAATATTACAGTGCCATTAGAAGCAATGACAACAAAAGGACATATAAGCAAAAGAGATGAATCTTTTAACACCATGTTGAGCTTAAAAACTGAGAAACATTATCAATTCCATAGCACAACATTTTTGAAAAGTAAAATTGCATATGCAAATCAACAATGTATATTCTACAAAGATGCAAATTTAAGAATATTTAATAAATGCTTTTTCATGGTTGCCTAGGCAAGGGAATAATATGAAAATGAGGACAGTTGGAAGGCAGGAGGGAAGGAGGGAAGGAAGAGGAAGAAAAGAAATTTGTGACGATGAATTATGACAGTTAATAATACACTAAATACTGTGTTTATTGCAGTCTTCTGAATTTGAGGTCCCTAAAATTTATGTTTGTATTCCAGTGCTTACACAATACTGTATGTTCATACTTTACACAGAGTTAGTGCTTGACGAGTGACTTCTGGTGGGTGGGTGGATGGATGGATGGATGGATGGATGGATGGATGGCTGATGAATAGATTAGTGAATGATAAATACTATTTGGAAGCCCAGATGAAGAGGATTAGAAGAAATTAGGTTAAAACTATTGGCAAAAGAAGGTTCATAAACAGCTATTATTACTTTATTCTTTTTCTTTCATTTTACCTTGAGAGATTGTATTCGTTTCCATGGCTGCTGTCACAAATTACCACAAAAAAAAATGCACTGGGTTACAGAAATAAATTTGGGGGACCTCAAGTTCAGGTGACTGCAATAATCATAGTCTTTAGACTACCACTAACTGTCAAAATTCATTGGTACAAATTTATTTCCTTCCCCTTCCCTCCCTACTTTCTTTCCTCCTTCCCCTTCTTCCTTTATCCCACCCTCCTTTTCTTCATCTTTCCCTCCTTCTCTCCCTCCCTTCCTTCCTTCCCTCCTTCCTTTCTTCCTGCACACATTCTACTCTCTCCCCTAATAGGTATGAAGATCCCTACTATCCCAACATCCAGTACTTTCCAGAAGCTCCGTTCCCATTACTTAGGCAAAATTGGAGGAAGAAAATGGTTCAGGTGAGTTTCAGAGTCTGAGGAGGCATCTGCTTAACAGATGAGGAAATTCTGAGCTAAATGATCAAATACATTAGCCTTATATGGCATAGCAGCAAGGAGAACTCATAGACCTCTGTGGTGGACTGCATAATGGCCCAAAAAATATTAGGTCCTACTCCCTGGGGTTCATAAATATTACTGTATATGGTAGAGTCTTCCCTTATGTGATTAAATTATCCTGTGGTAAAGAAAATTATCCTGGACTATTCACATGGGACATAATGGCAATCACATGTATACTTATAAGAATAGGCAGAAAGAGATGTGACACACACCCAGAGAAGAAAGCAGTGTGAAGACTGAGTAGGAAGAGATTTGAAAATGCTGGCCTAGAAGATTGAAGTGATGGGGCCATAAGCCAAGGAAGGCCAGCAGCCACAAGAAACTGGAAGAAGCAAGGAACAGATTCTCTCTAAAGCCACTGGAAGGAGCATGGTCTTGCCAACACCTTTATTTCTGTCCAGTGATACTTACTTTAGGCTTTGGCTTCCAGAATTGTAAGAAAACAAATTTACTGTTTCTAAGAAAACAAATTGTGACTGGCAGACATAGGAAATTAATACAATCTCCCAAGATAAAACGAAGGAGACCTTGAGAAATTAATGGATTTTCTGAAGTTCAAATGCACCTACCCCAGACTGGTCTAAGACGTGAGCTTATTAATCGGGGTGGCATTTCCTGGTGAGAAGGAGTAGTAAAGAGATATTACCCAGTGATCATATTAGACATTTCAGAGGTACAGTGGTATAGAATACAGAACATTTTCATATATTTTCACCCTTCTCACTCTAAACAAAGAGAGACTGAGTCCCCTCTCTCACTCATCCAGGATTCTTCTTACTCAGTTCTTAACTCTAGTCTAAAAAATAACTCTTTCCCTAAGCCACTAGCACAATAATTACATTGCTTTCTAATAAGTCTGCATTCCCTGCAAACTCTTTATCCCTTAGAGGAGTTCAAAAGTATGACATTAAAGCACAAAACAATTATACTATAGACATACCTCATTTTACTGTGCTTTACTTTATTATACTTCACAGATACTGCGTTTTTTTTTTTAAAAAAAAATTGAAGGTTTATGGCAACCCTGTGTAAAGCACCTCTACTAGAGTTATTTTTGTCAACAGCATGTGCTCACTTTATGTCTCTGTGTCACATTTTGGCAAACTTTATTATTATTATTATATCTGTTATGGTGATCTGTGATCAGTAATCTTTGATGTTACCACGAACTGTGCCCATTCAAGAAAATAAACATAATCAATCAATAAGTGTGTGTGTATTCTGACTGTTCGACCAACCAGCCATTCCCCCATCTCACTCCCTCTCCCCTGAGACACAGCAATATTGAAAATAGGCCAATTAATAACCCTACAATGTCTTCTAAGTATTCAAGTGAAAGAAAGAGTTGCAAGTCTCTCACTTAAAATCAGAAGCTAGAAATGATTAAGCTTAGTGAAGAAGGCATGTCAAACCAATATAGGTTGAAAGTTACACCTTTCACACCAAGTAGTTAGCCAAGTTCTGAATGAAAAAGAAAAATTATTGAAAGATATTAAAAGTGCTATGCCAGTGAACACACAAATGATAAGAAAGAGAAACAACCGACATGGAGAATGTATTAGTGGTCTGGATAGAAGATCAAACCAGCCAGAATATTTCCAAAAACTGAAGCCTAATCCAGAGCAAGGCCTTAACTCTCTTCAATTCTATGAAGGCCGTGAGAGGTGAGAAAGCTGCAGAAAAAAAGTGTCTGAAACTAGCGGAGGTTGGTTCATGAGGTTTAAGGAAAGAAGCCATCTCCATAACATAAAAGTGCAAGATGAAGCAGTAAGTGCTGATGTAGAAGCTGCAACAAGTTATCCAGAAGATCTAGCTAAATTAATGAAGGTGGCTACACCAAACAACATATTTTCAGTGTAGACAAAACAGCATTCTGTGGGAAGAAGACTCTGTCTAGGATTTTCACGGTTATAAAGAAAAAGTTGACCGGGCATGGTGGCTCACGCCTGTAATCCCAGCACTTTGGGAGGTCGAGGCAGGTGGATCATGAGGTCAGGAGTTCAAGACCAGCCTGGCCAAGATGGTGAAACCCCTTCTCTACTAAAAATACAAAAAAAAAAAAAAAAAAAAAAGAGCCAGGCTTGGTGGCAGGCACCTGTAATCACAGCTACTCGGGAAGCTGAGACAGAGAATTGCTTAAACCCAGGAGGCGGAGGTTGCAGTGAGCCAAGATCGCACCATTGTACTCCAGCCTGGACGATGGAGTGAGAGAAAAAAAAAGAAAGAAAAGAAAAGAAGTCAATGGCTGGCTCCAAAGTTTCAAAGAACAGGCTAACTCTAGTAGTAGGGGCTAATGTAGCTGGTAACCTAAGTTGAAGTTGGTGCTTTTTTACCATTGCAAAAATCCTAGGGCCCTTAAGAATTATGCTAAATCTACCCAGCTCGTGCCCTGTAAATGGAACAAAGCCTGAATGACAGCTGCTCAGTTTATGCCATGGTTTACTGAATATTTCAAGCCTACTGTTGAAATCTACTGCTTAAAATAAAAGATTCCTTTCAAAGTATTACTTTTCAGTCACAGGGCACCTTGCCATTCAAGAACTCTGATGGATATGTACAAGGGGATTAATGTTGTTTTCATGCCTGTTAACGTGTTTATTCTATACCCCAAAGATCAAGAAGACTTTCAAGTCTTATTATTTAAGAAATATATTTTATAAGACTATAGTTGTCATGGATAATCTTTCTTCTGATGGATATAGGCAAAGCAAATGGAAAACCTTCTGGAAAAAATTCAGCATTCTAGATGCCATTAAGAACCTCCATGAATTATGAGAGAAGGTCAAAATGTTATTAACAGGAGTTTGGAAGAAGTTGCTTCCAACCCTCATGGATGACGTTGAGGGTTCAAGACTTCAACAAAGGAAGCAACTACAGATGTGAGGGAAATAGCAAGAGAACTAGAATTAAAAGTGGATCTTGAAGATGTGACTGAATTGCTAAAATCTCTTGGTAAATCTTGAGCAGAGAAGATTACTTCTTATGAATGAGCAAAAAAAAAGTAGTTTCTTGAGATAAAATCTACTCTTGGTGAAGATGCTATGAACATTGTGGAAATGACAGCAAAGAATTTAGAATATGACTTGAATTTAATTGGTAAACAAGCAATAGGGAGATAATTATTAGCATTTTTTAGCAATTAAGTATTTTTAATTGAGGTATGTACATTGTTTCTTTAGGTGTAATGCTATTGCCCACTTTGTAGACTTCAGTATAGTGTAAACGTAACTTTTTTTTTTTTGATGTAGTTTTGCTTTTGATGCCCAGGTTGGAGTGAAATGGCGTGACCTCGGCTCACTGCAAACTCCACCTCCCAAGTTCAAGCGATTCTCCTGCCTCAGCATCCCGAGTAGCTGGGATTACAGGCATGTGCCACCACACCTGGCTAATTTTTTTTTTTTTATTTTTAGTAGAGGTAGGGTTTCAACATGTTAGTCAGGCTGATTTTGAACTCCTAACCTCCAGTGATCCACCTACCTCAGCCTCCCAAAGTGCTGGGGTTACAGGTGTGAGCCACCGCAACTGGCCAAACATAACTTTTATATGCACTGAAAAACCAAAAGTTGTGTGACTCATATTATTATGATGATCTAGAACCAAACGTGCAATATCTCCAAGATATGCCTCCAAGATATCTCACATACAGTTACAGGAGAGATGCTCTCTTCTAAACTCTGCTTTTCTCTCTAGTCCATCCTTCTCAACCTTGACTGCACATCAGAATCACCCAGAGTATTTTACAGTTTACTGATGTGTGAGTCCCACCCTCAGAGATTCTAATTTAATTGGGATGAGCACAGCCGGAGCACAGGGAGTGTTTTTTTAAATATATATATAATATGAGCTTTTGGGTATATTACTTTATTGGTACACGTCTTAGAACTCTATGGTCCACCAATTACACTTATATATCCAAGGAAGACCAATGCATATGACCATCAGAAACATGATGTACAATAATATTTACAGCAGTTTCATTAACAATAACTAAAAACTAGAAACAACCTAAATGTCCACCAACAGGAGAATAGATGAACAAATGGGATAATGTATAGACAGCAGCAACAACAATAAAATCCCTACTGATATGGACCCACATGGAAAAATCTCACAACCATTATGTTGAACAAAAGAAGCTTCACATAAAGATATGCATACTTTGTCATTCTATTTATATGAAGTTCAAGAACAGGCAAAACTAATCTTGTAGGTCATCTGACATCCTTCCCAGATCAGATGGTACCTAACCTCTCAAGAGATAGCCATTATTCTTTTTTTTTTTTTTTCTGAGACGGTGTCTCACTCTGCCACCCAGGCTAAAGCGGTCCTCCCACCCCAGCCTCCCAAGTACCTGGGACTACAGATACGTGCCACCACGCTCAGCTAATTTCTTATTTTTTTGTATTTTTGATAGAGACAAGGTGCTGCCATGTTGCCCAGGCAGGTTTCAAACTCCTGAGCTCAAGTGATCTGCCTGCCTTGGCCTCCAGAATTGTTGGGATTACAGGCGTTAGCCACCACACCTGGCCCTGACTTTTATTAGAAGCATAGGGAGTTTTTTTTTTTTTTTTTTTTTTTTCCAGATGGAGTCTTGCTCTGTAGCCCAGGCTGGAGTGCAGTGGCGTGATCTCGGCTCACTGCAAGCTCCGCCTCCTGGGTTCACGCCATTCTCCTGCCTCAGCCTCCTGAGTAGTTGGGACTACAGGCGCCCGCCACCGCGCCCAGGTAATTTTTTGTATTTTTAGTAGAGACGGGGTTTCACTGTGTTAGCCAGGATGGTCTGGATCTGCTGACCTCGTGATCCACCCGCCTCGGCCTCCCAAAGTGCTGGAATTACAGGCGTGAGCCACCACGCCTGGCCTAAGCACAGGGAGTTATAAACATTCCCTAGGTGATTCTCGCTTGGAGCCAAGATTGCGGATCACTATTCTAGTTTCTTTTTTCCTTCTAAACTGGTCTTGAAGAGATTTGCTCTCAATTCAGTACACTTAAAAGTGGAAACAATTCACCACGTTTTTTTTTTCCAAAAATGTTCATGATTTCAACCTAACTTTCATTTGCGAGTTGAACAGCTTTGAAGCCCATTAAAAGATGCACAAACTCTCAGTAGATACAGAAAGGGGTCATCTTGGAGCCTTCCGGTCATGCCATAACTGAGAGTAAGCCCAGCTTCACAGACAGCTGCTTTACCTGAACACACGTCAATGATGCTGAAGACCCAAAACCACACTGTCTGATCCAGCTAAGGTTATTTACTCAATAGGAAACTCACCTCCCTTTCCCTCCCTAGCCTATTGTGGCCAAAGCCGTGCAGCCTGAAATTTTCAAAAGGAAAACAGCTTGCTACCTGGTTTGCAGCACCTATGACTTAACTACATTTATAAGGGTTGTGGAACTTAACATCTACATTTTCCCTCCTATGTTCTGATTTCCTGTTTCTCCACACTATTTATGTTCACCTATTACCCAATTAGCACCCCAGTAAGCTGAACTCCCATAGTTGTTTCACCCTAGCAATTAACCCTCTCCAGCACCCCGCTCTGAAAAGAGCTCCTGATTAAAATAAACTGCTCAATTATTCTCCTAACAGGAAGCGTGCCACAGTAGACCAGAAGGAGAACAATTTATTTTTTCTTAGATCTCTAAATGTGTCCAGTATTGGCTTAGAAGAAAGATTTCCCTGGAATAATCTAGAGGACTTCGTTGAGGTTTATGGTAAGGGCACAAATTTACAAAATGTCAGCACCTATCTACCAGTTTCCAAATGGTCAGCATCTCTAGTTTGAAGAAAATGCTAAGATGAAAAAGGAAATTCACTGGTTCTCCTTTTTTATTTGATAAACTGCTGACATAAATTTCTCATTAAGAACCACAGTGACGAATAGAAAAGACGTAAAGAGAAAAGTCAGGACAAAAGGAAGTTAAAGAATGGAAAATAAAAGAGATGGGAGGATATTAAATATCGAGTTACCCAACATCTTTAAAGAATAGGATGTTCTGTGTAAGCAGTATTTCTTTACGAATGAAAATAATGTGCATACTATGTATAGCTTTCCTATTATTAGAAATTTAAGATATTTAACAAAGAAACTCCAATTAATATAACTTTGCCAGAAATTTTTGAAAGAACTTCGGAATCTCAAGTGCCTGAGATATATTAATGACTATCAACAACAATTTTGCAAAGTAATAAAGGGAGGAATAACATTTAGTTGATATTATTAGTAAAATGTAAAACTTGTAGTGGGTCAGAGATGTGAAGACAACATAATTTTCCGGAAGAATACACACCTTTATGTAAAATATCGAAGTGGGTCATAACCATATTTGCACATGATACGGAACTGCATATAATTGCCTACATATTTTATATGTAGATTTTAAGGCAGAAGATCACTTTTAATCTAGATTGCAATTTATTGGGGAGTTTTGTGTTTTATTTTTTTCTACCCACACATTATTCCTAAGGCAAGAATCCTCCAACCAAAAGAGAAGATGGCACATTCAACCACAAAAACCTGTGGGTGTAATTAGACTAAAGAACAATCAAGAAGGTAACTTTAATTTTATCTGAAAAGAAAATACATTAAAAGCTACAATTTTTGGTACAGGATTGCCTGCTAGGCAACTGAGGCAGAAGGTGCTACAAAGAATCTCGTTCTGAAAATGTAGTCAAACAGTCCTCGGCTTGCACTGATTTCCTAAGATCTTTCCACTGCAGAAAACTGCAGAATCCAGGCATCTTGGAAGACTGCTAGAATCTCACTTTTCTCTGCCATGAATGGAGTCACCATTTTTCAGAAGCCTTCATTAACTGAAATTCTAATCCTGCTTAAACTTGAATAAGGAAAACAAACAAACAAACAAATGAAAGACCTTCCTGCATACTGAATGTGTAAATCCTGGAAAACTGTTTACAGACAAGGAGTAGTCAGCCAGCTCATAGCTGTGACTTTTCTGTTCCGAGGGAAAGCAGCTTGCGAGCTGCAGTGTCCAGGAGCAGAGAAAAGCACAGTCACTGAACCCTATGAAATTTTAACAATTCATTAACAGGAAAGGGCTGCATAAAGGGATGCAGGATCAGAGGCAGCTCAACAGCATCAAATTCCGAGAGAATGAAGACCGAGAAAGGGGAGATGTGGAAATTCAGACTGAGGAGAAAAGGGAAAAGAAAGAGGAGGGAGATTTGACAGAAATAGGAACAAAGACAGGAGAGACAGGAAGGCAAAAGAATAGGAGAGATTAGAGAACAAGGGAGAGGAAAGAGGAGAAAGGATTTGAATAAAATTCAAGTCTCTAATCTGGTTTTACTTTTAATCTTCCCTCTGAGGGAGGGCATGAATGTAAAATGCTTATTGTTCCACTTTATTTTTTTTTTTCCTGAGTTCCCCTAACTGACCAAACCATGTGTTAAAAACAGTTTCCCTCCTGGAAGGGATTATGCCCTTTGACTTTCAAAAATCATCCCTCCCCTTCCCAGCCTCAATAAGGCTGGGTGGTGGTGTGTGCCCTGGTGTGGAGCCACTGGGGGTCTGCAGAAGGATGCAGTCTCAGAGAAGTCAGCCAGGCTGGTGGAGGGAAAGCATTGTTTCTTAAACACCCTTATCTTGGACAGTGTAGGCATATTTGTTTGTAAATATACATGTTATGTATGTGCTCATGTAAATAAATAAGTTTAAATATAATTTCCAAATGAACAACATGAGAAAAATTGTCGATTTTTGAGTGTGTCAAATAATGACTGCAAACAAGGTGTTTTGCAGCCGCCAGCAGTGGGTCCATCCCTGAAGCCACCCTGCCATCTAGTGGGGCACTGCCCAAATGAACACCTCTTCCAGCCACAGTCGGCCTCATTTACCCTCACAGCTGGAGACAGGGAAGTGGATTCTCCTAAATGTGTTAACTTAGCAGTGCTATATACTAGAAACAAATTAATATATAATTCTTCTGTGTCTTAAGGTCATTACTGTCAAAGCATAAATTAATAGGGCTATTCCAGTTAATTCATTTTGGCGTTTGTTTCTGCATGTCTGAGCGCATATGTGAAAATAGGCCTACCCTCCATGCCAAGGGGGAAGAAGGAAGGAGGCCTAAAAGTAGCTTAGCCAAACAAGCAGACTCTCTGACCTAAAAGCAAGTCAAGGGCAAAGCCTTTCAAATGCTGCTGCTTTGCCCTTCTCACTTCTTGGAGCCCAGACTAACAAATCCTCAGAACAGCAAAGCTCAAAGAGGAGGGGATAGTGGATGGACTCTTGGGAGTCTAGGAGGAGGTCAGGGGGCACTGTTATCAGAAGGCAGTGTTTGGAAAAACACCTGGTTCCACTTTCTAGGGCGAAAGGGATCCTGTTACAGGAAAATAAGGGCTCCTCTTTCTGACCAGGAGGTGGCATGTCCATGCTCACCTGACCAGCCTGGTTGCAGAAGAGATTGTAAGAACGGTCCCCTGCCCTTATTCCAAAGGTGGCTGCATCTTTATCGCCACTCCCTAAATCAGTGGGTTTCCAGATCATATACAGAAGTACACAGCAATGCTCTCCCACTATGAGAAGAAACAAAACAACCCACAGCAATAGAAAGGGAAGACCAAGGCGCGTGTGGGGGAAGGTGAAATTTTCCGCCACCTGATTTCAATTCTTTTCAGAATCCATAGGGGTAGAAGCGCTTGAAGAACAGGCTACACCCATTGCTGTTTGCCTCCTTTTGGTCTATTCCGAGATTCAGGTAAGAATCTGAAATTCCACCTTTTTCTGAAGTAAATCTCAAACAACCAGGGCTAGATGTAGATTCAAAGATCAGATCATCCTAGATTTTAATTTTCATCAGGAGTTATTGTCATGCGTATAAATTCTGTATTCTCAAATAAAAATATCTAAAAATGCCTTCAGGCTTCTGCTGCTAATAAAACAATGTTCTCTTGATGTGTGTGTGTGTGTGCGCGCACACGAGCTTGTGTGTGTCCTGAGAGAGCTGGGGGAAAAGGGGGCGTCTTTGCATGTCTGTCCTGATAAGAATTGCTTGATAACCACCCTAGAGAAGCATTTCTGGGGTCAGAGCCATATCTTCTCCCAGAATCTCTGCAAAAATGTATTAACCAAAGCAATATACTATACTATTGATAATGCAAATGCTGTGAGAGAAAATTCTCCACCATCACTGCAGTGCCTCCTAATCTAGTTACAAAAAAAGAGATTGACTCACATAAAACAAAAATAGGCAATGATGCAAAACATATCAAAACAAAATTTCTGAACCTTAACTATGCCTTTGAATCACCTGCAAGACTTCATACAAGTGCAGATCAGGCCACCGACAATCCCAATCTCTAGGTGCAGCTTCTCTATTTTTGCAAATTCCACAGCTAATTCTGATGTGGAGTGAAGTTGAAAGCCAATGACTCAAAATTAAAAAATAAAAATAAAAAATAAAAAGATTCTTGCATGGGTGATTCTTTTGAGCAGCCAGAAATGAGAACAAGCATATAAAATGCAATTGCAGATGGCGCGGCAGGACCTTAGCCACTGTGGGTGGTTAAGGGGAGAAACCAATGAGCGAGGGGGTTAGCACAGACACAGAAAAGTGTCCTGGAGAGGGCAGAGCTTCAAGAATGGGTGGGACATACATAGAGCAAGAACTTAGGAGAAGGTATTCTAGGTGAGGATATCAGCGCTTCTGCTGGAAAATATGCTGCAAATTCTAAGGATCACAGAGACCTGCCTGGTAAAACTGAATGAGTATCTTGGAGAACAGTGAGTGCAGCTCACCTCTGAGCCAGAAAATAGCCAAAGATATAGCTATCGAAATAAAAAGAAGTAAGTACCAAACAGTCTCAAACATGGTCCATGTTCTGTCTCAACAAATGTCCACATTTCCCTTTTGTCCAAGGCCTCCCTGATTGCCCCACTTCTGCATATGTTGAATCTCGAAGAAGTACATGGTTGGTTTTTCCCATTGTGCTGCTACCTGAGAGTTAAAGATTTCCACTTGTGAGTAAGATAATGCACTCAGCTGCATTAAGCAGACAATTAATTTATCCCCTTGGCTGCCCACTACCCATCCTTAATGTACTTTAAAAAGGAAATAATGCTTACCTTGCTTTAACTTGCACAGTGTCTGGAAGGAAAAAGGCATGCAGGAGATAAGACTAAAATCACTGCAGTAAGAATCACCCTGATCATCATTGGATCATCATGTCAAATAGAACTTCATAATATTGTTACAGAGACATCAGAGCAGATGGGTAAGAAAGAGTGTCATGTGAGAAAGTGGAGTGTTATTACTTCATTTCATCTTCCTGTATTGCAATTATAAAATGTGCTGAAATTCAGCAGGGTGACCAGTATATCAACCTCTGACAAACGCCAGGCTTTCAAGTGTCTGAGGTAATCAAAGATACCCCATAAATGGTCCAAGATAAACATGGCTAGGCCCTGATTCTTGAAAATGTGATCTGTTCAAGTGGGATTGCAAAGAGTCCACATCTTAATTGAAAGAACATAGTAATCTACTTGGCTAGGGAATTAGAATGCTCCAGAAGAAATGCTATCTATCCTGGTTGGTATAATACTTTGTTATATGAGGACATAGGCTAGAAGGTGATGGTCTCACAAGATTCCTATTAGCTCTTCAATACATAAGCCTGAATCATTTAATTTTATTTTACTCAGACAAACTTTTAATGGACTCCTATAGTCTGCATGGTATAAACTTCTTAACAGGAGATTCAAAGCCCTTGATCATCTAGCTCAAACTAGTCAGGCAAACTTTTTTCACACTGTCCTCCCACATAAATTCTGTTCCATTTGCGTTGAGCTGCATAATACCCTCTGAATACACATTACTGAAACTTGCCCCCATCCATTGCACGAGATTGGCCATCCACTACAACATTTTACCATAAAAAATTGTAACAACAAAAAATAACAGCATTTTATTCATCAAACAAAATCTTCCCCAACATCCAAGTCGGTCCCTTCCTCTCCCATAGAGTCTTCTTTGAAAGTCTCATTATGAAATATCTTCTTCTGAGGACTGGTAGTGCTTGATATCTCCACTGCCATGTCACACACTACATTACATGGCTAATTATCTGTTTCTATGAATAGGCCTTTCTCCCTTTCTAAATGACAATTTCATAAGATCACACCTGTGTTTTAAAACTTTCACCTTTTTACAGAATCTGGTACTGTGCCTGCCCTAGACTTGATGCACAGCAAGGTCAAGAATCAGGTCATGTGTTCACTACTATATTCCTAGACCTTGGCATAGAATCTAGCGAGCTGCGGAAAGGAAAGCAGCACTTTTCCTTTTGGATTTCTCAGATACGAAGAACATCTGCTCCTCTTGACTCTGTACATGTACAGACCACGTTAGATAAATGTCAGGAGAATGGAAGTATCTACAAGTTATTTTAAATATGTTAAAAAAGAAAATCCCATTCATCCTTTAAAGAGAAAAACAAACATTATAAGCCCTCTTACGGTGAATTTCTATTTGGCTAACAATCTCCAATGAAATATAGAGATAAAAATCAAAAATAATACAGAAACATAAAATTAAAAATAGTTCAAGTTGTGAGATTTATTCAATAATTGCATTTGATTTGGGGGTAGTTTTTTTTATTTTTGTTTTTGTTTTTGTTTGTTTGTCTTTTTTTCTTGAGACAGAGTTTCACTCTTGTTGCCCAGGCCAGAGTGCAATGGTGCAATCTCCGCTCACCACAACCTCTGCCTCCCAGGTTCAAGCGGTTCTCCTGCCTCAGCCTCCCGAGTAGCTGGGATTACAGGCATGCACCACCACGCCCGGCTAATTTTGCATTTTTAGTAGAGACGGGGTTTCTCCATGTTGGTCAGGCTGGTCTTGTGCTCCCGACCTCAGGTGATCTACCCGGCTCAGCCTCCCAAAGTGCTGGGATTACAGGCATGAGCCACCGTGCCCAGCCAGGTGTTTATTTTTTTAAGTGAAATAGTAGTTCATAACCCACTAAAAATTACTCTTTCAACTAATCACTGTTTATGGCACCTATCCTATACTGGGGACTGATTATAAAATTCATATTCTTTGTAACGTACACTGAGAATAGCCTCAGCGGGAAAAAAAGGGGTGAGGACAAGAATTTTTTTTATGAAAAAGTTGAAGGAAATACTCTGAAATTGGGCTCAACTTTGTCCCAGTCAACAACCGTGATGGCTTTCAACATATGTCTTACAAAGCGTATTGGCATGGATTTTGTTGCATCTTTGGTAACTATGTAAATGAGAAATTTTATGTAACCCACAATAAAGACAAAGCCATGATATAGTAATGTGCTTTCTTTTCAATCTATCCATACCTCTTTCACTGCCAGAAATGAATTTCTGAAAGAAAGTATACCTGTGATCAGCGGGTCTGCAAATCAAGACCTCGATTACAAAGTGTTGCAATGCATTATAGGAACCAAGATGCTAAAATCTGAAACTGAGGTGTTCTCATCACATTTTGGATCTCCAAAACAAAAAAGAACACCTGACTCTTATGCCTTTTCTCTTCTCCCACTCTCTTCCAACCTTTGCACACTGGATAAAGAATTTGTAATGTTGCCAACCTTGCCACTTAATGATCTGGATGCATCTACATAATGGCCTCCTGATACTGGCCGTTATAAATGAGATTCACGTTATTTATAAATTAGCTCTCTTGTTCTGCATATTCCTGAGTTTATCATCATTAAGGAGCAGAAATGTTTCTCAACAAAAGGCCCAGGTACTATGGCGATAGACACAATAGTAACGCTTAGATACACAGATAGGCATGTTGCTGTTTTGGTCTTTTGTATCCATCTTCACTTGTCCCAGATATGCCATTTTCTGATTCTCAGGGTGCAGAATGTTTTGAAATACATTTGCGTATTCATGGATTGTTGGCTGTATTCACATTTTTATATTCAGCTAATATTTAAATGTATTTAGGAAACAGGCCTCAATTTAGATTTGCAATGTGGTATGAAATATCATAAAGGGAAATCACTTTCAGGCTGTTAGATCTGGTGCAGCTGGGGAGATAGAGAGGTTCAAAACATCTGTCAGCCCACAACATTTTCACAAACCCTTTCCATACTCAACAATACTAAGCAATACGGCTGCTAACCCAGAAAACATAAAGACCTGTAGAAACATTAGAGCAAGGGAAGAAATATGATTTTCAACCATTTTATTTAAATTCTTATCGGTTCACAGACCGAGTTCTTTTGGGCAGACTAATAATGTCCAGGTGTGGGCCTGTGTCTGTGCCAATTTTAAGGCTGGTTTAGTCTATGGCTGAAAAAGACAGAGGAGGACTTCCTATAAGGAGGAAATACATGAAGAAAGGTTTCAAGGGAGCAAGCTATTTTGAGATGTCCAGTGCCTTCATCAGCACCTAATACATAAACTCTCAGGTCCTTATTTGCCTCTAGGCAATTAGCCCAGTGGATTCATGTACAGAGCGAACAAGATCTAACCCATATAAAAGTATAGGTCCCAACTTTACACGTGTTATATCCTGTGGCCTCAGGCTAAGCTCCTTATCCCAGTTAGTCATCTTGCAAAGTTAGCTGGGCAGGAGTGCAAGCCACTTCTGCTGTCAGAATAGTCTATTGATACAGAGATGGCATCTCCTGTCCATAACAGATTCTAAATGTCTCCCTTTTATAGAGAACAAAGTGTCCTAACACAAACACTACTCATGGGTAGTACTTAGTAAAGTTTTGATAATGATGTTGATAATGATAGTAGTGATGATGGTATTAATGAAAACAAAGATGAAGATATTTTTTCAAGGTTCCCACCAGCAAAAGGCAAGCAATTTATTTGTGGTCCTGCCCAAAAATAAAATAAAACAAACAAAACAAAAAACAAAAACAGAAAGCTTCTTTTATGTCGTCTGTATTGTCAATGTGTTTGTTTATGTGCATGCACACACATATGTGTGCCTGCTGATAAGGAACTAAACAAAATTAACAGCTGACATTGGTCAAAGCATCAGCTGTGGCCTGAGATAAATGGCACATTGTGGTAGTGTTCCACTTTCATGATGTAGCTGTGGCTGAAAGTCAGACAATAAAGTCACTGCCTGTCTCTGGCAAAATTTACATTGATTAGAGAAGCAATCACTCAACAAACATCCCTGGCCAACTCACATGATTCTGGAGACACATAATCTATATTCATAAAGCATTTTGGGATAATTAAATATCAGGTTCTAGGACAGTACAAGATACAATTAATCATTGAGAAAAACAAAGAATCTCCATTCAGCTAGATGTACGGCACAGGTGAGGAGAGAGGGAGACCGGAAAATTTTAAATCCACTTCACAAATCCACTCAGGGTAGTGGGTTTGAAGCACTCTAATTTACTATATAATACCTCTTTTAGAAACAACAACTTAGAATCAGCTAATAGATTACACACTGAGAGCAAAGAGACAATCTGGTAACAAGCCATTTCAACATAGAAGACTCAAGATTTCACTCAATAGAAACCAAAATAAGGATTAACAGTGCCACTATTTAATTAATTATAAAATAACTCAATAGTTCATTATCTTTCTTTGAATATGGCATTTGTTTCCTTAATCCGAATGTAGGATCTTTAAATCAGGGATTATGTGATATATTTCTTTTGTACCAAACCAGTATTTAGCACAGTGCATTGCAATGCGTAGATACTCAATAAATTTCTGTTCATTGATAGCTTCACTAGTATTCTCGACACAGGGCTCTGATTATTATAACATTACCATACACACACACACATACACACATACACACACACACACAAATTGTCACTGACTCCCTATTAGCTGTAAAATACAGTCTAAGACTTTGAGCTTATTCCACACCTTGTAACTGAGCCCAAACTGACCTTTCCAACTTTAATTTCCCCCTATGCCCCCATACAGCTCACAGTTTGCTATTTATGTGCCGCAATTCCTTGCATTGCTTGGTTCAGTTTGCTTTCTTTATATGAAATATTCCTTTTCTCATCATTTCATATTTTCCCTGGCCAAATGTTAGTTCCTTCGTGCGCCCTTCCCTGTTTCTCCCTGAGACTTCCAAATTGAAGCAATCGCCGCCTTCCTTGAACCTCCGTAGAATATTAGACATGTCTCTCATATGGATTTGCACATTCCATAGAGTCATGCTTGTGCTTGTCATATTTACTCTGCCATTCCATAAATTCTCTGAGAATAAGATCTCCAAAAGTTTGATTCATCTTCGAAAATCCCTAGGCTTTTAGCATCTTTGAAACCCCTAAGGCCCTTAACACAGAGAGGTTCCCAGTAGATATTTGCTGAATTAATTTGCTGTTGATTAATTTATTTATAGAAGAAGGAAAAATCTGGGTAGAAATTCTGATGAAGTAAATAAAAATGATCTCTTCCCTTTGATACAAATTATTACAATCACATTCTGAGTTGTTATGAATGGTAATTTAGCTCAGGAGGCATTTACTCAATACTGTGTTTAGTAACTTTAAAGACTCATCCTAGCCGCAGCAGACATATTTATATCCTAATGCACACTCCTCTCATTTTTTACACGTCCTGCCTCACCTGGTATTTCATAGTTTTTCCTTCTTCATGCCATTCACCCAACTTCCTTCCTGTCTGGCCTCACACATACTCTAACCTTTTCCTTTTTTGGTTGACCATGTAATTAAGTAGCTTATAACCTGGTTAGCTTTTTGGCAACAATTTTACCCAACCCAGTGGCTGACTGACTTCCAAAGAAAATTTTTTAAATTATAAGTTCACTCCCAAGATGCATAAGTTATCAGTCTTCTGCTTCCTGGCAGAGAAAGGAAAACAAAGGCAAAAAATACAAAAAGCACTTCCAACACAGGTAGTCATTTTTACATCCAGGGAGGTGAAATCTATCCCTTCAAAACAACACACTTATTCTGCTTAGAAGATGCCTTATAGTTTCCCAAATTTCTAGACTTTTGGAGGATATATGACTACTTTTTTTTCCAGGAAGACTTTCCAGAAAGTGGTGGACTGACATCTCCATGAGGATGACTATATATTATTTACCACATCCTGCATCTCTAGTGCAATTCCTATAATACAATGGGTCCTCTGTAAATATCTGATAAATGAGTTTACATATAAATGAATGCACAACGTTCCTCTGCAGTCCCTCACATAAATGATGCTGGTCCAAATGGTCCTAACATTTCTTTCTCCTGATGAGCTAAGAGGTCTATGAGAGCTCTATGATCTGTTTGTGACTCACTTCTCACAGACAGATGTAGCTCTACATGAAACGGGAAAATGTTGAACATAGAAGAGAGGACACAGGAGGAGAAGGCTTAGAAAAGAGACAAGGAACAAAAAAAATTAAAAAGCTATAAAAATGCCTCTATTTGCACAGCAATTTGCTACATTTTGCAATGATCTTTCGTATGCATTTTCTCGATTGGGCTTCTTGATGCCTCAGCAAGGAGCCAGAGTAGGTATCATCCCCACCTCACCACTGTAGCTCCATGCACACAGTACATGTTATATTACAGATGAGAAACCTAATATTTACAGAGAGGATCCAGCTAGTGGGTCACAGATCTCCTAATTCCAGCATCCAAATCAATATTTGAAGTAAGCTTATTTTTCAGCTGTAAATCTGACTACAATTCATTGTGCTAAACAGACATACCATGTGGAATGTTCTCAGCTCATCTCTTCCCAGTTCCTCTTTTTTCCTCTAAGTCTAGATAGATGAGGGTTTCAAAACAAACACCACACATCCTTCCCTGAAATACTCCTATTTCTCCTTACATCCAAGAATCTTTTCAGTTGTCTTGCCTGTCAATTCTGAGGCAGTGACCCACCAAGTCTACCCCATGTACTCCCAGTCACTCGGCTCATTTGTTGGGAATGAATAATTGAGTCCAATTACTACACCCCTGGCTAAGCAAATTCTGAGCAATCCTAGTGAAACACTTGTAGCCTAGCAGTCAAGCGCTGTCTTTAGCACAGTGTGGTCAAAAACGATTTGGCTAAATCAGGTAGAGAAAACGCCTGCTTTATCTAAAAGAAATTTCTGAGGAAGTCTCTTCAAACAGTTTTGAAAGAAGAACATAGGTTCTTGGCCTTTCATCCTTTTTATAATTACTCTATGATGCCTAGTGGGCAGTAGCAGGTGGAAGAAACACTTGAGGGTGATCTCAGAGTCTGGGATCTTGGTCCCTGGCCTTGAGCCTCGCTCTTACTAATTAGGAGACCCTGGTTGTTCAAAATGGGCCTGGATAGGGAAGCCCATATGACCCTTTTGCCAAGACAAAGACCCTCCGCTTCCAGGGCTGTAGCCCACCTTAGAGAGCCATAGTGTCTGGCATTCAGTCCCTGCTTAGCCGCTGCCAGGCACCTTTGCTCAGGATACACACACCCCCACAATAGGAGGTAGCCTTGCCTGGTTGTCCTTCACCAAGCTCCCCTTTTTCTTTAATTTAATTTAATTTTTGAGACAGTCTCGTCCTGTTGCCCAGGCTGGAGTACAGTGGCACGATCTTGGCTCACTGTGACGTCTGCCTCCCAGGTTCAAGCAATTCTCCTGCCTCAGCCTCCCAAGTAGCTGGGACTGCAGGCATGCACCACCACACCCAACTAATTTTTGTATTTTTAATAGCAATGGGGTTTCACTATGTTGGCCAGGCTGGTCTTGAACTCCCGACCACGTGATCCACCTGCCTTGGCCTCCCAAAGTGCCTGGCCCAAGCTATCCTTTCACAACTTCAAGTACACCCAGGTGGCTCTAGGAGCCTCTGGTATTATAATGATATTTGAGAAAATTCTTCCTGATCTCTCCTTTCCACTCCTCCTCCCCTCTTTGCTGGGCAGCATGTTGCAGACCCCTCAGCTTTGCCCCGACTCATCTGGCCCCATTTAAACTTGGCATCAAAAAGATGCTATTCCAGACTGCCAATTTTTACCCCCAATTTTCAGTCTCTGGATATCACTGCTAATTTTTATTCCCAGTTTCCAGGCTCTTCAGTACATAGCACTTCTCTCCTTTCAAACAGCTGAGAATCGCTTCATCCAATGCTTAGGCCAATGACCAAAACTAAAAAAAATGGGAATGTGCTATGAAGAGGAATTATCATGAAGACAAATATCAAATTGTAGCTATGAAATTATTTTGGCAAATACATAAAGGTGTGCTATAGCAATGCAATGCATGGAATTCCAGGCAGATCAGATCTCTAGAAAGGACCCTAGGTGAACAAGTGCCCAAATGCACTTACATACTTCTACACCACAGCCTTGGAGAGGCAAGGAGCACCCAGATAGCTGCTGGCCTCCCCGCCTCCATTTCCTCACCCACGTAGTAAAACAAGGCAAAGTTTATATTCTTTCCATTCGTGTCTGTAAAATTCCCAAGGAAAGTACTTGGCAAAGGAAGAAAGACAGCTAAAATCAAACCTCAATTTTTTTTTCCTCCTTCCTCTCAGATCCCCTGATTTATTCACTCCAGAAGACAAGTGGCATTTGGAATTTAAACTTTCAAGCCTAGAGGAATAACGGCTAGGAAGATGAGAAGATAAGTCAACCAAAATAGAGTAAGTTAGAAAAGGCAAAGGAGGGGGAAGTCAGGGTAGAGAAAAAAGAAAACAATGAATGAAATAAGAGAGGAGGGGTGGAGCTACGGAAAGAAAGAGGAAGAGAGTTGGAGGGAAAGATGTGGGAGAGAGATCAAATGCAGGAGAGAGGGAAATGATAAAGGAATGAAAGCAGAAGAAGTGGAGGAGGAGGAGAAAGCTAAAGGAAACAAGGAGAAGGAGGGGGAAAAGCAGGGGAAATATGTTGGGTGAATGATGCTTAATTTGATACAAAGGTAAGTTGTCATTGAAAGCACCAGATGTTTTCATTTGCCACAGCTAAGATTTAAAAGACAGAAATTCAATTTAGTTGTTCTTTTCTCTAATAAAAAAATATGTTTTATCCCAATGGGAAGACCTGTTTCTTTCTGCCAATAAGTATCAGCACCTAATCTGAAGCCTTCAATAAAACAATGCCATTAAATAATTTAACATGGAAAAAAGCCACCGATGTCTGTGAAATAATGTATAGATTTCAGATGGATCAAACTTTAAAACGGAAAAACAAAGTGTAAGAAATGAGTTTTGGGAAACAAAGGGGCATCTGCCACCAAACAAAAAGGAAATGCATCAGGCCTAGAGCATTGGAAGTAGCCACAGCAAGCATCTACACTAGCACAGCGTTGTGTTAAAGCACACAACTGCCTTCTCTCAATGCTCTGAGAAAAATATGCAGAACAGAGAGCATGCAGAATGAAATCTGGGGACCAAGTCAAATTGATTATTCTTCCCCCAGAATACAAACCTGTGCATTCAGTGAGATCTCTCAGAAATGTCCATAGAGGGTGGTCACCACATGGGGGTGTCCTCCAGGATTTCCAGAATAAAAGAGAAAGAACCGGGACTAGATCCTAGCAGACTGAAGGTCTAATTCAAGTTTGCCACTAACTAAAACATAGTCTTTTTAAGGTTTTTATTCCCAAAGGGTCTTCATTTTTTTCCCATTGGTAAATTTTGATGATGGTACTTTAAAAACCATAAAAGTGTCATGGAAACACACAGTGAAGTTACTCTCTGCACAAAACTTCCCTCTGATTACTCATTTACTTATCCTTTCACTCACTGGTGTCTCATCAACAGCAATACAATTATCTCTACTAATTCTGAAGATACCTATTTCCTTCAACACCCCCATAAAATGGTCTATAGACCAAAAGGTTTGAGGGCCACTCACTCTGGAGCTCTCTCTCTTTCCTTCCCTCCATTAGTACCCTTATTAATCATCCAGGCCAGTGGTTTTCTACTCAAGCTGAGCATTAAAATCACGCAGGGAGCTAAAAAAAATAATAAGCAAAACAACGACCACAACAACAACAAAAAGGAAAACATTGATGCCTCAGTCGCACTCCACACCAATTAAACCAGAATCTCTGTGGATTGGCACAGGTTTTCATAGTTTTTCAAGCTTCCAAGGTCATTCAAATGCATAATCAGTGTTGAGCACCACTGCTTCAGCTATACCATGGCAGTTCACTGACAGAAACACATTTGGCCAGTCCTTTCAAAACAAGAGGCAAATCAAAGGTGGACATGGAGAATCTTGTCATGAATAAAAACTGTACCTTTAGAACAAAGCAGCTAGGAACAGAGGATAGGGAGAATAGTTAAAGTTATTAAAACTCTAGTCATTATCATCTGCCTAATGATTGAGGAAAGACTCATCTAGCATAGCTTCAATTTTTGCAATCTTTGGAGTTGGCCCTTTATAGTCATTACCCAAATTTGAGTTAGTGTATGAATGATACCTGAATTCATGGTTATAGTTTTCCCAAACAGGATCTGGGAAGTAAACAAATACAAACTTCCTTAAATGGCACAGGAAAATCAGCACAGTCTTCTGAAAACAAAGCAAAACAAAACAGGCTTTGGAATGGACAAAAGTAGGTTTGAATTCATTCTGCCACCTTCCAGCTAAGTGGCCTTGTACAAGTCATTTTACTTTTATCTGAGCCTTAGCTTCCTTATTTGTAAAAAAGGGGATAACAATAACTACTTTGAAGTATTGTAAAAATGAGAGATAGATATAGAGACCCCATGTGTCAACAGCACAATTAAATGTTGACAATTAGAAAGATGATGATAATCACCATCATGACTGAAAACAGAAAACTGCTGGGAAGACAGGGTATAGGAAAACTGGTCAGCTACTTGGAAGAAATCTTATATTTGGCATTACAGTGCTTCACCAAAAAATAGATACACAACGGAAAATGTGAATATTTATAAAGTTATTTGAAATTATAAACCTTAGATGAAAGGTTTATAATTTGAATTGGCAGGAAGCCAAAAGCCACCTTTTCCAGCTTTCTCTTTGACTAAGGAGGAAGCAAGACTTCTTGGCCCAATCTTGGCATTCTCCTTTCTCTTTTCTTTCTGACTTGAATGCAGATATAATGGCTAATGCCAGCTTGAAACAATAATGGAAAAGCTAAGAGAATCACGAGAATTCAATCCCGACATCACTAAACCACCGACTCTGTACCTGTTTAACTCTAGATATTTTGTTGTGTGAGAAAAATTCAACTATATTTGCATAATAAGCATCCATAATCAAGTTTTGTATTACTTGCAGCTGAATACAGTCCTCGCTGATAGAGTATAATTGACTAAATCTAAAAAATTCACAACTTAGAGTCTGAGTAGCTGTCACCCACAGATTTCAAAATCAATAGAGTTGAACACATAATGTTAATCTATACTCAAAGAAAGGACCTTTTCTACAATTAAAGCAGAAATGAATTGCAAACTGTTTGTGAAATGCAAAGCAAACTATACTGAGAGAAAATGCATGCTCTCCAACTTTGAATACTCCAGCTTAGTACAGCAAAGCAAACTGTACTAAGAAAGAAGAGGCATGCTCTCCAGCTTTGGATCCAGCATCAAATCACAGGCTGCTTTTAGCCTGTGTGCTCAGGACTCCAATCTTTCATCCTGATATGTAAAGCCTTTCCTTATCTGAAACTTTTTACTCAATTTTGATATAATTAAGGTTTCCCAACTGTCATCTGTGCATACCATGGCTTTTCATGCCTTTGAGCTTATTCCTACCTTTCTCATCTGGAGGAATGTCCCACCTCATGTCTCTGCATCTGTTTCAGCTGTCCGTATTCTTCTAATGTTATGCCTCCTCCCTGAAGATACCCCGGATTTCTCAAATGCATAATGCTCTCTTCTTTTAGTTTTTAATTAAAAACACGTTTATGAGTGTGCATGCATGCATATTCACACACACATGCATACACAAAGTCTTCTACCTTTGTCATACATCTAAACTTGCTTCCCAGGTTGTGATTTTGGAAAAAGGCAAGGCCCATCGTATACTCAGCATCTCCAATCTTACTGCCCAGACTTATTGTTGGATCTGCACTAAAGTTAATGAAAAACTTTGAGAACTCTCAGGCAAGTGATCAGAATTTTTATGGAATCTTCAGAAGATACCACCCCTGCCTTTATCTAATGCCTCTCTTCAGAATATCAGAAATTCAGGGTGGTCCCTAAGGAGGCATTTTAAATTGGTACAATTGGCCTGGCAACTCTCACTCGTGCATAGCCCTAAAGAAGCCAGTTAATTGAAGCACCAGAAGAATTGGTGTTATCTGGTCATATGTGGCACATTGGCCAAGCTATCTGTCACTCTGTGACCAAGAGAGTTTCCACCAGCCCAAGGAGCTCCAAAAGTTTCTGCTGCAGAAAGTCTTGCTTCTCATTCTTGTCTGTTCCTCTCCTATGCATACTCTCACCCACTTGTTTTCTTTCTCCTTTCTTTTTCCTCCTTTCTCAATGCATCTCATCTCTTCTGTCTGCTTTCCCATTTCCCTAACATTTCTGGTTCTGCATTGCCTTTGCTTTTCTCTATAAACTTTCACTCATTGATCATTGCTTTGAATATAATTGTGTTTTTTTTTCACTCTATGTGTTCTCATTTGTTCAAAATTCTCAAGTTTGATTTACCAGTCTCTTATTTACCTGTTAGATGGCTGAAGGACAAACTAGGTTTTTTTATGATGATGAAAACTAAGGCCCTGGCAGGAGAGGCATTTGCTCAAGGTCACAGTAAGTTCTTGTCAATGAGGACAACCACACCCCGTGAAGTTCATGGCACCGACTGTACTACCTCGGATGTAAAAATCAATTCTCTGACAGACAGCAACCAGACATCACAAACTTCAGAATAGTGATAGAAGACCTGATTAATTATTTCCATAAAGAAATGACAATAAAAAGAGAAGAGAGTTAAGAAACTTAGAAAGAATGAAGAAATGAAGAACAAATGCCTGTTTTCCGAAAAACAGTGTTAGCAGGATATTAGATTTAGTAGTGAATGTTAACGTCCTTTTCTACACCTGCCCTACCATGCCTTTCTGTTAGCTGGGGATTTATTTCAAGGCCTTACCAATCATATGCTAAAGCTGGAACATCACTAAAACATCTTCTGGGAGGAGAGGGAGAAATCCAATCTAGGATTGAAAGCTGCAACTGTCATAGATAAAAAATATCCTCTGAAGACTGCTATTGAGTCAGACAGGTGGAAGAATTACTACAAAGTTGTCTGAGCTTCATGTAAGTTACTGGCTAGTACTTAGCCCAAAGCCAGGGGTATCCATTTCTAGGGACCCTCGAGAAGAATGTAATTTGGGGCTGTTCGTATAATCACTCTCCAGTGATTCCACACTGCTCTCAGTAGGGACCCCAGAAGGAATTGGCTGAAAAGACCAGAGTTGTAAAGAATTAGACCTTTTTACTCTGAATTGTGCATTAACAAAACTCCCAGCAATGTTGAGAAATGTTCCGGCCAGAGAAGAAATACCTTTTGAATAAAACTATTCTGTAACTTTCCACGTATTGAATGCATGACACCATTGTCATCAATAAGCTGTTACAAGAGCCCATGGTTCAATACCCATGCATTTGTACATTTATGTCCTGTTGACAAGAAACTCCCAGTTTTTAGTCATATAATCTCAATTTTCCTCATTAGAATCCTGTATGCCAACTGACAGCCCCAGTTAGGCCCATATTCCCTAGAATCCTCAGCTTTATAATCTCAGTATCTCACACACACACTCACAAGTACACATACACACGAGCACACTCATATCTCATGCACATATACAGAAATGATTACTAGTTATATATTCTGTATCAAATTATCCAGGTCTAGCTGTTGCCTATGATCATGGATACTTCAATATGTGAATCCTTAATTCATGTAGAACAGCTTTACCTTTATTCAGTAAAAATTATAATTTTATGACTTTAACAAGAGCCTAAATGATTCTTTACTTCCTCGGGTAGCTGAGTGATGAGTCAGAATGCTCACTCAGGGACATAGCCTCTGGACAAAATTACCTAATATGCAATTACAAAATCTCTCTTTGCAGAATTTTATTGTAAAAGGGCAACTCACTCACTGGGAATGCAGACTCTTCAGAATGCTTTCTCTCATAATCAGGGTCATGGCTTTTTATTGCTCAGGAAAAGCAGAGTGGCTTACCTCTTCAAGTAAAGAGTAGCTTGACCAATTATTAAAAAGAAAGAACTGTTCTGTGTATCTTTGAAAGAGATTTTTTGGTATCTTTAAAACTTGAAAGAATATGTGGTGGGCTGCATTTAAGTCTTTAAACTGACAGCTCCAACTTGAAACTTCAGTATTCTTAATATAATGTCCTATGCCCTCAAGATGTTAAACACAAAAGGACCTTCATGTACTTTCAACTGTGAGGTCTCTCTCAGCATACCTATATACCTTCACTTCCTCCCTCTTTTTACTAACCTACAAATGCCACAACCTTTCCTTTTCCCATATAAAAGGATATCAAACAAATTGCACTTCTTGATATATGTTGGTCCCTTCACTCAGGAAAAACGACATGGCTATTTTATTAGACGGGAGGTCTCAAGAGCTCCTGAACCCCACAGACAGTCTCATAAATTACCAAGAGCCACACCACTAGAACAACAATAAACTTGAAATGGGTTAAGTGATTTTGATCCTGGCTTGTCCCTCCCCCTCCGCCATCTCTCTGTGGAAAGTCCTGTAACCATATAGCTCTGTGGATGTGTAATCATTGATACCTGGATACCTAATACCCAAATGTAAGAACAACATCACACCTGACCTTGGTCTAAAATCAGCAAATTAGTTACATCTTTGGATAATATTCCCTAGAAGAAATTGATAGTAACTATCTATGGATTTACATGTCCCTATAAATACATTTCACTACTTGAAGTTATTCATGTGTTTTACCTCTACAATGATGGCATTGTGTCTAAAAATATGTAACCTTTTCAATTTTTATGTATAATAGTGTTTTCTTTTATTTGACTTCAATGTATACCTTTAAGAAATGACCTCTGGTATGAGTATTCTGTATTGATCTAGTTGAGATCGATCAAGAAGACAGCTGGAATCAGATCAGCAATGTTGCAGTCCAGTGTGCCTGCTGGGTACAACTGCAACTCCAACTTAAAGAGCAAGAACAGGATTTGAAGAAGAAAAGCTCACCTGGGAATGCTGAGGACTTCCACTTCCTCTCTTTGGCTCACCCCCTGAATATGAGAGATGTGTCTGCATTCAGACCTTAACTACACATGCAGCACAAGACAGCCCTGTGAAATAGGCAGTGATCATAAGACCTCTAAATTGTAATTTTGTCCTCAAATTTGTGGCTCTCTACCACTGCATTCATTTCCAGCCACAACAGCGTAACAGAGTTCGTTTGGAAAAGGATGGCCATTTGGTTTGCTAGCAAACACATGAGCCACGCCATAGGACGTGTGCTAACCTTTCAGATGCTTCTTTTCACTCTTCACCTTCCTAAAGCTCAAAACTCACAGCAGAAAGTCACTTTATGCAGGAACATCCTCCTTTTCCTCTATGTCCTGAAAAGGATAATTTGGTAAGATGGCATTTATTGAAAATGAGTGATGCAAATGCAAAAAAATTGAAAATAATAAGTTTTGAAAAGAATTGGGTCTGAATGTGAGTACCAATTCTACCTTGGTGTTGCTGAGCAAGTACATCAATCTCTCTGAGCTTCTGATTCCTCATCTGAAAAACTGGAGAGACTAATAATACCTACAATGGTGGGCGGTTGTGAGAATGGAATGGATAATGCATGCAAAGTGCTTCCTCACCCTATGCAAGCACAAAGTAGATCCTCACAAGTGTCTTCCCAATTTTGTTTCACCCACTTCTTCCCCTAGCAGAAGTAGTAACTCAGGCCAGGCAAATTACTAACAGGCTGAATTTATATTTCAATCTGTGTATTATGTAGCAGAAGGTGGGTTATTACACCAAACTTTTTTGAAATAGTTAAGACTTTTCCTTAGCAGATGAAACAAGGTCTCTGCGGAGCTTTCCCACACAACATTTTTGCAAGTTATTCATCCATCATTTATTGAATAGTTATTATGTCTAAGTACATCATTAAAAATACAAAGATGAATAAGACTCAAGTTCTCACTCATCAAAAGACTTACATACAGCCTCTTATTTCAAATTTGCTAAAGAATTTCATGACCTGTTTGTTGCACCAGGGGTAGATAACAAAAAAACTTGGGAAAAAATGCATATGCCCAGTTTTATTTGAAATCTCAAGCACAATTCACTTTGTGAACTATTTAAACCAAACTTTACCAAAATCAACCTGATCCTCAGTCTTGACTCTTATAGGAGGAGATATTGAATTCGAGCCCATGTCAAACTAATGAATCCATTACTCTGTTCCTAATTTTGGATCTCATAAGCCTGAGCTTTGGGAAAATTAAATGATTATATCTATATTCAAGTTTGGAGTTAAGAAAATAGACAAAAGAACAAGGAGAGAGCTTTGAGGCAGCCAGGGAAATAATGAGGAGCAAATGCCAAGTAACAGTCACGAAATTAAAAGAAAATGTTCTTTCATGAATGTGACAATGGGATCATTTGGGTTTGCAATATCTTTTTTTTAAATGCAATAATTTGGTGAAGATGAAGTCACAGGGCTTTGAGGGGAGCATGGTGGCCTGCAGGAAAGCATAGATGGCTGGAACCAAGCTCAGCAAAGGCCCAGCCCCACGCAGCCACTTCTCTGAAAGGCCGCAATCACCTCGCACCAAGGCCAGTCAGACTTGTCAGGGAGACGAGCGGGAAGCAGCTGGAGGAGCTGAGATTAATGAGGAAGCACAAAATGAAAAAGAGCAACAACTGGAAACCCTTGTGGTGACATCAGGAACAGAGCCAGAGAAGACAACCTTGTTATCACATCTGCTCCATCATTATAATTAAATGGTAATGCGCCTCTCTTGTTGGGTTACCAGGGTGGAATTCCAAGTGAGGGAGCCCCTCACCACTCACCCGGGCCCCCAGCCACTGCCTTTCTCGTTGAAGCTGAGGAATCATTCCAGGGCGCTAATAGGCTGGGTGTCTGGAGCAAGTGTTAATTTTGGATTACATCTGAGTGGAAATAAGATGAAGGTCTGGGGAATGCTTTGCCTTCACTCAGATGTTTCATTTCCATTTACTAGCATTGCAGGATACCCAGGGAAATGTTTTTATTCCAATTTAGAAGATTTCATAAGCCTTCAAATTTTCAGGTATTGATCCAAGCTCTTGAGCTTTGGAAGTGCACAGACATGCTCTGTGGAGGAAGAGGGTAGGTGTCAGAAAGCCCATCTGAGAAGAGCTGCCCACTCTCAGGTGGGCACACCTCCCTTCTCATGCCAAAATTCGCCCTGCGTGACCCGGAGGCCCATCAGAGGCACTCAGAACCATTAGCTCTGACTGGCTCTGTGCTGAGTAAATACTCTCATGTCCTAGTAGAAACTAGGGCAGCTGCTGGGCTTTTTTTTTTCCTTCCTTCCTTTCTTTCTCTTTCTTTCTTTCAAAATCAGCAAAGCATAGTTCTTAACCCCAAATGACTCAAATGTGCCTCTTAATAAGTATACTGGTTTCTGTACTCTGCTAGTAGGGGTTAGCATTAATTTGGCTACACTCTCAGTTCTTTTTCATTTGGTTTTGAATATCTCCAGTTTTTATTTGATTTTGGACAGACTCATTTGCAGGGAGGATGCCAATAATCAGATTTTCACCATTAAAGGTAAGCTATCTGTACCTGCAGGAAAAGGCCACTGTCTATCATCTTTGGAATCTGTGAGCTAAATAGCTGTTGTTTGTGAAGCCTCCCAAAGGAGGTTTTGAAAAACAAAGCACTTCACTCAATGAGAGCAGGGAGGTTATGGAGTGACGCTGTGCTCATGCATTATTCAGCTCAGCCTCCACCAGTGAGTATCTGGTTATCATAATGCCCCAGTACCTGGGTATTACATGCTATATCCTCACGGCAAGAAACAGATATAACTGAGCCTAAAAGGGATTTAATTAAGAAATAATATTCGTGTTTTCCTTTAAATTTAGGGTTAATAGTTTAGTGAATTAGAGAATAGAAAATCTATTGAAGAAGTTTCCCTTTTGATGAAAAATTATCCTGACACCTTGGCGAGATTTATTTACTGTCACAAAACAATGACACACCAAGTGACACAACCATGGGGTGCCTTACCTGTTTAGTTTCTACCTAGCATTTAGACCTGCTGTACTAGAAAAGATGTGTTAAAATTAAGGCCACCTAGACAAGAGTTAGGAACACACTGAGTGCTCAAAAAATACTGATTGTGTTGAAATTTGGGTGGACCCAATGTAGGTTCTTTGATTCCCTCTACACTTCTTCCCCTACTTTTATACCAATGTCCTTTTCAGATATGACTGGGGGTAGCCAGGGACAGTGGGTCATGCCTGTAATCCCAGCATTTTGGGAGGCCAAGGTGGGCAGACCATTTGAGGTAAGGAGTTCGACACCAGCCTGGCCAACATGGTGAAACCTCATCTCTACTAAAAATACAAAAATTAACTGGACATGGTGGTACATGCCTGTAATCCCAGCTACTCGGGAGGCTGAGGCAGGAGAATTGCTTGAGCCCAGGAGGCGGAGGTTGTAGTGAGCAGAGATTGTGCCACTGCACTCCAGACTGGGAGACAGAGCGAGACTCCATCTCAAAACAAATCAACAACAACGAAAAGAAATGACTCGAGGCAAAATTACTCTTACCATAAGTGAAATAAACAGATCACTGGCAGAAACCATTCTAGATGCTCACCAGTCCCATTTCCTTTTCCTGGACACATTGTTAAACTGTATTCCCCAGTCCCATTGTGTCTCAGTAAAGCAGAGGTGTGTAAGGAGAACTGATGGGTCACTTCCAGCTGAAGTAGCTGAGAACAGGTGGTCCTTCTCTCCTCCTTCAGTGGAGAGCTGAAAGATCACAGGTTGAAGTTGACAATGACAAAAGATGGTAGAGTCCTGAGTTCCTGACTGACCACATAGAGCAGAGCCTTGTACCTCACCTCCCCATGCCAATCAAGAATAAGGAATAAACTTTTCACGTTAAGCTACTGAGAACCACGAGATTTTGTTACAACCGCTAGCATTGATTACCCTGTATGGAGTAATCCATTGAAATGGAGTGCTGTTATAACCAAACCAAAAATGTGTGCATCGGCTTAGCAGTCAGGTAGCAGATGATAGTGAAGCTGCTACCAGAGGCTGGAAAGGTGGCAATTCATGTTATGCAGCATCAACAGATGCAATAACCTGGAAGGAAGATCTTATTATACCTCCTGAGCCTGTGGCTCTAAGGGAAATGGTTGGAAAGAGAGTAGGGTATTGGAATGTGTTTGCAGTTATTGCTAAATTTGGCTAGCATTATAATAAGTGGATGAGTTCAAGAGAAAACTGACCAGCTTATGAAAATAAAGAAAAGGTAATAGAGTCCAGCAATATAGGGTTTTGAAATGTTACAAAAATTAACATCTTCTACGCCCCAAGGGGCAGGATTAAAAAAAAAAAAAAAAAACTAAGCCTTTGAACAACAGAATGTCACTAAAATTCAGCTTTGTGGGATGAGATTAAAAGTAAAAAAGAAAGGAGTCCTGCAATATGCAACAACATGGATGAACCTGGAGGACATTATGCTCAGCGAAATAAGTCAGTCACAGAACAATAAATACTGCACGATTCCACTTATAGGAAGAGTCTAAAATAGGCCCACTCAAAGAAGCAAAGAATAGATTTGTGGTTATCAAGGGATGGAGTGGGAAGGGGAAAATGAGATTGCTAATCAACGAGTATAAAATTTCAGTTATGCAAGACAAATAAGTTGTAGAGATCTGCAGTACAACACTGAACCTATAGATAACAATATTGTATGCTTAAAAATTTGTTAAGAGAGTAGATCTCATATTACGTGTTGTTATCACAATAAAATTAAAAATAAATAAATAAATAAAACCAAATAACTTCAAGGTGGCTGTCATTAAACCAAAAGCGGGAGACATGACTTGAAAGAAATAAAAAATAAATAAATAAAAGCACATTTGGGCTATATCTAGGAAAGAACCTTGGGCACCGCAGTTACCAGCCTGTGGAACAACTGACTTTAGGCAAATAGATCAGAAGCCTACTAGGTTTTCAAGGAAATTGTATTGCTACAGAAACTATAAACCAGTCAATCCCATGACTATTAAACATTTAAAGCAATCCTTATGACCCCAACCTTCCAAATGGGCTCGAAAGTTCCACGGCCCTAAGAAGGACATATTTCCTGATGTCTTATTTCAAATGTGGCAGGGAGAATAATAAGAGGTGCTCTGTCCAGCGGGTGGTGCTAGGAACCATGAAGATACATGAATAAAGAAAACACTCTCAGAGGGCAGGACCGTAGAGTCTTATCAAGGGACTTCCCCACTGCCAGAGCAGACAGTTCCACATACTAGGCCTAGAGAATTTTAGTTTACTATGGGGCAGTGACATCTGTGTGTTTTCTACTTCATTCTTTCTCCAAAAAGGAGTTTTAATTAACATACTTCTGTTCTTTTTCCATCACTGTGTATTGATCTGATGTAGGTGGCATGCAGATATTGTTTCTTTTCACGCACAGCCAAAGAAAAGCCCTATCAATACTGAGTGGGCTTAACTAGGCAACCAGTTCTGGTTGCAATAATTGTACGGGGCTTGGAATTGCCTTCCTTAAGAAGAGGTATCATAAAAACAAGGGCACACGACCAACCAGACCCTACAAGTAATTGCACCCTGAAATTGGCAAAAACTCCTAGAGACAGAGGCAGTAGGAGTGGTAGGTAGTGTAGCCTCTTCATTCTAGGACAATGCACAGACATTTAGCAGGACCATAAATCAGACACTGGGAAACACAAGATTCTTTCCAGCATGATCAGGAGACAGCAAACAATTGCAGTATGATATGGCAGATACTTGGCCACAGCCCTTTCCTGCCAGCTTGACATTCATTGTTGAAAAACATTGGCTCCTTTTTTGGGGTGATTGGGGTACTGGGTTTCTAGCCTTGGAGTTTTAACAAGATTAATTCCCCTAAGTCTTCAGAGGTTTTTGAGAGGCCAAGTTTTTTTGTGGGGGAACACAATGTTGTGGGTTGAACTGTATCCCCCAAAAGATATGTTCAAGTCGTTAAGAGGGTAGATCTAGTATCTGTAAATGTAATCTTATTTGGTAATAGTCTTCACAGATGCAATCAAACTATGATAAGGTCATAGTGGATTAGGGTGGGTCCTAATACAATGACTGGTGTTCTTAGAAGAAGAAGAAAATCTGGACACAGAGACAGGGGAGAAGGCCAAATATAGATGAAAGCAGAGTTTACAGTGATACTTTTGTAAGCTAAGTAATGCCAAGGATTGTCAGCGACCATCAGAAGCTATAAGAGGCAAAGGATTCTTTCCTAGGGCTTTCAGAGGAAGCATAGTCCTGCCAGCACCTTGATTTCAGGCTTCTAGCCTCCAAAACTGTGAAAGACTACATTATATCATTGTAAGCCACACAATTTGTGATATTTTGTTATGGTAGCCACAGAAAACTAATATAGTCAGCCAGCAAGTGATTTGTCTTAGACAGATTACTCCTCCCCCTTAAGACAGAATATATTTTAGTGTAGGAGAGGGTGAGACAGCTGGGCAGACAGGTTACCAGAGGTCAGTCTCTGTCGGGGACAATGCTATATTTCTGTTTACTGCTGAGCACACAGCTAGACTACACTTCCCAATCTCCCCTAACATTATGTGGTCATATAATTAATTCATGGTAAAAGGAAAATGGGAGGAAATAGTGTTACCACCTCCAAGCTTGATAGGCCAAAGAGGCCATAATCTCCCATGCTCTCTTTTGTCCTCAGCCTTGCAGCAGGATGTTAACACCCTATATTACCTAAGGAGCAACACACTGAAAACGGCTTCTATTAACCTGGATCCTTGAATGATTGCAAGCATCAGAGCCCCATTGTGCATCATACTCACCACATTGAACTGAGACATGAATGAGAAATAAACTTCATAGTTTGGCCTAGTGGTGTGTTGAAGACAATCTTACCAGCTCAGACAAGACAATTGTTAGCCTCTCTTCTCAACTCTACATTCAGTGACATGACATTGTTAACTTAAATCTTAAAATCAGCCATAGGGGAAGTATTCACACCATAAAAATCAGCAAATGTTACAAGTCAAGTGTTTTTTCTCCCATTCATTAGAATAGTTAGTTGTTAAATACCACCACACAACTGGTTAAGCCGTGCGAAAATAAAGGTGTCTGTTACAACAGCTAGCATCAATCACATGAATTAATAAAACTCTAATTATTTTAACTCTAGCAAGACGGCTTTGGCATCATTGTGGCATCCTCCCATTTGGTCCGGTCAACATTCACATGTCCTAAACTTCTCTCATCCAACCAGTCTCTACTGAGTATTTCCTACGAAAAGAAACTGTCCTAGGTGCTAGGAAATCAGCAGTGAAGGAGCTGGTCGTTATCTGCAAAATACATTATCTTGGACAAGGCAGGAAAGTGGAAACAAGAAGCTAAAGAAATATTTATTAAATTTTGATTATGAAGAAGCAAATCAGAGTGATATGAGAAACATACCAGATGAGGACTTTACTTAAGAACCTATCCCATTGAACAACAGCATAGTTGTTCATGAAATGTTCTTAAAGAAATTCATTGCATTGTTGTTTTTAACAGTGAAAGAAATTGCAAACAACTTAAATGGTCATCAGTGGTGAGTAGGTTAGTTAATTTGTGATGCACCCATATTTAGGCTGTTATTTCAACAATTGAATGCCTACTGTGTGCCAATAATTGTGCTAGTCACGTGGAATGCCAGAAACACATGGTCCTTGCACATATAGAACCTAAATTCTACTGAAACAAGGAGAAAACAATTATCAGTTGAATAAATAAATGCCAAATATAATCAATTTTATAAAGAAACTGAGAGAATAATGACAGTGTGGTTTGATATATCTAAATCAAGTGGTAAATATACCTTTCAGAGACAATGGGTAATACATGAGCAGAGAAAGAAACTAGCAATGAATTAAGTATCAGAAGATAACATGTGGAAAGCCAAGAGGAAAGCAAGAACTTCTCAGACTTTAGGAAATTTCAAGGCCAGAGTGGCTTGGGCAGAGTGAAAAAATGGGAGTATGATAAAAGCTGAAGTCTGAAAGACAGGCAGGGCTGGGTCATCCATGACTAGGGACCCTTTAATGAGGATTTTGGATTTTACCCTAGGTGCCATGGGGAGCTCCATACAGGTCTTCAGCAAGGAAATGACATAATTAGATTTAAATTTAAATTTAAAAGAAGGATTCTGACCACTGGTGGGGAACACATTGGAGAGGACCACGGTATAAGTGAGAGACTGATTAGGAGGTTACTGTAAAAGCTGAGGTGAAAGGTGCTGGTTACCCAACCTTGGATAAGGCACCAGAGAAGGAGAGAAGGAGACAGGTGTGAGATGCATTTTGAAGTCAGAATCAGTACTCATCCCACTTGATTCTCTTACTTGCTTACAATTCTACATTCACTGCTGGAGGTAACTTTTAGGGATGCAAGAACCATGTTAGTAGGACTCAATAGGCATCCTCGGTGGGTGGCGCGAAAGCTACTCTGATGAGCAATCAAAATTAAACCTACCAAGGGACTGATATTGTTTTATTGCCTGCTATGTTTCAGGGATTTTAAATATGTCAGTTCTAACTAATGAACAGAGCCAAAGATCAGTACTAACATTCCCATATTGAAGATGAGAAAACTGAGACTCAGTAAGCCTAATTTGTTCAGAGTCACACAACTACTAAGTAGTGAAGCTAAGATTCAGCCCAGGGTCACCTAACCCCACGTGTTTTTATATTATAGTATCACCCTCTTTACAAAGAGCTTTCATTTTAATCAAGACTAGAAGGGCACAAATCAACCTAAGCAAGAAAGTTTACAAGAGAGATATATATCAACAAGTGGCAAAACAATGAGAGGAATATTATTAACCTAAGTATACAAATGCACTTTTTAAAATGTTATGAAAGTTCCTTTTCTTTTTACAATAAATGTGATTATACATAAAAACATTCTATACATGTTGACTATTATTCCAATTTTAACAATAATGAGATTAGAGAACACTATCAACATTAACTATTCAGACTAGTTAGCAATTAACAAAATACTTCTCTTTCTTTTTTTTTCCACTCCATTCAAAACACATAGCACATCATCAAAAAAAAAAATGTAACTATCTAACTATCTGGGTTGTCTGCTAGGGCAGGTCCTGATTCATTAGCGGATGCACATGTACCCAGTAGCCTCTCACCCTGAAGTAATGAGCCATGTATCATCTAGATGTGAATGTAAACACATCTGTGACTGTCCAACCTGGGAACTACCCAGTGCAGTTCTAACTCCATTTCTTAACTATGCTTTCCTTCTCCTAGTAGACAGAGGATGCAGCAGCAGTAGCAGCTGGGCACTAGATTTAAAATCTAGGATTCCTCAAACTTTGCAGATTTTCTTTTCTTCTCAAGGGTTCTGAGAGCTACAGACCACCTCCTGAGTGTTCACACCTAAGGTGTCTGAAATGTACACATATTTTGGCAAAGTAGAATCAGCCTGAGCTTCAGAGAACTGATGCCAGATAATTTTTTGAGTGTTCACAAGATGCTAGGCACTCTTCTAAACGTGTTACTTGGGTTGTTTTATTTAATTATCACAACAACTCAATGCAGTGAGTGCTATTAGTAACTTTATTTTACAAATAAAGAAATGAAGGTTAGACAGGTGGGCCACTTTTCTAAGCTTCACGGCTAATGTCAGGTGCTACCCAAGATGATCTCCGGATGTACCATGTAACCCAGTAGTCCTCCTCCTTATCTTGGCTCTAGAAGCTCCATGTATTCCATCTCCTGCTTCTCCCCCCCTCCTCTCATGACAATGCCTTTCCTTCCCCAGTGCCTAAAATTTTCTATACCTCTAGAAAGCTAAAATTAGGTCTATAAAGTTTTATTAAGTACCATCTTTAGATTGCTTTATGGAAGTAGGCTTTATTAGCCCTTCTTTCCTAAATTATTATAGATTTTTTTTCCAGAGACTATTTCTTAGAAGGACAGCAATAGCATCCACAGCCCACTATGTTAATAATAAACACATAATATTAGTATCAATCAGCCTTAGTATCAATCAGCCAGTATTTACCATAACCCGTGGCAAACACTACTCATAGTCACAGGAGAAATCCACCAGGAAAATCAGGAATGGGTCACACATAAAAACACAAAGTAAATAACAATGGAAAGAAATACACAATCAAGTACATTTTTAGGAGAATATTTTGAGAGATTAGTATTTGTGCAAATTGTTCTGGAAAAAAATTTATAACAAATCAGCATTGTATTAATAATACTATAAATTCAACAGGCTGGGGCTTAAGGATGAAGGAAAGGTTATAAGGAATATTCAGTCAATCAGGGGAGATTTCCAGATCTTCTTTAAGTAACACTGTAAACACGATATGTCTTTCCAAATGTACAGCAGTATTCACTCTGTGTGGTGTTGGAGGAGATAATTGGATAGAGTTTCAAGCTTCCCTAAAATTTATTATTTATTTTAATCCCAGGTGCCTTTGAAGAACATACAGGTAAAGAAAAAGTATTTTATATATAGTTGCTCACAAAACACCTTTGATGATTCCTTCCAAATGCAAGATACTTTGTGAAACATCTTTCAAACCCAAACCTGTCCCAGTTTCCCAAATTACTCAGGAATGATTCTTTTGTTGGCTCTTTCTTGATCATGTACATTAAACACAAAAAGATAAAGCATGCTCTCTAGCATTGCATAATGGATATTCTATTTCTAAGGCGCTTCAGTTACATGATTTTAACATCTGTGTAATTAAACCAAAGTGCTATTCTCCATTAACAGGTTTTCCTTTAGTCTCTTGGATGTAATATCTTCATGGACAGGAAAGTGTTTCTCCTCTTTGAGTAGCTATATTTATGCCCATTAATCCAGGGTAACTGCTGTGTGGTCTTTAATGAAGAAGTCCATCCACGAGGCGGTGAAGCCGAGGGGAAACGTCGAGGTTGCCCATCAACCCCTGTTGAGAACTGCAAAGTAATAACGCTTTCTGGGGAGAGACTGACAGCAAATAGCAAAGGTGTGAAATGAGAGATGAGATTTTCTTTGGAGCTTGTCCAGATTTTGATACTCTTATAACCTGCCTCTCTCCCCTACCAGTTTTTCCCCATCTGTAGACACTGGTCTGGCCAGCAGTCAATGTTATTCCCCAAGAGCATGCCTGATGATTAAACACCTGTGGCATATGGAACCTCCAGAGTTTCTGCCACATTTGTCTGAAATTTCCTTTCAGCCATGGCAGAAAATTAAAGTCTAAATTTTGATACTAACAAAATGATCCACCATGATTATAGGAAGCATAATATTACATTTTGATCAGCCTGCTATCCACTCCTTCTGATACCTGTGGTTTTTATTGGAAAATTACTGCATTCAAGATACACTTCTTCACTAATTAATGGCTTTGAGGCAGCTGAAAAAATAGAGATATGACTTCTGAGAAATGGTAGAGCATACAGTTCAGAGAGTTATTGTCCCCAATCTTATCAATAACCAAACTAGTTATTAAGCAAGGGAGGGATTTGATTGCAAAGATCTTGCACACACCTATAATGCATTTTCTTGTTTTGGTGAAGGAGAAGTAGTGTTCAACTTTTTTGTCCCTTGAGATGAATAATGCTGTGTGAATTCTGGAATGGAAAAAAGGATCAGAACGTTATCTATTCCATGCCAGATCATTTTCAGGATTGAAGCTTGTAGCCTTCACTCTGTGAATAAGCTCTGGGAAATGGCTTATTACAAATTTTCTCAAAGAATTTTGCATAGAATGCTAATCTCTCAAAACAGTCTGTTAAAAAAAAAGTCTATGGGAAATAACTTTGAGAAATGCGGGGATTTGCACAGAATTTTTGTATGTGAAATACAGAAAATTGAGAAGTTCAATGTGTTTAAGCTGCCTTTTCAAACTTATTTGACCCCCAGGGGAATATATGGAAATTATTGCCTAAGTAATACCTTTGTAAAATCTTGCCTCAGAATCTATTAGACTTGGTACTAGAATTTGTTTTCTGATAAAGCTAAATATTTGTAGGGAGGAGGAGCCAAGATGGCCGAATAGGAACAGCTCCCGTGTACAGCTCCCAGCGTGAGCGACGCAGAAGACGGGTGATTTCTGCATTTCCATCTGAGGTACCGGGTTCATCTCACTAGGGAGTGCCAGACAGTGGGCGCAGGCCAGTGTGTGTGCGCACCATGCGCGAGCCGAAGCAGGGCGAGGCATTGCCTCACCTGGGAAGCGCAAGGGGTCAGGGAGTTCCCTTTCCGAGTCAAAGAAAGGGGTGACGGATGCACCTGGAAAATCGGGTCACTCCCACCCGAATATTGCGCTTTTCAGACCGGCTTAAGAAACGGCGCACCACGAGACTATATCCCACACCTGGCTCAGAGGGTCCTACGCCCACGGAATCTTGCTGATTGCTAGCACAGCAGTCTGAGATCAAACTGCAAGGCGGCAACGAGGCTGGGGGAGGGGCGCCCGCCATTGCCCAGGCTTGCTTAGGTAAACAAAGCAGCCAGGAAGCTCGAACTGGGTGGAGCCCACCACAGCTCAAGGAGGCCTGCCTGCCTCTGTAGGCTCCACCTCTGGGGGCAGGGCACAGACAAACAAAAAGACAGCAGTAACCTCTGCAGACTTAAGTGTCCCTGTCTGACAGCTTTGAAGAGAGCAGTGGTTCTCCCAGCACGCAGCTGGAGATCTGAGAACGGGCAGACTGCCTCCTCAAGTGGGTCCCTGACCCCTGACCCCCGAGCAGCCTAACTGGGAGGCACCCCCCAGCAGGGGCACACTGACACCTCACACGGCAGGGTATTCCAACAGACCTGCAGCTGAGGGTCCTGTCTGTTAGAAGGAAAACTAACAACCAGAAAGGACATCTACACCGAAAACCCATCTGTACATCACCATCATCAAAGACCAAAAGTAGATAAAAACCACAAAGATGGGGAAAAAACAGAACAGATAAACTGGAAACTCTAAAACGCAGAGCGCCTCTCCTCCTCCAAAGGAACGCAGTTCCTCACCAGCAACAGAACAAAGCTGGATGGAGAATGATTTTGACGAGCTGAGAGAAGAAGGCTTCAGACGATCAAATTACTCTGAGCTACGGGAGGACATTCAAACCAAAGGCAAAGAAGTTGAAAACTTTGAAAAAAATTTAGAAGAATGTATAACTAGAATAACCAATACAGAGAAGTGCTTAAAGGAGCTGATGGAGCTGAAAACCAAGGCTCGAGAACTACGTGAAGAATGCAGAAGCCTCAGGAGCTGATGCGATCAACTGGAAGAAAGGGTATCAGCAATGGAAGATGAAATGAATGAAATGAAGCGAGAAGGGAAGTTTAGAGAAAAAAGAATAAAAAGAAATGAGCAAAGCCTCCAAGAAATATGGGACTATGTGAAAAGACCAAATCTACGTCTGATTGGTGTACCTGAAAGTGATGTGGAGAATGGAACCAAGTTGGAAAACACCCTGCAGGATATTATCCAGGAGAACTTCCCCAATCTAGCAAGGCAGGCCAACGTTCAGATTCAGGAAATACAGAGAACGCCACAAAGATACTCCTCGAGAAGAGCAACTCCAAGACACATAATTGTCAGATTCACCAAAGTTGAAATGAAGGAAAAAATGTTAAGGGCAGCCAGAGAGAAAGGTCGGGTTACCCTCAAAGGAAAGCCCATCAGACTAACAGCGGATCTCTCGGCAGAAACTCTACAAGCCAGAAGAGAGTGGGGGCCAATATTCAACATTCTTAAAGAAAAGAATTTTCAACCCAGAATTTCATATCCAGCCAAACTAAGCTTCATAAGTGAAGGAGAAATAAAATCCTTTACAGACAAGCAAATGCTGAGAGATTTTGTCACCACCAGGCCTGCCCTAAAAGAGCTCCTGAAGGAAGCACTAAACATGGAAAGGAACAACCGGTACCAGCCGCTGCAAAATCATGCCAAAATGTAAAGACCATCGAGACTAGGAAGAAACTGCATCAACTAATGAGCAAAATCACCAGCTAACATCATAATGACAGGATCAGATTCACACATAACAATATTAACTTTAAATATAAATGGACTAAATTCTGCAATTAAAAGACACAGACTGGCAAGTTGGATAAAGAGTCAAGACCCATCAGTGTGCTGTATTCAGGAAACCCATCTCACGTGCAGAGACACACATAGGCTCAAAATAAAAGGATGGAGGAAGATCTACCAAGCCAATGGAAAACAAAAAAAGGCAGGGGTTGCAATCCTAGTCACTGATAAAACAGACTTTAAACCAACAAAGATCAAAAGAGACAAAGAAGGCCATTACATAATGGTAAAGGGATCAATTCAACAAGAGGAGCTAACTATCCTAAATATTTATGCACCCAATACAGGAGCACCCAGATTCATAAAGCAAGTCCCGAGTGACCTACAAAGAGACTTAGACTCCCACACATTAATAATGGGAGACTTTAACACCCCACTGTCAACATTAGACAGATCAACGAGACAGAAAGTCAACAAGGATACCCAGGAATTGAACTCAGCTCTGCACCAAGCAGACCTAATAGACATCTACAGAACTCTCCACCCCAAATCAACAGGATATACATTTTTTTCAGCACCACACCACACCTATTCCAAAATTGACCACATAGTTGGAAGTAAAGCTCTCCTCAGCAAATGTAAAAGAACAGAAATTATAACAAACTATCTCTCAGACCACAGTGCAATCAAACTAGAACTCAGGATTAAGAATCTCACTCAAAGCCGCTCAACTACATGGAAACTGAACACCTGCTCCTGAATGACTACTGGGTACATAACAAAATGAAGGCAGAAATAAAGATGTTCTTTGAAACCAACGAGAACAAAGACACCACATACCAGAATCTCTGGGACGCATTCAAAGCAGTGTGTAGAGGGAAATTTATAGCACTAAATGCCTACAAGAGAAAGCAGGAAAGATCCAAAATTGACACCCTAACATCACAATTAAAAGAACTAGAAAAGCAAGAGCAAACACATTCAAAAGCTAGCAGAAGGCAAGAAATAACTAAAATCAGAGCAGAACTGAAGGAAATAGAGACACAAAAAACCCTTCAAAAAATCAATGAATCCAGGAGCTGGTTTTTTGAAAGGATCAACAAAATTGATAGACCGCTAGCAAGACTAATAAAGAAAAAAAGAGAGAAGAATCAAATAGACACAATAAAAAATGATAAAGGGGATATCACCACCGATCCCACAGAAATACAAACTACCATCAGAGAATACTACAAACACCTCTACGCAAATAAACTAGAAAATCTAGAAGAAATGGATACATTCCTCGACACATACACTCTCCCAAGACTAAACCAGGAAGAAGTTGAATCTCTGAATAGACCAATAACAGGCTCTGAAATTGTGGCAATAATCAATAGTTTACCAACCAAAAAGAGTCCAGGACCAGATGGATTCACAGCCAAATTCTACCAGAGGTACAAGGAGGAACTGGTACCATTCCTTCTGAAACTATTCCAATCAATAGAAAAAGAGGGAATCCTCCCTAACTCATTTTATGAGGCCAGCATCATTCTGATACCAAAGCCGGGCAGAGACACAACCAAAAAAGAGAATTTTAGACCAATATCCTTGATGAACATTGATGCAAAAATCCTCAATAAAATACTGGCAAACCGAATCCAGCAGCACATCAAAAAGCTTATCCACCATGATCAAGTGGGCTTCATCCCTGGGATGCAAGGCTGGTTCAATATACGCAAATCAATAAATGTAATCCAGCATATAAACAGAGCCAAAGACAAAAACCACATGATTATCTCAATAGATGCAGAAAAAGCCTTTGACAAAATTCAACAACCCTTCATGCTAAAAACTCTCAATAAATTAGGTATTGATGGGACGTATTTCAAAATAATAAGAGCTATCTATGACAAACCCACAGCCAATATCATACTGAATGGGCAAAAACTGGAAGCATTCCCTTTGAAAACTGGCACAAGACAGGGATGCCCTCTCTCACCGCTCCTATTCAACATAGTGTTGGAAGTTCTGGCCAGGGCAATCAGGCAGGAGAAGGAAATAAAGGGTATTCAATTAGGAAAAGAGGAAGTTAAATTGTCCCTGTTTGCAGACGACATGATTGTATATCTAGAAAACCCCATCGTCTCAGCCCAAAATCTCCTTAAGCTGATAAGCAACTTCAGCAAAGTCTCAGGATACAAAATCAATGTATAAAAATTACAAGCATTCTTATACACCAACAACAGACAAACAGAGAGCCAAATCATGGGTGAACTCCCATTCACAATTGCTTCAAAGAGAATAAAATACCTAGGAATCCAACTTACAAGGGATGTGAAGGACCTCTTCAAGGAGAACTACAAACCACTGCTCAAGGAAATAAAAGAGGACACAAACAAATGGAAGAACATTCCATGCTCATGGGTAGGAAGAATCAATATCGTGAAAATGGCCATACTGCCCAAGGTAATTTACAGATTCAATGCCATCCCCATCAAGCTACCAATGACTTTCTTCACAGAATTGGAAAAAACTACTTTAAAGTTCATATGGAACCAAAAAAGAGCCCGCATCGCCAAGTCAATCCTAAGCCAAAAGAACAAAGCTGGAGGCATCACGCTACCTGACTTCAAACTATACTACAAGGCTACAGTAACCAAAACAGCATGGTACTGGTACCAAAACAGAGATATAGATCAATGGAACAGAACAGAGCCCTCAGAAATAATGCCGCATATCTACAACTATCTGATCTTTGACAAACCTGAGAAAAACAAGCAATGGGGAAAGGATTCCCTATTTAATAAATGGTGCTGGGAAAACTGGCTAGCCATATGTAGAAAGCTGAAACTGGATCCCTTCCTTACACCTTATACAAAAATCAATTCAAGATGGATTAAAGATTTAAACGTTAGACCTAAAACCATAAAAACCCTAGAAGAAAACCTAGGCATTACCATTCAGGACATAGGCGTGGGCAAGGACTTCATGTCCAAAATACCAAAAGCAATGGCAACAAAAGCCAAAATTGACAAATGGGATCTAATTAAACTCAAGAGCTTCTGCACAGCAAAAGAAACTACCATCAGAGTGAACAGGCAACCTACAACATGGGAGAAAATTTTCACAACCTACTTATCTGACAAAGGGCTAATATCCAGAATCTACAATGAACTCAAACAAATTTACAAGAAAAAAACAAAGAACCCCATCAAAAAGTGGGCGAAGGACATGAACAGACACTTCTCAAAAGAAGACATTTATGCAGCCAAAAAACACATGGAGAAATGCTCATCATCACTGGCCATCAGAGAAATGCAAATCAAAACCACTATGAGATATCATCTCACACCAGTTCGAATGGCAATCATTAAAAAGTCAGGAAACAACAGGTGCTGGAGAGGATGTGGAGAAATAGGAACACTTTTACACTGTTGGTGGGACTGTAAACTAGTTCAACCATTGTGGAAGTCAGTGTGGCGATTCCTCAGGGATCTAGAACTAGAAATACCATTTGACCCAGCCATCCCGTTACTGGGTATATACCCAAAGGACTATAAATCATGCTGCTATAAAGACACATGCACACGTATGTTTATTGCGGCACTATTCACAATAGCAAAGACTTGGAACCCACCCAAATGTCCAACAATGATAGACTGGATTAAGAAAATGTGGCACATATACACCATGGAATACTATGCAGCCATAAAAAATGATGAGTTCATGTCCTTTGTAGGGACATGGATGAAATTGGAAACCATCATTCTCAGTAAACTATCGCAAGAACAAAAAACCAAACACCGCATATTCTCACTCATAGGTGGGAATTGAACAATGAGATCACATGGACACAGGAAGGGGAATATCACACTCTGGGGACTGTGGTGGGGTTGGGGGAGTGGGGAGGGATAGCATTGGGAGATATACCTAATGCTAGATGACACGTTAGTGGGTGCAGCGCACCAGCATGGCACATGTATACATATGTAACTAACATGCACAATGTGCACATGTACCCTAAAACTTAGAGTATAATAAAAAAAAAAAATTAAAAAAAAAAAGAAAAGAAAATTAAAAAGTAAAAAAAAAAAAAAAAAATTAAACCCCAGAAAGTGATGACCATGTTAATTTGCATAACTGAAGTAATCATATCACTATGTATATCAAAGCATCATGTTGTATACCTTAAGTACACACAATAAAAAATTAAAATGAAAAGTAAAAAAAAAAAAAAAAAGATTCATTGCCACAGTTTGCATAGAAAAAACACTCTTTTAGAAGACAAGTTAGTTTTCCTAAGTAAGCAGTATGAATATGAATTTAGAAGCAGCCAAGTTTTAAAGTAAAATCTTTTTATTTGATATTGATACTTGTAATCATTATTTTTTATTTGAAAAATACTACCAACTACTCAGCTCTGTGAAAGCTTACTATGTTGCCAGATTTGCTTCAGATCTTTAAAAGTAATAAAATATTACAAAAAAAAAAAAAAAAGCTAAATATTTGTAAACGGTAAAACCATCTGCATTCAATTGTTAACACCACCATGGCAACTATATCTTCAGGTTCTCTCCAACAGGACAGCCAAATCAATGTGAAATGGGAAGGTGGGTGTGGAGGAAGGTGTGCAGTCAACCTTCTGAACTCCAGACAGAAGGGATTAGAGCCAGGGCCTGGCTGGGGTACTGAGCAGGAGTCAAAAATGTATTCCCTTCTCTTTCCTACTCTTCAGGTCCCATGCAGGAGTGTGTCTCTAAAAAGAAGAGTCAGAACCATCGGGCCTTTCTGCTTCCTTCCATCTGGCCTACCTTCCTGACGCTGCTATCTTCTTGCCCTGCTTTATTTATTCAAAAAGTAAACACCTGCCATATTCTAGACAATGTGTGTCACTTAGAATACAAAAGCAAATTAAGACAAGATCTGTTCAGTCAAGAAAAATGATTAAAATCTATAACTAAACCCTAGTCCACGCTTTCTAGGGTCCTCTCAACTTCCAGGAAATAAAATACCTTTTTAGGAACGTTAATGAACAACATTTCTTGCCTCTGCTTCTGTTCCTGGCCCTACTAGCTATTATATATCAGAAACTCTAATTTTTTCCTTTTAAATTATTCATTCCTCAAAAAAAAAAGCATTTGGAAATGGTTTCTTTTGAGATGTGAGCATAAACCCATTGAATTAGGGACTCAGATTAAAAGCATACTAAACATCATCTTTATAATTTCAGGCAATCTAAAGGTGCCTGAGTGAATTGGTCAAGGATGCTGAATTTGTTTATTAATTCATTAGTGCATTTATTTATTAAAAAGAGACTTATGAAGTCCCACTTTGTGTAAGCATGGGTTCCCTGTGGTCTCATAAAGATAACTTCACTATTACCCCTTAAAAGAAGAGGCTTACGGCTAGGCACAGTGGCTCACACCTGTAATCCCAGCACTTTGGGAGGCCAAGGTGAGCAGATCACTTGAGATCAGGAGTTCGAGACCAGCCTGGCCAACATGATGAAACTCCATCTCCACTAAAAATACAAAAAACAACTGGGTGTGGTGGTGCACACCTGTAATCCCAGCTACTCGGGAGGCTGAGGCAGGAGAATCACTTGAACTTGGGAAGCAGAAGTTGTAGTGAGCCAAGATTGTGCCATTGCACTCTCACGTGGGCGACAGAGCAAGACTCCACCTCAAAAAAAAAAAGGAGGCTTACAGTGGAAAATCACAAGCAGATGGGCCAAGTTTGCTTAGTCATTAGCAGTGTTCTTTCCATGAAATGAAGTTTTCTTGATCTGAATAGGTGGCTCAAGTTCATCTGGATTACTAACACAATGACTTTGAAACCATTTGGAAACTTAAAGTAGATAGAATTCCCTAATAGGTAAATGGGCAGGAGGAGCAATCCGAAGAAAATAAATAGACAAAACCCCATAGATCATGTGGATGTGGAGTTCACCTTTAGTAAAAATTAGCAGACAGACTATTACTGTTTCAAATACCTTTTCCCTGCAACATGCTGTGCCAGAATCATGAGTGGCCCCAAGTATAACTTGGAATTCACAAAATTAAATTTTAGTTCGAGATATTAAAAATAAACACAGATAAAGAAGCCAACAAACAGTTGCTCTAGTTCCACACTCAATCCGCAGACCCAGAGTTAGGTTAAGCAAAACCACAGACACTTAAAAGAGGAAAACAGTCCTCAGGCTGGAGAGATCAGAGGCAGCAGTGGTGGGGTGTAAGCTGGACCTTCAGAAATGAAGCCTATTTAGAGAAGAGATCATGGCATTTGATTCAGAATAGTTGACCAGTCATAACAAAATTGCTGTATTCAAAGTGATTTGCATTCATGGGCTATAAGTCACTGTGGGGTTTCCAAGGAAGGTTAAAAAAGCCTTGAGACCTTCCTCACACCCTTTGGAAATCACAGCCACTGTTTCAGAGGTAGACAAGTGAATTCCCAGGGAATAAAGAAATCCTCTTTATCCGTTAGGACTGATTATGCTGGGAATAAAAGCAGGGTGACTTCATCCCTGGCTTTCTTACAGTCACCACTGAACTGATTGACCAGGTGTCCCAGCAAATATCAAAAGGTGGAGAGTGAAACTACAAGAGAATGAGTTCAGTCTCTCTTCTCTCTCTCTCTGTCTTTCTACTTCTCTTTTGTTCAGCGTCAGCACTTTTTTCTTTCTCTCTGAAGAAACTTTATTTCCCTTTAAGAGTGGCCTCAAAATTACTGTTAATTTTCTACAAGGAAACTGTTCTTTGAAATACATCATATACCATTTTCTTTTCTTTTTTTTCCTCCCTCTTTGTGATGATGGCAATGCGTTGGCTGTGAATGTGTAAGTATAGTTGCTTTTGAATGCTGCAAGGTAAATGCAGAAAATGACAGCTTAAATGGAATCATTAAAGCAGATGTAGGTAATATCTGAATGCTACCAAGCCTTCTTTGCAAGGCAATTTTTTTTCAGTTCTAGTGCCTTGCACCTTTTCAGGGAATCTGACAACCTATCATTTCCTACTTTTTTTCCCCATTTCCAGCATGAACTCAGGGGCCTCATTTCTATCTTAAGTTACAACCTGTTGATTGGTGGAAAAGGCAAGAAATGTATACTGTTACACCCTAAACGGTTATTTCCAGGCAGTACAGCAGTGATCCCTGTCAGTTCATTCAAAGACATTAAGTATGAGAAAGTCACAACAAAATTGCTACCTGTCCACCTGCTGGGTGAACCACAGAGTACAAGTTTCAGAGTGGTTTAGGACAGACCCAAGGGACTGCATCCTAGATTTGAAGAGGGCCAGACGTACTACAAAGGAATTATAGTAAAATTTTGCATTTCTTTAAATTTGTACCATCTAATACAGTTTTTATTGTACTTTCCTAACCTCCTCATTAAGAAGGCAATGCGGATGTTTTTATCTCCAATAAGGATCAGGAAATGGCAAATTTTAAAAATATTATTTTTCAAAAATACATTAAAAATAGTTTGTTGCAATGCTAGGTATTCAGAACATGGTATTGGTTTTTCTGATGTTGTTGTTTTAATCAAAGACCTATATAGCACTATGCACCAAGCATTTTCAAAGTTCTTTCCAATATCAACTCATATAATTCTTGTAGTAACACCCTAAGGTCAGTACTATTATTATCCCTCACTTTATAAAGGAGGCAACTGAGGCCCAGTATCATAGAGGTGGACATGTTGTGGAATGAGGACTCGAATCCAGATCGTCTTATCTCCAGAGTTCATGCTCTCAACATCTTCCCTATATGCCTTTCAACATACTGGAAAGGTATGCTACAAAAGAAGGAGAAATAAATCCAGCTATTGCTCTTTGATTCTGGGACTGCTAACTCTTTCATTCAACAAACTTTATAGAGCAATTATTAACAGCAAAGGACTGTATTCAGTGTTTGGAGCATCCAAAGTAATATGACAAATGGTCTAGCCTCATTATTCACAAATTCTACATTTGCAAATTTGCTTACTGTTTAATTGTATTTGTAACCCCGAAATCAGTACTTGTGGAATTTTGCTGTCATTCATGGACATGTGCGGACAGGCTTGGAGCAGTGAGGAATTTGAGTTGAGGATCCTCTTTTCCCAGCTGAGTTCAAATAAAACAACGCTCTGCTCTCCTATCCTGTTTCAGCTTTCATACAGAAACGACCAGAGTATGAAAATGGTAGTGGACAGTGCAGTGTATAAACAGTGTGGGAAAGAAAGGGTGGGTCTTGATAATTCAAAGTACTCCCTAAACCACTTTGACCACAATGACATAAATATTTCAAGCAAGAAATACACACACACACACACACACACACACACACACACACACGAGAAAGAGAGAGAGACAGATGAGAGAGAAAAAGAAAGAGAGAGAGGGAATGTGCGTGTAGGTGCATGCACAGCATGTGTGAATGCAGGTCATGTAACTAATTGTTTTAATTCTTTAATCAATTTGTTAACATAGATCTTCTTTCGGCATACTGCTATTAAGTACATAAAATAAAGTATGGACACGGAGGTATGGTCCTGGCAGAATAATCATAATAGAAAATGAGGTGATCTACTGATAAAACAATATTGTGACCGAAACAACAAATCAGAGTCACAGTGCAATTACTGTTTTCAGAACATGTACAGCAAACTGGTTCCCCAGCAGCCAACAGACAGTGCCACATCATTATCTGCTCTGCTCACTTGGCTACCGGGTATTAGCATCATGTCTTACAACTCTGGAGACTAAACCAATTAAGGTACAATTTAAACAAGGCACTCATAAGTATTGTACCACGGTGGTATTGACACATCTAAATATTTTAAAAAATAGAATAAGGCTTCCAAAAATAGGCAATCCATCTTAGGAGAAGAGGTTCCATGGAGCGACTTCTGCATTATGAATAAATATGCATAATCAAAACAGTAGCCCAGCTCAAATCTCTCTCCTGCTCATTTGATATACCTCTCCATGTCATATCTATTTTCATATAAACAACACAATAATATAACATCTGCATTGCTAAATAACACTACTATGTTCTAATGTCTTTAGGATGGCATGAATAAAATCTTTCTACTCCCGTTTATTAGAATTTATTGTTGACAATCCCTTGCAAAGTAGCAGAAGGTATAATTAATTCTGGTACAACCCTAAGTTGGATATAGAAACTCAACAGGGTTTCCTTTTGACTTCAAATGATCCATCACTTGATAATGTGGAGAGGAGGCAGCAGGAGGAGGGTGTGAGCCTCCATAACTTCACTCTAAACTGCTGCCATGGTGCCCCAAGCAGTTAATGTTATATACACACACTGTTAGCTCCATAATACAATTGTACTTTTCTTTATTCTGTGTAGATCTTTGGCTACAATGTTCCATAGGGAGAAAAAAACAAAACAATCTTTCAAGATTTTGTCAGGAATTGTACGAAAGCAAGTATTTAGAAATCTCCCTAACTCAGCATGAGGTTCCTACTACCACTTGCTCCTACTATTATACATTCAATTCTCTTCTTTCTGGACATCTCCTAGATTGGGGAAAGGATAATTTCACAGTTATGCTAAATTAAAATTAATGCATCATTTCAGGAATTCTCTCATATAGGCTATTAATATATGCACACTTCTCATCAGTAGAAGAATTGATCTAATTATGTTAAATGTACAGTTACTGATGCACCTTTAGTTCATTATGTGGTTGCTCAGAGGAGGAGAAAGCAAAGAGGGAAGTTATTATTATAGGCTTGATTCCGACCAATGAAAATAATAAACTAATAATTCAGAAATAAGCCAAAACAGAAGAGAAAGTGATTGTGTCAGCCTGGAATTCATGACATGAAAGAGAAGAGCACTTGGATATGAATTATTGGGAGGGGAAAATTTAGTATCAGGAAAACAGAGATATGGTACCCTGGTGAGTGGTTTTTTAAGGGAATAAGACTTGCAAGAGGTGGAAGTGTCCTTAAATTGCAATTTATTGTGTCTTTGAGAATTATCTCCGTTTTAAAGGTGAGCAGGAGGTACAATCCAAAGAAAAAGGTGTAGCAGTAATGATGCCTCTGATAAGGGCAGATTACAAACATGAAAAGAGAGACACATTTCAACTCTCTAAAAACTATGCTATCAAAGCATGAAATGGGCTGTCTCAGAAAGTGTAGGAGGAAGAATATAAAAGTGGTCTATAGAATTTGTAAGGTTTCTTTCACTTTGAAGTTTCTGTTATTCTGAGTTATGTGGAAATAGATTTTCATTCAACATTTAAAAAGTGTTTTTAGACAGTGATGTTAAATAATAATAGCTTACATATTGAGGTGGTGCCTCGTAATTTATGAAGTGCTTTGACAAGCATTATCAATTCTCACCATAGCCCAGAGAGATCATGATCTTCATCTTATAAATGAGCAGACAGAGTCCTGCAGAGGTTAATTTGCTATCCCAGGGTAACACATTTGCAGATTTCAGGGCAAGAGTACAACTGGAGGAGCACATACCTTATGTCTCAATATCTAAAATTTATAAACCAAGTAACAAACAGTTAAATATGTCCAGCCTCCTACCTCAGATAATATATCTTCAAACAACATTTTCAAACTATATGCTTTTTTATGACTAAAAGTTGGCAAAATATAAAAGATGACTAAATTTAATCGTTTTAAATAATACTATTGTAGGGCTGGATGTTCTATTGATGAGACTGTGGTGTTTAAAAATACATCTATAATTTATATGTTACAAGTTATATAAATATTCCCCAAATTTATTTTCTTTACTTAATAAAATCACAAATTATGCTGTTCCTATATTTTTATATAATCTGGGTTTTATTAAATATATGATCTATAATTTAAAAATAAAATATAATTGTATTCAAATTATATAAATTTTGTATGTATTTTGATAAAATGTAAATAGATGTAATATAAAAAACTAAGACAAATTATTTATATATCTTTTTAAAGTTTATTTTCTTCTATAATATTAAAAAGTAAGAGATTAAATATAGATTATAATTAATGAATTAAACATTTGGAACTTATTACTATAAGCTGAATTATATAATTTGAAAATATAATAAGATATTATTAAACATTTTTTGTAAAAAAAAATTCACTGTACTAGTTTTCAACGTCCGTCTAATTGTCAGTGTAAAGAATCAGTATTACCCTTCATGTGTTTTACATCTAGCTAAAACCATATATATACAAATTTGAAAATAATAAAAATTGTTTGTTGTTACAAAATTCCTCAGCCACGATGGCAATTTCTGAATACCTCCAGAACCATGAAGTGGAACATGAAGAACAAGAAGAAATGGACCCAACCTTATTACGGGAATTGCTTGTCCCTACGCCATTGGAGAGAAAAGATTAGAGACATTAATTAATTTGTCTTTCATCTTAACTACATGCTTTCTCTGCTCAAATCCTTCCCATACTCCAAAGCACTGTCTGGCTCAGGCTTCCACAGTGTTCAACCACCAGGCCCTCATGGCACTCAGATACAGGTGTTTGTATTCTGAGTATTTAGGAAAAGAGATGTGGAAAAGACATTCCCTGGGGCCTGAATGGTGTTGGTCATCGAGTGGATGTTTAGAGTTATAGGTGATAGTGTATCAGCACTAAGTCCCAGACCCTAAGAAGCACAGGCACTCAAACACTTCTTTTAAATAAATGCATTATGTTTGTGTGTACGTGATATATAAAGCCCTCTAAAGCACAAGACCTAGGCCAGAGGCCCCTGTTTCCTGAGCTAAGAGTGATATTAATTGGTAGAGTCAGGAGTTAATCTAAGTGAATACCCTTTTAATGAAGTCAGCAATCTTTAGGGATAGAGAAATCCCTTTAATAAAGATATTAAAGTAGAATTTTTATTTAAGAAATTTATGGAATCAGTAAACTGATTTTTATTCCTTATTAAAACAACTGAATTTATTTTACATGTATATTTTTGTTTCCCCCCATTTCCATGTCTGACCACCACTACTACTAAGTCACATCATAGCGTTTTATATATACTTAAAACCAAGCAAAGACTGGAGTTCCATCTTTAAAAACTAAACAGGCATTTTGAACAACACATTTTTGGCAATGGAACCTGGACAACATTTATCAAACATGGTAGGGAAAGTTCTCACTCTGCGTTATAAAAAGAACAGCCAGATATCAACTGTTACAGAAATGAAATAAGATAGAAAATTTCAACAAGCTGTTTAAACTATTTTCTTAAAGAGACTTTCTTCACTGCCAGAGATCTTGAATAGCCTCCTGCTCAGTCATCCAGAAGGAATTCTTCACATAATTGATTAACTTGGCTTCCGTTTTGGGAAGAGAACCACCTTTTTCTATACTTGCTTGCATTTTTGCTTTAATGTCTTCTACAGAACTAGGGCCTTTTGGTGTTAAGGTGAATACTGATGAAAATGGGCACAAGTTGTTTTTATGAATGGTTAGTTTAAAGGCTGGTCCAAAGGATGAATTGCACATGGTTGAAGCAGAGGCAATGAATTATGAAGAACACAGTCCAATTAAAGTGATTTCTAATTTGGGTTGAAATATATGATGTGTAAAGACCCTGGGATGCTATGATTAAGAAATAGTTTTAAATGTTTCTATCTCATCATCAGAGTATATATGTTTGTATAACTAACATTGAAAGATAATTTGGATTAAAGTTCTGAATTAATTTAGTGGTCACCTACAACCTAATGTAACAGTCAAAATGAGAACATTCACAATTTTAGTGGATGTGGACCCAGTAGATCCCATGCACTGAGATGAGGAATTCATTTTTCAAGTTGAACATCTGAAGTATATCCTGCTTCATGGAGAGACTCTTCTAATCTATACTTTATCCATTTACATGGAAATTCTTCTGAGTTGAAAGAGGAGTTTCAGTGTGAACTTGTAGACCTGCAGTACCCTTACTTAAACAGATAAAAACACGGTTCACTGAGGATCTGTCTCATTAGAGCAGGAGAGTCAACTGACTCATTTTAGAAAATTTTCAAGAACATTTGTTACAACAAAAAGTTTTATGATTTTCAGTACCCAGAATGCCTAACCAAACAAAATCTTGTCTTTCCCAGATTGTATGAACTAGAGAGTAAAGAGGCAGTATCATGGGAGAAGCTCACGGAATCTGGAGCCAGGCCACCTGAGTTTGAATGCCAGCAGGTATTACCTGCAGCAGTGTGAGGTTGGGCAAGTTACTTAATCTCTCTGATTCTCCATTTCCTCATCTTTAAAATGGAAGTGATAGTAGCGCAAGAATAGTGGCACTGCACACATCCAGAGATGCTACTCACATTGCCTCTGTGTTAGTGGTGGCTGGGAGGGGTGCAATACATGCTAGGAAAGACTATTCTCTGCTGCCCTGAATAGACCCTACCGTATAGGGTTGTAGTTCAGATTACATGAGTTAATCATGTAAAGCACTTAGACTGGAGGCTGGCACCCATTAAACACTCAGTAAGTTATTGTCAATCCATTTGATAAGAGAATGGTGAGGAGGAGGAAATAGAAAATAGCAAGAAAAACAAAACCAAAAAAGAGTCATGCTCTAACTGGAAACCTAAGAGGAAAAAAAAAAAAGAAATAAAGTTGCTTATATTTTCTAATCTGTCAAAGATCAATTCACAATAAGCATAGAAAGCAGTTGGTGACCTGTCATGAATGATCCACATTTTCCTCTGAGAATACAGTTATGTAAACCCCTAGGAAATCAGACAGCCTCCTGCTAAAGTGAAAAATCAAATGACCAAATAGTGAATTTTTTTAAGCATAAGAGCAGGAAGTGGCCCATCTGAATCTCCAAGACTTGGGGAGGTGAATTTGACCGCTACAGCTAATAGGTAACGATTTATGACCAGTACCCATCGCCAGCAAATTATTCACTAACTGCTGACAGGGCCAACCCTTGACAGTGAAATCAGTGGGGATGATATCAGTCACTCTGTCACTGGAGTTGCAAATCTTCCAGCCAGCACAAGAGACCTAGAAGCAGAAACGGAAAATGGAGAAGCCAACAAGTTCAGCCACGGCTGGAGGTGCCCCTGATAGGAGGTCAGCAAAGTGAAATGGAGACAGCAACATTAATTGTGCCAGTGGTGAATGTGTGAGTCAGTACTGGCTATGAACTATACCAGAGGATCTGAAGAGGTACACCAGGAGACAAGCAAGGGCTGGAGTGTCAAAGAAAGCTGGTTTCAAATCCCTGCTCTACCACTTAATAAATGGCCTTAGGCAAGCTACTTAATATCTCTAAGTCACCATTTGCCCATCCCTAAAATAAAAATAATAAAATCCCCCTTACAGGGCAGGGTGCAAAGATGTATTAAGATAATGAATAGGACACATCTGGCACACAATGTCTGGCAAGTTGAAGGTACTCAGTGAACCTGACTCCCCATTCCAGAAGCTGCCCTGAGGGATACTCACAGCCAGGAGAGTGGGGTGGAATGCAATTAAATAAGTAGTTAACAACTAACATGCTAGAGATGAGAACAGGACCTCAGGAGGACACAGGGGGATGCTTCCTTAAGGACCCAACCTGACAAAGGCAGGAAACAGCAGAGAAAAAAAAGAGATGCTCAGGAAAGGGTCAAGACTAGGTGGGTGTAGACCATGGAGTTCAAGGTAGCCAGAAGGACAGACAGCATAAGGCACATGGCCAATGCCAAGGCCTAGAAACAAGAGAAAGCACTGGACTGGCTGTCCTGGATCTCAGACCTGCTTCAAATTCTTGAAGTCACAGTTCCAAAATCCACTTTTTCTCTCCTTGACTTTTGTCTAGCTGATTTTCTCTGTTGGCTAATCCCTGCTTAACGCACTTTTAGGAAGCATTGCCTATCCTTCTACCACCCATAACACAGTATTACAATGACAAACGCACAAAGGCGAGCCCAGTGGACCATACTGGGATGGCTTAGACTGGGATGAGAGCAGCAGGATGGGGTGACTTGCTCATTGCTGGACAGGAAAAGTCCCACGATTCCAGGTCATTGTGCTGATGCACCCTAAGGATCATAAAATAGCTGCTGCTTTCTCCATTCTCCTTCTCAAACAGGAAAGTATATATATAAATAAATAAATACGGGTTGATCTGCGAGTTGACAGGGAAACGCCAGATATCCCCACTTTCTGAGTGGAGTCTTCAGCGAGCAAAGAAGAACATTTGGAATGAGTACTTATTGTAAAGGAAAGTTTCACCCAGGCCTCTGTCCATTATCCTCATTAATTTCTAACAAGGAAAGAGAAGCTCTCAGTCTGATTATTAAGACTCAGAGACATAAAGCCATTTTTTAGAAATGTCTTACTAGCGGTCAAGGTCACCGTGTGTTACCCCTCAGTGTCCAGGTATAGAGGCAGCATTCCCACTTCCTGCTCCATGTGCTAAACCCTACAGGACTAGGTTTGTTCCTTTGCAGCCCAACGAGTCATCCTGTATCTTGCCTACCTTTTTGACTTTCCACATGGGTCGTGTGCTATGCAGTCATATTCAGGGCCTGCTTTCCAGAAACAGGCCTCCTGTCCTTCTCTAACTTCTTTCACTATATCTGCTACAACCAGGGAAAGGACGGAGAAAATTGGGAAATATCCTAGGTACAATATCACCTTGACAATGTCTGACCATTTGATATTCATAGAAAAGGGGGGAAGAAAAAAGGACTTCATTGGCCCAAGTCATACTTAGCTTTTCTTAGAGTATTACACTGGAAAAAGAAGCGTGTAGGAGCCTAGATACCCACAGAATAATATTTTGTCTTCTATTCTTACTGTGATTGTTTGTGTGTAGCTCTTTCTTTCAGTAATTCCAGAAAGAAGAGAGTTTAGAGTTATAAATGAGACACAAAAACCATACCCTGAAATCTCTAACAATGATAAAGATTTCTTAAAGTCATTGAAGTTAAGCATGAAGAACAGGAGGAAGAAAATGTAATGTACATATTTAAGGAGATAATCCAAAGCCTAGAAAAAACAGTGATAATAAACAATGGTTTTATGATCAATAATAGAATATATTGATTTTTATGGATAGCCAGTATATTCACCTCAAAAATGTATATCTGTGAATATTTTTAAATTATGCAGAAAAATCAATAAATCCATTAATTAATTGATGTTTCTTTAAATAGGCACCAAATTTTGAAACCACTGGGATATTGGAGAACACGGAAAGAGTCTACAAGGATGTTTAGATACTTCCTATATGCAAGGTGCTATGCTAGATATAACCATTCAAAAGAACAACCTTTTTCCTCTAGTAGTATGCAAACTGGTTGGGAACAAGAGCAATTGTTTTGGAGTCAATAGACCATGTTTCAAGTCCAGATAGTCTTACACCCTATGAACTTCAGTTTTCTCAACTTAGAAAGGGGTTAATGAGGCCGGGTGTGGTGGATCACACCTGTAATCCCGGCACTTTGGGAAGCCTAGGCAGGTGGATCACCTGAGGTCAGGAGTTCGAGACCAGCCTGACCAACATGGCGAAACCGTGTCTGCACTAAAAATACAAAATTAGCCAGGTGTGGGGGTGCACACCTGTAATCCCAGCTACTCAGGAGGCTGAGGCAGGAGAATCGCCTGAACCCAAGAGGCGGAGGTTGCAGTGAGCTGAGATCGCACCATTGCACTCCAGCCTGGGCAACAAGAGTGAAACTCTGTCTCAAATAAATAAATAAATAAATAAATAAATAGGTTAATGAGACCCACCACATCCAGTTGTTGTTAGGATTAAAGAAGATAATCTACGTGAAGTTCCTGACACTGCCTGACATGTGGTAGAGGATCACACCAATGAGTTTTTTTCCCCTTTTCTTCCCTAGATACCTTAAATCTTACCCACGTGAAAGTTGATGAACAGTGCAGTACAGAACATGGCAAGGGCCAGATTAGCAAAGCAGAGAAGTCAGAGATGCAGAATTTGACAATGCCAGTCCATTTGGAGCAGTAAGGAAAGGATTCTGCAAATTGGTGGAAACTGAACTAGGAGTAAATCAGGAGAGAGGGTAAGAAACTTGTGGAGATAGGACAAACCCTGTAGCTCTTAGAGAGAGTTGACCCAAATTTAGTCTGTTTGAAGAATCAGGGAATTCACATTGTTTGTCATGGTTTATGGATTAAAGACAATCATCAGCAAGGATGTCATGACTGCCTGCCATGTGACTTAGCAAAAAGGGAGGAGAAAGAAGAAAAGGCAGTAAGAACAAAGAGGAAGAGAAGAAGAATGAAGAGGAGAGGAGGTTTAAGAGGAAGAGGAGAAAGAGGGATAGGAGAGAAGAAAAATGATTAGTGTCACAGACACCAAAATTATAGTTTGAAAGGGTAAATCTGAAATGAGGCCATTAAATCCAATAGCTTCATCATCAATGCCACTAGACTGAGTTGTTCTAAGCAACATTTTGTTATAATATATGAGCTGGGTGAAGCTGATTAGCTAAGCCTATATCATACAGTACAGGAAAACTCAACAAAGGTTTACTCATTTGAAAAGAAAACATTGAGTCTTGGCCAAGTTAGAAATGAATATTCCATGTGAAAAAAAAGTGTTAAATACGGTAATGATGGAAGAAAATCTTCTATAATTATTGCTCCATATGTTACCACCTTCAAGGGAAAATATACACATATAATCCCCCCATATGAATTTCCAGATCTATTTTTTAAAGTGAGCAGCCCCAGGTTAAAAGCAAAGGAGCATTATTCAATGATTGTCAGTTGCAAGCCTTGCAAGGGGATCAGCCCCAACTCCAGAATAAGCCTGGAGAAAACCAGGGAAAGATAATCAGCTCTTTGGGATTCACGGATCACAGAGGGCTGGAGAGCATCATGGTTTTCTCAGGCTAGAAGGAGCATTCAGAGATCATTATGTCCATTCCCCTTCCCCTAGGCAACTCCATTTGCTCTTTCACGGCAAAATAATATTTTACATGCAAGATAGAGCTAGAGGCACAACAAGTATTATAAATAGGTGATGGAAAACAGGAGGAATGCAGAGGTTTCTCCCACTTACAATTATAAAATGTCCCAACTGCATCTGTCTAGTACATTTCTGCCTCCCCAGTAATTAGTGTAGCATCTGACACATCATAAGTACTCAGTAAATATCTGTGACAGGAGTGAAGAAACATCCTATGCTGCCTGGAATTTCTCTTCACTTTTGTTCTTTGAGATCTCTCAGAAAATTTAGGATTCAACTACCCTCTCTCTGGACCATCGTTTTAGCCAGAGTTTCTCAATTTTTTTATAAATTTTCAAAAATTTCTTCTGTATGATGAGGATTTTGTGTGTATGTGTGATTGCCACATACCTCAAAGGCCACACAAAATTCTTTGTATCATTCTGACAAAGCATGTTATATTGGTCCATTTGTATTTCATCAATGCATCTGTAATAAAACTTTAGAAAATCCATCAGCCATCCAGATGAGCCAATGCCACTTGTTACTAAACATCTGAATGACACTGAAGACCTACAGCTCACCTTCAGAGAACCAGGACTGGCTTCTTAGAGACACTGGAAGATGAAGAATCCTGAAGATGAACCACAGGGGAGCCAGGAAGCCCAAGTGAAAGTAGTCAGAGGGTGCAGCATTCTCAGAAACTCAGGAAGCGGACTTGAGAATTTGGTTGGGGTAAGACAAAGGGGACCAAGAGAGGAAAGGAGGATCTATCATGAAAGACCAAAACATAAAATAGATTGAGCCAATTAGTTCTTTACATTTACAAAGATGATTAAATCAATGAGTTCTCTACCATTTAGAAATATGAAGGCTAAAGAAGAGAAAACTCACATCTGCCATTAAACCATATTTTTGTATGAGATAGAATATAAATTGATAAATAAAATATTGTTGATAGGGACTTATGACAGATTGTTTAGAAAATCTAATGGAATCTCTAACAAATTTTCCCTCATATTTGTTTGAATACTAGGGAGCAGCTCACCTACTCCATTTCAACTGAGACCATTTTAGTTGACAGACATTTTTTTTTATTTTGAGATTAAAGTGTCTCCTGGGTCTTACTGGTCCTAGTTCTGTCTTCAGGGATAATTCAATACAAATTCACAAAGTGATAATTACTATAAACTTTCTGTAAGAAAGGCTCTCTCCATTTCTCCACCAAAGCATTAAGGAGGTACTTCTAGGGGAAGCAGAACACGGTCATTTTAACCCCATCATTTGACTGCACCCTACAAGGCCTTTGACCAATTACGGCTTTTTATTCCAAGAAATAAATAAGTACTGCAATAAATAATCAACAGAGATAAATTGAGAAAAGATAAAGCAGCACTCAGCAAAATTAAGAGAAAAATTGAAGAATCCCATCATGTTAAACTTCCAAAATTGCAAAAATTGACTTAGGAATTTTAGACTTAGAAGAAATAATCATTGCAAAATGAAAGTGGCAATGGCTAAAACTGCATTGTGAAAAAAAATGTGTTATTGACTGAAATTGACACAATTATCTAATCTTCTTGCCCAAATTTTGATCTGTAGAATCTGATTTAGGACAAGTGGACCTAGTAGAAATAACTATCAAGAAAGAAAATAAAGACTGGTAGAAGCATTCTTGTAACATTTTATATAGATGATTGATGAATCAAATCATGTTTCTACATTTTATCATGAAGAATTGTTTCTGAATGAAATAATTTTAATTACATAAAATAAAACTGGATAAAAATGAAAAGAGTAAACAGTTTAATTGCACATATAGAAAACTGACCAAGGCATTAAATTGGCTTAACTGATTTTAATCCCAAAATACTTTTTCAATGAAAACTCATCCTTTAAAATCTACTATATCAGCATTTGTGTAATTCTGATTTATCAACTAGGAGTTCAAACGTTATTACTGCCTAAATGTTGAGGTCAACAAAGCACTGGATTGTCTGCAATTCTCTTCAAAGAACACTAGAAACTCATATTCCTATAAACAGGCTTCTAGCAAAGTTTAGACCTATCTATAATAAATCCAACATCTATGTTAATGGAATGTTAGGATCTTTGACATCTAACTCTTGTTCAAAAAGAGGAAGTTATATTAAATGGCCCTGATACTGCTCCAGGGTGGCCCCTATAATGTTTCTTATATTTGAATACCACATATTCAATAAACAAATATCTACTGTGTATCTACTTTATGGCATATCCTGGATTAAACACTGAGGATACAGAACTGAGCCATGCAAACTGAGCCTTGCCCTAGGAATTTATGAAGAAGCTTGCTCCAGAGAGCAACTGGAAGAGATAGCCCCAGGAACATATGAACTCGATGTCCTTACCCAAGTCATGCTGTGTGAGTCTCCTCCCACCCACTCTTTAATAAGAATAAAAATTTGTGCAAATTGACATCAAGAGCAGGCTCAGTTGAGTCAAGCTTTCTAAAGGAGAGAGTAAGGCTTCACTAGACATGAGCAACCTGAGGACAGAGATAGAGACAGCAGAGCCTGAGAGTGAACCAGAGAGACACTTTCACCAATGACAAAGTCTGCTATATAGTAAAAGTGAAATCCCCCATTGGTGGTAGCTGCTTTGGTATGATGCTGGTGGATGGGCAGTTAGGGACCTGCATATTGTACATTCTGAACTCAATACCATGGAACTAGAAAAAGTGTCAGTTGCATAAATATCTCCATCATGCTAACAGAAAGCTACTAGGGTCTTCTAGCAAAACCTATCTGTAACAAAGGGAGAGAAATTACCTGTAACTCTTATTTATTTAAAGTCTCATGGGGAAGACTGCCAGTGGTTCCTCATTATCCATTCTCTTCGTCTTCTTACATTACAGTTGATTTTTCAGCTGGGCAATTGACCATCTAGCTGGAACTGCATTTCCCAACCACATGGCTAAATTCTGGGAAATGGGACATTAATGCAATAGATATTGGCAACTTCTGGGTCATGCTATTAAAAGAAAGTTAAAGCCCATTCCTATGGCAGTAATAAGAATATAGATGACTGGCTTGAAATATGTGGATGAAAGAGATACCTTGTGTACAGGGACAAATAGCCTTTCCCAATAACATTTCCCAGCCACAGGGACTTGTCCCAATCATTCTAGGCACCTTGCAGATTTGTGGATAGTCTAAACTCCCAGATCAGCTTAGACTTTCATGGGAGAGAGAAGTTGACTTCTATCTTCATTGAACCAAAGAAAGTTTGGCTCCTTGTTAGAACAAAATTTATAGCAGATTCAATAAAGCCATATTGTATTTTTAATGGCAATGGTTATATCTGAGGAAGTTTTTGTGTAAGGAAGAGGATATTGCAAGGTTTCTATGTTTGTTCCATCTTGTTCATACTCCATCTGACAGTAAATCTCAGCGCTTCAGAATTTAACAAACTCCTCATTGTTTGCACAATTTGTTCGGAGTGAACTGTTTTAGATAATCAGACTTTCCAGTTGACTGAATTATTTTATGTTCTGTAGGAATTAAAAATCCTCAAAAAAATAGATAATACCTTTTCACCCAGATATTTCACCAGATATCATTTAATCTTTAAGAAATCATATAATACTTCACAAACTTGTATTACCACAGGAACATGATTTTAAACAACAATCATTTTTATGTTATAATCAGTAGGATTCTAATTTTTAAAACAATAGAAGAATGATGGAGAACAGAGTTAATCCTACTGTATGCACTTATTAAAGCTGCTAGTTTATCAAGTATTTATTGAGTGCTTGATGGCCCCTATGTGTGGTTTTACCACTGAATTCCTACACAAACATGGGCAGCCGATTCATTTTTTTTTTTGGAACTTATGATTTTTCATCAGTGAAATGAGAGGGCTGAGTGGATAATTCTGAACTGCAGTCATTCTAGTTTTAAAAGACTATGATTCTAATAATGGGGCTAAGGCCACAGAATGATGGCTCCTGTCACTCTCAGACTCAGCCCTCTTCTTCTGAACTTTTTCCAGAACTCTTTCTGGATCCAGATGTCCACAGTTGGAGATATTTCCCTGGAAGCAACATCGTATAATGGCTCCTCCACAGCTTCTTCTACATGTTTAGTTGACAGCAGTAATGTTGCCTCAGGGCCAAGCCTTTCTCCTGCTGAGGCTATAAATGGGTGTCTAAGCCACCAGCCCTGACTGGACAGTATCTCCTTACACATGCACGTGTGCTCTTGGAATGGAGACACTTTTGAATTCCAAATTCCCTCCCTCTGTTAGAGAAATTGCTCACCAATAATTCTGCTGACCTCCAAACAAGCCCTTTCCAGGGTGCCCAACCTCTTTCCTGCATTTCAGCAGGCCAGAGGTGCTTCTCTGCTCTGCCAAGGCTGTGTTCATCTGGTCACAGTGAGAAGACTTGGCGGGTTAATTAGATACTTCAGATGGGGTGGGAATCCTGCTGCTCAAGATGAAGCAGATTTGTAGGTGAATTAGCCAGACTCCTCTGTGGAGGTTTATTATTAAGACCAGAACTTAATAATGCATGTGTTGACAAACTGGATCCATCCTGGCCAGAACTCTGCCTCCAAGAGTAGCCCTGCAGGGCATGTGGAGGGAAGAGTGTGACAGTTGCACAGCACAACAGTGTTGCCTCAAGATCAACATCCCTGTAAAAATAGTTTACAGAGTTATAATTCACCAATTAACCCAAAGTCTTTTAAACACATTTATATTTCCAGACAATAGCATCTTTGGAATCCCAACCTCAACACTTACTAACTAGGAAAATTTAGTCTAGCTATTTAATTTCTGACTCTTCATCAGGAAGCGGATATTATAACTATCTCATAGAGTTATAAAGATTAACTGAGTTAGTATATGTAAAAAGCTTAAAATGCAGTGTGTGCAGTAGGTATTGCATGTTGGTTTTGTGTTTATTAATGTCAGGTAACAATTTCTGAATCTATAAGTATGGAAGGCAGCACGGGAGGTAGTGGGCTTTGGAGTTAGACAAACCTGAATTTATGTCTTATCTCTGGTCCTTTCTAGTTACATGATTTAGGACACATTCTCAATGCCTCTGAGCCTCAATTATTGAATCTGAAAATTGGGATATTAATGGCTACTTGAAAAAGTTGAACATATATGTGAAACATCTGGCATATAGTACTTACTAGGAGATCCATAGCTATGATTACCACTCAACCACCTGCCTTGTCTCTGGAGGAGTCCGAGCTTTACTGTGGAATGAGTATGGCTTATGAAGGTGACACCAGCTTTCCTGGGATGCAAGAGCAATAACATTCCTCAGGAGATTTTTTTTTTAATGACATTCACATTCAACTAAATTGGCTTCTTGTTTCCCTGATTGGAAACAATTTTTTAAATCCTGGTATTAGAGATTCACTCTTATTAAAGATTCTTTGTGATTCTCTCAGGAGCCTATTGATGTCAGTAGAAAAACTGAAAGAATAACTCAGAACAGTAAAATGGGACTATAGAATGGAATTAGGACATTCTATTTTTAGCACAAAGCAGGTAAAAGATAACTCAGACCTGGAGCATGTGGTTAATGAGCAGAGGTATTCCTGAAGTGCTACTGAGCACCTTTCTTACTCTGATAAACTTGTCCTCTTCCAGCCAACTTCTGATAAAGATTCACATATGCTAAATAAGTATGCTAACATTCCTAACCTTTAAAGACATCAGCAAAAGCATTTCCCATTCTAACCACTAGATTTAATTTATGAGAGGAAAATTAAAAACATGCATTTAGATGACATGAAGCTGGTCAAGGTATGAAGCATTTAAGCATGTAGAACTGGAGAGAAAACATGGGCCAGCAGGCATGAGCTCAGGGCCTTTTCTGATTATTTGCTTTCCCCATTTTTACGTAATATCAGTAGATTAAATATTTAAATATTAAAACAAAGCCATAAGTAACATTGGAAGAATATACAGGAAAATATTTGGGTAGGAAAGATCTTCCTATGCGAGAACAAACCCAGAAGGCATAAAGCACACCACAACCTGTGTCTTTATAATATGACTATGTGACGCAACTTAACAAACCTCTGTAAGACAAAAGATATCATGAACTAAGTTAAAACACAAGTAACACACTTGGAGACAAATAGAACATAGATAATAAAGAAAGGATTAATATCTATAATATATTAAGACCTCTTTCAGCCTATAGTAAAAAGGAAAAGGAACCCAATAAAGGCTAAAATATATTAGTGAGCAATTCACAAAATAAACACAAACAACAAATTCAAAAGATAAAGCAGATCCCATCCATCAAGGAGATTTGTGGGTGATGGATGGGATTGATGCATAGGAAGCTCTTTCCTACACAATATTTCCTTGAATGAATACATTCAAGGAAAAAGACTCAATCACTCCAGAAATCAGGGAAATGCAAATTTGAAAACAACTACCAGAATCTGTTTTGCACATTGGATACGCAAAAATCAAAAATATTTTTGCCTATGAAGACACAGAGAAACAGGCCCTCTATATACTGTGGAAACACAGTTTAGTACAGCTTTTATGGCAGGCAATTTTATACTATCTGATATGTATAGCTTTTGGCCCAGAATTCTATTTCTAGGACGCAAGTCTACAGAAATACACAGATGCCCAAACTTACATGAACAAAGATATATGCTGCAACATTTCTAATACTGACAAAAAAGGGGGACCGTCAAAATATCCACTAATAGGCAGAAGGTCAAATAAATTACGGCATATGGGTAAGATGGAATACTATATAACCATTTACAAACACTCTACAGAGCTCTGAACTGATATGGAAATACATCTAAGCTATTGTAGCAGATTTGTTTTCTCTAAATGCAGGCAAAAATATCTTCCATTCCACATGCTTTCCTCGCAATATAACTGACTTTCCTCCTACATAGAGATGGGGTTTATGTTCCCTCCCTTTGAATTTGAGTGGATTCGTGACTCTTCTAACCAATAGTTTATGGTGGGAGTGATGCTATATGACCTCTAAAGCTAGGTTATGAAAGAAGATATGGCATCCACCTGGCTTTTTTTGGGGTACACAATCTGGAGAAGCCACCTTTATCCTGTGAGGAAGCCCAAGCTAGCCCACACAGAGAGACCAAATAAAGAAGGCCACATGAAGAATAACAAAATCCCCCAACCCACAGCCATAATCATTCTCCAGACATGCGAGTAAACCAACTTTCAGATGATTCCAGCTTCCAGCTTTCAAGTCCTTCAAACTCCAGACATTGGGAAGTAGACACACACCTTCCACAATGTGGACTTTTCAAATAAGGGCCAAAATGTATTAGTGAACAATTCACAAAATAAACACAAATGGACAAATTCAAAACATAAAGCAGATCCCATCCACCAAGGAGATTTGTGGGTGATGGATGGGATCCACCCATGCACAGGAAGATCTCCTTTGTGGCCTTTCCACGTATCTGATCCACAGAATTCATGAACATCATAAATAATTGTTTTATGCCACCAAGTTCTGGGATAATTTCCTATGTGGCCAAATAACTAGAACAGATACTTTATGTAAAAGATATAAAGTCTCATAGAAATATATGTGGTATAATTCCATGAGAGAGAGAGACGTGTTGTGCTATGGTACCCCCCGTCAAATTCATATGGTAAATCTAACCCCCAAAGTGAGGGTATTAAGAGGTAGAGCCTTTGAACGGTGATTAGGTCTTGAGAACAGAGCTCTTATCAATGGGATTAGAACCCTTAAAATAGGCTCAAAGGAATTCATTCATTCCTTCCACTATGTAAGAATGCAAACAGAAGGTGTCATCTATAAGAAAGCAAACCCTCACCAGACACAAAATCTGCTAGCATCTTGATCTTGGACTTCCCGGCCTAAGACTCTGTGTGTGTGTGTGTGTGTGTGTGTGTGTGTGTGTGTGTGTGTGTGTGTGTGTGTGTGTGTATTTGTCTACATGCATGGACTGTTGTTTGGAAAGACACACTAAGTTGCAAAGTGTTACCACAAGTGATGGAGGAAAAAAAATGGGGCAAGAAGGTAAAAGAGACTTCAAACTCTGACTCTATATATTTCTAGATCGTTTGAATTTTGTGCCACCAGCAAATAATTTAAAGGAAAGAGGGAAGGAGGAAGGGAAGAAAGCAGGAAAGGAGAAAGAGCAGGCAAGTATTTTTGTTCAGGATCTAAAAAATCTATCTAAATCCATGAATAAATAAAATATACATAGAATTTAAGGCAAAAGGAGAGCATGACTGAACTTTGATAGAGAACTGAGATCCTGACTCTACAACTTATGAGCTGTAGGAACTTGAACAATTTATTCAATCCTTTCTAAACCTCACATTTTCCAACTATAAAATGGGGAATGAACTACTTCATATTTTTAGGGTGGCTAAAAGGATAAAATAAGATAAAGTTTGTAAAGCTGCAGGCACAATGCCTAAAACGTATCATGTTTTCAATGAAGAGGAAGTTTTCTTTACCTTCTGTTTGAAAGAATGGATAAAAGGGCATTCAACTGAGCAAAAGAGGCAATTCAGGTGACAGGTCCAATGTACAGATCAAAGTAAATAAAATGAAGCTGATTTAAAGTATGTCAGAGGGTTAGAAAGGAAAATTTGAGCTGATCATACACAGATATATACATACCATTGTAAGCTGCCCTTTCTTCCCATGCAGCTCAGCCATGCTCAGCTATAGTCGCACCTGTGTTAGTCAAGTTGTAATTGTTAGTGTTGCAGGGTGCTGAGCACTTGGCTTTCTTGATTAAGGAAAAATTCAAATTTATTTTCCTCTTACACACAAATTAGTACTTATGGCATTCCTTAGTTTCTGACCACCTCACAATAATACAGCAAATTTCAAATCTAGGTATTCTGATAGAGACATAATCCAGGGGGAGCAGGATGCACTTGAAAACCCATTAGAAACACATGCAGAGTGTCCTTTGAAGGCTCAGCTCCACCATCCCCTGTTCTGCCCTAAGTGTAAGAACTTATTCCAAAAGGTTGAATGAAAAGGGAAGATAGACTAATGACTAGAAAAAAAAATCAGATACAGCCTTGCCCCGATAGCCCACCCATCATACTTTCAAATAAGCTGATCACTTACAGTAGAGGTTATTTAGAACAAAGTGGAACTCCAGAGTCCATTTATTTGAATGTATTTCCATTTCAATTACCCTGCTTCAGAAGTTGCCTCTCCTTCCCATCACATAAGGTGAACAGATGTGATTTTAAGGACTTACTTCACAAACTCCTGCTCTAAAAAAAAAAAAAAAAAAGAGCTGTCTGTACAGAAGAAATGTTGCCCCTTTTGGGGCATATGATTCAGAAATTTTTAATAGTTCATTTCTAATCCTACTTTTGTGAGGGAATCATATTAGTTATCTTTCAATATCCTTAGTCATAGGTTCTTAGGTGAGTTTTTTTTCCCATTCTGTGCTTAAATAGATTTAAGCTGCCTATTCAAGTGAGAAAGCAGAAATCAAGATGACTTTTTGAAATTTTTCATTTCATTTATCATAATCACCGGTATACAAAGGAATCCCTCTAACATGAGTTGAAGTTCCTTTTCCAGAAACTAGGAAAGGACAGACAAATCTGAAGAGAACCAAACACATAATTTCTTGTGAAATACGTACTCTTGTGACAAACAGTACTTTATTTCAAATGATTAGCCAAGATGAGGGCTGCAGTCTGCCCTGAGAGTAAATATGGATAGAGTTATCATGCATTGTGGACATTTTAGCCATTTGTTCTTTATTTCCAGTGTGTCATAAAAACAATAGAAACATCGGAAAGCAAGATACAAGAAAAATAACAGTGTACCATAATTTTTCACCTTTTCTACCACTAAGAAAAAGCAATGGCATTATCAACCAACATGTCATTTTTAAGCACTACTTATGCACTAGTATCACCTTGGGCACTCTGCAAGAAGACAGGACTCTTACCCTCCCTAGGAGGAAGACAAAACTCACACACACACAAATGAAAGCTCAAAAAATGTGATGGTGTTCTGAATAATTTTTTTAAATGGGGTGTACTTGCAGGAACAAGGGATGTAGGGGAACTACCTGTACCTTCTGTTCAATTTTTCCTTTCAAGATAAAGTTACTCTTTTAAAAAAAAGTCAATTATAAATAAACAAATAGGAAGATACAAAGTCTTCTAGAATAAAACTAGGAAGAGAGTCATAGAAGGCTTTCTAGAAGTAATGCATCTATGGATGGACCTTGATTTGGGACTTGAGACAGGGTTGAATAGCGATGCACTTAGTGGAATCAGAAAACTACAATAAGCAAAGGCCGGGGGCCCAGAATGTTTGGTCTTCCCAGAACCCATCCTTATTCTACCAAAAGGAGCATGAGGGAAAGTACTTGGAAATAAGTCTGAAGAATGAAATAACTAGAAGATAAGGTTCTTGTTTTAAATTATAGTAAGAATCATCATGCCTATATGATGATACCCATATACGCTATATATATGCAAATATAGCTATATGCTATATGCTATAACATGCCTAGTCAATAGATTCAAAATTAAGGACTAAGTAACTCTGAGACTGAAGCTCTTAGAGTCAAAGCACATGATTTCAGAAAACTTGGAAGTAGCCTTACACAATACTCACCTTTGACTCTAGGTGCCCAGGACAGCCTGTGACATCTCTAGTGCAATAAAGTTGAAGATACGTTAACATTCACATTTCTGTTCAGCAGTACGGAGGAAACAAGATAGTTTTTCAGAGAGAAAAAAAAAAAAGAAAAAGAAATCCTGAATCCTGCAGAACTTTTGCCTGGAGGGAGGGGTTTAAGAGGAGAGGTGTCAGGAGAAACTGAAGCAAACAGAAAAAAATAACCTTGGGTAATGATAATTTGAAGAGTAGGAGGAAAGTTTGTGCATTTAATTATGATAACACCAGTTTGTCAGGAAAGCTAAACTCAACCAGAAAATCCTTAATCATTAACGCTGTCATCCCAAAAAAGCACCTTCTCGTAACTGCCTGTTTGACAGATTCTGGAGGACAAAGAGAGCCTGCAGACAGGAAACTGTCAATCCTTCTGCACAGAACATCAGAGAACCCCTCTGAAGAAGGTGAGTGAGCGTGAGCATGCACCTATGGGTGTATGTGTGTGTGGCGTGGTGTGTTTGCAGAGTGTATATTCATTTTCCCTTTTGCTTCTTACCTTTTGTCCTTGAAGATTCTTTCCTCTCATTGTCTAAAACAAATTGGCAATACCCCATTTGCTCCATTGCACTTTCTCTTCTCAGTGCCTTCTGCTCACTTTTTTTCCCAGAAGGTTTAAGTCATCCTCACGGTCAGCTTCCAAGGGAGCCATGTTATTGAGAACTATTCTTAAGCCACGGTTTCTTTCCAGTATGCTCTTCCACCCTGTCTTCATCTAACCTCGGAATAGAAGCTTCGAAACCAGGTGCATAGGTTGAGAAGTAGTTAGAGGCCACCTACCTTGCCCAGATACCTGCAGCCAGAACCGTGCTGGCTAAGAGGTCAGACTTTAATTGGTCTCTTGCTGATTCCCGCCATATCTCCCCTCCTCACCAGCCGGGCAAGATGGCAGGTAGTTCACCAGACACATAAATCATTCACCTCTGCTGGCTTGCAATTCACTATTCTATATCAACAGCCATTTCTTGTTCCCTCCCCACTTCTGTCAGTTCACGGTCCTAAAAAGTAACCTGGTGATTTGGAATTTGAATTTGGAAAGTTTATACTAATACCAGAGCTAAGCCATTGAGATAGGGTGGCAGTGATGCAGAAGGGAGCATGGGCAAACACTGAAAGATCACGAGTGCCAGAAGAGGTGGGAAATGGCTCTATGTCACCCAGGGAGGTATTAGAACAATGAAATGAGATTGAGAGAAAGAAAATACAAGCCCTATTGCAAGGGAAGAGCTCCTAACCAAGAGTCAATTAGACTGTGGAATGGCTTCCGTGTGGAAATGGCCAGAATTGTAGTAGCAGTCATTGAAAACCAACCCTGCAAAGTGCCCAAAATAAACTAAAAGAAACATTCTATATGAAGGGCCCAATTTCATCAGCACATGGTAATCACAGACATCCCAGTCTGGACATCTGTCATTCTTAGACTTTAACCAGGAGAAAAACTACTATTCATTTTCTGTACATTTGAGGAAGAATCCCTGATACTTGTGAGAGGTGAAATGTTTCTTGCTGCCATCTTCCAAAAATATATTTCTAAGATAAAGTCTGGTTTATCACAGAATCACAGGTCTTTGCTGGTTCTTTGCTTTATTTGAACTCATAAGATATTTGACAGTTAATCATACCCTGGCTTGTACCATCTTTTCAGTAACAAATATTTTACTTTTATATTGTTGGTTATTTGTATTTCTTAGCTCCTTCACAAGTTAGCCAGTTCTCTGAAAACAGAGGATACTTTATTCCTCAAAACTTTTAGCACTGAAATTTCTGTATAGTAGCCAATCACAATATGTTCATAAAATCGCAATCATCAAATGCTGTTATAAATCAAAATCAATACACATTATTGTCCATTTGCTGTATATCAGATACTCTGCTAAGAAATTTTTGTCATTATTTCATTTAATCTCTAGAACAATGTAATATGTTCTATTGTCCCCATTTTATTTAAAAAAAAAAAACCAACCTACAGAAATAAGAAAAAAAGTTACTTAGAATCACCCAGTTAGGCAGTACCAGAGCTAGAATTTCAACCCATCTAATGCCACTGTTTCAACTCCAAAGGTCAGAGAGTAAAAACTTTATAATTTTATAGCACCTACTAATAGCTAACTTTTTTGAATGTTATACAAGAGGCATTGGGCTAAGTGCTTCACATATATTAGTTAGTACCTGATGCAATCACTATTAATACATGAACTACATCCATGTTACAGATGAGGAAACCGGAGCACAGAGACATTAAAGAACAAGGCCATACAGCTAGTGAGAAGCAGAGCTGGGATTTGCACCTCAGTGTTCTCCATCTGGTGCCCAGGCTCTTCGCCATTTGGTATACCACCACTCAGATGAAGAGACTGAAAATTCAAGAGGAAAACCCTCTGTGTTCAGGCATCTAGTCCCATGCCATGTTCACAACAGCATTATTTATTGATTCAATCATTGCTTGGAAGTGGCTTTTCCTTGAATCTCATTTAACGTCTGCCCCTGCATCCAGAAAAGCCTCATCCAAACTTGCCAAAACAAATCAACACTACTCCTGTACTTTTTGAATTCCAAGGTAGAAACACTCAAAGGGGTCTTTGATGAGGACCAGCAGTAATGCTACTGTCCAAGCATTCCTTCCAGGAATTGGTAGTGAGCCCCAGCGAGGCCATCCCTGAAACCCTGGTCAGGCTGCACGAGAGAAGATGGAATGGAGAGTGTGTAAACTGAAAGGTTGTGCTTGAAGGTTCCAGTTACAAACTAAATCATTAATTCAAAAAAACATGAAGCCTATTTTCCAATGTTTCTGACCATTTCCTTTGTTGAGTCATATCATGAACTAATATTGAATCCTTACAGACCAAACTAAAAATAATACACTATAGAAAGAGTATTCCATTGAGCAACAACCAAGCCACAGTCTCCTTCGGGGCAGGCATCATGTTCTCTGGCTCTCTTTTGCACCCATCAGTCTTGGCATAGCAACAAACACATAGAAAAATGCTTGACCAATGAAGGCTGAATTTAGCTGAATCTCTCAGGAGTCTTTTTCTGACTCTATCAACAGCTAAGTAGGCAACAAGCCATGCTTGGGACTCAGTGGAGGCAACAGGACCTGAGGCCCAGGATAAAGGAGGGCACACCCCTCTTCAATTCATGCAAGGAGGTCACAAATCTATTGGGTACTAGCATTGGCTATAGCCTGAATAAATAATCTATCTTGTATATACATTTTATGATCATTTTTCTTCAAGATAATATGGATGTGGAAATAAACAAAATTCAGATGCATTTAGCAATATCACTGAATTCACAGTTACTTTTTGTAATTATGATTTTTTTATTTTTGAGACAGGGTCTCACTCTGTTGTCCATGCTGGAGCACAGTGGTGCAATCTCTGCTCACTGCAGCCTCGACCTTCCAGGCTTAGGTGATTATCCCACCTCAGCTGCCTCAGTAGCTGAGACCACAGGTGCATACCACCATGCCTGGCTAATTTTTGTATTTTTAGTAGAGAAAATTTCACCATGTTGCCCAGGCTGGTCTCGAACTCCTGGACTCAGAAGATCCTCCCATCTTGGCCTCCCAAAGTGCTGAATTTACAGGCATGAGCCACAGTACTTGGCTGTAATTATGAACTTTTAAATCAATGAATGCAACTGTTACATGGGGAATCTGGGACATTTTGTGGCACTTTTACAGAAGCTTCATATTGGAAATATTAGACTAGACAACTCATATTTTTTTTCTATTCTAAACTTCTTTATTTTATGATTCTCTGACTTAAAGTAGGGTGAAATGATTTGACAGTGCCTTCCATAAGTTGGCTTCTTTCTTAGAAATTGCCATGCAGTGGTGACAATCTCCACAACTTACCATCAAAACATCAGGAATTTTTCATATTTCCATATCTGGTTCTATAAATAATGTTTTCTGAAAATTTCCTGAATTAGAAAGATAATTATTATCTTTAATTAGATTTCCTTGTCTTCTTCCAAAAGAGCTAGGTCTTTGAAAGGATACAATGAGATTTTCAACAGTGGATGTAAATTTATCAGTCCCATCTGTCATTATAGTCCTCTACACATTATTTGCTCTTATCACACAAAACCATTGTTTTTCTTTTTTCTTGCAGTTGCCATTCACCTTCACACTCCTGCTGATCCATTAGCTGGGGATACACCTTCACCTCTTCTCAGCCCAACCTAGCTGCCCTTGATCCTTTTCCCATTGCATCACCACTATTAGCCACTCTTTCCCACGGCAGAGTGGTATGTGCCTAACCCCAGGCACTCACTCTACCAGCTGTTTTAGTTCTTCCTTTGTATGACTCTGCACTATCTGGCCCGAAAGCCACTTGAACACTATAACTGCCTCTCATGTGTCTTCTTTCCTCCAGACAACCAAGCTAAGGTGATCTTTAAATGTTCATTAAATGTCCTGAATGAATGAGATGATAAATGCAGTCACCATGGAAGGCAAATATGTTTGATTATGAAAAAATTACACTTGAATTCAAAAAGTTTAAATTGGTTTCCAACTTGTACCTGACGTGGTTTAAAATAAGTTTAAATTTTAAAAAAACTTAACCTCCTACTCCTAATTACCTGATGTTCTTTACACTTTATCAAAAGAAAAGTGAAAGGAAATAAATTCTTTCTGCAGAGTTTCTAGGCCCTGCTTCTATACTTTACAGAAAGAATTAATAAACCAACATTATTCCTGGAACTAAAATGATGTAAATTGATGGCTCCAGTACCCAGACCAAGATGTGCTGGTAGGATAAGACTCTGAGAGCATAAATTTTTGTTAAAGGGAGAAACTACCTTAATTCTATCACCATACATAACAAACCAAAAATTTTAAAAAATAATAGAAAAGAAAGAAAATTACATTTCCTTTGTGGGGGTGAGCGTAGACAAGGGAGATAAAATACATTTGTTCTTTTAAGTTATTTCTAAACCAAGCAGAAGAAATTAAAATATACAAATAAGAATGAAGACATTTGCTAAAACAAAGTATATTGCATTGTTTGTTCTCCTTCCTTCTCTAACCTGCAGAGGGATAGTAAACCGTTCAGCAGAGAGCCCAGGACATAGGGTTGATAACTGCTAACATGGACAGATTACTTCATCTTGGTCAGGTACTGTGCTAAGCTCCTTACCTGCTTATAATATTTCATCCTTACAATAGTTCTATGAGCTGTAAATTGAGTACTCTTATTATCTCAATTTTACAGACGACACTTAATAAGATTAGTTTGCCCAAGACGTCAGAGTTACTAAGCAGTGAAGCCAGGATTCAGACTCAAGTAGTCTAATTTCAAAGTGCTAACAACTCTCTATTTCCAGTATGGCTAGAGAATAGAAAATAGGGAATCTAATCTCAATTTTATATTTGATCTAAATTTTGAATATTAAGCAGAATATTGACAAAACTGGATGAAGGATAAGATTTTCCAGTTTGACAGACCAATGTCTTCATAGATGTGTGTATTGTGTGTGTATTTTTTTAATTTCCTATGTATTGTAATATGTTGACATTTTATGAAACGTTTCTGGCTGAGGAAGAGCCTGCCCATCCAAGAGCTAGCCAACTCTTAGAGATAACAAAGTACCAAACAACTATTGACCACCTCCACCGCCCAAAGCCCACTGAAATTCTTCAAACGGCCAGTCCTATGCTTCTCATGCTCTGTGTTGCCTTTCCCTGGGAACCCCAATGAAGGCTGTGGCCTGAGGGCTCCCTGGGCCTGTTTTCTGCCTCCTGTCTACTCTGGTGTCTTTCCCATGTGTCATGCCATGCCTCCTGTCTCGAAGACCTGTACATATAATAAACTTTGCTTTCCTGAGCCTCTCCTCTGTCTCCACTTGTGGCAGCACCTAACTGGCCATCATGTAAAAAAAAAAAAAAAAATCCAAAACAATGTGGCAGTGAGAAAACAAGAGGTATCCCCAGGGTATGGAAGTGGCTCAGTGGGACAAGAGCACAATATCTATGTGGAGCAGAGGCTGGTAAACTGGGCCATGGGCCAGATCTGGCTTAACACCTGTTTTTGTACAGCCTGTGATTAAAGAATGAATTTTATATTTTTAAGTGACTGGAAAAAAAATTCAAAAAAGAAAAGAATGACATTTCATGATGTGAAAATTATATAAAATTTGTAAACTTATATGAAATTCCAGTATTCAGTAATAAAGTTTTATGGGAACATAGGCACAATCATTCATTTTCTATTGTTCATGGCTAATTTCAGAGAATTGAGTAGTTATGACATAAACTGTGGGTGCTGCAAAACCTAAATTGTTTATTACTTGGCCATTTACAGAGCTTACTAACTCCTGATCAAGGGAATTAACAGGGGGATGTTGAGAAGGGTGGGTAAATGACAACCAGTCTTCAAAAACATGCTTGATGATTTATAATTTGAAAGGCACAGGAGAACGTTGAAAGACTTTGAGGGATACGTGGCATAATCGGGATACTAGGCTTTTAAAATTGCAAACAAAAGACATTCCCAGATGCCCTCTGTAATAATCACTTATTATAAGGTCACAAAGGGAAGCAGGACAGTAAGGCAACTGGCTCAGGGGGAGTGGAGCCATTCTGAGTCCCAGGACTTCTGTGCCTCAAGAAAAGTAGCTCATCCACTGCAGGACTCATCATGACCTCAGGGGGACCACCAACAGAGCCTGTCTGGCTAGGTTGATTTAACACGCTCTAATATGGAGCATGCCTTATTCCACAAGGTATGATGGCTGGCCTCCTGTATGCCTAGCCTGTCCATGGTCAAGACAATGGTAGAAGAGCATGTTCTGTCTTTCTCAACACTCAGTACTGGAGCCCCAGCAACTGTACAAGAACTGCTTGAGGGCATTTTCCTTTGAAAGAAGATTTGAGCACAGTAGCTCCTTAGCATTTTAAGGATTCTTTCTCAGTGTTAGAGTAAAAATCCTGCCCACATAGGCCCTGATGCTACCTTGGGTGATACACCTATGTTGGCTGGAGGTGGTGGGGGGCGTTAGGGGATGGGGAGATCTTCACATCAGCATCTTTGCTCTCATTATCCTACTCTAGGCTTCACAACTACAGCAAGTATCTTGTTGGTTCAAAGTACCCAAAGGTAGGTGTATTAGTCCATTTTCATGCTGCTGATAAAGATATACCCATTTAATGAATTTACAGTTCCATGTGGCTGGGGTGGCCTCACAATCATGGTGGAAGGTGAAAGGCACGTCTCACATGGCAGCAGACAAGAGAAGAGAGCTTGTGCAGGGAAACTCCTCCTTATAATAACTATCAGATCTCATGAGTTTTACTTACTATCATTAGAACAGCATGGGAAAGACCTGCCCCACGATTCAATTACCTCCCACAAGGTCCCTCCCACAACATGTGGAAATTCAAGATGAGATTTAGATGGGGACACAGCCAAACCATATCACTCCACCCCTGGCCCCTCTGAAATCACATGTCCTCACATTTCAAAACCAATCATGCCTTTCCGAAAGTCCCCCAAAGTCTTAACTCATTTCAGCATTAACACAAAAGTCCACAGTACAAAGTCTTATCTGAGACAAGGCAAGTCCCTTCCACCTATGAACCTCTAAAATCAAAAGCAAGTCAGTTACTTCCTAGATACAATGAGGGTGCAGGCATTGGGTAAATACAGCCATTGCGAATGGGAGAAATTGGCCAAAACAAAGGGGATATAGGCCCCATGCAAGTCCAAAATCCAGCAAGGTGGTCAAATCTTAAAGCTCCAAAATGATCTCCTTTGATTCCATGTCTTACATCCAGGTTACACTGATGCAAGGGGTGAGTTCTCATGGTCTTGGACAGCTCTGCCCCTGTGGCTTTTCAGGGTACAGCCTCTCTCCCAGCTGCTTTCACAAGCTGGCATTAAGTGCCTGTGGCTTTTCCAGGAGCACAGTACAAACTGTTAGTGGATCTATCATTCTGGGTTCTGGAGGACAGTGGCCCTCTTCTCACAGCTCCAGTAGGCAGTGCCCCAGCAGGGACTCTGTATGGGGGCTCCAACCCCACATTTCCCTTCTGCACTGCCCTAGCAGAGGTTCTCCATGAGAGTCCTGCCCGTGCATCAGACTTCTGCCTGAACATCCAGGCATTTCTATACATCCTCTGAAATCTAGGTGGAAGTTCCCAAACCTCAATTCTTGACTTCTGTGCACTCGCAAGCTCAACACCACAGAAGTTGCCAAGCCTTAGGGCTTGCACCCACTGAAGCCACGACCTGAGCTCTATGTTGGCCCTTTTCAGCCATGGTTGGAGTGGCTGGGACACAGGACACCAAGTCCCTACACTGCATACATCACGGAGACCCTGGGCGTGGCCCACTAAACCACATTTTCCTCCTAGGCCAGTGGGTCTGTGATGGGAGGGGCTACCATGAAGACCTCTGACATGCCCTGGAGACATTTTCCCCATGGTCTTGGGAATTAACATTCCGCTCCTCATCACTTATGCAAATTTCTGCAGCCAGCCTGAATTTCTCCTCAGAAAATGGGATTTTTTTTTTTTCTATCGCATTGTCAGGCTGCAAATTTTCCGAACTTTCCTGCTTTCCTTCCCTTTTAAAACTGAATGCTTTTAACAGCACCCAAGTCATATCTTGAATGCTTTGCTGCTTAGAAATTTCTTCTGCCAGATACCCTAAATCATCTCTCTCAAGTTCAAAGTTCCACAAATCTCCAGGGCAGGGGCAAAATGCCACCAGCCTCTTTGCTAAAACATAACAAGAGTCACCTTTGCTCCAGTTCCTAACAAGTTTCCCTTGTCTATCTGAGACCACCTCACCCTGGATTTCATTGTCCATGTTATTATCAGCATGTTGGTCAAAGCCATTCAAGAAATCTCTAGAGAGTTCCAAACATTCCTACATTTTCCTGTCTTCTTCTGAGCCCCCCAGACTCCAACCTCTGCCTGTTACCCAGTTCCAAAGTTGCTTCCACATTTTGGGGTATCTTTCAGCAGCACCGCACTCCTGGTACCAATTTATTGTATTAGTCCATTTTTGTGCTGCTGATAAAGACATACCCATTTAGTGGACTTACAGTTCCATGTGGCTGGGGAGGCCTCACAATCATGGAGGAAGGTGAAAGGCACATTTCACATAGCAACAGACAAGAGAAGAGTGCTTGTGCACAGAAACTCCCCCTTATAATAACCATCGGATCTTGTGAGACTTACTTACTATCACAAGAACAGCACAGGAAGCACCTGCCCTCATGATTCAATTACCTCCCACCGAGTCCTTCCCACAATGGAATTCAACATGAGATTTGGGTGGGGACCCAGCCAAACCATATCAGTAGGTAAAAGCTTCAGCTTTGAATTCTAATGTTGTGTCATAAAAACCTAGTCTGCTTTATCTATTGCTTTAACAACTACTTTGTCTTGTAGCATTCTGTGTCTTTTAATGCAGGCACTTCTGTTCTTTTTCAAAAAAAGGAACAGGAATGAAGGAGAAAGGAAGAGGGAAGAAGGGAGGAAGGGAGGAAGGGAGGAAGGAAGGAAAGAAGGAAAGAAAGAAGGAAGGAAGGGAGGGAGAGAGGGAGGGAAGGAGGGAAGGAAGAGAGAGACAGAGAGAGAGAGGAGAGAGATGCCCTCGAGAGTGTGTCTATGCATTAGCAATTAAAAGCTGTCAGGGAGCTGGTCATTTACCCTCCTCTGAAGATATTTATTTGTATCATACTTACTTTGAATAAAATAGTAAAAGATTATCTTTTTAACTAGCTCAGCAAGTCCCCATAGTTTTCAAATCTGAGTTTCTGAAAGGTCTTTGTCTTTCTCTTTTCTAAAGCATTTACATTATTTGAATAGAGTAGCCAGAAACCAGAGTTTTTCAGGAAACTTAAAACCTGAAAAACTAAACAGTTCCTATATAGTTGGCAGGGACCCTATACTGAGTGTTGAGAATTACAGAACATGCTCTTCTACCATTTTCATAGCCATGGACAGGCTGAGCATGAAGAAGGCCAGCCATAATACCTTGTGGAATAAGGCATGCTCCATGTTGAAGGAAAATAAATCCACCCAACCAGACAGTCTCTGTTGGTGATTGCCCTGAGGTCATGATGAATCCTGCAGTGGATGAGCTACTTTTCTTGAGATATAGAAGTCCTGGGACTCAGAGTGGCCTCACTCCCCTGAGCCAGTTGCCTTGCTGTCCTGCTTCCACAGATGGAGAAAATGGTAAAGTGAACCTAGTGAAATAACCAGGGAGAGAACCTGAATTCTGATCCTTACTCCATTATTCAACCTGTGAGATCTTGAGTGAATCAAAACACTTCAGAGGCTCTAATTGTTCAGATAGAAGATATGAATAATAACACTTCTGTGGCATACATCACAGCTGGCGTTGGAGGTCAAGTGGAAATATATACATTCCAGGCTTTAGAAATTGTCAAATATAGGATAAATCAGAATAAAGGATGTAAACATTAGTAAGCAAAATGATATGGTTTGGCTGTGTCCCCATCCAGTTCTCATCTTGAAATGTAGTTCACATAATCTCCACATGCTGTGGAAGGGACTTGGTGGGAAGTAATCGAATCATGGGGGCAGATTTTTTTCCATGTTATTCTCGTGATAGTGAAAACATCTCATGAGATCTGATGGCTTTATAAAGGGCAGTTCCCCTGCACACCCTCTCTTGCCTGCTGCCACGTTAAGACGTGCCTTTGCTCCTCCTTCACCTTTCGCCATGGTTGTGTGGCCCCTCCAGTTATGTGGAAGTGTGAGTCCATTAAACCTCTTTTTCTTTATAAGTTACCCAGTCTCAGGTATGTTTTTATTAGCAGCATGAGAATGAACTAAAACACAGAATAAATGTGACTGCATTCATATTGCCAGAATAAGTGTTCTTAGCTGCAGAAGAACAAGCTCTCATGCCAGGCCAGATTGATAAGGGGTAACTTTGTGATGATTTGGAGTTTCATGAGGGTCTTGAAGATGAGGGAAAAAGAAAGCATTCTAGGCTGCAAGAAGGGTGCAGAAATAAACCTGGAAGCCAAAACGTTTGACGTATGTTTAAGGAGCAGTAAGTAAACTAGATTACTGGCTGGAGCAGATTAAGTATGTTAGCAAAGTTGTGGGACATGAATGTGGAAAAAGTAAGTTGAAGACACACCATTGGAGGCCTTGAATGCCAGGTTTAGATATTTGGGTTATTCAGAAGAAAAGAGCCAGTAATTTTAGACTAACAACTTGGCAATAGTGTGCAACTACATCAGGGAGAGATGGGCAGCAGCCAGACCCTACTAGCAACCATTGCTTTCATCCATCTAGGGACAGGATAAGGAACTAAGCTGAAGCGATAGTTGTGCTGGCTGCTCTGAAGGATCTGGTAGTTGAAGAGGCTGTAGGGAGAATGAAAAACCACTTCTTCTGAGTTTGACTGGTGTAAGGAAATGAGATAATACTGTTGGAAATGGGGAACATATAAGAGGGAGTTCTCATCCTGGGAGGAAAAATTAACTCACTTTTCGGCCTCAGTGTTTGAGGGAAGGAACATATGGGGCTTGAAAGGATTCTAATTCACCACACAGAAAAGGGCTTTGAGGAAGGAAAGGGCATGAGGGGGCTTGGACCCCCTCCCCCAACTCCCAGAGAAAGGCAGCAGGCAACCATTGCCAAAGATTGATAGATTGAGAAGGCTCTCCAAGAAAGGCATGAGGAAGGCTTAGAGAATTCCAGCAAGGAGGGAGACAGCTTCCAGAGGAACCTGAATAAGGGAGAAAGAAAGGCTGAACTCTCACATTCAAGCCCTTGGTGGTCTGAGCCTGACCTTCTCTGTAGGTCTCCCACATAGAGGAAAACTGCAATTTAAGACCAATGTTTCTGAACCAGGCAAATGGGGAGTCAAACAGCAAGGAGTGCTAATTTATATTTAAATACAACATTTTTATTACTTTTCTAGAAATTTGACACCAACCCTCATTTTAAACTAGACAAAGCAGCATAACTTTTTTCTTTCAAAATGATTGACACTCAAAAGGTAATAACCTTTAAATTCCTCCAATTAAAGCAAATTTAATTTTAAGTTGAATTAAAGGAAACTTTAATTAGAAAGAAGATTAAATTTTAATTAAATTTCTCTAAAATCTTCATACCGGCCTTTACAGCTAATATTTCTGTCAGAAACCAAATCCCTTCTTAATATTCTAAAATTCTTTTCTAGCATTTTCCTTCGTATTAAAACAGCATCTCACCAGCTGTACCTGCCACTGTGAAAATTATTCCCATCTTAAAATACTGGAAATACAACGGAGAAACCAAAGTCTCCCTGGGCAGAGAAGGAAAAACAACATATTCTATTATTGATGAGATTTTTATTTTCCATCTCCTCCCAGTCCTTTCTGAAGCGATTAGGTGTGATGGGCCTGCTGTGAGCCCGTTGTACTGCATCCACAGCATCAACAAATATTTATGGAACACCTACTGTGTGCATGGCCCTGCACTAAGTTTCCTGTCTAACAGGGAAACATTGTTAAAATTCTAGCTCAGGCAAAGACACCAGCCAACAGAGCCTAGACTACAAGCTACTCCTGGTGGGTTCTTGGCGACTGCTTGTTCCCAGAGTCAGAAAGAGAAATGTCAGTCTCCTCACAACTGGTCCTGCATCTTCCCCCGTCCCATGCTACTTGATGCTAGTGGGAAATGCCTTGAGTTAAGAGACATAAGTTTCAGATTCTAGACCTAAATTGCCATTAGATAACAATATTATCTTTGGGAAAACCCTAAACTCTCCATTTTTCACATTTCTTCTTTGTAAAATGGGTAATAAAACCCAAGGATGTTATAAGGATCAAATGAATTAACGTAGATAGAAAAAGTTTCTGAGAACGGCAAAGTGCTGGTTAGTGTAACGTATGAGGATATTGCTGACTGGCCTTCCCCTTCCCCCCACAGGTTCCGCCTGCTTTAAACTCTCTAGCTGTGTCCCCAGCCCTCCCCGGATGTCTTCCAGTTCATTGCTTACTGTTCTCACATTCACCATGCTGTAAATGTGGTTCTGTTAACCTTCCTTCCCACAACTACCTCCTGTTGCCACATTGCGTGTCCTCATTCCTTTCCTCTCAAGACCTCTTTCCTGCTCTCTGTCAACCCATAACCAAGCTCAGCTCCTCCCAGAAGCCAGCCCTGAGCAGAGCCCTGGACAGGGAACATTCCCTTGCTCCTAATACTGCTTTACATATGCACCCTCCTCTAGACTGATCTATGATCTGGATACTGACATATAGCAGAGCTTCTGCCTCCAGAAATGTGGAATATATTTCAAGATTCCCCACAGAAGATTGAAGTAAAAATAAAATGAGGATAAAGAATTTCATTAAGGCCTCCCCAGGCGGGGATGCTGGGGCTTGGCAGCGGGCTGAAGCAGCTCAAGGGCAGCACTGAGTACTCAGGACTCCACTCGGCTCCCTCTTGGCACCAAGATGCCAAGAAAGCTGATGCAATGACCTAGGGTAAAAGTCAGATCAAGGAACCAGAGAGACCACTTCCTCCCTTAGGTCCTGTGGCAGTTGTTCCTATAGGTTGTGTCACCATAGCCATCCATGCCAAACCTGGCTCCAAACAAAATACTGTAACAGATTTGACAGCACAGTTGGTAAATGTGGCTATTGCAGCACCTCCATCAGTGGGGGAGGATAATGCTGAGCTTTGTAGCTTATCTGTCCAAGGTCTTAGAACTCAGGAAGAGTGATGTGGTTTTGGATACGGGTGGTACATCGCTGAAAAGGTAGTGAAGCTTTTGGCCTCCACAACTCCAGAAGAAATCTTGAGGAAATTTAAAAAGAAAGCTGAAAAACAAAGCAAGAAATGGAAAATACATCCTTGAGAAACTTTTATTGCTAATGATGAAGAGGCTGTTACAAGCACATTCAAATATATATATATAAATTTGAATAAGACTCCAAAAAGTAGACATTTAAAAAGTAATATATGTTGAACACAGGTTCTAAAATCCCTGACCCCAAACAGCCTGGAGCATGTTACTCTGATTTCATGGCATTATAAAATAACAGAGCTGGAAAGAATATTCAAAGTGACCTGATTTAACACCTTTCATTCTCTGGTGGGGCTTCTGATATCCAGGAGTTGACAGACTTGTTCAAGATCATAACATGCAAGATGGTGACTAAAACCCAACGCCCTTGACTCCTTGTCAAATGCAGTTTATCCTGCTTGTAAATTAAAATTACCATATCTCCACAACAGTTCTGGAATTCTGGGGATTGCGTTCTAATCCGGTTTACAAGTGACAGAAAATCTGTTACACTGCTTTGTAGTGTTACCTTATATTTTAAAATGCTTATCTAAATGAAAAAAATAATTTTTTACATCTTTTAAAGACTATATTGACCATTTTGTAAAAAAAGTAATGAAAAATCATAACTTGTAATTAAAAGTGAATTATAATTTTTGAGAAAAAAAGAATTTCATTAAATGAAAGCTATCATGAATTTGCTTGACAGGAAGAAAATCTCTTCTTCACATGTTTCTAGGTTGAGTTTCCCATCCCTGTAAAGAAGCTGTGCTGAGCTCTGTACCCTGTACTCCCAGTACATGTCAATCACACACCCCATTTCCTTCAGTTCTAATACGGGCAAGGGCCTGTGCTTCATGCTCTGGAGAGATGTTCCCTAACTTTATGTGTCATTATCCCCTAACACGCTAGGTGCTTCCTCCCCAGGGTGCCTTTCGCCCTGGACCTGGAACACCACTGTCTCCTAAATCCTTTCCTCACCCGATCTTCAAAATCTCAACCAAACCCAACCTCCTGGAAGTGTCGGACTTTTCAGCCTTTTCTTCTGAATTCTTGTATTCATAGTGTTTGGTAACACAGGATGAATTATTTGATACAGGATTTGGTGTTGTTCTTTGCTATACCCTGTGTGTCAGATCTGTCTCCTCACCTCCCTACAGCTTTTCCAAGGAAGGATCTGTGTCTTTTGCTCTTTCTGGAGCTCTTGCTGTGCTCAGGCCGCTGCTGCAGGCATACTAGGGAACCAAGAAACACTTCTTCCTTAACTGTTTTTTAAAAGGGAATAGAAGCCCTATTCTATTTTGTCAGGTGCAAGGTAAACCAGAGACGTAGTAATTCTCACAAAGCAGCAGAGACTCTGATTACATGAGCCTAGAAGCAAGCAAAAACGAGTGACAGACGGAAATAGAAAATGGAAGATCAACAAAGGGTGCTTAAATAAGTGAGTTTAGCATGAGATGGAAGTGAAAATATGGAGGCTGACTTCTTCTAGGAGTGTGTGGGAGTTTGAGAGACCCCGAAAGTGAGATAAGTAAGTCAAGAGCAGAGACCGCAGAGAAGATTGTGTTTCCATGGCGAGCTCCTGGCCTGGAGCTCCATCATTCAACTGTGAAATGGGTACAGTGTCATTCTCACACTCCTACTTTAAGGACTTTTGCAAGACCTAATTATTTGTTATTCATAAAGGGCTTTGAACTCTTCACATGAAAGACACCAAGAGAAGTTCAAAGGATGAGTCAGTATCATTATTAGCTATAGTTCAACTCAAAGAGAGGAAAAAATATGACCATTTTCAGTGCACCTGTCATCTTGGTCTTTTTTATCATTTGTAGGATTTTTGTCACTAAATCAGAATTGCTCTTCATTACTTTTTCACTGGCAATTAAAAAAATATCAAAATGGAACTTGTAACAAGGAATCTGAATACTGATTTTTGCTCTCTATAAAAAGGTAAAACATGCGTCTCAGAAATATCTCAGGAATACTTTTCTCTTTAGACTATCTGCAAGAATTTCAGGGAATAGGTGACTTTACTGCCTTAGAAAAACTGGAGCTCAGAGAAATGGAGGAAGAAGGTAAAACTCACCAGTTTTAAATGTTGATTTTTTTTCTTTTTTACACCAATTGCCAAACCTCCAAACTGCCAAAATGATGGAACACTTTTTTTTAAGCTGAAGCTCTGAATAAAACTATCGTTCTCATTATCAAAATGCTGCCAACAATAAATCCTGACATATATTCTCTCTCTCCTTCTATCCACCACCCCCTTGCCCCCGCCAACAGCACAGTCTTTGGGAGGTGAGTTTCTCAAAGTTCCAATGGGACTGGAGTTTGATCATTTTCTTTGCTGTTCTGGCTCAAGCTTTCTTTGGGGTTTGTTTTCCATCATGGGCTGATGTCTGTGGGTCATGTCCTTCTCTTGCTGAGGTCTCTGCCTCTGGCTTTCTTTATTTCTTGCCTTTTTCTTGACCTGTTTGCTTTCAGGAATACCTTTACTGAGAATCTGCTCACTTCAATCTTTAACAAAACGAGAATTAGGACCAACCACAGTCATTGCTCTCACTTCTTTCTAGCATTTCTCCTTTCTCTCTGACATACATTAGTTCATTCACCAAAGTGAACATGTGTGTTGGAGTTGCAAATGGAGATTAGGGATGAGCAAAAGGTGTCAGCTACTCAAACACCCTACTTCCTTCTCTGTCTTAGATTATTCCTTCCTGGGAACCTTAATATGAATTTTTAAATAATGTTTAAAGATGACAAGTGGAGAATAAGTTGGCTTGAAAATAAACTGCCAAACTGGAATACTTTCTGCTCTGTCTGCCAAAACTGGGAGTTGAGAGGGCTCTACACATCATTATCCTTCCACAATAGCAGATGCTGTCTAAACAACAAAAGGAGGTGAGGTGGCCCACCTGGATGGACTGCTGGGTAATCCATATTGTCCCTGATCCAAAAGAGTCATAGGATCTTGAACTGTGCTATGGGCTTATTAGTAATTCACCAGAGGCTTTGTGTCCATATTCATTGTATTCACAAGTATTCTTTAAGGGACTTTTCATCCCATAGCGATAATTGGGTACCACATGACTACTCAATCTAAAATATCTTAAATGTGTGTTTAATAATTCCTCTCTTTCTATAAATTATTTCTCCAGAATTTGTTGTTGGTTTTTGTTGTTGTTGCCAGGGGAGTATATTATATAATATAAACAACAAAAGGACCCCAATTTCAATAATACTTCCTTAAACAATTTAAAAACAACCCTTAATACTCAGAGAGATACAACGGATAGTAGCAGTGAGAAATGGACCTTTTAAAAGACTCCATAATATTCTTCTTTCTTTATTCTCTGGCTCAGAATTCTATTTCTAAGAGAATCTCTATCTAAATCTTCCATTTTAAACACACATACACATGCAAATACCCCCTCCACTCTCACACTCTATACACAGATAAGCATGGTACTTCTTATTAGCTTCACTTTTAATACCAGTCCTTATTTTCAAATTTCCTCAGATGTTATTTGTTCCCTTACAAAACACTATACTCATCTCTGACTATTCACCCATAACCAAACATTTGAAAACAAATTACTCAACCATTATATCCAGCACTAGAGTGGAGATGGGTGACCTATATTCCGATCCCAGCTTTGCAAATAATTAGTTTTGTGACCCAGAATAATTCACTCTCACTAAGTCTAATTTCTTCATCAGTAAAATACAGAACATAACTGTCTTGTCTATTTGCAAGGTCGTTGTAAGAAATACTTGAAAACTGAATATGAATTTGAAGTAGAATGCTTATTATTGTCCATATCTACCTTATGGCATCTCTGCTTCTGCCATCCTCTCTGATAGTGTCTCTGCTGATTGCCACTTCTCCCACTTATTATTCACTCTTTCATTTATTGAACACATATTTATCATATACCAACTCTACGCCAGGCAGTGGAAACTCACAGATGCACGGAGAAGGCTGGCATCTCAGCTGAATATAGCACCCCTATATGAGAAGTACCCAAAATTCTGGAGGGCACCTACCCCAGAGGATGAAAACATAAAAGGATTCAAAGCAGTTCATCAGCATATACACAGAACGGACATGTGCCTTATCGTGCTTTCCATCTCAGTCACTCACCATTCATTCCTCTTTCCCAGTAGGATCTTCTTGGAGGAATTTGCTCTTTCTTCATTGGCCAAGGAGCAGACTCAACCAATGCTGACTGGGTTCTGACCTAACACACAAAATTTGTTCTATGGTGGCAGAGAGCCTTTAAATAGTAGTAATTTACTGATTATTGACACGGCCTTTGACCCAGCTTTCTCTGACATAAGACTGTTGCAATCATTACACGTCTTGCTCCTCCAGAACTGGCTCCATTTCTACCCTCTTCCAAGCCTGGTTCTCAGCCTTTTATGTGAATTAGCAACATACTACACTAAATATGATTTTTCCTTTAGGAGCTGGAGTTGCCTACAACACAACAAAACTATGTGTTAAAAAAAATACACCTATATGCTAAATGTACTGTGCCTTTGTGAATATATCTGAAATATACAAGCCTAAGGTCTCAATCCATATTTATTCATTCAACCAACAAATATTCATCGAGCATAAACTATGCATCTGACACAGTACCAGCTCACAGACAGGAGAGGAGGACAAACAGTTAACAGGTAATTAGAAAGATAATGTGTGGGAAGGAAAAGAAGCTCCTAATGAAGACTGTGGTGGCAGACTGGAACTGAGAGAAGACTTTCCATGAAGAAGTCATATTTTTCCTCAGACACAGGGGATGAGGAGGAGTCTGCTGGTTAGAGGGAATGGGGATGGAGTTCTAAAGCGAGGGAACAATAGGTCCCCCAAGGTAGAAAAGCATGTGCACAGCTTGTTCCTCTCCATTTCGTGCATCACCAAGCTGCAGAGCAAAGGGATAACAAGAGGAAGCTAGGAAGTAGAGTGTTATTCCTGGTCTTACAGCTAATTCACTGTGAACTTGAAAAGACAATTACTTTTTCAAAAAAATGCAATAGTTTTGGGATACCGGTGGTTTTCAGTTACTTGAATAAATTCCTTAGTGGTGATTTCTGAGATTTTATTGCACCTGTCACCTGAGTAATGTACACTGTACCCAATATGTAGTCTTTTATCCTTCAACCCCTCCCAACATTTACCTGCTGAGTCCCCAAAGTCTACAACATCACTTTTATGCCTTTGCAGCCTCATAGCTTAGCTCCCATACATAAGTGAGACTATAGATATTTGGTTTTCCATTCCTGAATTACTTCACTTAGAATAATGGCCTCCAGCTCCATCTAAGTTGCTGCAAAAGACATTATTTTGTTCCTTTTTATGGCTGAGTAGTATTCCATGGTGTCTATATACCACATTTTCTTTATCCATTCATTGATCAGTGGGCACTTAGGTTGGTTCCATATCTTTGCAATTGCAATGTGCATGTGTCTTTTTCATAATGACTTCTTTTCATGTGGGTAAATACCCAGTAGTGGGATTCCTGGATAAAATGGTAGTTCCACTTTTAGTTCTTTAAGGAATGTCCATACTGTTTTCCATACTGGTTCTACTAATTTACATTCCCACCAGCAGTGTAAAAGTGTTCTATTTTCAGCACATCCAAGCCAACATCTATTATCTTCTGACTTTTTAATTATGGTCTTTCTTGCAGGAGTAAGGTGGTATTTCACTGTGGTTTAATTTGCATTTCCCTGATGATTAGTGGTGTTGAGCATTTTTTCATATATTTGTTGGCTGTATGTACATCTTCTTTTGAGACATGTCTATTCATGTCCTTTGCCCAGTTTTTGATGGTATTATTTTGTTTTGTTTGTTTGTTTGTTTTGCTTATCTGTCTGAGTTCCTTGTAAATTCTGGATACTAGTCCTTTGTCAAATGCATAGTTTGTGAATATTTTCTCCCACTTTACGGGTTGTCTGTTTACTCTGCTGATTATTTATTTTGCTGTGCAGAAGCTATTTAGTTTAATTTGCCATCATGTATTTACTGCTGTTTTTGTTGCATTTGCTTTTGGGGTCTTAGTCATGAATTCTTTACCTAAGCCAATGACCAGAAAGATTTTTTTCCAATGTTATTTTCTAGAATTTTTATGGTTTCAGGTCTTAGATTTAAATCTTTGATCCATCTTGAGTTGACTTTTGTGTAAGGTGAGAGATAGGGATCCAGTTTCATTCTTCTACACGTGGCTTGAAAAGGCAATTACTTTTGTATGCCTGTTCCCTTGTCTGTGAAATTAGGTTGGAGAGAAACATAATACGGATGGTTTCTATGATTTTATGATTTTGTATATGTCTAATGTCTAGTATTAGATGAATAAATGATAGGGCATCAGTCTCCTTTCTGCTGCTGCCTATGACATGAGAAGATGATATAGGTACAGAAAATTTGCAGAAGTAAAAAGAGGACACAAAGGTTTGGATGAGTGGAGTGTAAAAGGAAGAAAGGCAGAAAGTTGCCAAAGATGCCTGCACTGGTTTTTGGTTTATCAATAACTAATCCTACACAGTATTTGTTTCTTTCTTGCTTGCTATTCATTTTAAGACAGCACCTTTTTCATATTGCTTACACAATGCATTATATCTGTGTGTGGTGTGTCTCTGTGTTTGTAGTCCTGTGCTTTTTTTTTTTTAATACTAATTTTTAAAATGGAATGCCGTTATAAGTAGGCCCAATGCCTCAAATCATATCCAAAAATTGGCAGAGTTGGTGATTCAGCATAACTGATGTGACCTCATTGGATGAATTAATTACCAAAAATCCTACCCACCTGTTTAGAGAGGAATTCTCTGGGAAGTAGGGGGCAGTCAGCCAAGAAATCTACCTGTTGGTCATCAGTGAAGATGTGCATTTTCTCAGTTCATAGTCCTTTGCCCCTAACACCATTCTTCTCTGAATGACTAAAGAGATCTGAGTAAGGGACAGGTCAGAGCTGGGAGATGAGATAAGTACACCCCTGGGAGGACAGCCCTATGACCAGAGAAGAAAGAAAATGGTCTGAAAAGAAACCACCCTAATAAGATCTGAACTTCCTTTGAGTTCCAAGACATAAGAAATCCTTGCAAATCACTTTCTGTATAAAAAATTTAAGCACAAAACTGTAAGCAAGTCTGCTTTCCAATACAATTTACTGAAAGAAAAATGAATATTTAAAAAGCTTTGTTGATAGCTATGTACTATTCCCAGGTGTAAGAAGCAAAATTGAATTCAAACACGAGGTGAGCTCAGTTCCTACAAGGAGTTGATGTAACCTCAGTAGTGTTAAGAAACACAACTTCCCAGACTGTGCAGGAAAAATATCTCACCAGAGGTCAGGAAAGCAGTGCCTCTCCAGGCATACTGTGATGCACTCAAGACTGGGGAGCAGGACCTGTGGAGTCTGAAATGTAGCTTCATTCTCAGTGCTCTCATTCTCGATGTTGCTCTTCTGATATATAATACACATCACCATCATTAAATCTTAGCCCACCCCTTTCCTACATATTGGAACTCCCTCTCCTTTTCTTCCCACTTGACCCATCCCAAAGGTCAAGTTGATGTTTGGTTGGCAACCACTGGGAAGCTTTTCCAATTCAAACTAACCTTGTGTGACATGTTTTCATCTAAATTCCTATGGAAACCACTGTATAAATCACTCATTTGGCACTTAAAGCATTCTTTTCTTATTATTTTGAATTAAATCAGATAATTAATATGAAAATTCATTGAAAGTTATAAAGTGATAACCCAGCATTTTTCAAATCATATTCCACAATAAAACAAATAGTACTTTAAAAAAAAAAAAAGGATTCCCTAGTAAGTGTGAGGAACAAGCAAAACTCTTTATGGGGATAGAAATCAAATTTGTGGTTGCCTGTGAGAAGGGAAGTGAAGGGGAAGAGGCTTGACTGGCAAGGATTATGAGAAAACTTTTGAGAGTGATAGAAATATTCTATATTTTGTTTGGGGTTTTGGCTACAAGAGCGTATCCATTGGTCAAAACTCACCAAACTGTATATTTTTCTGTATGTAATTCTATCTCAGTGAAAAAGTTAAAAAGGTGTCTTTATCACAAAACTTCAAAAAGCTTCTATCAGGTTATTATACATTATAAACCTCCAGAAAGCAGATACAGCACCTTATTTGTCCAAAGTACCCTTCTTTTCTAAAGTGTTCTTGAGATAGCAGTAATCTATGGAAAGCTCTTTCTATTATATAACAACTATTTTCTATTACTAAACTTGATTCTCCAGGGCAGAGACTGGTTTCGTGGCTCTTTGTACCCACAATCCCTGGCACAAGATCCCATGGACATTAAGTAAATGTGCCTTGTTTCTGCTCTGGCTGAAGATAATGATGTAGATGATGATGCAAAGTGTTATAATAAAGGTAAGGGTAACTTGCCCCAGGTCACAGCCTCAAGACCACAGTAATCTAAGCCCCAGGGAGCATGAGCTCCCAGCATGAGCTCTCTTGCCACAGCAGCAGAATGGCAGGGGGGATATTTTGGTACGAGGGTTCTAATAGTGGCTCTCAGGTCTCAGGATGTGGCTGCATTCTCTAATCATGTAGAAGATCACTCTGCCAGTTTCTGAGAACTAATTCACTCATAAGACACCCATCAAACATTCTGGAGCTGGGCACTAGGGATTCCACAGTGAATAAAATGCAGTATTTGCCCTCAAAAAGCTAGTCTAGTGGGGCAGTGAGACAAAGAGATAACTTAAAATGCAAGCGAGCAGAAGCAGGGGCTGTGTGAGCACAGGGCAGGCATAACTCATTTAGCTCCGGGAGGATTTAAGATACTGGTATTTGCCAGTTGGAGATGGTGGTAGAAGTCATTCCAAGCTGAGAGATAAAGATAATAAGGTGATACGTTTGGAAAGTACTTTACATGTCAAATGAATGTAACTAATATGCTTTATCATCTTACACAGGTTATTTACCTTTAGCTACCTCATGCCAAAATAAACATAACAGTGGTTTGTTTGTGTCTAGTAAAGCTGGAACATAGAGTTTCTGGGGCATGAAGGAGATATGGTTGGATGAGCTGGGGCCAGGTTAGGAAGCTCTTCTGGATCATGTAAAGATGACTGAACTTTTCCCCAGGACAACTTAAAGAGAGTGGCATAACCACTTACGTAGTAGAATGTCGCTGAAGTCTGGATCATACAGCTAATTTCATATAGATTTGTGTTCTTCAAGTGATTTTTTTTTTCAGAATGTTAGTCTCATTTCCTCAAATATATTGTAAACTACTTGAGGGCAAGATTTTTTTTTTCTTTTCTTTTTTTGAGACAGGGTTTCTTGCTCTGTCACCCAGCCTAGAGTGTAGTGGTGCAATCATGGCTCACTGCAGCCTCAACCGCCTAGGCTCAAGCATATCCTCCCACCTCAGCCTCCCTAGTAGCTGGGACCACATGCACATGCCACCATGCCCAACTGATTTTTTAACTTTTTTGTAAAGATGAGGTCTCACTATGTTACCCAGGCTGGTCTCAAACTCCTGGGCACAAGCAATCCTCCTACCTCGGCCTCTCAAAATGCTGGGATTGTAGGCAGGAGCCACCATGCCTGGCCAGGGCAAAACTATTATCTCATGAAGCAAGCAGCGACATATTGAGGCCACACAAAATGTGCTTGATATGTATGTCTTAATTAATGATAATACTATTACCTGGCTTCTTTCTAGATATCTTAATAACATTTATAAAGTTTAATACTGTCACATTATAAAGCAGAGATCAGAAATCCTAGAGCACAGGATTTTGTATTTTATACATTTTACAAAGAGATATGGTTTTTATTTTCTGAAAGCTTTTACATTCACCCTGAAAACATGTAGGTGGGTGACTGTTGGAGAAGACTAGGCAATGAATGAGAAGGGCTGCTAATCAAAAGGCCAAGGTGGAATTGGGGAAGAGGAACCACTTAAGTGCAAGAGATCCCAAGGAAGTATATTACAAGGCAAGGGGAAACAAGAATGTGGGGAGAAACTAAAAGTTGGCCAAGGGAAAAGAATAGGTAGAACTGATTAAGACAATCTTGGTTAAAGATCTATTTACCAGTAAGTACAAATTCTTCTTCTGAGACCACTAGATTTAGTGTTGAAAGGAAAAAACAAATACACAACTAAATTGAGAAAAATCAATGATGACTTTGTAGACTATTTAAGACTTGACCTGAGTGAGTTATTTTGTTTTGTTTTGTTTTGTTAATCGTTTCCTATAAGCAAAAACACACAATACAAACACACTTGGATTCTGATGTATCTCGGCCCCTCTTAGGATTCACAAGCCCTGGATATTGCCCTCTAGGCCACACAATCCTTCTTCTCCCTCACAAAGATAAATTTCATATCAGTCCGGCAGTCAGCCATCATCTATTCTCAGGGGAAGAGTATACAGCATGACCTCCCTTGAAATATTAGCTCTATTTACACGGGTTTGCGTGGACCACATTACTTATGAGTCACCAAGGGGAAACGGGGCCTCCGGTAGATAAAGCGATCAGCACAAACCTCTGTAAATAAATCGGAAATTTCAATGAAGGTCATGCCAGGCCTGATTTATTCCTCAGCAGCCTATGAAATAATGTTGACCAGGTAAGTGGTTTTCATTTTTTCCTCCATCCACACAAGGGAGAACTTTTTCACTCTAAGGAGCTTGTCTTTCATACTACAATGAGCATCTCACTAGAGAGATAATATACCCTGAAGGAAATAACTTTTTATTATTATACTAGATACTCAATAGTGAAAGGCCAGATCATCTAGCAAGAATTTTGTTAATTCAATCTGGTGGTACAAGTTCTCATAACAGAATTTTATGGAAGAGCTATTGCTCAACCACAGAAACTTTTTTATTCAATAAACAGAAGTGGAGCACCTTCCTTTAGGAAGCATGTGCAGAGTATGTTAAGCAATGTAAGGAAGATGAAGATGGCTACACCATGGTCCCTGAAAGCCTCCCCATGTCTCCACTGGAAACCCCCAACTATTCTGAAGCGTCAAGAAAATGTCTATGGCATGTCGATAAACCATTTTGCTAAATAAATAATCATTCAATCAACCTACATGTATTGTGCATTTTCTGATCACAAGACTTTATGTTAAATATTGGAGCAAGGAGGCAGGAGATGTGAAATGAAAACTGAAGAAATAATTTTTTACATTCAGAATCCTACAAGGCAGTCAAGTTTTATTGTATAAATAATCATTCCAGTGAGAAAAAAAATAGCCAATCAAATTAGGTGTTGTTTTTGTTTTTGTTTTTAATTTTGAAGCTGAAAAGCCATATATCTTTTTTAAACTGAATTTTCTACTTTTCCATCTGTCTTATTACACATATCCCATATGTAGCAAAGAGACTTCAGGACACCAAAGAATTGCCTTCTAAGCAGGAAAAAATAAATTCTTGAGAGAATTGTTGAGAAAGGTAAAGAGAAGGCTTCAAAAATCAAAGATAAGAACTAGACATTAATTAGTTATTCACAGAAGAAGATAAGATGCCAATAATGCTGAAAGTTTGCATCAGGAACTCTCATTCACCGTATGACTCTTCCAGGTTTGGTTGGAATTTACAGCATTAATGGTAACAGCCCCTGCTTTGATTTATATCCGGAATCATGATAAAAGACATCTCTTCAGTCTGTGAGGGTGCCATTAGAAACTACAGCTGAGGAGAAAAGGAAGATGTCTGTCCTCCCAGTGTTAATAGAAACACCAATCAGACTCATTTTGAGAAAGGATTCTCTGGTTCCCTTTTAAAAACTCATTTATATGCAAGCAATTGATAAGTTCCTTGGAAGACGCTTCTATCTGTTCATAAAACCTCCTCATATTAAGGGCTCATTGTGTACCCAAGAATGAAAAATGTGGATTTTGTTGCACAAGCTTGTTCTTATTTATACAGATTTTCTTATCTTCACCCTCTCTTATAGTTTTCTAACTTTGTGCAGTTTCACTTTTCTTCTAACAAATATCTCTTCTGTTGGGACATGGCCTTATACCCTGTAGAGGAAAACACAAAATGTTGGTCTTTCTATCTGTAGCAACTCTGATCTGCAGTAGGGTGTGAGCACCCATTCTGGATTTTATATATATATATATATATATATATATATATATATATATATATATATATATATATATATGATAATTTTCTTGGATTTTCAGTCCGTGCTTACAAAGGTTTCAGAATATTTTAACTGGTTAGGACATAAGCAGAAACCTGAGGGCTGCTACTTGTCATGCTGCGGCACTTGCCTGTATCTTCTGCCTTTTTTTCCATTCGATCAGGCTTTATGTGTGCTTTGATCCAGGCAAAACATAACAAAGATATTTTCCAGTTTCAAAACTCCAACTATATACCCACCGAGGGCAAAGCTGAAAACCATCATTAGGCAACAATGATGCTTTGAAATTCTGGCTGTAGAATTTTGTGGAGCATACTCTCCTTCCCCTTTAGGTGAATAAAACTCTCTATAATGCTTCAAATTCATAATGCCTCCCAGTTTCCCTGTAATGCAGCCTTGCTTTGTTATTCCCTCCTTGCTGCTAAAGAAACAGAGGACAAGAGTGGCTAAATAACTCGCCCAAAGTTATTCACATGGATTAAAATGAGAATATTAAACCTATTGTAAAGAATGAAGTGAATGTTCGCTGCAGTCACAGATTCTTCCTGTGGCAATGCTAATACCTATTGCCTGAAATAAGTATTAGCATCAGCTACCACCTGCCAGTTCAAACCTCGTGCCTTCTCTAAGACTAGCTCAGGTCCCACTTCCACAAGGTCCACTTCTTCCAAATCGGCCTTTGATGAACCTCTGTTAAGACTTATTAATGTCACAATTGAGCTCTTGAGCCTTTACTATGTCTGTTACTATAAAGTCCAAATTGTCAAAGTCTTAAAGTTAGTAATATATCCCCTATTTCTTTCATTGTCTACAATGATACTCATCCTATATTATGGTAACAGTAGTACCTCAGTAATTATTCCATTGATTAAAAAAAAGCAGTAGATTAAAAGTGAAAAAAAAGCATGGACTTGAGTTGCCAGTGATAAACTCTTTTGTACAAGTCTAAGTTTCAATGTTCCAATCTATAAAATGAAAATGTTAAATAATATGTTTTCCAGTAGTGATCCTAAAAGTAGACTTCTATGATTGTATTGTTCTACTTGCACATACTCTTTGGAAGTGCCCAAAGGAGGGGAAGTTTTCTTATGTTTTCCCATTTCTTGCCCTTCTGCATTCCACATATTCCTTCAACCCTAATCCAACTAACTCACCACTTCCAGAAGGGCTTAGAGAGGTGTTACTGAATGACTACTAAATGGACTACTTCTAGTCTATTTAACTTGTCTACATTTGAAAACATATATTTCAAGACATATTGAAGCAAAGCTGAAGACTCTAAACATGGACTCATCAGCTACATGTTACTCTCTGTCTCCAGTATATGGAGAAGGAGCAGAGCCAAATACATTTTTCTAGAATCCGGAAATAAAAATAGGGTGAACAGAGATTTTTTAAAAGACATTGAAATTGCATATAAAAGTTCTCAGTCATTGAATGAGGAAGTTTGTCTCTGACATGAGTTATTTCATGATAGACAATGTGCATTCAATATGACATTATGAGATCTGACTTTTGGTTCAACTTCTGCTGTCTAAACAGATATTTGGCAAATTGAAAATAGTCTTTCATCTCCCTTCCAGCACTAATATTGTAACATTTGAGAGGTCTGATGGGGCCTCCTATATCTCCAATGAGTAACTCCATACCTAAGTTCCCAGGACCCCCTTTTCCTCCTGGGTAGTGTTCTTTCCTCTAAACCATGCCCTCCTCAAACAGCTTCTAAAGGATGGACCTGTTCTAACAGATTCCATCTATATCAGTGTCACACGCATGTGCCTCGGCTCTTCAAAAACCTGCCACTGATGTAAAATACTTGACACATGAAGTAAGTTCATGCTGTCCATTCACATGCATACGTAAGAATACAGGATCTCCATGAAATCTGTCCAGCATGGAAAAAGAAGTGACTGTTGGATCACAGGAAGGAGTCACCCATGTTCCCTCTCTGTTAACCAACTTCCTCAATTTTCATGAGGTATCTGTTTTGCGTTATAATCTGATATGTTAAAAATACCAAATGGTGTACCAGAATTAAGGAGACCAATCTCACAAAACATTTTGCCAGTAATTTTCTACCAGTTTTAAAACTCATTTTCCGTAAGAAAGTGATGACATAGGACAGGCGCAGTAGTTCATGCCTGTAATCCCAAAACTTTGGGAGGCCAAGGCAAGTGAATTGCTAGAGCTTGGGAGTTCGAGACCAGCCTGGCCAACATGGCAAAACCTCATGTCTGCAAAAAATACAAAAAAAATTAGATGGGCATGCTGGTAGTCCCAGCTACTCAGGAGGCCAAGACAGGAGGATCGCTTGAGCCCAGGAGGCAGAGGTTGCAGGGAGCCAAGATCGTGCCACTGCACTGCAGCCTGAGTAATAGAGTGAGACTCTGTCTTAAAAAAAAAAAAAAAAAGAAAAAGAAAGTGATGACATAACATAATGAATGGATTCACAAAGACCCAAAGCATGAAGTACCTTTCCTGGACTCAGTTCCTTCATCTATATAGTGAAATGGTTGTACATGTCCAAAATTATAGAAATGATTTAGTAACTTAAGGTGAATCAAGATAATAGACTATCATGCAGCCATTAAAATAAAAATTACAAAAACCTTGTAATAACATGGAAAAAAATTCTAAGTCAATGTTACATAGTGGTAGAAAAATATTTTATTGCATTTTTGCTTCAGTAACTATACAAATAAAAATGCATACACTACAAAAAAGGTGACAATAACTATTTAGGGTAGTTTAATAATGGGTTATTTAAATGACTGATAGCAGCTTGAAAAATCAGCCTTTTCAATAAACAATGGAGTGGTTAGAATGATTGCTGCAGTCTCATCCAGCTATCAAACTCCATGATCCTTTGATAATACATTCATGTTAATGTGTTCAACAAGTATAAATGAGATAAGGAGCTCCTCATCAAGATAAAAGATCCATTTTAAAAATCTGGAGAAAGTGCCTTTATGAAAAAGCCATGACTGTATAGATTTGTTTGTTTCATATAGTTTTAAAATAAGGGAAAGATGATATGTCCCTTCTCCAAAGTTTTTCCTGACTCCAGGAAGGGTTAGGCACACTAGTTCCTTCCTTGTATCTTTAATAGAGACAGCACTTTACACATGGCACAAGGACTGTTTGTTTGTACATCTGACTTTCTTTGGAAACTGTGACCCCCATGAAAGTAAGCATACGACTTTATTCAATTTTGACTCTCCAGAACCCAGCTAAGTGCTTGGCATACAGGTGGGGCCAAATTCAATGTTAGCTTTAAGAAATGAATAAATGAATAAGAGAAAATGAGTATAGGTGGATTAGCATCCTTCCTTTGAAGACAGATACACCACAGGTGCTCAAGGGCTTGGGTCCTATCCCAGGGCCAGTGGTTTTCTTTCTGTTTGTTTTCGCCTCAAGCCATTTTCATATACATTGGCCACTAGGGCATCTTCTTGTTGCCAGAGAAACATGATTTACACTTCACCTCACAGGCTGAAGGTTTGGCAGACCAGACTCATTAAACTTCAGAGTGTTACATGTGCCCCTTCCTTGCTTATTGTTTTAGTCAGCATTGCTAATAAGCCACCCTTGCCCCTACTGATTTATTTTCTAGCTGGGCTCATCTTTACAGAGTATGCTAGAAGGTTCTCCAACAACCTCTTTCACTCCCATAGAGAGGACCATGAGTATGTTGGGGGCTGTGTTGGTCCTCTGATCCTCTTCAGAGAGAGAAACTATATTCCCTAAAGCACATTAATGTAGCACTTCTATCAGTGCCTCTGGGGCACCCAAAGAAGTAGTCCTGGACAGGAGTTCAACAGGGTTTCTGGATACAGAGGCATATAAAAAACAATTTGATTTTTAACTTATTAAGAGTTTTTAGTTCATAATTTTTTTCTATTACTCAGAATACTCCCCATCCATTCTCTATCTTTAAAAGTTCTACTTGTGCTGGAAACAGTGACTCATGCCTGTAATTTCAGTGTTTTGGGAGGCTGAGACAGGAGAATTGCTTGAGGCCAGGGGTTCATGACCAGCCTGGAAAACATAATGAGACCCCCATTTCTACAAAAAAAAAAAAATTTAAATAAAAAGTCGGGAATAGTGGCACATGCCTGTAGTCTCAGCTACTCGGGAGGCTGAGGCGGGAGGACCGTTTGAGCTGAGAATTTGAGGCTGCTGTGAGACATGTTCACACCACTGCACTCCAGCCTGGGTGACAAAGTGAGACCCTGTCTCTTAAATAAATTAATTAAATTAAATTAGAAGTCATAAATAAATAAATAACAAAAGTCCCCTTGCAAATGGCTTTTCTAATCAGCATTAAATATTCCCAAATCTGTTTTTTCTAGATACCTCCTTGTGTATCTCTTACTTCACAACTCAGCCCATTCAAAGTGTTGTCCACAATTACTGTCTTCATTTCCTCTCAGCTTTCACCTTCCATACCCTCTTTAACTCACTGCTCCACTGAAACTGTTTTCCCAAAGGCCAGTGATGATCTCTGCCAGTAAATCCAGTGAACCTTTTACTCCACACATATTATGTGGCTTCTGCATCTATGGACACTGTCCCCACTCCCTCACTGAAACACTTGTGTTCGCTTTCCTTGACTTCTGGGAGACTCCAGTCATTTGGTTTTTCTTCTACCTCTCTAGCAATTTCTTCAGGGACTTTTCTTTTACCCACACCTTAAATGTCAAGGTCTATCTGAGTTCTGTTTTCCTTTGCCTTTGTCTTCCTGGGTAAGTTCATCTATTCCCATGACTTCAGAATTTCCTATGTGCTGAAGATTTCCAGCCTGATCTTTTTCCTGAGCTCCAGAACCACCATACCATATAGTGAACACCTCCATTTGAACATCCTAGAGGCAACTCAAATTCAACATGTCGAAAAAAAACTCATTATTCTACTTCCACAGACATGTACCCCTTTTATATTCTTCTTTATCTCTGTGAATGGTCAGACCATCTACCCCCTTACTTGAACTAGGAACCTACTAGTCATCTCCAATTCTGTCTTTTCCTGCTCGTTTTTCTCTCCTACATCCAACCAATCGCCAAATCCTGTTACTTCACCTTCCTCAGTAGTTCAAATCCATTCACTTCTCTTTTTCCCACTGCTGATAACTTAGTTCAGGTTACTATCACCTTTCACCTGTACGATTTTGCTTATTTTACCTCTAAGCTTAAAAGATATAGTATAATGAGACCCATAATACGATAATTACCTTCTCCTTATAGCCAAATTTTTCCCATTAGCCTAAGTGTATCACAGTTCCATGTGGTTACTTTGTCTTGATCTTCACATTGGTTACAGATTTAAAATGTGGTCTTTCCTAGAAAAGCATTGTATCTTCAAGTATGCAATACATGGACTAGATACACAAGAATGCCACAACAGTTCAATAGTTTTCTCTACTCCCTGCTATCCTTAACTTTGCAATTGGAATTCACTTTCTGTCTCAATCACAATTTCAGCTCCAACATGGTGTTAATCAACCAGGACTCAGAAGTGCAGAGTATTACAAGTGCAGGCTCTAGAACCTATATGCTTAAGTTATAATATTTACTGCATGACTCAGGGTAAAACATTTAACATCCCTGGGCCTAGTTTACCCATCAGTAATATAAGGATATTAATAGCATCTATCTCAAAAAATTATTAGGAGGATAAAATTTGTTACAAATGAGCACAATACAAGTAAAGGAATTAGGTAAACGCCTGGCACACAGCAAAATCTGTTGGCCTTTTCTATGATTTTTTGATTGGCTTATCTCTTCCCCTCTAGTTTTCCTGAGCCTACTCCTCATGCCCACAACTAAATTGCCCTCCTTCTATCACTAGGAGCACATTTTCTGGCATCCCGTCTTCTCTCCAGGCCAGCCTCACATCTGTACCCAAAGGTAGGTGTTATGATCTTCATTTTAGAAATGAAATCAAAGAGTTGAGGCACAGATGTGATCCTAACAGAGAAGGAGTCAGTAAATGTCAGTGATATGGTTTGGGTCTCTGTCCCCGCCCAAATCTCATGACTAATTGTCATCCCCAATGTTGCAGGCAGGGCCTGGTGGGAGATAATTGGATCATGGAAGTGGATTTTCCCCTTGGTACTCTCATGACAACAGTAAGTTCTCATGAGAACTGGTTGTTTAAAAGTGTATAGCACCTCTCGCCCTTTCTCTTTCTGCTCTGGCCATGGGATGTGCCTGCTTCTCTTTCACCTTGTGCAATGAGGGTAACTTTCCTGAGGCCTCCCTAGAAGTCAAGCAGATGCACATTGCTTCCTGTACTGCCTGCAGAACCATGAGCCACTTGAACCTCTTTTCTTTATAAATTGCCTAGTCTCTGGTATTTCTTTATAGCAGTGTGAGAACAGACTAATACAGTCAGAGACAGGACCAGATCTCAGCAGCTCAGAAATTTGCATTTAGGGCTCTTCTCAGCTTCTGGAAGAGAATTTTCTTTTTTGTTGAACAGGGAATACTTCCATGTGCTCTGCATGAAGCATTATTTCTAAATGAGAGAAAAAGGTGGCTGTCAAATGATGGCTCCATCCTGCCATGCTGCCTACAATTCTCATCATTAAAGAGGCTTCCTAAAATATCCTGGAGAAACTTTCTGAAGGGAGGTCATTCTTAACATCTTCCTTCCATGCCACTTTTTTTTTGTTACCTCAGAGTACCTTATTTATATTTCCATGAAAACTTAGCACATTTTATTATAGTGAGTTGTTTCTGTGTCTCTCCCTAAACCCCACCCAACAGATTGTGAGCTGAGAAGGGAAACACATCTCACTAATCTTTAAGTTCCTAGTGCCCATCTTGAGGCCTATCCCATGGAATATAATTCAATAAAAGTGTATTTTATGATTTAGTAAATATATTCTTGAACTGAATCAAAACACAAAGTATTTGAAAAATGGCAATATCCCAAGGGAATGTTTTAGATGCTGCTGCACAAACCAGAATACATCAAAACTCTCACGGGATTAAATATAGACCAGCTGGTTTTGATGGCAGGACATGTTCAGCTGCAAATAACAAAATATCCAATTAAAAGTGGCTCAAATTTTAAGGGTGCTATATATTGCTTATTTCACAAGATGTTCAAAGGCAGACAGTCCCTGGGCATCAGTGAACCAAAGGAGAGATGACAAGGGTACAGAAAGATCAACTTTTTCTCCTCTGAAGCATAATCCAAATTGCCTTGCCAGCTTTTTCTCTCCTCATTTTAAACTTCCATGGGCTGGGCAAGGTGCCTCACGCCTGTAATCCCAGCACTTTCGGAGGCTGAGGCAGGCAGATCACAAGGTCAGGAGATCAAGACCATCCTGGCTAACACGATGAAACCCTGTCTCTACTAAAAATACAAAAAATTAGCCAGGCGTGGTGGCACGCGCCCGTAGTCCCAGCTACTCAGGAGGCTGAGGCAGGAGAATCACTTGAATCTGGGAGGCAGAGGTTGCAGTGAGTCGAGATTGTGCTACTGCATGCACTCCAGCCTGGGCAATAGAGCCAGACTCTGTCTCAAAAAAATAAAATTAAATAAATAAATAAATAAATAAATATAAAAAATAAACTTCCATGAAACTTCCTCCTAATACTACTTGTCCATAACTTGCTTCCGTTTTATGTCCATAGCTCACTTCCCAAGTGGATGTTCAACTGGCCAAGAGGAAGAATAGTGTCTTATATGTATTTGTATCTGCCCCTGTGATATTTATTCTGCCTTGGTTGGCATTAACAGCTTAGTCATCATTTGAGTAATTGATTGATTCAAAGTTTTACTCATGTCCCACACACAAGGGATTTCTACAAGTAATGCACGTTTATTATGGAACACAGGCTTCAGGTGGTGAGGGGGCAAAGTGTGCACCTGTTCACCCAGCAAACAAACCCAAACCCACTTTAATTTTCTTGATTCTCTGGACGAATCTCTCGTGAGGATGCATTTCTGGTGAGTTCCTCAGAGCATGTCTTTATGCTGCCAACATTGCCACAATTTTATCTGGATTGAGTTGAAGCCTTGTTGATTTAATCAAGAAATTTATTTCTGACAGACAGCTGGGTAGCATTTGTCACTGTGTTTTGAATCCAAAGTCAGAGAGATTGAGAGTCAGTGTCATCACTCTTTGGGTGGTGGTGAACCACAAACATGGTTTATTTACACCATAAATTGTTATTTGTTGTTTCTTACAATGCACATAAACCCATAGGCTAAACAACAAGAATACTTTATACATTTTACAAATAAAGACACGAATGCTCTGGAATGAATACTACTTTGTTGTCCGAGTTTGGGTGCTTCATTCAGACTACCTGTTCTCTTTAATCTAAACATTTTTCCCACTTATATCAGTCAATGGTGCAAAAATTAAATATATGTGCCATCAAAACATCTCCCCTCTCTTGGCACATATTCAGTAGAGGACACTGCTCTTGGCCTCACATCTCACAGATTCCCTGACAGCCTCAGCAGGGAAGATATGTGAGACTATCCATAAAAAATGTGAGGTTAGTGTAGACATTCTGTCAATGAACAGAAAAGTAATTCAGAGCTCCTTCCAGAATTCTGCTCTCTATAGTATTTACCAACTGAAGTCAATTTGGAAGAAAAGTCCCCATGCAGAGAAGCCAGGAGCCCTAACCACATGAACACATGATTTTTCAAATAATTAGATGTTTCGTAACCCATCACAACCACCACCCATTATTCAGGGTGAAGGCAAACCAAACATGTTTTATCTCACCTTAAAGATTAATGAACTTGTATCTCAAGTTCAATCTCAAGGAGAGAGGTTATAAATTTGTAATTTTCCAGTATTCTTAGGAGGTTGATGTCCATATGTAGAGTCAGGCAGTTGTTACAGTAAATGAAATCTAGAAAAATCAAATTTAGATTAGTTATATGGGTAATTATTTGTTTCTGTACCTGTTTGTCCCTAGAAGGATTTAAAGTAGAATTGAAAAGTATATATAGTATAAGACGGTGCATTTATTTGGAGTAGAAACACAAATTTGTCTCTATGCTTTCAGAGAACTGCAACAACAAAAAAGAAGCTAGCAATCACATCGTTCAGTGTTTGGAAGATAAAAATCAAGCCAGATGCACAGGAGAAGTGTGGTATTTTGGTACTAAGAGCAGAGGAAAAACAGTCTCATGTAGTGAACAAAATCTTTTTAAAAAATGCATCCAGAGTAGGACTGCATTAATGATTTTACTAGGGTTATTTCTTAGAAAGTCTATATGGCCATTGACATGACAATGAAGTTAAACATAGCAGTAACATTTTCTGCTGTTAATTGTATAGATAAATTAGGCGTCTGATTAGGAAATTAGCAAGTGACGACATTTGTTTATCACCTGTCAGGGCAGCCTGCTGAGTAATTTGCATTACAGCTTAGAGGTGGGCATAAAAATTGAAAGCAATTTTTCTTTTTAAAAAAATACTCTAAAATTAAGAGACAGATGGGCTGTTACTGACTGTGCTGTGGCTTTTTGAAAAGCTTCCTAAGATTTCTTGGACCCAGAGGCTGTACCTATCCAAGTATCCTAAAGTAGAGATATAATTATTCAGAAACTTTGGCAGGAGAGAAAAAAAAAAAGGAACTTTTCACTAAAATGGCAGTTGCATTTAAATTTATATAGTCTGGCTATGTCATCGACCAAATCACTATATAGCTTTCTTAAATTTCTAGCCCCTCTGCCAATGCATTAGCTTCTCCCAGGGTATCAATTACTGCAAGCCATTTTTTGGAAGATACTCAGAGACAGCTACCCTAGCAGTTAAGTAAACTGTAACCATCACCCAATCCAATCTGTTATTTCTATAACCCCTACCTGTGTACTAAATTTCAGTGAAATCTATCAAATATTACAGAAGATACGCCTGTTTGATAAGTTTGCTCAGTTTCCATTTTGTCTTAAGATGAATGACTCTGATAAAAATACATCTTGATATCCCATCATACAGTACTCAATTTCAGCAGAATAGGTCAATGTAGAACAAACTCATACTAAAACAAAAAGTTTCATGGAATCCAAAGACAGCAATATTTCAGCAGGATGAAAAACCCCATGAACTGCCTACTGATAGAATGTTACACCTTTTAGTAAAACTCCAATGAGATTGTGCACTCAAAGCTCTCTGGGCTCAGGTCAACCTTCTGTACTGTGGAAGAGCCCATACTGCTCTTTCTGTAACATACACAAACTCCTTATTGTTCCCAAGAAAAGGTCTATGGTAGGGTGTATTTTCCAAGACAGCTGCAGCAATGTCCTCCATCTTTTTGTCCTTTCACAGTTTGATTTTGACCCTCCCCAACAAGAGGCAGGGTCTATTCCTCTACTCTCTAAACCTGGTGGGCTCTATGGTGGCTTTGATTCATAGAATAGAGCAAAGTAATGCTGTGCCCCTTCCTGGTATAACCTTTAACTGGCCAGGCATCTTCCATCTCCTGCCTCTTGGAGCCCTTGTAAGAAGCCTATGACAGATAAGCACTTGGAGGAATACTGAGGCCCCCGATATATGAGTGAAATGTTCGCCCTCTCAGACATCCCGCTCCACTGAGCTTTCAGGTGATGTAGCCCCAGCTATTCTGAGTACAACTGTGTAAGACACCCCAGCAGAGCCACATCAACTCACAGAACCATGACGGATCATTCTAAATTGTTTTTAAGCCACTAAGTTTGGAGATAATTTGAAACCAGCCAAATTGTCTGGCTCTGTGCTTCTTCTCATGCCAGTTCCAACTGCTTAGAACTATATTCCTCCTTATTTCTGTCTTTTGAAATCTCACCCACTCATCAAAAGTTAACTAACTCAATTCCCCTAGCCAGCAGTAACCTCTCTCTCCTGTCTAGGCTCATAATAATTTGTTCATATTTCTCTTCTATGAGTTTTCACTGACAGGATATAAAACTCTTTATTCATGGATTCATTCATTTCAAAGTATTTACGGAGTGCCTCCTAAGTGCTAAGCAAAAATGAATACAATACAGTGCATGACATCAAAGAAATTCCTAAGAGGAGTGACACAGATACACAAGATGGAGGTTCAGTGACTGTGGTACATACAGACAGCCTCACATTAAGAAACTTTGAGAAGGGAGGCCAGGAAGAGAAGTAGGGAAATCCTGCAGGGAATAAGTAAGCCCAGCAAGAAGGCGCAGAGCATTCCCTATAAAAAGGACCACATGTGCAAGTGAAATTTCCTAGAGGTAGGGGCAATGCGGTGCTTCTGGGAAACTGCAAATATTTCAGCACTACTCGGGTGCAAAACAGGAATCAGAGTGGTCAGAATACCAGAGAGGAAGGGCATACAATGATAGAGAGCCTCCTACACCATGTTAAAGAACTGGGATTTTTTTCCCCAAAGAGACACCCTAAGGAGACCTTCAAGAATTGCTAGAAGAATGCCATGGCCAGATTAGTTCTGTAATTTATTTCTTAGCATGTATATGAACAGTGAAGTTGAAGAGGGCAAGTATGAGAGAAGAGAGAGTTAAATTAGTCATCCATGGCAATAGGCCATTCCAGAGATGGCACAGCCTGTTCTAGAGCAATGACTATGCTGGTGTGTACGAGAGTTAATCAAACCCAACTCATGCATTGTAAGAGAAAAAACTAAAAATCTGGGAAAATAAGAACATTTCCTCATACTCTGGCAACAGTTTGGATTTTTGTTTGTTTGTTTGTTTGAGATGAAGTCCTGCTCTGTCCCCCAGGCTCGAGTGCAGTGGCGCAATCAGGGCTCACTGCAGCCCCAAACTCTCAGACTCAAGCAATCCTCTCACCTCAGCCTCCCGAGTAGCTGGGAGTACAGGCACCCACCACCACAACTAGCTAATTTTTTTATAGAGACAGGGTCTTGCCATGTTCCCCAGGCTAGTCTCAAACTCCTGGCTCAAGCTCTCCCCCACCAATCCTATGCCTGGGATTACAGGCATAAGCCACTGCACCTGGCAATGAGGCAAAATTTAAAATAAAATTCAGGTTAACTGATTCCTCACTTTTTCCATAATTATATTCTAAATTTAAAAATATTATTTTTAAATGTCATTTAAAAATAAAGTGAATAAATTTTAATTTAAAAACTTAATTTTATCATTAAAGTTTTAAATTATATATATTTTTTTAATTTTAATTTCAACATATTTAGGGGTACAAGTGGTTTTTGGTTACATGGATGAATTATATAGCAGGAAAATTATATTTCTCACCTCCTAGATTATTTACTGTTTAAGTGACCAAGTACTACTCATCTTTATATTTCTTGTAACATGTGAGATAAATAGTGGGTGTTTAAAAGTGTTATTGAATTTAACTGATGTTTACTTCACGTTCTAGTGACAACAACTGAATGACATATACTATCACATAGCATAATTATGTGTACTATAATAATATTCTTCCTTAAAACAAAAAAAAATGAATGTATATCAATTTCAAAACACATGATTCTGATGTGAAGAGTGAAATTTTTGGTGACAAACTGGGTCATCGTGTTTTCTAATTAATTTGTTTATTTGAAAAATAAAAAATAAATATGCATAACATGATGTTTTGAAATATCTCTACATTATGAAATGATCAAATCAAGCTAATCACTATGTACATTGCCTCACATACTTATTTTTTGTGGTGAGAACACATGAAATCTATTCTCTTAGTGATTTTTGAAAATATAATGTATTGTTACTAACTATGGTCACCATGTTATAAAATAAATCGCTTAGACATATTCCTCTTATCTAATTGAAAATTTATGTTTTTGCCAACATCTCTCCAGCTGTGTTCCTCCACCCATGCCCACTGCTAGCCCCTGATATCCACCATTCTATTCTGCTTCTGTGAACTTAAATTTTTTTATTTTTGAGACAGAGTCTTACTCTGTTGCCCAAGCTGGAGTGCAGTGATGCAATCTTGACTCATCGCAACATCTGCCTCCCGGGTTCAAGTGATTCTCGTGCCTCAGCTTCCCAAGAAGCTGGGATTACAGGTGTCGGCGTTTAAGCCTGGCTAATTTTTGTATTTTTAATAGAGATGGGGTTTCACCATGTTAGCCAGGCTGGTCTCAAACTCCTGACCTCAAGCGATCCACCTGTCTTGGCCTCCCAAAGTGCTAGGATTACAGGCGTGAGCCACTGTGCCCAACCTATGAGCTTAACTTTTTAATTACTGCAGCATTATTGCAAATAATGCTGCAGTGAACATGGGAGTGCAGACATTTCTTCAACACACTGATTTGATTTCCTTTTTATACCCAATAGTGAGATTGCTGGATCATGTGGTAGTTCAATTTTGAAATTTTTGAGGCACGTCTATACTGTTTTCCGTAATGGCTACACTAATTTACATTCCCATCAACAGTAAATAAGGATTCTCTTTTCTCCGCATCTTTGTCCACACTTGTTATTCTTGTTATTTATTTTGATAGGTGTTAGTTGATATTTCATTGTGGTTTTCCCTGAGGATTAGTGATGTTAAGCATCTTTTCATATACTTGTTGGCCTTTTGTATGTCTGCTTTTGAAAAATGTTGATTCTGGTCCTTTCCTATTTTTAAATGGATTATTTGTTTGCTTGCTATTGAGTTGTAGGAGTTTCATAGATGCATTGGATATTAACCCCTTATCAAGTGTATGATTTGCAAATATTTTCCTCCATTTTGTTGTTTGTCTCTTTACTATGTTGATTGTTTCCTTTGCTATATAGCAGCATTTTAGTTTGATGTAATACTATTTTGTCATGGCATTTTTAAGGAAAGTGTTTATTAATGCATATTTTCTCTATCAGTAATTACAAATCCTCTTCCTCTGCCAAGGACCAGCTCGGCACCAACTTTACCACCCAAGTTCACAGCCACCTCTCACTTCCTGAGATCCCATACTACCAAATATCTAGGGTACTTTATTACTTTATTAATTCTTTCTCATATTTTTCTATGATGGTTTCACGTATGTTGATCTTGTTTCCTCAATGAAATTGTAAGCTTTTTGTGAGTAATAAGGACAGCAATCTTTTTTTGTACTCCTTTCTCTTGCACACAGTGAGATCACAAAACATAGTTAGAAATATTTGACCAGACAGTTTGCAAGAGTCTTGACCTTATCCTTGCTTTTAAGGTATTTGTAAACAAAGGCACATGAAACAAATACGGTGTAGCATTTAAATGAAAAAGGTGGCCAGGTACGGTGACTCATGCTTATAATCCCAGCACTTTGGGAGGCTGAGTTAGGCAAAACCCTTGAGGCGACAAGTTCATGATCGGTCTGTGCAATGCAGCAAAACCCTGTCTCTATAAGAAAATTAAAAATTAAAAATAAAGGAAAAAGGCATAATGTCACAATGGGAGGGGAATAGTGAACAAATTAATATGAATTATTGTATTTATACTCTAAATGATAAAGTCTATGCAATATTAATGTTTATAAGGTGTCATATAGTATACAAAGCCATCTCATAAACATTAACTTATTTACCTTAGAAAAAGATATACTAAGGAACATAGAGTAAAAAATTGTTGGAGCTGTATATCAAGCAATGAATTACCAACTTTATGTTAATCAGTCAAAGAAGGCTTCAGAAGTAATTGTGTGCCAAAATGAAGTTTTGTAGAGTTAAAGTGATATCATTTTATTGTCTTTGTCTATGAGATCTATAAAGGATTATATCTTCTCTGAGAGAATAAGCTGGATCTTGAAGATTTCATAAAATGATTTCAAACCTGGCATGGAATCTTGACAGGCAACTAAAAGCAAAATGAAGACACAAAAGGTTTTCTTCAGTACCATTGCCCTGAATCTAGAAGAAAATTATTGTATATACTTTTCCACAAATAATTAAATTTGATTTCTTAGAGAATATTACGGAACTTGTAAGACTCAGTTCCATTGTTTTTCTCCTTCTCCTTACTCTTTCTTGGTGACTAATGAAATGGGCAAATAATTATTTTTCTTCTCTTAGGACCTTCTCTGAATAGAATTTGAGAGCTCATATAGCTAACCACTGGGGATGGCCAAAGAAAACAAATCAGATAGAGGAAGCAGAGAACTGAATGGATCACAAAAATACATCACAGGACTTTTATTATGACAATATTTTAAAATAATAGATCGTGTTCTAGTTCCTTAGTCCCCTCTCTACCACAAAAACAAGGATTGCCTTTTGTGCACAGAGTCTAATAAAAATCAGGTAGTAGATTTCCAGTATATGAAATATACTCTACTACATTTTTCCATGTTTTTTAATTCGATTTTTATGAGTTTCTGTGGCTGAGGGAAATATGGCTAAAGGAACAGGGAGTTCTGGATGTTTTAACTGCAGGCTGATATATGCTCATAGAATACGGAGATGGAATGGACCTTGGAAATCAACTCACACAATCCTCTTGTTTCACAGGAAACTGAGATCTAAAGCAATACTCTCCAACCATGTTCATGTCATGACAACATAGAAAGTACCATATTTTAATGGCACATTGGGACAATCTATAAAGGCTTGGCCACCAAAGAGGTTATGGGGATCAATATCTTGGAACAAACACCTATTCACACGACTTCAGCATATCAAGGACACATCAAGGGGAATCTCTGGTCTAGAGTGCCCACATTAGAATGGCAGATTTACAAAAGAAGGCAGAGTAACACCTAAATTTCGGACTCTCCACAAAGTGCTTGTATTATCTTGGCCAAGTGGTCAGGGGGAGTGGTTACAAGTAGGATAGGCCAGAATAGAGGAAGGTTTGTGGGATGCTTAATGTCACCATTTTTCAGATCCTTCTAAGATCTTGCATCTTAGAAACTGGCAAATTGAAATCATTGCTCTATTCCTCTCTCACTGCAGCATCCACTAACCTTATTTCTTATACATACAGCAGAGGAAGACGAACTGGGATAAATATTGTTTTTCTACTGATATCACAGTCTCTGTGATTAGAGCCAGATGTGTTGCCTCAGTTTATCCTACCTGTATGCAACATAGTCAATTAACTAACATATTCATTACAATGAGCTTTTAGTCTTTGTACTGATGTTTACACAAGTAATCTGTTTTAGGAATTTCCAACTGAAGTACAAAATTGTATTAAGGGTAAAGTTCACAACAACAGTTGACTTCATTCAGTTCTTTTTCATAACTATACAGAACCGTAATTTTTAGAACAGAAATAAATTAACGTGAATAACTGATACAAATTCCAAACACACAAACACACATACATGTGTACACAAGCATTCATAAAAGTTCATCTTGAAAAGTTAGCATCCTATGATGTTGCAAGCCTCATATTTATTCTAATTTGTAAAAATGTATTTCACTGTACCACTTTCTTGAACACTTATGCAGAGACAAAGTGCTTGCTAAGTCCATGGATGGTCAGATGTCAGCCTTAGTAACCTTCTCTAAACCAGTCTCAAAAAACCTGAGAAGCCCAAAAAACCTGAATTATTGATAAACTTTGTGCCTCACTAGATTAAAACCTATATGAACCATACTTTACTTTTATATGGTGCTGTGGCAGTACCAAAATCAAAAATTCCAAGGCAACTGAGCACTGGTGTTATTAACATTCTGTTCATTAACCTTCCTTTTCTGCCATAACTGCATCCACAATGAATTCTTTTCTGAAATTGGAAAAGACAAAAGAGAGAGGCAGAGACAGAGCGACACACTGAGAGACTATACCTGCTTCTGGAATGTCTTCCTGTGTGTTACATACTTGAGACTGTAACAAAACCCTTACCATTCTGTTAAGAATTGTTAACTTAGTAAATTCCAGGTTGAAAATCAAATGACTACAGAATGATTTTTTTAAGCATTTGGAAACCTTGCATTTTAAGTAACTCCACTTCCATTGCACAAAGACTCGACTATTTATTCATTTCATTTGACTACTTTTTAATCTCAGTTTTTCTGAAGACACTAATGACCCTCACAGATTGTTACCCTCCAGTGAAATAACAGAGCTTTGGCAGCGGCTGGATTCCAGTTGAAGAGTTCTGAAACTCATTGTAAATCTTCCTGTTTTGTTGTTCTTCAAACTAGGCTTTGCCATCTGCCTTATGAATTGAATTTTTGTTGCGGTATTTCCCATGATCTAAAATATGGGTATTGCCATCCATAAACTGAGGTTCCTGGAGAGTATTAATTAAGTCCAAAATATTGCACCAATGTGCACAGTGAAATACAACATAAATGTCATGGCGTGACCATTATTATAATCCTGTCTGCATTCCATGATGGCTGTTCTCTCAAAACCCAGAGACAATTTGGTTGTAGCAGCCAACAAAGTTAAATCTGAAGACTTAAATTCAGGTGGATGGGATAAATTGAAACAGATCTATTGCTCCCAAACACTCTCTTGGAAATAATGGCATCTTGACATTTTATCAGTCACTCAAGCGGTCATTCTCAACAGTATCAGTCGGAGCTTGAAGGATAGAGCTGTAAAGAAAGGACTGTCAGCCATAAACATTCCTCAAAACCATGAAAACCACAAATGAGAGCTTAAGTAATGGAGGACACAATACCCTTGATATTTCAACAATTACCTGCAACAACAGGCTTTGTTCAGAACCATGGTCATTTTTTCAAAAGCCTTACTTGTCAACTCTGGACTTGGGGGGAAGGAGAGAGATGGAGAAAAAAGAGAAGAGTGGGAAGAAGAAGAGGGAGGAGGGGAAGGTTGAATTCGATGCCCTTAGGTTAAAAAGTGAAGTTAAGTTGGCCTCATATTTAAGAAAGCTATGAAAAATTTTCAAGAACAACAACAACAAAAAAATCCACTAAAGATTGATCCAAGGACATTAATATTATTAGACTCGAAGTGAAGCTTTGAGATCATTAGAAAGGCATTTACACTGCTCAGTTGTTTCCTTCGTGGCCATTCCTGATGTCAAATTACACAGGAGAAAAATAGCAGAGAATGCAGTGCAAGGAAGAGAAAGTAGTAATGGATAAGAATGTAAGTGTGGGAAGGCAAAATGAATTTAACTTCATTACACCTCAGGAACATATTGCTGTGTTGTGAAATGAGAAAGACTAATTTTAAAAGGACTTGGTGCTATTATCTTTGCAATTGGGACCCAAGAAAACTAAATGAAATTGAGTATACACCAAAACCAAGTCACCCAAACTCAAGAGACAGCAAACATGGAAAGGTTAAATGCCCTAGAAATTGCATTTGTGGAGTTTCTCAACACAAGAGATTAATGGTTACTCAAAGCAATGGATAAATATTAGCTGAAGACCATTAGCTGAGGAAAACACATCAGTGCATCACTGTTCTCGGGCTTATCAGATCAATTTTAAATAGGTTTATCTCGGACTTTTCTAACATTTAATGAGGAACAAATTGTTTTTTTTCTTCTGTTTCCTCTATCCATGTTGACTTTTTGATATTACCTTGGAGAGAACAATTAAAATAAATGGGTGTGTGACAAAGTGTTAATTTGGTTGTCTCAGAAGCGATTGCAAAAGGGTCATTTTATTATTGTTTCCTCCTATTACACAGTTTATCATAAGTATTTAGATTGAATAGTGGATTTCTTAAATTAGAAGAGAGTTTGAATGGTCATTTTGTTCGTCCTCAGCCTTCAAGCAGCACCCACCTACACAATCTCAGCTCTCAGTCCGTATCAATCAGAATCAGACTGTCAGTCTATTCTATTTAACAATAAAAAATGAAAACAAACACAAAGCATATATTATTGCCTGTCTAGTGCCAATCATTATGCTAGTCATCGTGGGGGATTCAAAAAACAAATACAACCCAAGTACTTATCCTCAAGAAGCTTAGCACCTAGTAAACCTAATTCACTCATTTTATATAAGTCCGTTTCTTCTATCTCTAGGAAACATTGAGGAAAGAAAGCACAATTATTTTTACCCATAGCTTCTGGATTTCATACAAGAATATTGAAGTCTAAAGCTTCCCGATTAGGCTTTAACAAGAAAAAAAAACAGAAAGTAGTGCCTGAGGACTGTGGAGATCTTATGGCCTTGCTCTCTGCCTCAGTTAGTCCCTCTTTTTTCTCTAGCTTAACCTCAAATTATGACTTTGTTCCCCCACCAGTAATGGGGCCTGCGTGACAATTTTTAAAAGTACAAAGACTTCTAGAAGTAAATTTGTGTCTTAAAATTTACATATATATATTTTTTTCTTTCTTTCTTTCTTTTCCTATGGTTAGCCCCACAAATTCAGCTCAGGAATTTGGAATATCTTTCAATAGGCAGCAAATAAAGCAACACAAATGTTCAGTCAAATGGTCCAATTTTGAAAGCAGCAAGTGACATTTCTGCTTCCTTCAATGAACCATGCATTTTGTCTTCATTAAAAGAATCGTTTCTTTTTATTCTATGTCAGTATCTCATAATAAGGCATCAATAGAGTAGTGCTTATACACTATGGCTTGCCTGACCTGTAAAACAACTTCTCGTGACCTGGATGTTTCCCTTTGTGAACAATACAGCATGAAATAGCCTAGTTCCACCCATATGGAAGGCTGTTGTTTCACAACAAACAAAATAGCACAGTAGAAGACCATGCTCACTTTTCATATATTGAGAACTCTTCATAGATTTGAACCTGAGTACATCTGTGGTCTGAAAACACAGGTCATGAATAAAGGGACCTTTGAGGAAACTATTTCATGAGAGAACAAAAGACAAGTTCCCTCCAGTGGTCGGAAAAGAGAAAAGAAATATGTCCTCTCTTGGTACCAAATAAATGGATATTCTGAGTCTTCGAAACAGTGACATTGTTGTTAACAGTGGAAGCTCTGCATAAGATAATTTGGTCGGGGTAAGAGGATACTGAGATAAAGAAGAACTTTATACTCTATATATTTCTCTCATTCTTCTCCCATCCTCCCTCCCTCTCACACACAAACAATTTATCTATTTATAGCTGTTTGATTTTGTTACAATAAGTATGCATAATTTGGTGTTTTTTAAAAAGTTTAAAAGAGGGCAAAAGCCTCATATAGCTTCTAATATATAGTTTGCTTTCAATAAACGTTTTTAAAATGTATACTCTTCAAAAGGAAGAGTAGCAAGTGTATATCCTATCCTGTACCCTTTCAGCTAGGACATAAATCTTCTTTGTACTGCTCATAACAAAAAACAAAAGCAAGCACACAAAAATAATGAAAAACAAGTATCCTCAAAATTGCTTGGCATCCATCATATCCACTTTTCCCTCCCAACTAGGTCATCTAAGTTGCATTTCCTCATTTGTCTCATTTCAGCATTCTCAGCTCCATAACCTGATTCAAAACTGGCCTCTGATCTACTTTGGTTCTCTGCCCTCCCAGTTCGGATCTTTGTATTTCTACTATTCCATACTGTCTTTGTTTTTCTTGGAGCTCTTAATTACCCCCAGGCCAGAATCTCCACCTCTAGTCCCCAATTCTAGGAAACTCTATCACCAAAAGATCTAATTGCAGAAATCTTCCTCTTACCCATCCAAAGAACATAAATCTAGCAAGCTGGAAAGAATAGTTAAAATAATAACAATTGTTATTACTTTTTAAAGAAAATGAGAAAACCAAGTCTCAAGAATAAAGTAGTCACCAGGAATGTCTTCAAAATCCAAAACCTGGTATTATTATGGAAATCAGAGAAAGGGGATGAAATCCATAGTTACTGGCTAAATGATTTAGTGGAAATAAACAGAGAGAAAACACAGAATGGAAAATCTGGAATTCAAAGGAATTGCAGCCAGATACTGACCTTGATAACATAACTCATTCTTGGAAATGTCAAAAGTTTTGAAAATCTCAGGAAGGGCATTAGACTTTAACACAAGATATAAAACAGGAGTTTAGGCCAACCTAGATCTTAAGAAGAAACAAGATCAAAGCTTACATCTGAGTTCTCCATGTAACTAACCATATAATGCAATGTATATGTCAACTAAGCAATAAACACCCAAAAATGCTCAAGAGAAAGGACCAATCAGAACAGAGGGTCAAGAAAGGAATTTAGAGAAGGTAGAGTTCAGAGCACAAGCTTCATCTTGATCTCACTAGCTAATGTAAAATATGGCCCTTATGTTGTTGCAATCTTACTTGAAAGCTGTTTCCTGGTCTCAAAGGCTTTATAAAGACACCAAAAGCCCGTGGACACCGGTTACATGCAACCCCAAACCTAAAACCTGGGGTAAACAGATTTTTTCCAAAGCATCACCCAGGAGAGCTCTAGTTTTCTTTGATCTTTTCACCCAGGGTCTAATGTTAGGGTCTTTCTTGTGAATTCTCCACATAGGAAATGAAGAATACAATCTTAGTATTGCCCACTTCTTATCTGGGAAAAGCAGCACTTCTGATATTGACAACTAACTAGTGCAACCCTGAAAAAGTCACTTGACTCTTCTGAGCCCCAATATTACCATCTGTAAAGTGGGAATGAGAGCCACTACTTCATACTGTGGTTATTAAGAATTGCATGAGTCCTCAAAAATAAAGCACTTGACACAGTGACTGACACACAGTTACATGCCTAATAAATTGAGGCTCTTTTTCTTGTCATAAGCCACTATCACATAACGTTACTTTCTTTCAAATGTGTATTCATTCAGTTCTGAAAATATTTTACTTTTGGGTTTTGATTCAGTATATTAAGTCCAAACAATTCCAAAACTTCCCAATAGTGTATGGTTTCTCATTCACTCTTTCTCTCTTTTTTTCTTTTTCTTTCTTTCTTTCTTTTTTTATTTCTCTCTCTCTCTTTCTTTCTTTCTTTCTTTCTCTTTCTCTTTCTTCTTTCATAAAACCTTCATTGTGTCATTGCTCTGGAGTGGTGCTTCACAAACTTTAATATGCACAAAAATTACCAGAGACTTTGTTAAAATGCAGATTCTGATTCAATAGGTCTGGCTAGATAAGGCTGAAATTCTGCATTTCTAAAGACATCCCAGACACAATGCCACTGGCCAACGGAGAACACTTTGAGTAGCAAGGCATTAGTTGTTCTCAAAACCCTTTACAATTCTTCAGTTCTAAGTATTTCCTTAAACAGCTAGACATAGCTGGGGAGGCAGAGGAGGGAAAAATACAAGAAAAATAGTTGCCTGCTTCCATTTGTTGACCATCTAGTAACAAAGGTTAGCAATTACTGAGAACTCTTTTTGACAGGCATTGGTTCAATGTGCACTACATTTTTTAATCTGATTTCATCCTTACAACAACACTGTAAGGTAGGGACTGTTCTTCCTATTTTAAAATAAGGAAACTGAGCCCAGGAGACACTGAATAATTTTTTCAAAGCCTCATTAACTAATCGATGGCCAAGCGGGAACTGAATAAAAGCAGTGTAGCATAGAGTCTAAACTCTTCCCATTCACTATATTATGTATTTTTATACTCTATTTACATTGCAAACTATAACTACATTACTTCTAAGGCAATAGATTCATCTCTTGTTCGTGTATTGTCCTTACAGGCTGGAAATGCTGAACAGCTTCCTCCCATCTACCAGGGAAAAGTGAGATACAGGTGATTTATAAAAGATCCCCCCAACAACCTGCACTTTATCTCGGAGGATATTTACTAGCTAAATTGTTAATTCTCTATTTAACTCACTACCACCCACTAGCTATTAGCTATCATCAGCTGATTCCTTTCTTGTTTCTCCCATTTCTGTCCCCTATAATACTTGTTCCGTATTCATTTAGCTCCATGCTCAGTCTCTGAAAGCCAGCTCTGCCCAGTTTTGAGACCTCACCCTCAGACTCATCTCCCAAGACTACTCTTACCCTACCAATCAAGAAGGGAAGCTTGGACATTGAACCAGTTTATGAGCCATGAAAATAAATTCAGGCTTATTAATTTGTAGTCAAGAAATGCTTTAACAAATAAGTGAGCATTTTGCTTAGGTGACCCCATCTTCTATTTGTACCCGTAATGGAGAAACTGAAATTGTCAAATCAGTGCAATATGTTGCCTCCTTTTGCAAACAAATAATTTATTTTAGGACTTTTCATGGCTTCAGGGTTCTCTTTTCTGGGTCACAAATGATAAAGCACACAAAATTTTATTCATTTCTATCATGGTTCTGGGGATGCTAAAAATCACATTTTGCTTTTAATAGCTTCTCTACCAATACAGGTAGTAAACTCTTACTCAGCCTCCCGTTTCTAACTGCTGTTCATACCAGTCTGTCTTAACTGTGGAAACAATTCTCTTGCATGAGCTCTCATTTATTAAGTGCCGACTATGCTAAGTGCTTTACAGAATATATACAGCATTAGCACTCTGTGGGATTCACTGTAATTTTGTAAATTGATGACAATAATAATGCCTTACATTTATGTAGTTTTTATATTTTTGAAAAGGTTTTTTGTGTTCATTATCTTATTTAATCCAAAACCTTTTTTTTTTTTTTGAGGCTGGGTATGGTGGCTCATACCTATAATCCTAAAACTTTAGGAGGCCAAGGTGGGAGGATCACTTGAGGCCAGGAGTTCGAGGCTGCAGTGAGCTATGACAGTGCAACCTCAGTCTAGCCTGGGCAACAGAGTGAGACCAGACTCAAAAAAAAAAAAACAAAAGAAACTATTTTTTGAGGGCAGAATAAGTATTATTCTGCCAATCTTACAGACTTGAAAAAACTGAGGATCAGAGAGGTTAAGTTACCTGTTTTGAGTTACACAAGTTTTGTCAGTATGATGTTGGAACTTAGCATCCCCTAATTCATTGTGTTCCTAGTTTTTAAATACAGAAAAAAAGTTAAAAGTATGTGCTAACTACCCACAATTAATAAATGCTATCATTTACAAGGAAGGAAGGAAGTTAAGAAGGAAGGAAGGAAGGAAAAGGGAAGGGAAGGGAAGCAATGGGAAGGCAAGGAGTATTTCTGGCTGGTTGGTTCACAAAGGAGATGAAATTTTTTTTTTTTTTGAGACGGAGTCTCGCTCTGTGGCCCAGGCTGGAGTGCAGTGGTGCTATCTTGGCTCACTGCAAGCTCTGCCTCCCGGGTTCATGCCATTCTCCTGCCTCAGCCTCCCAAGTAGCTGGGACTACAGGTGCCCACCACCACGCCCAGCTAATTTTTTGTATTTTTAGTACAGACGGGCTTTCACCATGTTAGCCAGGATGGTCTCGATCTCCTGACCTCGTGATCCACCACCTCGGACTCCCAAAGTGCTGGGATTACAGGTGTGAGCCACTGCGAATGGGCAGGAGATGAAATTTTACCTCACTCTAGAAGGATAGCTGAAATGTCAATGACTAGTAGCAGAAGGAATTGGCATGAACAAAACTGTAGGTATATGACTACCTGTGAACACGCAAGTTGAGTTTATGAAGCAATAGGGACAAAAGTTTGTCTAGAGCAGATCTGAGAAGGAGAATTATTAGTAAGAAGCAAACTAAGATCAGGCACTAGAGAGTTTTGAAAACTAAGCTAAGGCTAGGGAGTTCAAAGCTATTCATATTGCATAACTGAATACTATACTAGTGTTCACTCTGCTTATTACACTTTTCATCAATCCACTAATCTCAGCAATAACTACCAGGCTCAGAGCTCAGCAAAGTACAAAGGGTATTGGCAGGGAGATCTTTGCATCTGAGGTCCCACTCCCACCCTTAAACACTTCTTGCCTAAACTTTGATCTGAATCTTCATAGTCATACACATACAGTGGAAGTTTAGGGTTACATTTTCAATGCCTGACCATCTTTTGCTAAGAAATTTTTTCAAGAAGGCCATGGTGGTAATACTACTAATAAGTAAAAATCCATTTCACTGGTTCCTTCAATTAGTCAGACTTCTTTTTGTTGCAATCTAAAATTGAATTTAAACATTAGGGAAATACAAAAAAAAAGATAGTAAAACATGTTACGGTCATTTTTTTAAACACTGAACTCTACATACTGTGGGACCCATTTACATTTAGCTCAACTCCAGCATCTTCTTGGTCCCCATTTCCCATTCTTGGTGATGAGAATTCAAGTTGAGAAAAAAAACAGTGCCATTCTATAGAAATTCTTTGGTAAAAATATATTGAATTATGTTCCCTGGAGCCTACTGAGTTGAAGAAATGCTTATCAACCCTGACACAAGCAGAATTTTAGGCCTAACAATTCTTTGTTGTGGGGGGCTCTTCTGTGCATCAGAGGCTTTATAGCAGCATCCATGGCCTCTACCCACTAGATGCCAGTAGCAAAAATATCTCCAGGCATTGCCAAGTGTCTCCTGGCTGGCAAAATTTCCCCTGATTTAGAACCACTGGGCTGCAGCACAAAAATAACCTCAACTTAGAGAATCCCAGCAATTGGTTTGAAACAAAATTAAGAAAAATAAATTAACTAAGCTCTAGTCTGTTTCCCTAAGCTTCCCAGCACATCACACTTTGTTATATAATCTCATTTGCTCAGGTAAAACCTATCCAGACCCAAAATAGAAAAATTTACCAACAAAAACAAAAACAAAAAAAAAGACAACACAAAATAAATCCCAGCTCTGAACTAGTTAACTAATATTCCACAGGAAGTTATAGACAATTTCCCTCAAGAAATTAAATTCCTGTACAAAAGTACCCTGAGGACTTTAACACAAATCACTCTTCTTACTTGAGACTATTTATCATTTTTTAGAGCTTATAAATTATATACACCAAGCAGCAATTTTATACACCAACAACCATAATAATCCAGACACAAAGTAGAGCAGTTGAAGGGTACGCCGTTCCAACAAAGAGAGGAAGAAGTAGAAGGAGACGGGCACGAAAGGAGCAAATAGTGTTCTCCTCTAGAGCACTCTTCCCAGGGACATAGCTTTTCTTTTCTGTCCTCACTGTCTTAATAGATTTCATCTTCCTTTAAAAGACATGTCACAATCTGTCCCTGAAGACAGCGTTATCATTAAAATGCTCCACTGGGGGCAGAGGGGCAACATTACTCAGTGTGCGACAGGGCATTCGAGAAGACGGGTGACACTTTTCCTTCAGGGCCAGCATTTTGGAGAACAGAGGGGCTGAGACAGGACTCTCAGAGGTCAAGTCTTCCTCCTCTTGCCTCTGGTTGAGGCTGCAATCTATGCCATTCAAGAAGAAAAGAAGTCAATTCTTTCCATTTACATTTCCAGAATGAAGTAGCTTTTTTTTCATTTTACAATAATTACAAGAGTTAGGAGTCCTGCTAGAGCAATAATGTTCCTCTCCCAGTTATCATCTATGCTCACCTCAGCTATCCTGATCTGAGCATCACTTATAATGATCAAGAATCAGGTGCCAAATATTCATCTGTGCAGCACACAGAAAATACATCACTCCTACCCTTCCATGTTGGAGGTGAAAAGAAACAAGATGAAGGACACACACAGTGGTCAACTCTCATTGCGGTGTTCCTATCTCCCTGTTATTTTCAGTAGTAACCTACATATCATAATTAAGCTGCTCACCATCTACAGAACTGAATAGATAGAAAATAATTACAATATTTAAAACTGGAAGTCACCTTGAAAAACCTCTGTATCCAAACTCATTTCATAAAAAGGGAAAACCATATGAATAAGCTCTGGAGATATAATGCACAGCATGGTGGCTATAGGTAATAATACTGTGCTATGTACTTGAAATTTTCTAAAAAAGAAGATCCTAAGTTTACTCACCAAAAAGAAAAGAAAAAGCTAACTATGTGAGGTGATAGATATGCTTGTTATCTTGATTGCTGTGATTAGTTCATAATGTATACGTATCAAAACATCAAGTTGTACACTTTAAATCTACAAACTAAAATAAACAGTAAAGAAGGAAGCTGAAACCAGAGAGATAAAATGACACTGCTCAAGGTCATTCAGTTTATCCATGACCTGTGACAAGAGAACGTGTCCCCTAATACTGCTTCTCAGGAGCAATGACAAAAAATCCAGCTGAAATTATCACCAGAAACAAGAAAGCCAAAAAACTTTAAGAGGTTTTATAATTAAACATATCAGAAAGAGTATTTGTTTTTATTTATTTTTTTTGAGGCTCCCTGGCAGCCATTTCTCTTCCTAGTAGCATCCCAAATTCCTTTTAAGACACTACCCTGCCCCCATTCTCAACTATGTGGTTTGGGTGGATTTGGCGTCACCAAGAGCTCATGCATCTTTCTTTAGGATTCATGAGAAGCTGCATTTAGTTGCAAATGCTTCAAGGTAAATCAATTTATTAAATTGCTTTTGTATTAGTCCAATCTCATGTTGCTATAAGGACATGCCTGAGACTGGGTAATTTATAAAGAAAAGATGTTTAATTGACTCACAGTTCTGCATGGCTGGGAAAGCCTCAGGAAACTTACAATCATTGGTGGAAGGCAAGAGAGAGAATGTCTGCCAGCAGGGGAAATGCAAGACACTTATAAAACCATCAGATCTCATGAGAACTCACTCACTATCATGAGAACAGCATGGGGGAAATCAACCCCATGACTCAATTACCTCCCACTAGGTCCCTCCCATGACACGTGAGGATTATGGGAACTACAATTCAAGATGAGATTTGGGTGGGAACACAGCCAAACCAGATCAGCTTTTCTCCCAGTGAAAAACATGATTGACAAAACAGTAGGCGAGTTGAAGGTGTGATTGGAATTGGCAACCCCAAATATATACTTATTTGTGGGGAGCTGACCCTAAGCATAGTTTCTATTTTTATATCCCCCATGAGACTTGGGATAGCCCAAGAGTGTGGAAGACCAAGACTTCTCACCAGAGGTCACAGGACAATAATTGCAGAATACAGCTCCAATTTACTACTCAATGTCCTCCTGATTCTACCAGGAATTAACAAAAAAGGTCTCAGAACTCTAAGAAAAAACAGGATATTGTGATTACATTCCAAACCACTACAAGTAAACCCTCTAAGCTTAAATGAAACCCATGTGTGCTGAAGGCCAATGACTCTCTTTGTTAGTGGTTGCAGGCTTATGGGGCTCTGGTTGTTAATGAAAAGAAGAATGGGTCTCTTTTTATGTCTTTGTTTTTTAAAATATTGGCCAGATAATAACAATAATCATTCTTTTTAATTTTTTAATCATAAAGGCCATATTTGACTATCATCTTTAGCTTTTCAAAACACAACAAATACTGTCCCATGTGATACTCACAAGGCATTGTGTATCCCTATTTTACAGATAAGGAAAACTAAACTCCAGGTTCAAGGGGATTATCCAGGATTACACAGTGAGAGCATGATAAAGCCAGGACACATGGCACAGCATTAAGACATATATACTTTATAAAATGCAAAGTATAGGAGTCCCTTTGTTCATTTTTCTTGAAATGGCTCCAAATATATAATTATTTTCTGTCTTCAGAGTTTTGAAGGCTTATCTAATCTCCATAAAGAAAGAGATAGGTAGATCCTAAAGCAGATCACAAAGGAAATGCTTTTGAAGTAATAAGACATTATGAGGATCGAGGACTCTATATGGTAATGTGTGTGTGTGTGTAATGTATAATTGATCATTCTATGAAAATGAAAGTCAGATGATCACATTTATTTTTTGTGTGACACTATTGATTTTAGACTGGGATTCATTGTTTATATATCCACTTAGGTCACCTGAAATTCAAAGTGACTCCTTACCTATAAAATTTACACTAAGATTCTTACTTTCCCCTTCTACTGAAAACATAAATAAGTAAATAAGCATTGTAGACTTTAATAATGATATTGTGACTATGAATCCGGTGATACTTTTTAAAGGCCCATGCTCTGGGAAGCAGCACTAACTCCATCAGAGGCATTTAACTCTGTCATCCAGATATTCATTCACATGGATCTTCTTCTTATGTTTGTTTATAAAACATCTTCATCTAAGATGAAGAAGATCGGCCACTCCACTGAAGTTTCAGAAGACTGAGTGGGAGATTTTGAAAGAATTATTTTCCAATTCATGCTGGAAAGATCAAAAAAAGCAGCAGAGGTGAACAGCTGCTGACTCCTAGAGTATGGAAATGGAAGAGCTGTCTCAGGCATTGTCATGGCAGGAAGAAGAGATGGAAGAAGAGAGGTACAGAGAATATTGGACACCGCCCCTCAGCCCACCTCTGCTTTAAACAGGGCTGCTCCACATCTATTTGTATTATACATGGGAATTTTGCTGAAAATTTAATTTGTCAAATTCTGGTACAACAGACACATCCAAAAATGTTTGAAAAATTTTAGGGCCACTCAGGTAAAATCACTTGGCCCTTATCACCTAGTCACTGAGAAACAAGGATTCTGAGCCAAATCATCTATATCCCAGTACAGGTTCTCTTCACTAATCCATCTCCTCTTGACTTCCTACCTCTAACTTCATTTAATCCTCACAGCAACCAGGAAAAGTAGATATTACTAGCTTTATTTTATAAATGCAAAAGCTGAAGCCTAGAACTTTAGAGGACCTTGGCTAGTGTTGGAATACTTGCACCTCCTGATACAAACTCCATGTTTTTTGTGCTACATGCATCGTGTTTCAGTGCAAAAGATACTGTATTTTTTTTTAATATGTGAGTCATGCTAACTCTCCTTCCTATTTTAATTGAAATTGCCTTCCTCAGACACCACCTTGTCTCTTCTGAAATGTTCTTTGTCCTTTAGCTTCAAGTCTGTTTCCTCTCTGTTAAACTGATTGTGTTTGTGGTGCCCTTCCAAGATGACCTCTGCCTGGCACAGAAAGACATCCAACAGGCTATTGGTCACACCTCATCTCTTCCCTTTTATGAAAGGGACACAAGGCTGTCTTTGAGACCCCTTTGGAAGTGTTTTCATGCTAATCCAAGAATTACTGTTGTGTTTGTTTTCTGGCCGGTGCAGTGTGAAGCCATTCATGGGGCCGCATGGACCTTGTCTAGTCATATTCCAGGCCATTCTTGGAACATTTTGGGGAAACGCATCATCGCTCTGCTGGTGGGAGACAAGTCTGTGTCCCTGCCTGAGGCTGGCAGCCAATGCATCTCTGTCCTTGATTGCGCATGAAAACATCTCCTGCCATCTCTGCCAGGCAGCCCACTACACACACAGGGAGTGGAAGAGAGCTGAATTAAATGTTCATCCAAAAAAGACCAAAATCAGGAAGAAAACAACAACCTCCTAAATAGTTATCTCTGGAAAATACGGAAAGAAAGTGAGCTGAGCACTTTAGTCAAAAAAACTTAGGCTTTTTCTAAATATCCTCAGTAGCTACAGATAAGAGAAATAGATCCAGAATAGGAATCGGGAGACATGAATATTAATTCTGATCCTGCTGCTAACTAGCTATGAGATTTCGGGCACATGCTTTTATTTTGCCTCATATTAGTCCCTAATATTTCAAACACCATGGGACACTGATAAAAATTAAAGGAAATACTTTTTGTTGATACTACTTGGTAAACAACAAAGAACAAATAGTCATTGCTATTGCAGCCGCTTTCTGGACCTCAGTCTCTTCACCTGTAAAATGAAAATACTGGGATAGGTCGATGTCCCCGAAGCCAGCTCAGTATCAGAAACACCTAATGAGCTTCTGAAAAATCTAAATTAAGGACTTCACTAAAACCTTGAGGGTTAGGACCCACAATTATGTTTTTGTTTTAATTTCCCGAGTTTTTTGTGTATAGCCTGCCCTGAAATGGTTTTTAGGGTCTCCTAAACTATCCACTGAAGTTTACCAGCCCAATGTTTAGTGGTTCTCAAAGAAGACAAAATCCCTGATATAAGCTGAGGCTGCCTGTAATTTTACCATTAAAAATATGGTCCTGAGTTATTAAAAGCTCATTTTCAAAAGTTCTCCATTAAAAGAAAACATCCTTAATAGGAGCAACATCCGAATTCACCACAGTTTATTTGCTAGTTCTCAATAACTGCACTAACTGATTAAAAGCATGCTTAACACAGTGAAACACAAGAAATGCTTATGTATGTTGAGGGTAGCATTTTCTACAACATTCTCTTTATTTTCAAATATGAACATTGGCCCCAGATAATTTACAAGTATAGTGACCATATAATACTTAACCAAAACAGGATACTTTTGAAAGTGAGAAGAAAATTATTGATAGTTACTTTAGATATAAAGCAGGACCCTCCAGGGCACACAGGAATAAGCCTTTACCCTAGTTAAAAGTGACTTGTCTGCATTGCAAAGAAAGTTAATATTGAAAAGAGGGGGCCGGTGCCTGGCCGGGCGCAATGGCTCATGCCTATAATCCCAACACTTTGGTAGGCCTAGGCGGGTGGATCACCTGAGGTCAGGAGTTCAAGACCAGCCTGGCCAACATGGTGAAACCTCATCTCCACTAAAAAATACAAAAATTAGCCAGGCATGGTGGTGGGCACATGTAATCCCAGCTACTTGGGAGGCTGAGGCAGAAGAATCGCTTGAACCTGGAAGGCAGAAGTTACAGTGAACTGAGATCGTGCCACTACACTCCTGCCTGGGTGACAGAGTGAGACTCTGTCTCAAAGAGAAAAAAGAAAAGAGGAGAAGAGAAGAGAAGGGGAGGGGAGAGGAGGTGAGGGAATGGGAAGGGAGGGGAGGGGAGGGGAGGGGAGGGGACCTAAAAATATCAATGAATGGGACTAAAAAAATATCAATGAATGGGACTAGAACTTCAGCCTCCAGGCTTCTTCTTTATCAACAAAAGTCATAGCCTGTGTGATTCAAATTCACTTCACTTTGGGTCCATGTTCCCCCTTATTTCTCAAAATCAACCTAAGAATATTTATCTTTTTTCTGTACTTCTTTCCTATCACCATATTCTAAATGGCCAACCTTGGGGCTTGGACCCCACCACACTGGTAATAATCCATTGATTCAGTACATTAACACATCATGGATTTCTTCCATTTAAATGGGCAAAGAAGGCTGCTATGCAGGTGTAACAGAAGCTCATGTGAATATCAGAGTCTACACGGGGACCCTTAGAAACCCCCTCAACTGAAGAGGAATGTTCCTGAGATTATCTAATGACCCTGACAGTCCCGTAGTTAACTGTGGAGAGATGCTGTGCTTTTCCCCTCTGACTTTAATCAGCGGTCCCATAGCTAAACCCAAGCTGCCAATCTGTCAATAACCATCAGACAGCAGGAAAAATGTCTCATCCCAATATTAGGTTTTCTAATGTTGCTTGCCTGACAAAAGTTATTTTATTTCTGGCTTTATTTTCGAGAGATGATCCCTGGGCTGGTAATGAGCCTTTTCTTAGAACTTTATTCTCAGTCAGCCATATTAAAAGGTACCAAACACCAGACTTGAGATTAAAAAAAAAAAAAAAAAAAAAAACCTGGTTTCCAGTCCCCTTTCATGCTTGAAAGGAAATTTGTAAATTGTCAACTTGACTTAATTTTTCCTTTGGACTCACACCTATTTGCTGTAATAAGAATTTTCCCCCTGGGTTTCACTCATCTGCAGCATGTGGCAGGAAAAAGGGATTAGGATTGTATTTGTCGTCTTTTTGGAGCGGATTTTCTTTGAGCAAGTCTGCTATCAATTCTGTCTGCCAAAATAGCATTTTAATGTGTTACCTGCCAGTCAAGTATGTTCTGTTAAGTTGACTTCTGCCTCTGCTGTGTTTTCTGATGCTGTTTACCATTAATTTTTCCTCCCATTTTTGCTGTGCTTATTATTTTTAATACAAATGTGGATTGTGCTATTTTGATCATGTGTCTAGCTCTGCAAAACATTAGTTTAAATGAAAAAGAGAAGGGTATGGGGAGGGTAGCAAACAGGGCTTTCTCTTGCTGGAAAGACTATTTTAATGAGTTTTATTCTGTAGTTGGGGAGATGCTCTTAACCTCCTTGGCCCAGTAAGATGTGATTTCTTGACACTGAGCGTATTGCAAATGCATTTTTATCAGAGCTGCGTAAGGTGGACACAGAGGGGATTTCTCCAGTATTTAACAAAGCCATCTATTTGCAACACAAAGTAATGCTTTGTTTACCCTTCCTCTTTGTCCTGGCTATGGTATTATTCCAGAGGCATTGCTTCTCCCTTGCAAACTGTCAATGGCCAAGGATACTTTTCAGCGTGTTTTGGATCATAATTGGCAAAAATGTCTGCTCAGTAGTGGAGAAGAGGTAAAGGTCAGACATGACCCTATGGGGGCCATTCTCCAGTTTGTATGACACAGACACTAAAGTGCCTTGCCCATTCTCCAAAGTTCACAAACCCTTCTCCGTATTCCAGGGACACACAGCCTTTCCTCCCTGCCAGATAATTAGCAGCAGTGGCAAGCCTAGCTGACTTGTCATTGGGCACTCAATGGTGCTCCTTTCCTCCAAGCTCATTTCCTTGGAAGGTGAGAGCCATTATCGTAAAGAGGGATATTGTAAAATTCTGTTCCTTCTGCTAAACCATGGCTCTGAACAGAGAAATTTGTGTTTTCTGCCAGGGAGAAGAATAACATTTATTTAATGGATGCTGAGCAAAAGGTATTCACAATTCATGCTTCAGGGCTTAAGCCTATCCGAGATCAGAAGGGAACTTTTCCAGTCTCCAAATTGTACAACTGGGTAAGTGCTTAGTGCTAACAACCACTCTGTCCCCATCAGGCATGGTCTGAGGTCAACACCTCAAGAGTGCCCCCCGCATCCCCTCAGCTCTTGAATTTGTCCACAAACCGTGTTTTATACCCCTTTTCCCACCAGCTTCTCCTACCAACTTAAACCTAGCAGTACTTCTTATAGATGTGGCTCCGCTGAATTCCAGTTATGCATCACCAGTATCCCAGTCCCTTCAAGGGAATTCTCTACAGTTTCAGAGTTGTAATACTTAAGTGTTTCCTCTCTCAGCAATGGGAACAGCAGAATGGAAGAAGCTTGGAATAGTAGAAAGAACACAGCTTTCAAACTAGAAAGATTGATCCGAGTTCAACTCATTCTTGAACCCTAAATAGATGGTTAATCATGAATTGCCTATTCATTGATATTCAATTTCCTCATCTGTAAAGGATAATAATAATAAAGCTTACCTTGCAGCACTGTTGTGAAGGCCAAGTGAAGTCACATGTCAAGTGTGTGGTCCATAAAGAAGAGAAACTGGATCACGCCTTCCTTTTCTTGGGCAGAAATTGTGTCTGGTTGTAATGAGAGGTGACAGCGTGCCGGCAGTCCTCACAGCCCTCGCTTGCTCTGGGTGCCTCCTCTGCCTGGGCTCCCACTTTGGTGGCACTTGAGGAGCCCTTCAGCCCACCGCTGCACTATGGGAGCCCCTTTCTGGGCTGGCCAAGGCCACAGCCGGCTCCCTCAGCTTGCAGGGAGGCGTGGAGGGAGAGGCGCGAGCGGGAACCGGTGCTGCGTGCAGCGCTTGCAGGCCAGCTGGAGTTCCAGGTGGGCATGGGCTTGGCGGGCCCCACACTCGGAGCAGCCGGCCGGCCCTGCCGGCCCCGGGCAGTGAGGAACTTGGCACCCGGGCCAGCGGCTGCAGAGGATGTACTGGGTTCTCCAGCAGTGCCGGCTCACCGGCGCTGTGCTCGATTTCTCGCCGGGCCTTAGCTGCCTTCCCGCAGGGCAGGGCTCGGGACCTGCAGCCCGCCATGCCTGAGCCTTCCACCCACTCCATGGGCTCCTGTGCGGCCGGAGCCTCCCCGACTAGCACCACCCCCTGCTCCATGGCGCCCAGTCCCATCGACCACCCAAGGGCTGAGGAGTATGAGTGCACGGCGCGGGACTGGCAGGCAGCTCCACCTGCAGCCCCGGTGCGGGATCCACTAAGTGAAGCCAGCTGGGCTCCTGAGTCTGGCGGGGACGTGGAGAGTCTTTATGTCTAGCTCAGGGATTGTAAATACACCAATCAGCACCCTGTGTTTAGCTCAAGGTTTGTGAGTGCACCAATCAACACTCTGTATCTAGCTGCTCTGGTGGGGCCTTGGAGAACCTTTATGTCTAGCTCAGGGATTGTAAATACACCAATTGGCACTCTGTATCTAGCTCAAGGTTTGTAAACACACCAATCAGCACCCTGTGTTTAGCTCAAGGTTTGTGAGTGCACCATTCGACACTCTGTATCTAGCTGCTCTGGTGGGGCCTTGGAGAACCTTTGTGTCCATACTCTGTATCTAACTAATCTGATGGGGACGTGGAGAACCTTTGTGTCTAGCTCAGGGATTGTAAATGCACCAATCAGCACCCTCTCAAAACAGGCCACTCGGCTCTACCAATCAGCAGGATGTGGGTGGGGCCAGATAAGAGAATAAAAGCAGGCTGCCGGAGCCAGCATTGGCAACCCGCTCGGGTACCCTTCCACACTGTGGAAGCTTTGTTCTTTCACTCTTTGCAATACATCTTGCTACTGCTCACTCTTTGGGTCCACACTGCTTTTATGAGCTATAACACTCACCGAGAAGATCTGCAGCTTCTCTCCTGAAGCCAGCGAGACCATGAGCCCACCAGGAGGAACGAACAACTCCAGACGTGCTGCCTTAAGAGCTGTAACACTCACAGCGAAGGTCTGCAGCCTCACTCCTGAGCCAGCGAGACCACAAACCTACCAGAAGGAAGAAACTCCGAACACATCTGAACATCAAAAGGGACAGACTCCAGACGCGCCACCTTAAGGGCTGTAACACTCACCGCGAGGGTCCGCGGCTTCATTCTTGAAGTCAGTGAGACCAAGAACCCACCAATTCCGGACACAGTAACACTATCTAAGTACCTTCTGGCAAGTCATTCAAATTTTCTGTGAGTTCATCTACAAAATGAGCGAAAGAAAAACCTCCATCCTGCCTTCTTTTAAAACAGAAATTTTACAATCCAAAAAACGTGAAAGTATTGCCAAAAAATATGGTGTTATTATTTATGCTGATGCTTACTCTTATTATCTTTAAATTCTAGACATATTATATTAAAATATTATCCACAATTAAGTAGGCCTATCTAAAAATATGTCTGTACCTTTCAATCACAGGTAGATATTAGTCATAATGCTCTGATGGTGGAAAAGCTGACACAGTGTTGTGTCTTAAAAATAAATCTGCTCTGGCCGGGCGTGGTGGCTCAGGCCTGTAATCCCAGCACTTTGGGAGGCCGAGGCGGGCAGATCACGAGGTCAGGAGATCCAGACCATCCTGGCTAACACAGTGAAACCCCGTCTCTACTAAAAATACAAAAAATTAGCCAGCGTGGTGGCAGGCACCCGTAGTCCCAGCTATTCGGGAGACTGAGGCAGGAGAATGGCGTGAACCTGGGAGGCGGGGCTTGCAGTGAGCTGAGATTGCGCCACTGCACTCCAGCCTGGGCGGCAGAGCAAGACTCTTGTCTAAAAAATAATAATAATAAAATAAAAAATAAAAAATAAAAAATAAAAAAAATAGATCTGTTCCCAGAGCTGGGACAAAAAGATTCCTAGTGGCTTGGTCTATACATAAGATGAATAAGAGATTGGAAATATTATTGTATTATAATTAGGCCAAAGCCCTGTGTGTAAACACGTGAAGCATGTAACAGATGCTCACTAAATGTTGCAAATCTCTGCACATTTTCTTGATTTGAGATTTCAAGTATCTATGGTGTGCCTGTTAGCCTTGACCTTTCCTGTCACCCTCAGCTGATGGCCTCTTGACCCTTTTCCACTCTCCCCTCCCGTATACTCCACCCCTCCCCAGTTCCAGCTTATCTGGACTCTAGAAAGGTAATAACCAAGCATTTCCAGTTGCACACTCAACCCTTCTGCTAGACTTCCTTGGGCATAAGTTTCCAGTCTCCTAGTTAAGGTTCTGCTCCATATCTTTGATTCTACTAAGGGGATTTTGCCTATGAACAAGGCACTGCCTTTGTTCAGGAGTCAGTGTTTATCTGCTGCTTCCATTTCCTGCATCTCTCACTAGACACTTTTACTGCTACAATGGACTATTTAAAGAGACAAAGTGCTTGGCATGGAAATGGAAGGAAGGCTTCTAGGCCTCTACTCTCCTGTGTCAAAGTCAGTTAGTGGGGTTTCAAATCCAGGTTTCTTGTGCTTTCTGTGTTAGAAAGGTTTAAGAGGAACCACCTTTTCTGTCTTTTATTTGTGGCCCTCGGCAGCTTTGCCACTGGGTCAAAGTCTTTGTGCCTAGTTCCTTTTTCTCCTCACATAAATTTCCTTCCAAGAGCCCATTTAGCTTTCATGCAAATGTCTTCTGACATGTCCTCAAATCCAGCTGTTGGGTAGGCATGGGCATGTAGGAATCTCATCTTAAACTGGGATCTTGCCACCATCAGAATTAAAGAGAAGTAACTGGACTAGTGGTGACACTAAAGTTTAAGGTTAAATAGGGATTTTCCTCACCAGTAAGATTATCCAAATTATCACTCTCTGTCGGTCTTATTACCTGATCTGGTCAACTTTGTGTTTGGAAGCAGTCTCTGACAAAGAGGAAATTGTACCCAAACAACTTTTTTTAATACTTCACACTTGATCTGCCAGACATGGGAGTAGTTTGAAACTGGTTATATTTCCAGTTTGGACCCAATAAAAAGCTGGTTCACTGATAATTTCTAAGGCAAGGGAAGATGGTGTATTAGAAGAGACTGGGATACGGAAGGAGGGAGAGGTTGAAGTTGAAGAGCTGCAATAAAATACTGCAGAATGTTTGTGTCACTGGAAGCCTCATCCTGAGTTCCTTCTCCCTGAATCCCCTGGAAGAACTGACAACTGCCTGGCCTTTACAAAATGAAATTGACATTTACAGGCTTAGGTTCAACAGAAACTGAAAGGGAGGTCTGGGAGGTGCTATAAGCAGGGCCTGGGCCCAGTTCCCTGGATCCAGGGCAGCAGGCCCATAACTCTGCTGTGAGTGATGGGTCAATATCCAATAACTCGAAATCAAAAGCTGAAGTCTTCTTGAGTCAGCAGAGCTGAAGCCTCCTTCAGGGGATAAGAATACAGCACCAGCCCTTCTGACAGAGCTGGAGTTGCCAGTAGCCTTTAATCTAAGGAAACCACAGGCAAAGCAAACTTGGCATATAACTTTTCCTACATTAATTAGCACCCTTCAGTTTAAAGGGGGAAAAATAATAACACTCTTGGGAGAGCTGTTAGAGCTCAAACCCAACTCATTCGGATTCTGCACACAAAGACTCTGGGGAGGGGGACGATGGGGTGGAGAACAGAACACAGTCTTGGAGAGGGAAAAGAGATTATTTTCAGGTCAACTGAACAGTAGCTTTCAGAAGCAGGCCATTGTTTGAATTGTGTTTCATGATATTGATTATGAACCGTCCTCCGCCATTCTTTGCCTTTTTGGTCAGGCTCTGCCTGTCCTACTGGAAATGGGAGGCAGTGTGTCCTGGAGCTGTGCTGTGTTTTTTTCTTAAATGTGACGAGCCCGTTGGGAGGACAAAGTCTTATATGGTCTGAAAATATATTTTTAATAGGTCATTGTCTAGTTAAGGGGAATTAGCTAAATATGTGTATCTCTGCAGACTAGAAATCAAAAGCAAATCAGAGTGAACAAAATGATAGAACAATATGAATTGTGTACTAGTTATATGAATGTTAAAGACTTATAAAACAAATGATTTTCAAAACTAGCTGAGAATACACACACATCAAACTCACAAATGTGATTCCCTCTGTCAAGGAAGACAAAGGACTAGAATTGAAACTGGAATCAAAGATGAAAGTAAGCTTTTTCTTATTATTCTAATTTTCGTTTTTAAAAAGAAGAATCAAAATTCACAAATCACTTATATAATGATTTTTTTAAAAAAAGATAGAAATCAATGTATCCTTCTGTTTTGCTTTTTTTCTTTCCAAAATTACAAAGAGGAGTTGGCATGAGGTACTTATTGTTTCAATCCACTTCACATCTGTATATGACATTCAAGAACTGTTCTTCGATAAAACATACAGGCTCTTGATTCTGAGATTGTATCTAAATGCATCCTGTTTCAATGTGGAGACAGGTTTGAACCTGCCTTCCCTAATTCTGCTAATGAGGCAGCAGGAATCTGGCTCTATTTAGGGAGCAGTGGCTTCTTCTTCAAGTCCACCCTCAGCCAAGAAGCCCATTGGCCTGTGTCCATCCACCAGGGCTCAACTTCCTTTTATTTTTGTGTTTTACGTTTACCTTTATTCACAAGCAGCATATTTCAAAACAATAATTTTAAAATATTTTTGAATGCTGCAGACATTCAAAAATGAAAACAACAATTTAAAATTATATATTATTCTCCAGTTACAAAGTATGTTTACATCCATTATTTTATTTTATTTCATTATCATCATACACTCTAAAATGTACTAAGGTCAGCATTATTTTACCCATTTTGCAAACAAAAAAAAAAAAATGAGGCCCCAAAACCATCAGTAACTTCTTCTAAATCATATCCATAGTAGTAAGGACTAGAGTTCAAACCTTCCCATTCTAAACTGTCAATCCATCTATCCATTCATTCATTTAACAAACATTTATTAAGCTCCCTCTCCATAGGCTCTTTTCTATAATTCTTTTCAGTGTATCTGGTAATTGTGTTTCCATAAGTCTTTATTCTGTCAATATGAGCTACAGTTATAGGCTATGTGATTCATTGCTGTTTCATTTCCTGTGCCTCATCCTTCAACCCACCTGCTCAATTATAAAGTCCTTGAGTAATTCTATAGTTTAAGACATAAACTTTTTTTCACATCCCACAAGGCTTAACATAGTTCTGGATAAATGCAGAAAACCACTGTTTCTTGCTTAACCAATTTATGGATTATTCTACAGATATAAAAGCCTAGATGTTAAAAGAATAACCCAAAGAGCTCCAATTATGATAAGGAGATAGAACCAAACACCCTAATATCCCATCTGCTCCAGAGATATGGAGCAGCTACTAGAACCCAAAAGCTGATGGAAGCTTCAGAAAACATCCTCGGTCTCTATATTACCCTAGGAACTATTCTAAGTTTCTCAGTTTCAGTCCTATGTAGAGCTTGTTATATAACATTGAAAACACAATCAGACAAGACCTTTGGATTAGGGAAAAAAGTTAAAGAACACATCGTTGTCATTTATTAACTGGTGTTTAGTGAGCCCTTATTACATGCACAATGTATTAGACGATCCCGTGAATAAACAAAGTGCATGGACACTTTTCTTCTTCTCAATGTAAATTGCACTTTACAGTTTATATGTTATCTCATTTCAAACTTTATAGTCCAGCATGGCAGTGATATGCTTGAGTTCTGAATCAGACATTCTAAATTTAAATCCTGGCTCTACCACATTCCAGCTGTGTGACCTCCGGCGATTTGCTTAATCTCACCAAGGCTCAATTTCTTAATTTGAACAACAATGATAATAGGGTTCTAGGGAAGATTAAATGTGATAATTCATGTAAAGCACTTAACACAGTATCTGGCACAGAGAAAACCCTCAATAAATGTTAGCTATTTCTATTATCATCTTTACAACTACCCTTCGAGGTAAATAGGCCCACATTATTTGTATATGAAAGAGAAAATCTGGGCTGAGAGAAATTATGTTAGTTGCAAAGGGTAACAGTGCTAGTAAAGGCCATCAACTCCAGGCATTCTTACTTGCCTGGTGCCAGCCCCATATCACACAGTCCCCTAACAGCATAAGTGAGGAAAAAACACACAAATGTTGGGAAATGTACAAATATTGAAGATGATTGAAGGAAATATGACTGTCCCTTGCTAGCTGAGCACTCCTCTGCTGTAATTAACATCTGATCTGCTACTTTACCAACAGATGAACACCCACTTGGCATTAGGAAGCTGTCTATTTAAGCTTATTTTTTTCATCTATGCCAGTTATCTGTATTTTAATTTCACACAAAGTTTGATTGTTGGTTTTTTGACATCACCCTGTGCCTTCAGATTGAAGTAAATAATACAAACACATATTCAAAGAATAAATGTTGATTCATTGATGTGCCCAGAAGAATTGTGAAGGAGGCACAACTTATCTCCAGACCCACCACATCCTCCAGACTTAGTCATCAAACTTTACTGAGCATCAGAATCACAAATTCTTGGGCCCATCTCATAGGTTCTGATTCAGTAGGTTTAAGGTGGATCCTGAGAATTTGCATTTCTAACAGGTTTCCAGATGACCCTGCTGGTCTGGAGACCATGCTTTGAGTACTATCATAGGTCAGTGTCTCCCAAAACAGTCCCCAGAGAATCTATATTCAATCATTTTGGGTGATTATCAAAATTCAGCTTTTGATGTCCCACTCCAGACTTGTTGAAAGTGATTCTTTGGATGGGTCCTAGGAATCTGTATTGTCACAACTATCCCAGGTGAATTTTAAGCCCATAAAAGTTTGAGAATCGTAGGCCAGGCACGGTGGCTCACATCTGTAATCCCAGCACTTTGAGAAGCCTAGGCGGGTGGATCACTTGAGGTCAAGAGTTCGAGACCAGCCTGACCAACATGGTGAAACCACATCTCTACCAAAAATATAAAAAATTAGCTGGGTGTGGTGGCAAACCCCTGTAATCCCAGCTACTCGGGAGCCTGAGGCAGAAGAATTGCTTGAACCCAGGAGGCAGAGGTTGCAGCGAGTGTAGATCATGCCACTTGCGCTCCGGCCTGAGCAACAGAGCAAGACTCTGTCTCAAAAAAAAAAAAAAAAGTTTGAGAACCCCTAATTTAAATTCTGAGTGTATCCATGATTTAAATCTTATTGTTGTATGCCCAGAACCTAATAGAGTGTTTGGACTGTAGTAGCTACTCAATAAATACTTGTATTTAAATATATCCCTTTTTGCATGTCCTGTTCCCTCCCCACTTAAAGGCCTCCCTCCTCCCACCTAGCCCCTCTTTTAAGGTGCTACAGGCAGCTCCTTCTCTCAGGAAAAGCTTAGAAACCCACTAAATCAACACACACAATACGTTGTCTTAAAACAGCTTTCTAATCGTCGTTTTAATTATTTCTCACATTGTTATTAAACCTTGTACAAAACTGTTTAATTAATGAGATTATAATCTCCCTGAGCAGAGTGACCAGGCCCCTTGCCTCTTCCATTCACAGAACCCCAACCTCTGTCAATACATCATCATTTCACCCCAAAATAAAATACTCATTTGGTTTTATATTTTGCTTTATTGAATTGGAAACCTATATTTTTATTTATTCAATAGTTTAATTCAATACCTATTAGGTGCCAGACACTTAGAAAGATATCAGTCTATCAATTAACATAAAAGGAAATAATCAGTGAATGAATGAGGGGATATTTAGCAAACGCTAATCCTCTTTCATTTTCTCAGTCTCCCCTATCACAAAACACACACACTTCTAGGGGGATGGAAATATTCACTGAGAGCTGAAAGGGGGCAAAGCTCTGATAACAAGTGATTTCACAGGAAAGACCAACAAGCTTATCTCAATGAATATCTATGCAATTCTCATACCTACCTCACCCCAAAGAAAGAAGAAAGCCACTCTTTTTGCCCCTCCAATCTGATGACAGACACTTTCATATCCCCTGTATTCAATCAATGTTTTATCATATCAAACTACATTGTTTTTTCACTGTGTGGCAGGGAAATGCTGTAATCAGTTTTATAGAAGGCTCTCCCAGAATCAAGTAGCTGTAGGCAAGACTGGCTGGCAGCATGACTTAGACATTTACAGATGTGGATCTAGCTGTGAGGAAGAAAAAAGCAATTTAAAGAGACATTGTCAAATTTGAGAGGCATAGATATTTCATCTTTAGTTTAGTAATTAGTAGCTTGAAAAGTACCCAATTAGAAATATTTTCATAAACAACTTAAGCAAATAGTTGGAGATTTTTTTTTTGGAGACAGAGTCTCGCTGTGTCGCCCAGGCTGGAGTGCAGTGGTGCAACCTCGGCTCACTGCAACCTCCACCTCCCAGGTTCAAGCAATTCTCCTACCTCAGCCTCCCGAGTAGCTTGGACTACAGGTGCCCGCCACTATGCCTGGCTAATTTTTTCTATTTTAGTAGAGATGGGGTTTCACCATGTTGCCCAGGCTGTTCTCAAACTCCTGAGCTCAGGCAATCCGCCCACCTCGGCCTCCCAAAGTGCTAGGATTTCTCTAAAATTATTCCCCAAATGATAAAGCCAAGGAAAGCTAAAGTGCAATTAATAACTGCCTTCAAATAAAGATGTTTATTGCTGGAAGAGTCCTTAGAGATCAAGCAATCCACACTCCCCACACCCGCCACCCCCACCACTCCACCTTATGATGAAGCTGAGGTTCCAAGAGACAAGATTTACCAAAACTCAGGAACCTCCCTGACTACCACTTTATATGTTTCTCTGATTAGCTAAAATTTCAATGTCAGGGACCCTTAGAAACCTTAGACAGATCATATACTTTACAGCTGAGACAACTGGAACAACCAATAATCCTGGATCACACAGCCAGATCCCTTCTCTTATAGCTTTGTCTTTTCCTACGCCCTCTTCTTGCCTCCCAGAAGAGACGTTCCACAGGTGTCAACTAACTTAGGAAAAAAGCAGTCTATGTACACAAAGGATTTAGTTTGGATATAAAAACCCCTTTTTCCATGATAAATATAGCTACAAGGAGTCTCTCCTTCTACACCCCTTCCTATTTTTCCTTAAAAGACTGAAATGGATGCAATGCCACATTTGTACTTTGGCAGATGCCTGTGATGTACAATTTATGAGAACTAAAAAAGCACCCGTGTGCCTTGAACTCTCCCTATCATTTGCCCATCATGGTGTTTAAAGTTCTCAGCATTAGAAAATTATTCCCCAAACACTAAAACTTAAAGCATTGTATCTTCAGAATATTCCAGTAAAATGGCTACTTCTAGGAAGGCTAACACATGACTCAAACAGCAGTCATTAATACATTAACATAGCGAGACACTGAGGGATTGAATGGGACACAGAGCCCATGCATGGAAGAGTAGATTCTGAAGCCATGGGTGCTGACTAGGGAGGGGAAGCATAAAGGTTGCTTAAAGGTGGATTCTAATTGAGCCAGATTACAATTTGAGAAGAGCAAGTAGCTGAATTTCTGAGGAAAATAAATAGATAAATGAAAGAAAGAAAGAATGACCTATTTCATAATTTGAGCTATGATTAACTTTGAATGATTCCTAAGAAAAGCATAGGCTAACATAAGCCTAATGACTCATCCAGCAAGAATTTATTGTACACTGATATGGTTTGGCTCTGTGTCTTCACCCAAATCTCCTCTTGTAGCTCCCATAATTCCCAAATACTGTGGGAGGAACCTGGTGGGAGATGATTGAATCATGCAGGTGGTCTTTCCTGCACTGTTCCCATGATAGTGAGTGGGTCTCATGAGATCTGATGGTTTTAAAAACGGTAGTTTCTCTGCACAAGCTCTCCCTTTGCCTGCTGCCATCCACATGAGTTGTGACCTGCTCCTCCTTGCCTTCTGCCATGATTGTGAGGTCTCCCCAGCCATGTGGAACTGTAGGTCCAATAAACCTTTTTCCTGTGTAAATTACCCAGTCTTGGGTATGTCTTTATCAGCAGCATGAAAACAAACTAATACACACACCTACTCTGTGTTACATTCTGTAAGGGATACAGAAGATAATTTAGTGTGTTTCTTTTCTTAAGAAGATGGCAAAGGAGTAAAGAGATAAAATTAACAGAAACATAGCAACAGAAGAAATACAATGGCTATGGTTTAGAAGTATGGCCAATCAGCATTCACTGAACCCTAATATGATCAATGGTGTGCATTAGGTATGAAGGAAGCCATGATGCCCTCACAGCCTGAAAGGGAAAATGGCCTATGTACAGAAATAACCCTACTAGGACAGAAAATCAGGTCCAGCCTGGAAGTATAAGCAAAACCTAAGCCATGAGGGTATGTGTTTGGGATGAGGAGAGAGTGGGTTATTACATCTACTGTAGAAAGTCTTCATTGTGAATGTGTCACTAAACCTGAACCTGAAGTAGACCTCAATAGTTGAAGATCAGGGATGGTGCATTATAGAAGGACACAGAGAAGATATATAATATATGTTTCTGGGACTGTAAGCAGTCCTACAGACTGGAGTAGAGAAGACGAGAACTCAGGAGGTAGTTCTTGTACAAGGTCTGCCCCATGGCCTTGGCAATCTTGACCTTTTTCCACTTTTAGGCATCAAGAAATTCCAGAAAATCTTGAAGTGCTCTTAAACCCTTGGCCTATTTCTCTAAAGTGGTAGAGTGAATTAGATCCAAATTCAAGGCCTGGCTTCATACTTTAACATGAGAATAACTTGGAAAAATCATGTAACTTCCCTTAGCTTGTTTTCTCACCCATAAACTGGGAGAATTTTTACTACTGACTTATTAAGGTTATGAGAGCCAAATAAGATAAAGCTAAAAAAAAATCCTACACAAAGCTTCACAAATATTAATTATCATCATTATTGTGTAAATGTGGCCAGCATACCTGGTGGAAGCCATCCAATGCCAGTGCATGACATAGAATTAAATTTGTCTGTCCTGAAAAGAACTTATATTCTGGGAAAGTAAAGATCTACCTAAAATTGAAAATCAAGACCTAGTATATATGTGATATGCATCTGGCTCCTAGCATAGAAATTCTCGCTATGTATTTATTACCTTTTTTTTGTTTGGTTGGTTTTTGTTTTTTTTGAGACGGTCGCCCCCGCTGGAGTGCAATAGCGCAGTCTCAGCTCACTGCAACCTCTGCCTCCCAGGTTCAAGCACTTCTTCTGCCTCAGCCTCCCGAGTAGCTGAGATTACAGGCATGTGCCACCATGCCCGACTAATTTTTTCTGTATTTTTAGTAGAAATGGTGTTTCACCACATTGGCCAGGCTGGTCTCGAACTCCTGACCTCAGGTGATCCGCCTGCCTTGGCTCCCCAAAGTGCTGGGATTACAGGCATGAGCCACTGTGCCTGGCCTATTATGTCTTAAGTAGTCGATAAGTTAGTGCATAGGTTGGGAGCTCACTTAACCCTTCTAGAAGTCAGAATTCAACAATGTTTAGATACAGAAAATGCTGTGACTGCTTTCAGAAAACACAACTATGGAATATTTTTCTATACATCTGATTGGTTAGAACCCCCTCATATGTCATAATACTAATAAGATTGCATGTTTTTTGATAGAAACAACATATCTTCTAATTACAGCATAAATACAATGTACAATGCATTATATTTTCCTTTATGCATGCTTCAGGGACATTACCTGTGGCTCTGAAATGTTTTAGAAGACCTTAAGGCTAGTCAACAACCACTCTGGATAAGTAAAAAAAAAAAAAAAAAAAAAGATTGGTAATAACTGAGGCAATTTCAAGATTATCATAAGGATATCCCACAAAATCAAGCTAACAATATATTTAGTTTTGATGTAAATTTCTCCTGTTGCCTTAATTAACCCCATCTCAATTCTTTCTAATGAATACTATTCTCTGTCTGCTTCCCATACATCTTTAGAACCAAGGAGAGACCAGTGCCACAGTCAAGGCAGTTTTTCTAGTCAATTACACAGGATCCTCCTCTAAGAAAGAGCTTATACTTAGTTTAATGTTCTTCTTACTATTAATGTTATCTTTGAACTTGTGTTTTATAAGTAAGTCTGAGGGCATAACAGAATATGTGTGTGAGCAAACAAATTTTAAATAAAGAAAGAAAAAGTCTTTATAGTTTAGTACCTTTCAGCAGTACATTTTGGCCTGCACCTGCCAATGACTATATTTGCAGAACAGCTCTTAAACAGAATACATGGACAATATGGCTGATATTGCAGGGGCCATTTTTTTCAACCCCCATTGGATCTTCTTCTTAAGGCCCTAGTATGCCTCCAGCCCATTCTATTGGAGTAGTGACAATTTCTCACACTGTAACCCAAGTTGCATCTTCTTTTAACCACAAAGCTATGCTACAATCTAAAAAATATATTAGAACTGGGCACAGTGGCTCACACCTGTAATCCTAGCACTTTGGGAGACTGAGGTGTACATATTGTTTGAGGTCAGGAGTTGGAGACCAGCTTTAGCAACATGGCGAAACCCTGTCTCTACAAAAAACACAAAAATTAGCTGGGCATGGTGGCACATGCCTATAGTCCCAGCTGCTTGGGAGGCTGAGGTGGAAGGATTACTTGAGCCTTGGAGGTCGAGGCTGCAGTGAGCGAAGATCATGCCACTGCACTCCACCCTGGGCAACAGAGCAAGACCCTATCTCAAAAATAAATAAATAATATATTAGAATGCTGATATATGTTAATTTTTATTAGTCTTTTGAGTTGTAGGAATGGTGTTAACTTTCTATTTCAGCCTAGGATGAAGAAATATCCCCTATCAAAATCAATCCAGCCCTGTTTTCTTGAAAATAAAAGCCAAAGAAATATTAAGTAACTTGTTCAGAAATTCAAAGTAAAAATAAGAGTTAAGATTAAAATTCCAAAATGTCAAATTGGCTTCTGTTTTGGCTTTTGCATATCTAACTCTGCATCAGGACTGTATTTGGATTTCTCTTTCATTTTCAATACTTTAGTACATTCTGATTTGTTTTACATGGGTGCAGGGACACACATACACATACACACACCTAAATGTCAAGAAACACGTGTTAAATTCATAGTCTATAGATATTGATGTTCTATTTAGAAGGAAGTCAGACAATATATAAAAGCTTCAGGGAAAAGTTTCCTTGCATAACAAAAGAGCTGATGCATCAAGTTATGGTTTGTTAATGGCATTCAATTAACACATAACTGTTGTTAGTTGATTAAAAATTAACTGTGAATAACTGTTTAACATTTAGCACTTACAAATGTTACTTGATTTGTTAAAATTGTAGAGCAAAGGAGTCTGGGGGGAAGCTAGAAATATTTGGTTAGGTTTTTAATGGAAATTTTAGACACATTGTAAAATAGTTCTTCCTCGTAAATATACATTTGTAAATCAATCTTCATGTTTTAACCACTTGTGAAGAATTTTGCAGACTTCCTGTTTTAAAAGCACTTGAGAAATAAATATCTGCCAGGGAGAGAAATCCCATCAGTTTTCTTGCTGTTCCTATACAGATGGCAGACCATACTGTGAAATTTGCTGTTCTTCGATTGCTCCATTCTGCACACGCCCCAAGGAATCTCAGAATTGTAGAAACTAGAGATGTAATAGACTAAATAGGTCATCTATTTCAATAGAAATTTTACCAGATTTATACAAGACTCTTGAATTTACAATACAACTCACTTCCAAGGGGGTCCAAATGCTGAAGAGAAAATTGGCTTTTTTTCCCCAGCCATCCTAGAGTCATATATTATGTTCTGCTATTAATCATGTTCTTCTCTTGGTGAAGATAATACATCATAAGAATGTGCACACAGAATTTCTTTTCCAACAAAAGGATACGATTTGTAGTGATCCATTTCCAGGCTCTCATTAGCACCCCCACCTTCGACCCCAGACCAATGGCTGTATTTGTAAGACAGCTGTCTGAGGTCTGAGGAGTAACCCATGGCCCTGGAAGAATGTGCAAGTAGGTGGCCCTTGTGAGGGTAATATTCAACAGTTTGGTCTCTTTAAACCTATCCTGACTGGGTGCAGTGGCTCACACATGCAATCCCAACACCCTGAGAAGCTAAGGAGAGAGGATTGCTTGAGGTCAGGAGATTGAGACTAGCCTGGGCAACATAATGAGACCCTGTCTCTATAAATTTCTTTTTTCAAAAAAAATTTTTGTGTGTGTGTGATTTGGTGTGGTGTGGTGTAAACCTGCAATCCTAGCTACCCTAGAGGCTGAGGCAGGAGGATCATTTCAGCCCAGGAGTTCAAGGTTGCAGTGAGCTATTATTGCACCTCTGCACTCCAGCCTGGGAGACAGAGTAAGACTCGGTCTTTTTAAAAAACAAAACAAAATCATATCCTAACCAACCAAAATAACCACCTGCAGATATGTTACATGATTACTCTGAAATCATTTCAGTATATTTTTGAACACCAACATGTGTAAGGGATAGTCAAAGCAACAAAGGAATTTGAGTCCCAAACCTTAAAGTTCTGCATTCTTGAATAGAGGGAAAACCATTCAATACATCAGAACTTTATACTACTAGGTATTATAAATGTTATTTGTGTTTGCCTACCTTTCTCATTCTTTTGTTCCTGCAGGGAACAGTCTCTGTGATTCAGAGGGCACTGACTCCCCAGTAGCTCATATTCTTGGCCACAATAATTGGTGCAGAAATGATCAATGAACTAAGTTTGGCAAATTAGGGTTTTCCCCAGGACTTCTATGCTAGAGGTCTCTCAGAAGATTCCTCATTCTCATCAAGAAGTGCTAAACTAGGAAAATGAGGGCCAGAGGCTGCCAGTGGCAACTTGCCCAACACACAGAGAGAGCCTGTCTCAGAAAGAAACCAGGGTGAGAGAGGTAGAGAGATGACAAACCCCAACAATATCACTGAACAACTAAGATCAGCTGCCCCTGAGGCTACATCCACATTTTAAATTTCTCTGGTCTAGGACTTCCCCCACACAATTTATAGTTTGAGGTGGGTTTCTATCACTTATAACTGAAAGAGAACTAATTAATACATAGAGACACCTGCCAAGTGCGATATACAGATAATGAAAGTCAGGAGAATTCAGGATAGGAGTTCAAGGGAAGACTTTCCAGAAAAGATGGAAATTTGATCTATGCTTTAAAGAATTTAGGAAGATAGAAAGGAAAATGAGGGCATTCCAGGTAAGATGATATATAAGAGTATAAGCCAGTTTCAAGGGGTAGAGACGATCAATTTTGGGTGAAGTGGTGGCTACATATAGGATAAGAATTAGAAAGTTAGGCAGAATAATAAGAATAGTCTTAATAAATGTGGAATGTAATTGATAATCTAAAATAGATACAATGTTTGTTAATAAGAATAAAGCTCTGAACAAACATCATTTTCATCATCATTACACACAATCACAAATCAGTTTCACTCATAAAAGCTTCATTATAGACTCTCTGTTCACCTAGAGAGGATCCTGGACTGGACACAAGCACAGGACATAATCCTGTTATGTAGATGAGTCAGGGTGCACCGGGGTACCAGCATTCCACATGCACCCTGACTCATCTACAGACTTCAGCATCCAGGGCCATCCACCCATCATTTTTCATGATGACATAATCCTGTTAGGAAGACCAGTAGAATCGACTGTATGTATAGATCGCTATTTTTCTCCTTTCCTGGTCTCTTATCAATGAGAAATTACTGAATTAGATACTCTTTTTTCTCCCTCACACCATCCTGAGCTTTTGTTTGTCTACTTCTTACATCCCATACCCTAACTTTGTCTTGGCCAAGTGTGCTTTTGCATGCATGATACAGAAGCGAAAATCTTGCAGTGCTTTTTTGAGCTGTATCTGAAAAGTTCTTTTGTACTCATGTACAGGATGGAAAACATATATCAAATGTCAAGGGAATTGTCTAATAACACTGATTTTTGGGGATTAGTGGTAAGGAGTTTGCAGTAATTTATGAAGACAAATTTTGTAAGCAATATTATCAGGAATATATTTAGATATATTTAAATGTGGATTTGGATAGCGGTATGAATTTAGATATGTAAATATCTAGGTATAGGTAGAGATAGAGGATGCCAACCATCTGAGATCACCAAGGCCATTTATATTGTTTTGTTTGGATGTCTCCCTTTCCAGTAACTCCTGGTCAAACTGTGCTCCTTTCAGTTCTATAAGAACTGCTAAATTACCTGTAGCTTTTATTTAGTGAGACACCTCATGGAAGTGGAGCATTTTCTGTATGTTAGCAACAATTTGTGAAAATACCACAAAAATCGAATCATTTGAGCCACCTTGTAAATGCTAGTTAAGGAAGGGCAAAAATTCGACTATGACTGACTAAGAGAAAAATGTTAAGTAAAGCCTCTATGTCATTTTCCTCTATTTATTTGGAGTTTATACATAAATATCTCATAGCCAGAGAGAAATGAGCATTCAGTGAGGGTAGAGATTAAGATGAGGAAAGGAAGCCAGTCTTATAACTTCTAAATAGTTGAACGTTAATTATTTAATTGACAAACATTAAGTACCTAGTATGTTCTAGGCATCAAATTATCTGAATCACAATGACATACGTCCTTGTGTGCCTGAGTTCTAGACTATGAGCTTGCTGAACAGGGACTGCAGCTTTCCTTTTCTGTATCATAGAATCAAAACCAATGGCAGATATGTGATAGATGCTTAGTATTTGTTCAACAGATTAATGTTATGATGATTAAATTGAATAACGCATGCAAGTCATAGAATAAGTATTCCATCAATGTTACTGTGTTTATTACCATGATGTTTAAAAACCATGTAGATGAAGAAAAACCTGCAAAGATTGAGAAGGAAGAAAAAGTTAAGAATGGAATCTGATATTTGCAATATATAAGTCCAGTGGTACCACATGAGCCATACCTTCTGCCCATAATATTTTTCCTCTTCTGAATGCCCTCATAACCCCTTTTGACTGATTGATTTCTACTTGTCCACCAATAGTCAGCTGCAGTTCCAGAAACCATCAGCCTGGGTTACATGTTCTTTCTTTTAGTGGTGCCAGGTTCCACACTCACCACCCCACACTTAATATTCATAGTCTCTGGAAACCACCAGAGTTGAGAAGATGAAGCAGGAGTCCAATGAATTGAGCATTACTTAGATTCTCTGCTGACTTCATTTATTTAGTCAGTCAATATTTATCGAGCATATACTATGTGATGAACACCATCTTCTAGGGAGTAATTAATATCACATCTCAAAGCCAGCCCCAAAAGTAGGCTTTTTAAAAAGTTATAATGAACTAAGCTTACCTTCACATGGAAATATATTTTGCAAGTCACTCAAGACTATAACTGCTCAAGCTCATTAACATCAGTGAAGCTTTATAAGGACATTGATAAAATCTGGCCATTTTTCCTCAGGCATATTCAATAAGGTTAAACACTTCTCAGAGATCATGTAAGATAAGGTCTAAAAGGTATGCTAGATTGAGTTGCAGATACCCTTCATACTCTCTGCCAGGAGAGTGGAAGTGTAGAGTGGGGATGGAAAGCGGAAGGCAGTGAATTGGAGCCTGAGTGTGTAAGCTCAAGAAGTTTGGCTCTTCTCCAAAGAGAGAAAGAAAAGACCATTTCTACAGAGAGGTGTGGAGTGCAGAGAGGTTGTTTTGAGGATTTTTTTGTTTTTTAAGATAGAAGAGGCTTAAACATATTGATAGAATAAAGAAAAACAACCAATAAAGAGGAAGAAGTCAAAAATGAGGAGAAAGGCTGAAAATGACAATGTCATAGGGGAGAGGTCAGGGGGATGGATCGTAAGAGGCTCTGGAGAGATTCTTCATCTGTTCCCCAGGAAAGGAGAATAGACTGCATAAAGGCATAAATTTCTCAGAAAGTAAAACTTTAGATCATCTGCTATAAGAGGGCTAGATTTGGGGCTGGGGTTTTGTGGAAATGAAAGTGGTTCTTCGCTGGAGAGCAGAGATTTGTGGAGGCAGAGACTAGACCTTACCTGACAGAGATGAGAACCATGGAGATAAGTAGGCTAACAAATAAGGTGAAACGATGCTAAATAGCAGCCTGGAATAAAATGAGAGAATCTGGAAGTCCACTATGCTAAGAAAGATAGAAGAAGGGTCAAAGGCCACAGAGCCAGTTTCAGATGTTAGTTGATTAAAAGAAACACACCAAAAAAACAGAGTGTGATCTTGAAATTATAAGCTTGAATTAGAAGAACAAATATTACTTTAAGTTTTAAGGCTGGTACAGGTACAGGAAGGTCAAATATATTTTGTCTCATGAAGTGCTGTGTTGACAAGGATTCTAAGAATCCATCTAGGCTTAATGGAAAAGAGTGTCATCATCGATGAGTGATATCTGCACTGAGGTAGTAAGAGTAGAAACATATGGCATGTTTTTGCCACTTCTTACTTAGGCTGTCAATGTGAATACTGAGGTCACCTAGGACCTTAGAGAGATTAAAATGGGAAGGCAGTAATCATAATCCTAAATAAAAAAGGGTGGTGAGGAGTAGCCACCAGTTGCAAAACCTAAAATAAGAGGGATTTTTTCATAATAATGGAAGAGTAAGATCTGGAAGCAACAATAGGGAATTTAAAAAATGCTTACAAAATATCAGAAGACAAGCCTCTCTGTTAGCACAAGGGCAACTTTAGCAGGAAGCCAGGTTTGCATTAAGAACTTTGTTAGAAACAGAGTCCCAGTTTAACCATGCAGTTGTTCTCTGTAATATACCCTCTTTGGGCTTGCCACGGAGAAAACCTGGTTGAGCTGGGTGCATACATCATTTAGGTATATATGTTAGGCCATTCTTGTATTGTTATAAAGGAACACTTGAGACTGGGTTATAGATAAAGAAAAGACATTTAATTGGCTCACAGTTCTGTAGGCTTTACAGGAAGCATGGCACCAGCATCTGCTCAGTTTCTGGGGAGGCCTCAAGTAGCTTTTACTCATGGCAGAAGGTGAAGTGAGAGCAGATACATCACATGGAGAGGGTGGGAGCAAGAGAGAGAGGGAGGGAGGATGCCACACACTTTTAAACAACCACATCTCATGATAACTCACTCATTTTCTCAAAGACAGCACTAAAGGGAAGGTGCTAAGCCATTCATGAGAGTTCCTCTCCCATAATCCTACCAGGCTCCACCTCCAACATTGGAGACTACATTTCAACATGAGATTTGGTGGGGACAAATATCCAAATCGTATCCGTATACCTGAGCATTGAATGGGATCTTACACAGGTAAGTGGATAAAAACAATCTGTGACCCCATTCTGAAAATGGCACTCTCTGATTCCAAACTTCCATTGAAAGGCTATATTCCTTAACTTGGCTTCAACCAAGTTTCTTGTTTTCTCCACAACTCCCCTATCTAATTTTCTGTCCTAATCAGGCTGGTATGGTCACCACCAATACCTGTTGCCATCTTTTCAGCCTCGCGCCCCTCTTTCTGCATCATTCCAAAGTCAGATGCCCTCTTTGTTCCTTTCCGGCTATTAAAATCTTTCATGTCCTTCCAAGCTCAGCCCATTATCCACTCATTTCATGAAGTCTTCCTCTGACGTGAGAGAATTACAACTTTTTTTTTATTCTCCTCTGTCACCATTTGTACCCACTTGTACTTCCAGTTGTGATTATTTTTCTATCACCAACTCTGTTAGAGCCTTGTGTGCAAGAACAATTTATATCTCCTACTTCTTTTCAGCCCCCATAGTACCTGACGTACACTAGATACTTAGTAAATAACTGATGGATGAATGCATGAATGAATCAAAGGGAAGTTCATGTATTGTTTTCTTCCCATGTGTTTTTACCTTCTTAAGCGGGTGTGCTGAGGGGCTTCGAATGGGAAATTCTAATGGGAGATTCTAGGGCCCAGACAAGGACTGCAGCATTATTCCAATAGGGAGGGGAAGCAGAAATCCCGACTTAATCCAGACACCTGCAGAGAGGTTGGCAGTGGGAAGGTGGGAACTAAAACTACCTGAAGGACAGAGGTGGGGAGCGGTGCACCCTCTCCTCCAAGGCTCGAAGAGTATCTCTGTCGTCACTCACCAGAGAGTGTGCAGCATTCCTGGCAAGCTCCCATTATCCCATCACTCTCTCAGATGGTGGGCAGTGGAATCGATATTCCCAAGGCTTTAAAAAGCTCCCAAATGTTGTGCTGCCATTCATTCAACAACAGGGGGAGAAATAAGGGAAGAAAAAAACTGATGTTGGCTTCTTATTTTGCTTATGTTGTTAAAAGCCGCTCTGATGCTGTGGTTCTGGAGTAGGTCCCCTCTTTCTTTGAAAGCATGCTGCGTGATAGACTGTCATTTGTCCCCTGCCTCCAGAAGAGCCAGCTGGCAGCGAAGTGCTAAAGCCAGTGACTTGCATGTGTTTTTCTGACATTTCACAAATGGGAACAGCTTGCAAATCTGCATTAACTCACTCTGTCTCGCAAATAATCAGGGCCTACGCAGTGTAGACGCTGGGAACATTAGCTCCGACACAAAAGAGTGAGAGGCTGGGGGCTGGGGGGGCGACAGAAAACAAGTCAGCAAATAACGGATGTTTTAACGAAGGGATGAATGTAACATTCTGGTTCAGAGGAAAGAGTTTTGAAGTCATTTTTGTTTTTCAACAGGCCACTGCTAATGGTGCTAAATCCGTCTGTCAAGGCCCAGCTTTGCAGCTTGAAGTCATCTTGCCTGCACCTCACAAATGCTGATCTGTTGGTTGCTTTCATCCTGCGAATACCATTTCAAATTTCTTATGTTTCAGAGCCAATGTTCTCTCAAAAGGGCAATGTTTGACCACAAGTGGACTTTTGCAAAGCCACACCACACAATTAGATTACTGTCCCTACACTGATGTTGAAAAGACAAGATATCATACACACACAGCTGTACCTTTACAGGAAAGTTGTCATATGTATGTGTGTGTCTGTTGTGAGACTTCCTCACGCTAACATCCTCCCATAAATTAGGGTATCGATCCAGTTCATGTTAGCACTGTGGATTTAAGATAAATTTAGAAGCCTATCTCATTCAGGGTGATTTGGCATTTGGGGATAAGCACTATCAATCTCTAATTGTTTCGTTCAATTTATCCAGAAGATAGTTGTGCTTGTGATGTTCCAACTTCTAGCCTCAAATCTCCAAAGAAAATAAGTCCCTAAGCATGAATAAACAGAGAAATAGGTACACTGGGGAGTGTATTTGGCACAAGGCTTGGAAAATCTGTATTCTAGAAGAGGCAAAATGAACTTGTACTTTTCCTTAAACTTTCAGGACGGAACAGCATAATCACCATTGACCCATTGGGACTCATGAGACACTGCAACAGGCCCTAAGAGGCATGAGGGGAATTTGGGGCTCATAATTAGGTCATTGGACCTCAGGACTATGGCATTTTCACAAAAGAGAAGAGAATGTTCCTAACCACAGGCATGAATGCCCAGGAAAGCTGCCACCTGGCCCTAGCCCTCACAGAGCATGGCCCTGCCTGGGGCCTGGGTCAGTCAGAATTATTGAAAGGACACCTCTGCATTACCCAAGGACACAAAAAGAGATTCCCTTCCTTCTGAGGAGACTTGATAGAAGGCGCAGTTACCCTGAAGAGCAAAGTCAACTTTTAAGCATCAAAAGGGCTGGAATTAGAGTACAAATTGAGCACTGCTGGCTGAAAAACTGCCACACTCAAAGACAAAGTGGCAACTGTCAGTGGACCAGATAGCCATCTGTGGCCCCTGTGAACTGAGGCTGAGATATTTTGGCAACAACTCAGCCAGGGAGCAGAAAGGCAGTACCAACTCAGATTTGAGGTTCAACAACATGGGGCCAGTCAAGAGTAGAGGCTCTGCCACCTTCAGACTCTCTGGCCTTGTCTACAGCCTTAACTGAGTTGCTTGTGAGTCTGGAGACAAAAAAAAAAAAAGAAAGAAAGACAAGAAGAAAATGTGTCTCATTCCTCTAGTACAGAGCATCACACATGCAGCCACCATGGGATTGGACAGGACCCAGAGTCCTCTCTACATATCACATGAGTCCTGATTTACCCCATAGCAGGGGTCTGGGGAAACCAAGAATTACAGACAATTTTAAACACAAAGGATTAGCAAATTATTTGTGTGAAATGTCAGAGTGCTAAGGAATGAATACCTGCACCTGAACCAAGAAGAGATCATTACCAACATAATACTATACTTCAAAAGTAGTATATCCTAAATAAATAATTTTGGGCCCCTATTTTTTATTTTCCCTGTCCTTACTCTGGCTCCCAACCTTGTGTTTTGATGGCTTTTCTCTTACATAATATTACTCAATTTCACCCATACGTTTTCATCTCTAGTCACTATAAGCCACAATTATTTTGCCTTCTCTAATGCAGCAGCTTCTGAATTTGTCTCCCCCAATTCCATTTTTGCTTCTGTCCAATCCATAGGCCAGTATAGCCTCTGGAAAACAGTACAGCCAGTGTCTGGCTGGGCATGGTGGCTCACACCTATAAACCTAGCACTTTGGGAGGCCGAGGCATGTGGATCACTTGGGGTCAGGAGTTCGAGACCAGCCTAGCCAAGTGGTGAAACCCTATCTCTACTAAAAAATACAAAAATTGGCTGGGCGTCATGGCATGATGCCTGTAATCCCAAGTACTCAGGAGGCTGAGGCAGGAAAATCACTTGAACCCGGGAGGCGGAGGTTGCAGTGAGCCGAGATTGCGCCACTGTACTCCAGCCTGCGAGACAGAGGGAGACTCCATCTCTAAATAAATTAGTTAATAATTAATAAATAAATAACAAAAACAATAAAAACAAAACACGCCGTGTTCATATGAATCTCCTACTTCAATAACAGTTCTCAAAATGTACACTAAGGTGCCCTGAGACTCCATTTAGACTCATAGGAGTTCTCTGGAATATTTTTAATTTTTGAGGAAAACAATAATACTCCACATCAGTCAGACACTGCACAGTTTCAACATTAGATTGCACTACATTTCTTTCAATATTTTTTTTTTTGTGTGAAGCTTGGGCTTTCAGTGACTGCTGTGATAAGAAAGGCAATTCCACAAAATAATCACTGTGGAACAAAACATAAAGGTGGAGGTATCCAATCTGATTCCAAGGTTTGAGAAACTGCGCAGTGCCTAACACTCAAACATGTATAATTAGTAAGAAATTGTAGTTATTTAAGAATGAAATAAAAAATACTGGTTTCTGTCCATTTACGTATAATATTTTTTCAAAGAACATTTAAATTGTTAGATCATAAATATTTAGCTAACTTTTTAATTAATGGAAATTTTAGCTATTTCTGTTGGCCTAGGGGTGCTATGAACCAAGAAAGCTTAGGAATGTTTGCCTTGGATAGTTTCTAATTGTTCACAGGATAAAATAAAAAAATCTTGATCATGACTTGAAAATCCCTGTATGGTAGCCATCTCCAGCTTCGTCTTATTCTCCTCATAATGTGATCTCCAGCACTCCTAGGACCTCTTTTATTTACCCAAACTTACCTTGTTTATTCTTTACTCAAGGCCTTTACACACATTGTTATCTTTGTTCACAAAAATCTTCTCTTCCTGTCCTGTTCCCCCATGCCCCACCCACAAACCCCCACTTCCCTACTAAACACCTTCTCAGCCCTAAGATCATTCGGTCTGCAACCTATTTTCCCATGGAAAGCAAGTTTATTGTATGTTCTTCTTTCATGCTGTACCCTTTCCTTCAAGTCAAATTTGCACAAGAGGCAGTGTGGTAAAATGGTTAATAGCACAAAGCCTGGAGCCAAACTGCCAAGTTCAAATCCCAGTTCTGCTACTGGCCAAGTTACTTAACCACTCTGTATCTCTTTCATAAAATGGGGTTACTACCTCACAGGGTTGTTAAATGAGTTAACATATATATATGAGATTAAATGAGTGAACATATATATACTGTATTTAGAATAGTACATATTGTAAAGGCTTTTTCCCACATCTTTTCTAGTGGATGATAAACTCCATGAAGACAGAAACCACTTCTCTTTTTACTAACCATTGTATCACTAACATCCCACAGTATCCGGCACAGGAGACATGCGATAAATATTCATAAAAACAGAAAAGAAACATAATCTTAACTCTTGGTCTTGGCTTCTGACTCGACCTCACAATACCTACCCATGATGCACCTGATGCAAAATAATAGCATTCTAGGAGATGGGAAGAAAGAGTACCCAACCTATTTTTCAGCTTACTTTTCCTGATGTTACCCACTCCAGTCCATTTCCACAGTGGATAAAATGGTACAAGAGTAACTACTAAGACTCACTTTTTATCCTCAGTTATTATTTTCTTCTATATGTAATATTTTATCTAAATTGAGTAAGGGCCGAGTGCAGTGGCTCATGCCTATAATCCCAGCACTTTGGGAGGCCGAGGCGAGCTAATCACTTGAGCCCAGGGGTTCCAGACCAGCCTGGGCAACATGGCAAAAACCCGTCTCTAATAAAAAATACAAAAAATTATCTGGATATAGTGGTGCACGCCTGTAGACCCAGTTACTGTGAAGGCTGAGGTGGGATGATCATTTGAGCCCAAGAGTCTGAGGTTGCAGTGAGCTGAGATCATGCTGCTGCACTCCAGCCTGGGCCACAGAGTGAAAGCTTGACTCAAAAAAAAAAAAAAATTGAGTATGCAGTAAACAAAACACTGGACTTCAAGACAGGACACCAAGATTATAGCACCTGTAGTGTGGGTCTCCCAGTCAAAGCATCACAGTCTATATTACAATGTCTGGTCTCTGCTCTGGCACATGTAACCACAGCTGATGTGGAGGAACACAAAAGAACACAACACTGGAAGAGGACCTAGAGGCAGGGAAGAAACTAGGGAACTATCTTCAGTCCTGGACAGAAAGTATTGAAAGACTTGAAAACCCAGCCACCCTGGGGGAAGCCTAATATAAAAACAATAGGCATTAAAAGCTAATAGGATGTTAACTTTGTAGTTTTGCTAATTGTACTATGTTTATGCAAGATTTAACATTTGGGAAAGCTGTATGAATGTTATATGAGAATAATTTGTACTATATTTTCAATTCTCTGTAAATCTGAAATTTTTTATTTAAATATCAACAAGAAAATATCAAAATATATTTTAATAAAATGTAAGTGCTATTTAAATACTGTAAGAGAGTTAACTATTGTGTTGTGGAAGTTCAAGGAATAGAAAGAAATTTCTGCCTACGGAGAAATCATGATAATAAATAACAATGGGGCTGCGTTTTAGGACAAAGATTATTTGTGTATGTGGAGGTAAGTGATAAGGAGAGGAATACAATGTGAACAAAGACATGAAGATGGGGCATGACTGCTGGAAAAGTCCCTCAAATGGAGCTCTGTCCTCTGAGGTAGTTTGAATACTTGTCCCTGCCCAAACCTCATGTTGAATTATAGTCCCCATATTGGAGGTGGGGACTGGCGGGAGGTGTTTGCATCGCGGGGGCAGATCCCTCATGGCTTGGTGCTGTCCTTGCAATAGTGAGTGTTTTCTTGCAAAATCTGGTTGTTTAAGTGTGTAGCACCCCCCAACACTCTCTTGCTTTTGCCATGTGAGACGTCTGCTCCCCTTTTGCCATCTGCCATTATTGGAAGCTTCCTGAGACCTCCCCAGAAGCTGAGCAGATGCTGGTGCCATGGTTCCTGTACAGCCTACAGAACCATGAGCCAATCAAACCACTTTTCTCTGTAAATTACCCAGTCTTGGGTATTTTTTTATAGCAATGCAAGAATGGCCTAATACATCTTCTATTTGCATGCTTGTCCTAGCAATCTGGAAAACTCCCATTGATAACTAGAAGAATATCACCTCTGCGTGATCCCTATTTCTAGTCCTATTACATTCTAATTCCAAGACAAGTAATTCTACCAAATCTTTCCTAGTAATCTATGGGCAAATTCAAATCTCAATTTGGGAAACCCTTTACAGGGCATTTCAGTAATCACCATTTCTATGCTCACTCTGAACTAAATTCACAAAGAGGCCTCTAGTGTGTAATTGAGCCAGCTTCTGAGTCTTGTGTGCACTGGGTTTATTTAATAGTCTCTCTGTTACTGTGAGGAGTCAGGACCTGCCACGTGACAGACCTCAATGCTTATATGAACATTCCTTACCACCTCACAGGCCTGTCCAATATAGCAATCTCGTTCAGCCAACATTAAGTTTGTACCAGGCCAGGTATGTATGTATGTATATACGGCTTTTTCCAGATTTCCAAACCACCATTCCTAATACTGGCATGATCATTTATTCCCTCTGTGATTTTTTTTCTTGTGCTTATTTCACTTTTAATCAGTTATCAAGCTAGAGGAATGAGCTTTTGACTTTCTCTTGTCACTTGTCTAAGAGTTTGGTTTTTTGTTTCCCTGCCCCTCCAATGTATATGAAATGAGTCATCACTCTTTTCCAGAATATTCATGCATACTCTCAGCTTATATATTTATTGAGCTTCTACTATGTTCCAGCCACTGTGCTGGATTCCAATAAGATTGCCAGCATCCCATGTAAACAGTCAACATAAAGGCCAGAAAATCCTGAGTTGAGAAACTTACAAACTTCAGCTGGAGGAGCAGCCTGGTATTCTCACGTGGGGGACTGCGGTTCTAAATTTGGATGTACCTTTAAAGGCCTGTCTATATTTTTATTTTTTCATGTAAAAATTAGAGAACAGGGTTGAATGAGTAATGTTCTTTCCAGCCCTTAAATTATAAATTTAGAAATCTATTGAAGATTATTTGAAACTGGCATGTTCCATCAACATTATATTAAGAAAAACCCTTTACTTATAATTTCTCTCATCTCATATTTCTTCAATAGGCTTCTCATTTTGGCTGTCAATGTCCTCTCCAATATAATTCTATTCTGTCTTTCTAATGAAATCTCCTATGACTTACTTCTTATAATATACAACCTAATTCCTAGGCAAATTTGATTCCTAACTATGTCCTAAAATCACCCACACCCTTCCACCCAAATGCCTTTGTATCATTGTTCTCTTGCCCTGAAGAGTCTGTGCCTACCATCTCTACTTATCAAAAGGCTACCTTTTCCTCAGCCATAAAAAGGAACAAAATAATGGCAATCACAGCAACCCGGATAGAGCTGAAAACCATTATTCCAAGTGAAGTAACTCAGGAATGGAAAACTAAACACCATGTGTTCTCGCTTATAAGTGGGAGCTAAGCTATGAGGATGCAACAGCATAAGAATGATATAATGGACTCTGGGGACTTACGGGGGAAGGATGGAAAGAGGGTAAAGGATAAAAGACTACACATTGAGTACAGTGTACACTACTCAGGTAATGGGTGCACCAAAACCTCGGAAATGCACCACTAAAAATTTTCTATGCAACCAAACACCACCTGTTTCCCCAAAAGTAATGAAATAAAAATAAATAAAAAGTAAAAAGACTGAAAAACACACACAAAAAAGATAAAAGAAAAAGAAAAAGAGCTACCTTTTTCTGTATAGCTCAAGGAAAATATTCCCTAATCCATCAACTTTGCCCCAATTATGTCAGTTAACTATGACTGTCTTATACACTGAACTTCCTAGCCCTTTCTACCTTCTGTATTAAACTTTTTCTCACATCTTTTCAAGAGTCACATTTGTTACTGCCTACTGACATATGTACATAACCAACTAATCAACATTCCCCACCCTGTCCCCAGTCTTTGTGTTCTCTATAGTGTCTTTCTTGGTGAATGATAGTCTTAGAGCAGTGATGTGCTGGTAAATGTTTAACAACTGGTTCTCTAGGGGAAATAATTCACTAAATATTAATGAGTAAGGTGAAAGTAAAACAATGGAAATGCTGGCCTTTGCTCATTGGTCAATAACATGAGGGACTTCTTTGCTCAATCAGATAATAGTTTTTAATATTTAAGGATTATTTCCTCAAATATTGTTATTTTCGTAATGTAATGACTACAGAGAAAATACACTTTTTGGGTTATTCTGCATTATTAGCATTTTTCTACCAATTCTGGAGTCTCAGCAATCAACAAAATAATAAATCAAGGCCTGGTTTGTAGTGTTCGTTTATTTCCATGGTGTAAATACACCCATGATAGCTCATTTTAAGCCACCAATGTGATATCAGTACACATGGAGCTCATCCTTCTGGACTCTACACTAGTATCATCTACTCTAAAAAGGCTTTTCTGATCCCTTATCCCCATCTCAACTTTCCAAGCTACCTCTCTGTTTCCTTTTTTTTTTTTTTCTGCAACCTCTGCCTCCTGGGTTCAAGTGATTCTCATGCCTCATGCCTCACCCTCACGAGCAGCTGGGATTATAGGTGCCCGCCATGACACCTGGCTGATTTTTGTATTTTTAGTAGAGACATATTTCACCATGTTGGTCAGGCTGATCTCCAACTCCTGACCTCAATTGATCACCCACCTCAGCCTCCCAAAATGCTGGAATTACAGGCATGAGCCACCGTGCCCAGCCTACCTCTGTGTTTCTATAGCACAGGACTTAGAGTGTGCCCCTTAACTTAGATTTGAATTTCAAAGCTCAAAATAAGGTTTTGCTTTATAAATATAATTAAGGTTTGTTCTCCATCCCACCCTCCAAAAGAAGTTAAACGTTAAAAAGAAAAGAAAAATAGAGTAAGATTTCAAGGAGAAGGGTAGTATAGTTGTGTAAAGCCCTTTCACCAGCTCTTGTCTCCTTTCTGTTTATGAAGAAGCATTCTCTTCTTGCTCTGGGTAACAGGAAAGGTCACTGGGCTCTTGGGCATTTAATCAAGCAGTAGAAGTGCTCCCCTCAAAATTTGAAGTGGAAGCTGCTCCATCTTCAATAGGTTTCTTCTAAATGCCCCTCCTTTCAATTGGGTATATTATAAGAAGTAATTAGAAGAAAAACGGAATATTGGGTCAAGTTGTATCACCTATCTGAATATGACAGAGAGTGGGGGCTTTTTCTCCCTATCAGTCTGTGGGAGACTTCCCTATTCATATTAATAAGGTGACCCTCTGCCTTGATTGATAGTTCTTAAGTAGTAATATGGTTGAGTTATCTCTGGGCACTACTTTAGCCCTTAATTTACTCAACATTTTTGCTGATGTCCTCCTCTGTCATCATATTCAGCAGTTTACAGGGAAATTTATACTTTATGATACATTGATATTATAGTCTGAGTAATCTAAATAACTTTCCACTTCATAATTTTCACTTACAGTGATTCATTCTCATAAGCAATGTTTCTAATACTTTCCCAAGACTATTCTATAGGTAGTAATGAAACCATCATTGCAAAATTATGACAGTAAGAGAAATCTGTCATAGCTATCTCCATCTTGCTTCTAATCTCTAAACTGTCCTTGTTAATTCCAGGGCATAGACCAACCTTACTTTGGGAGGAATTTAGTTTGTAGTTTAAACCTTAAAGCAAGGTTGATAGCCCTTCACAAATGCACCTCCTCCTTGTTTGGAGACTGAAACCACATTTGTAAACTAATGAGAGGCCACAAGATTAGGAGTATGAAAGGGGCCAGAATTCTGCTAAGATGTCGGTGTAATTAAACAATAACCAGGCATTGCTCCAGAGGTCACAAAATTTGTAACTTCCTCAATTATTCCTTAAGTTCTACAATAACATCAATATTGCAGAACCTAAGATTGGTCTTTTGAAATATTTTTCGGACTTTTGCATTTCTGGTGACCAACTGATTCCGCCTGTACCCAGGATCCATGACTCAACCATTCCTGTGGCCCCTACCCAGAGGCTGACTCAGTGAATAAGGACTGCTTTCCATACTCCTATGATTTCATCCTCATCCAATCAGCAGCACTCATTCCCTAGCCCCTTGTCCACAAAATTATCCTTAGAAATCCCAGCCTTCAAATTTTCAGGAAGGCCAATTTGAGTAATAAACTCCTTTTCTTCCACATGGCTAGCTTCTCGTTAGTTAAACTCTTTCTTCACAACAATATTGCAGTCTCAGTGAATTGGCTGTCTCTGTGCAGGGGGCAAGAAGAACCCATTGGGAGATTACAGTAAAAATATATATGCATGATGGTGAGGTGTATCAAGTAAGGATTGTAAAAACACTGTTATATGCATAGTTGACCTAAAGAGGAGAAGCTGAGGCCACATTAATGTAAGTAGAGAATTTATCTGGGCCAAGCTTAAGAATTGACTGAGGGAGCATGGATTCAAATTGCCGTGAGTATACTAATTTTGCCTCAGCTTCTCCCTTTTAGGTTGACACTATCATATGATCTAGGTCTGCCTTTCCTGTAAAACAGAGAAGTCAAGTATGTTAAGCCCAAGTTTTCTAGACCTCATTAATCTGAAGAAAATGTATCCATAAAATGTCTAATTCAGAACCCCTGTCAAGTAAAAGATTGAAAAACCATACCTACCTCTCTCATTTTCATATCCTTCCGTCTCTCTTCACTGATTATCTCACAGGTCCCACGCACAGCGAGTAGAGCATGCTGCAGGACCAAGAGTCTTGAAGAGAGCAAGATATGCAAGTGTCAAATCGTGCAATGTTAAAAATCATCCTTGGGGACCAAATTGAATCATCATTCTGGCCCAGACAAAGTCAGCACAGCACACCTCATCATTTCCCCTCAGGTGAACCCCCAACTCCCCATTATAGGAATGTCCATTTTACCCATTGATTGCTTGAGAATTTCAGCCCTAGAGCTAAGCTGTGAGTTCTACCTTTTCTGGTAGATCCAGTTATTCCCCACACAAAAGTACTCCTGAAGGTCTGGATGGTGACAGGAGTCTACATTGTTCAAGCAGAACACTTTTTGGAACTCTCCCTAGATTTGTTCTCTCGTTGCTGCTTAGCACCATAACATACATACATTTAGAAAGGAGAAATGGTTTTGTTGGATGATAACTGAACTGCATCTCTTTTTTTTTTTTTTTTGAGACGGAGTCTCGATTTGTTGCCCAGGCTGGAGTGCAGTGGCGCGATCTCGGCTCACTGCAAGCTCCGCCTCCCGGGTTCACACCATTCTCCTGCCTCAGCCTCATCTCTTAAGAGCCAATTAATTCCGGCTTCCAGCACTGCTTGTGCAGCACTCAACTACCATTTATAAGGCAACCCAAATGACCTCATCTTTCCTTGCTATACAAATATGACTGTGCAGTATCTAGGAACTTATTCCCCCTTCTCCGAATCTTCTGGAGGAGTGAAAAAGAAGAGCATTTCTAAGATAGAAAATGAAAAACTAAGTAGAGCATACCAGTCTCTTAGAATGTCTACTTCCAAAATTCATGTTGTTTAGAAAGATCCAGAAAACATTATCTAAGATTTTTAAGAAAAAGGTAGTTCCTCTCTATCTACAAAGATCCAAAGAAAGTGCAAAGACTAACAAGATATGATTGAAATCAATAATATTTTCATTATATCTAATATGAGTTTTGCTCATTACAGTTTACCATATAGTTTCATGTATGTCATTACTTTCTCAACCCACACAGAAGACATAATTTATCACTATTTTTCAGAGGTGAAAACAGAATCAGAGAAGTGAGATTCCCATGTTTATCCAGACATGTTGGTGGAGCCAAAATTAGAGGGCCTTCTCATTCTTAAACCAATGTGTTTCCATCGCACCTCAAACCTTTTTTCACAAAAGGTTTGCAGTGGTGTGAGGGGAAGTATGTATGACATTGCAGTATGTCAGAATTGGGAGAGGGAGTGGAAAGACATTTAAAAATTGAAAGAAGCAATTTTAAAATGAATGAAGTTGTTATTAAGGCAGTTTAGCATTGTTGTCATGCAGACTAATTCTGCAATCAGAATACCTGAATTAAAATCTCAGCTCTTTCACTTACTCTAAGTGTGCCCTAAGGCAATAAACCTTTCAAAAAGCCTCAATGTGATCATCTGTAAAATGGAGGTTATCAGAGTATCATTCCTTTCAAGGTTGTTACAGCGATAAAAATGAATTAACACATGTGAAGCATGTAGTATAGTAAAATACAATAAATACTTGAATTTCAAGTTGGAATACCAGCTAGAAATTTTAAAGTAGCTCAAAAGTGATTGATATGAATGCATAGATAGCAAATCTAAAGCCGTTCTTGAGAAGAGTCAAGGTATTTAGGGAATCCTCTTAACTCCTTGACTCCAAGAAGAGCCAGGGGCTCCCACAACCTCTCCTTTTGTGCCTTGCTAGAATAAGTTCTAAGTGGATGGAACATATATGTATTTATGGAAAATTTGTGTCTTGGTTAATACATCCTTAAGACTGTTGACTTTTAGAAGGCAAGAACTGAGTCTTCTTTAGATCATCTAAAACCTTCCTAAAGACCAATAGACTGCTCTGCACTAAATAAAATAATTTTAATCCCTTATTTATTGATGGAAAAAACATGAGGTATTTGGAGAGATTTGCCAACGGCAATTGATCTTGGAAAACAGCAATTAAACTTCATCAAGCAAAGTCAATGGCAGGCAGGGACCAAGGAAATAAGCACGGAGAATATGGGAAACTGAGGCAGCATATGCCTGGCATAGAAAATATCCATACAGGCACTTATTCTGTAATTTTACATTAAGCATTAATTTTATATTAAGTGTTATAGATGATCTTGTTGACACCTCTGAAATTTAGGGAGGTATTTTAATATATGATAACTCTGAGACTCAGATAAAATGGCTGACTTGGAAGCACATAGTTAATGAGTTAACACACAAAGGTAAAGCCAACACCCTGAATTTAAAAAAGAAAGAAAGAAAAAGTAAACAGTGCTTGGGGAAATGATCCCGTTTTAAATTTCTGTGTTTAAAGGCAATTATATTGACAATGATTTTCTGGCACTTTTCTCTAGCTATCAAGATAATAATACTTTTAGACTGCAGGTGAATTTTTATTTTTAATGGCGCTATTGTTGCTAAGATGTAACACTTGATGATTTTATGACATAAACCCTAAAAAAAAGAGCCCATAACCTGAAATATTTTTTTAAATTATATACATATATATAAACATATATACATATATTCTCATCTAATACCAGTTCGGCACAGCATTAACCTGGTAGAAATTAGATCAAGTAAAAAAAGAATGCTGTGAAAAACCCAGAAGTCCCTCAGTAGAGTAACTTGAAGAGCAAGGCGTCCTGGCTTCCCTGGGAGTCTTCCTTTCTTCTTGGTTCCCACAGACTTCTCTCATCTCTAAGCTATGCACCTCTCAGTGCTGCACCATTCAGCACTCGACAGAATCCCCCCATTCAGTGCTGTGTGAGAGGGCCTGTGCTGGTCTGAACTGATCTGCCCAGTTCTCCTAAAAATCCCTTAAGATCAGGTGCAATTACTTCTTGTGCTTACCTGAGAGCAGGTGCTTGCCAAATATTTACTGAGGAATGTATTTGGGCTAGGGAATTATAATGCAATTTAATAACTGTTTGAGGATAAATATGAAAAAAATCCATAAGAAGTACATGGAAAGAAAAGTTATTTCTGACTAGAGAAGTCAGACTAGACAACATAACATTTGTAGTGGGGCCATGATGGATGAGCCCATCAGGACAGAATTAGGATAGTTATAGCTAGATAAGCAGAGAGCTGGCTGGAAGCTCAATGGTAAAGTAGTCCAGCAATCCTTTTGGTACAGTAAAATCCTTCCGTAATTTGAAAAGTGGTTTCAAAAATTTCAATCACATAAAATGCCTAGGTGCATCATTGTAAAATTGATGAAATGACAAGTGTGGCATTTCATTTGCTGGTTCAATCTGGATCTATCCAGATCCCAGTTATGGTTTAGTGCCACCTGATGGTGGTTATCTGTTTCAGATTAATATTGATGGGGCCCATCAGGGCTTTAGGGCTGGCTGGGACTTCTAAGATTGCTGTAGCAATTCCAAGAATTGTTTAATTAGGCAGCACCTGCTTCATAGGCCTGGTCAGGAGAGATTGGGCCAGGAGAATACAGACCTGCTTCCCCAGATGCAGCGGCCTACTATTTCCCTACTTAACCTCACTCCCCTGCTCATATTCCAGTGAGCTCCTCCATTCCCCCCACTCCTGAGAATATAATAAATTTAGCCAGCTCCTTTTGAATAAGGGAATGGATAAAGGAGCCAGTTGTCAAGTATGTTATATGAGAATCCCTATTATCACGGGGCTCATTATCACAGGATTTTACTATATTTGACTCCCTCCAATGGACTGTAAGAAGTCAATCCATTGATGCTGTGCACCCTAGTTGCAAAAGCCCGTTCCATCCTTGGATACTTTTAATTGGTGGAAAGTCATGGCCCAGACACTACTCTATATTAATGTACATACATTAGCACTAGCTCTATGATCACACAGAAGGATGCTATGCCATTCAAATATTGGAAAATAGAAAGCACATATTTTCCAAGTTTTATCTTCTACAGGCTAAATTTCCTGAGTTTCCTTATTTGTCTGCCTTGTTCACTAATTGTGCCTTGGGTGGCAAGGGAAGTACCTGGAGCATGATGGGCACCCAGTAAAGATCTACTGAATGAGTAAGTAAATAAGTGAATGAATGATTCCAAATGTTTTTGTCCCATGATGAGCATGTCCTCATACATTTCTGTCCGTCTTCAAGTGTAGCTCCCAAAATAGAATGTAAAACTTCAGGTATTGCCTAAGAAGCACAAAGAACGAGACTGATCACTACTCTCATCTTGGATGCAAAACATCCATGAATGTAACCCAAAACTGATGTCTGTTTTTGAACAATCCTATTACTATGGATTCATATCAAGTTTATAGTCAGTTAAGAACCACCCGCCCCCACCGCCTGAGATTTTTATTCACAGATCTACTATTAAGCTACATCTCCCCCCAATTGAGTTTTCAGTCTGAAGTTCAAGACCTAACATTATTCCCAGTAAATTTTGTTTTTATTGGATTTGGGCCATTACTCCAGCATCTAAAGACCTTTTTGAGCCTTGATTCTGACCTCTGACATATTAGATATACAGCATAGCTTTGTGCTACTTACAATTTGATCAGCGTTCTTTCACTGTCCTCACACAAGTCTTCAATAAGTAGCTGGACAAGGTCCTTTATGGAGCCCTGAGACTTACTTCAAGAGACTTTTCTCCAGATTAATGGTCATTTATCTTGCAGTTGCATTATTGCCTGAGGCCACATGGGAAGTAACAAGAGAGAGAAAGAATATTTCATTAGAGCTTAGACAGACCTACTTTGTAACCTGAGCTTATCATTTACTAATTGTGTTCCTTCCAGCAAGAGATGTGTTTTGAACCAGACTGAGGAGTAAGGAGGCTATTCCAACAAATGCAAACAACAATAGTAGCAGCACAGAGTTGATAAACTAAGGCAGGCCCATGGGGCAGAAAAAATCAAGATATGGTGTGATGGTGCTTAGAGAAAAAGACAAACTACAAATATACATGTATTTGCTTTTATGTTTTTATAAAGGTTGCCTAGCCCCTTTCTTCATCTACTATCTGGAACTCATTAATGGAAGAAAATAACCATTTTAAGTGATAGCATAAAGTAATTTCTCTTAGAACAAGTATTTACATGCAATTTAACCTATCAAAAGAGGACTAGGAATCTGGGTTCCTCAGGAACTTGCTTTGTGACATTGGTTAGTTCATTTAATTAACCTCTTGGGGCTCCTCATCTATAAAATAAGGGAGTTGGACTAAGGTTCCTGACGTTTCTTCTTTGGCGAGAGAGTGTGGAGGGCAAGAGGAGTAGTCTATGGGACCTAAAAGCAATAAGTTACACTCTAGTTTATGCTGATGTTTGTTTTTCCTTCCCCTGATCTCATTGCTGTCAGGCCTAAGCTAGCTTAGAACTCCAAGAAATCTTTCTTCCATTTCACTTTCTGTCCTTGTTAATAGAAAATATAAGAGAAGAATATTGGCCAGAGCAGTACCCTACCAGTCATTGCAGTATTTAAGAAAAAAGCCATGAGCTGGTAAAAATTCCATTCACTATAATTTCCCCTATTAAACAATGTGGTAAATTGTTGTAAATATTATCTGATTCTGTCCTAAATAATATCTCTTTCAGGGATAGCTAATACTTGTGCTTCAGGTCATAAAAAGATCATGAGTTAGGATAATCAAAATTTGAATCATAGTTATATTTTCTTCCAAAAATACTATTATCCCTATTAGAATCATATGGCAAGCTAAGCTAGAGATAGAAATGATTTAGTTAGTTCCTAGAAGAAATGCATGTGCCAAATTAGGAACCTCAGTTGGACTGTTTGGGGAATATACTAGTCAAGATTCTCATGGTTGCCAGTGACAGAGACCCAGCTCAAAACAGATGAGTTATTTTATTATCTCTTTCTCTGCTCAACTCACATCTTTGCCTGTTTCTGCATGTTGGCCTCATTTTCTATGACTTCAGATAGTCTTTCTCCATGTAGTAAGGAGAGGAAGGAGCAAGGCTACCAAAAGTTACAGGCTTGAATCACCCCAGTTTTGCTATTCCAGACAAAAAAAGAACAGCATTTTTCCATACATAAAACCTAGGGAAGAACTCTGGCTGGTTTTAGATCATAAATGAATTATATGCCAGATACTATGTTTGATGAGACCTGATAACATGCCTAACCTAAAACTCAAAGACCGAGAGGCTATCTTTGGCAGACACAAAAGAACCACATGGAGTAGAAAAAGGTCAGTTCCTTGAAGGAAGGAACATATTCATAGCAGAAGGAAAAAGAGTAATAGCTGGGTAGGAAAAAAAGCCCAGTACAGGAAGCCACTGGGCCTGAAGATGACCATTTCTCATCGATGATCAAAATCCACTTCACTATACTTAGGAATCTTCTGGTCATCTTTGGTTTGCTTCCAACAATAGTAGCATGGATCAATGCTATGATCTGAATATTTGTGTCCCTAAAACTTCACATGTTAAACCTCATCCCCAGTGTGAGGGTAGTCAGAAGTAAGTCCTGAGACATGATTAGGTCATAAAGACAGACCCCTCATGGGTGGGATTAGTACCATTATAAAGGAGGTCCAACAGAGAGCTCTCATCCCTTCGGCCATATGGAAAACACAATGAGAAGAGGCTGACTATAAAACAGGGTGTGGGCTCTCACCATACATCAAATCTTCCAGCACCTTGCTCTTGGACCTTCCACCCTCCAGAATGCTAAAAAGTACATTTCTGTTCCATCCAGTCTATGGCATTCTGTTATAGCAGCCCCACTGAACTAAGACAGACAATTGGAACCAATAAGTGGGGGTATTGCTATAATAGATACTTAAAAAAGTAGAAGCAGCTTTGGAACTCAGTAGAGGCTGGAGAGTTTTGAGGTGCATGCTAGAAAAAGTCAATACTGACTTGAAGCGACTACTAAGAGCAATTCTGAGATCACACACACAAAAAAAGAGGAGAGCTGTAGAGAAGTTTCAATCTTTTTAGAGAATACCTAAGAATTCTCTAAACAGAGTGTTTAGAGATCCTAAACACACTTGGTAGAAATATAAAGGCCGTTCTGATGAAGTCTCAGACAAAAATAAGCAGCATGTTTTTAGATAATAGAGGAAAGCTCGTCTTTGTGAATTGCGTTTGTGTCCTAGTGTTTTGTGAGAGGTAAAACTTGCAAGGGATGAAACTGGATCTTTGGCTTAGGAAATATCTAAGCAAAGTGTTGAAGGAGTTGTCTGGTTCCTCATCACTATTTATAGTAAAATGAGAGAAGGCAGAAATGATTTAAAGATGGAATTGTTGAAGGAAAGGAAACAGGACTTAAAGATACGGAAAATTCTCAGCTTATCCATATTGAAATGAATGAGAAAGGCTGTTCCAGAGAAAACATGAAGAGCGTAGCCAAAGATCATCTGATAGGGTGAGCCAGCCACCTAAACAGAAGTCAGGAGCTCTCGTCAAAGACAACAGAAGAATAATCCCAAAGGCAACTGAGAAATAATCAGGGCTGTCCCTCCCATCACAGACCCAGAGTGCAAAAGCCCCAGCAAGCACAAGACCACCACAGAAATCCCTCCTTAGAGAAATGTGCAGAGAAATCACAGAGCAACCTACACCTGATTCCAGACTAGGCCAGCTATGGGCATGTGACATAGGCATGGAGTAACCATGAAGGTGAGACCACTGAAGAGAGCCACAACAAGGGTAGAGTCCAGGTACAGAGCCACCATAGGGGTGGAACCCCTGGGTGAACACCCCCACCCAGTGGGTCAGAAGGCCAGATCCCCCACCCCAGTACACTTAGAGGGAAGAACATCAAGCCAGAGGATTATTCTTAAACCTTAAGTTTCAATGTTATTTGCTCCATTAGGTTTCAGATTTGCTGAGGATTTGTTAACTCTTTTTTCTTTCCTATTTCTTCCCTTGGAAATGGCAATGTCTAATCTATGTTTGTCCCCGTCTTTGTATTTTGGAAGCACATACATGTCTGATTTCACAGGTTCACAGCTAAAAAGCAATTTGTCTCAAGATGAATCATACCTTGAGTCTCACACATATCTGATTTAGATGATATTTACATGAAACTTTGGACTTCGGATCTGAGTTGATGCTGGAACAATTTAAGACTTTTTCAGCTCTTTATATGCAGGAAGGACATGAATTTGGGAGGGCCAAAGTTGGAATGCTATGATCCAAATGTTCATGTCCCCCAAAATTCGTATGTTAAAATCTAATCCCCAATATGAGGGTATTTGAAGGTGGGGCCTGTGGGAGGTGATTAGGTCATAAAGACTGAGCTCTCATAAATAAGATTAGTGCCTTTATAAAAGAGGCCCCAGAGAAATCACTTGCTCTTTCCACCATATGAGGACATGATGAGAAGAGGCCATCTGTGAAACAGGAGGCAGGCCCTCCCTAGATATCAAATCTACTAGCACATTGATCTTAGACTTCTTAGCCTTCAGAACTATAAGAGATAAATTTCTGTTGTTTATAAGCTATTTAGTCTATGGTATTCTGTTATAGCAGCACAAACACTCTAAAATATCCAAATCTTCAGACTTCCTTCTGGCATTGGTTAATGCCTCCAAGTTCAGGGCCACTGTATGAGGGAGGACAACTAACAGCAGAGAGCAATTGAACCCTTACTCTTAGGCCAGTACATGGTGTCTGACAGTGCCTGCCATCAGTGGAGCTCTGTCTCACTCTGACCATGCCAGCTCTGGAAGCAGATTGCCTTTTGGACTTGTGGCTCTTTGCCTCACCCTACCATGAAGGGTTACCTCTTTCCTTCATAGTGCTTAGGAACTGTTCATGCTCCTTCAATTCAGCCAGACTCTAACCCCTTTGCTGTTTCTACCTCCAAATGATCCTCTAGCTTCTTATGCATACTTACTGATGTATTTACTTTTTTGTGTTCTTATGTGTGGCCCTCCCCAAATTCCAACTCCAGCACTCTACCAATAATTTGCCACCATTTATTTCCGATACAACTTTAACGTGTTTGGTGCTGTTGAATGCAGGAAGCTAACTAGGTTTCTGGTCATACATTAATTTATGTGGTAAAGGTTAATTTTTTTAAAACACAAACATAAATAGCCTAAATGGTAGCTTCACAAATGAGAGGGAGGTATCACTGACACTGCTTGTCAAAACTTGCATTCTTACCATCAGAATTTGATTCCATTTCTTTATCAAATTCATGCTTTGTTTCCTATGGAATGACAATCTTCAGTTGGAATTAATTTATCAATCCTCTTCCTGAGGTAGGATTTCATAAAAAGATTTGGAAAAGAGCATACAAGCTCCAAGTGACCAAGGAGAAGACCAAGAGACGCCATCCTGAAGGCCAGAGGCATCACAGAGGGCTCCCATGTGTGGTCTTGTACTTCCCCAGCACATGCCTTTCTGTTTCTGATTTTTCTTTACTCCTATGACCCAATCTGCTGTTTTCTTGTTGTCCTATTGGGATTTCTTGATCCCACCCTAATCTTCCTTAGGACAGATGTCCCTTTTATATCAGATCTAGTGGTACTTCACAACGTGTGCTTACAGCAGCTTAGGCTAAACAGGAGAAAGCTGAGGCTACTGAAAGGCCAGATTAGATGAGCCCTGAAAGAGATCAGGATCAGCACAGTGGTGACAAGCTAATGGGGTTGACAAAGCTGGACCTGGAAGATTGCCAGCATCTTACCTCCCAGAAAAAGTTACAGTTTGCTGGGTAGTTCTATATATTGATAATAGTCTCAGGGCCAGAGAAATGAGGGACACAATTAGGCAAGATTGCAGTTCCTCTAGACTTGCACTGGAATGTATTGAATTATGGAATTTTTGTTTGTTTGCCTGCTTGCCTGATTGTTTGCTGATCTTTTTTCTTAAGATTTTTCCTACATTATTCTCAACACTACAGTTGTGGATGATGTTCACAGTTGCTATCAACCTTTGCATCATTTGAAAATGTCCAGATGAGTTGGAGGCAGCAATGAACAACCAGGCAGCCAACTCTCATAAAGATGAATCAAACTATGGTGATCTGATAAGCAGACTTGTGAGATCCATTTTTTCACCCAAAAGGGTAAGAGTTATTATATCTTCCAAAATTGTCAGTGTGATAAAGTAACAAATTGGAAGGCACAATTCATGCTTCCCCCAAATGCACTAACTGGGTAAATAGAGAACCATGGCTCATACTAGCAACCATAAATTTAAAGTTAGTATTTCAGGTCTATATCTAAAGAACGACAGAACATCATCTCTCCTGATTCATCCGGCAAGAATGCATCATCCTTTTTCTCGATCTAATCAGAAACACTTCTGCCATCTTCGTTTTTCTTTATAAGTCAAAAAGGCGCAGAAGAGATTTAGGCCTTCTCTCCTACACCCCTCCTGACTTCTTGTGGGGGAGGAAGTGGGCTGCATAACAGCAAAACCTCAGATTCTATTCTGACCACACCACAGGTACTCTTATTTTCACCGCAGTCAATTTCAAATACTGTACACAAGTGCCATCTAGTGGTTAGCAATAAATTAACATGTCACTTTAAGAAAGAAGAAAAGACTTAAAGCCTTTCATAAATAACCAAACATGTTTTTAACTTTTTTATTAAAACAGGATGATTTTTGTGTACTAGCATTTTTTCTGAGGAAATTATTTCTTCCATCTGTTTCTCTTTGGTCAGGATAGAAGTATCTTGGCTCATCTTCTGTCAGTGTGCTTCAAACCATAAAATGTAGGCTGGGGTTTATGCACAAGGAAACACATTGAGAAAGAAAGCCTTCTTTATGGATAGTCACTACTCTGTGAAATAAAATTGAGTTGGTTCTCTTGCTTCTATCCTCTATTTTAGCAAACATTCTAGGGTTGCATGATGGCTGAAATAAAAGAGAAACGTGAACATTGGGGATGGAGAAAACCACAGACATCACTTTCAGTGGTTCTCGGTTACATTCGGAATGATAGCAGAATCTCCCATCCCAAAATCAAAGTCTCTTCAGTCGAACCCAACCTCACCTTCTTCTTCTGTGCCCTAGTATAATACAAGTATTATCGGCCTGGCGCAGTGGCTCACGCCTGTAATCCCAGCACAGTGGGAGGCCGAGGCAGGCAGATCATGAGGTCAGGAGATCGAGACCATCCTGGCTAACACGGTGAAACCCCGTCTCTACTAAAAATACAAAAAATTAGCAGAGCGTGGTGGCGGGCGCCTGTAGTCCCAGCTACTCGGGAGGCTGAAGCAGGAGAATGGCGTGAACCCGGGAGGTGGAGCTTGCAGTGAGCCGAGATCTCCCCACTACACTCCAGCCTGGGCTACAGAGCGAGACTCCATCTCAAAAAAAAAAAAAAAAAAAGTATTATCTACACATTTGCATATTCACTGACTCCTGAATATCAGCCTCTCTTCATTTTCTTATCATTGCCCCTTCTTCCCAGTCTGTAATATTCTTCCTTTCCCTCCTCACTTATTCAACCTTATTCATCCTTCAAGTTCTATATTACTGTAACAGGATGTCAAAATGGAACTATTTTAGTCTTAGTTTTCATTGAGACTTGTATTAATTAGTTTTTGCTGCATAATAAATCACCCCAAAACATAGTAGCTTTAAACTACACGCTTTTATTATAACTCACAAGCCTGTACGGTAGCTGGGTAGTTTCAGTCTCCAGTCTTGGCTAGGCTTACTGATGCCTTAGCTGGGGATCAGATGGGCAGCTCTGCTGTTCTTGGTCCAGCTCTCCCATATGTATGTCCCATATGTTAAGCTGGTTGTAGACTGGTCTAAGATAGCCACAGCTGGGACAACTGCGCTCTTCTGGCAGTCTCCTGGCCTCCAGCGTACTAGACTGGGATTGTTCACATGGTGGTGCAAGGTATCCAGAGAAAGCAAAACCATACAAGACTTCTTGAGGCCTAAGCTTGGAACTAGCACTCCACTGCAATCAGATGACCAAAGCAAATCATAAGATCAGTTCTGATTATGATGAAATAAACTCCACCTTCTGGGCTAGGCACGGTGGTTCATGCCTGTAATTCCAGCATTTTGGGAGGCCAAGGCAGGTGGATCGCTTGAGCTTAGGAGTTTGAGACCAGCCTGGGCAACTTGGTGAAATCCTGTCTCTACTAAAAATTTAAAAAATTAGCCAGGCATGGTGGTGCGTGCCTGCGGTCCCAGCTACTCATGAGGCTGAGGCTAGAGGATTGCTTGAGCCTGGGAGGTGGAGGTTGCAGTGAGCTGAAATTACACCACTGCACTCCATGCTGGGCTACAATGAGACTGTCTCAATAAATAAACAAATAAATAAATAAAATTAAAAACAAACCCTCCACCTTCTGATGGGATGAAGTAAAAGTCTCATTGCACAGCATTTGGATAAAAGGATAAGCTTTAAAAGAAAGTGGGGAGGACCATTTTAGCAATCTACCTCAAGATTGAATAAACGCTACATTTCACAGTGAGGTGAGAGTTCCTCCACAGAACCGTAAAGGAGCTGACTGAAACTGGATTTGTAGTTATTAAACCATCACTTTCATCAGGAGCTGGAGATTAGGTGAGGTGCCGTGCTTTGAATATAGCTAACACTCCCTCACCAATAAACACACCAAAAAGAGTAAGGCATGCCTGCCCTTAAACTGAAGTCTAGAAAGAGGTAATGCAGTGAGACCTCTTAAAGAGCTTCATATGTAGGCAGGGCACAGTGTTTCACGCTTGTAATCCCAGCACTTTGGGAGACCGAGGCGGGCAGATCACGAAGTCAGGAGACTGAGACCATCCTGGCTAACATGGTGAAACCCCATCTCTACTAAAAATACAAGAAATTAGCCGGGCGTGGTCATGGGTGCCTGTAATCCCAGCTACTCAGGAGGCTGAGGCAGGAGAATCGCTTGAACCTGTGAGGCAGAGGTTTCAGTGAACTGAGACTGTGCCACTGCACTCCAGCCCAGGTGACAGAGCGAGACTCCGTGTCAAAAAAAAAGAAAAGAAAAGAAAAGAAAAAAAAGCTGCATATGTGTCTCCTAAAATCTGAAGGATGCCATGAACTGTTGTCTGACTCACCCTGGATAAAAACAGGTGGATAAGCACTACAGTTTGTGAAGTTACTATACTCCCGCCAATGACAGGTCACAAATTCAAGGCTGCCTGTGGAATCGATGAGAACCAAGAGCTTTAGAGAGATAGTGTGGGTTTGTCTTGGATCCTCATCAAGAGGGCAATGAAAAGCTGAGCACAGATAAGGACTCAAGCAAAAGGAAGCAAAACGTGTACCATGGGATACCTGGAAGTCAAGTGACCAGCTGAAAAAGAAATACAGTTACCCATTTTGAGGGGCCTAATGTTCAGAAATACTTAGACTGGAGGAAGGGAAGCTGGTGGAGTTCTATAGAACCACAGAAGCACCTCCAGGAGAGAAAGAATCAGCCTTTGGTATAGGAAACTCAGATCACAGTGATACCACCAGTCAAGTAAGAACTTTCTTGCTGCCACTGACTCTCCTTTATCCCCTCCCCAATTCCCAGCTCCACTATTACAACTTACATTAAGGAAGGTGATCAAAAAGCAGTGGCACTCACTAGGTGGTGGGGAGGGGAAAGACACACAGCTCTCTTGAAATTTGCAAGGCCTAATCTTGGGGTAGGGAGGTGAGGGTGCTGTAATTTCAAAAGAAGTTTTACATTTTTAGTGTTATTCTAGACATACTCATTACTGAGCTGGAACCATGCCTCAGTTTTAGCTTAAAGGTAAAGGCAAATATTAGTCCTGTAGCATATGTTTGAATAGGCAGTGACAAAATAAATCATGTTGTTTTCTAATGACACCACACGAGTTTTGCAAGTTCAGTACAATAATTTCCTTAAGTTCCTCCTTAGTGCAGCCGCCACAGTTGCCTCTTCAGCCACTATTCTGTCTGGATTGATTTGGCCTTTGCTTATAAGAAAGCATAAGGTTAATCTAGAGCTAAAGAATCTAAATTGGAGTTATAATTTTACAGTTCACTACATGATCTCAAGTGGGTCCTCCAACTTTTCCATTTTTTTCTTTTATGAAAAGTAAAATGTGATAATGCCTACCTACATCCATAGTTATTGAAAATATTAAATTGCATAGTGTAAATCAAAAGGATTTTTAAAAAATATCTACTATATTACAAAATAAAATGAAAGTTTAAAATTTTTATTAGTTTTTAAAAATAATAAATCCATTACATATTTACATGTTTATATGAAAAGTGACTTTATTTTTCAAAATAAAATAATTTAGGGAGATGAATGGCATTGTTTGGGGTTTTCTTTCACAATTTTTAAAAAATATCTGCCTGATTAGAAAACAGCTAGATTCACTAATGACTTCAGACAGTTTTCATTTAGTACCCAAGATATCAAACCAAGACCCATGTCTAATTCCTGTTTTGATTTTTTTATCTGCTTGCTTGTAATAATTTTTTTCTCATTTTCTATAAACTTCTAATTTTCATTCGACTAAAAAAAAGAAAGAAAAAGACTAGATTCTTAAATCTATTTCTGCATTCAATCTATTGCAATGTGTGGTTTGAGTACAGAACATGAAGAAACTCTGGCCTCAAAGATATGTTGTCAAAAGGGACTTAAATTTTAGTAGTAATTTCAGATAATTGTGGATATTCTTCTTTGATGCTATGCCAAAACTCAGCAAGTATAAATTTCTTTAAAGTCATCTGGGGGTGAAATCTGAAACCATGTCAATAATTTTTGTACTTCGTTATATAAAAAATCTACTGGTTTATTGTGTACTTTGGATCTTTTATTCATGCATAATTTTTATAACATCAATGCTCATTTTGAATCGCTCATTTGGAAAATAATGGCTCACTATGTTGTACAGATCATTCAAATGTTGACACATTTTATTATATAATATCCAAAAAAATCGCATTTGTTAATATCACTACTGGCCTCATCAGAAAATTCTTCTAAGGACTGGGAAGCTGCCATGGTTATGTGGCAAATACAAGTGGTCCACACTGCTAATTTTTGCTTTAAAGCACAAATGTTTTCATGAACAATAAATACTGTTCATTGTCCTCTTTAAGTGACAGACTTACATTGTTAATTTTCAAAATGTCTGCCAAATTCTCAAGTCTGAATAATCATAGTTTGTCTTTCAGTATTTGATTTCAAGCAAAATGGTGTTCATGAAAATAATTACTAGTTAAACAACTATAAAAGTGCTTTTCCAGTGGGGAAGGGAGTGTCCATGATGTTGGCCACACTGTCTATGTCTCTTGGCCAAGTTTAGAGTGGTAGCTTTTATTCATATACTTCAACAGGAATTCTATTTTGGCCTGAATCATCCAGAAGAGCCATAGAAATAATGTCAAATTTAGTGAAACCTAGGGTGATATTGTTATGGACTAAAATATATGTTATTTGGTCTTCATCCTGAGTTCCTGGCACAGAGCTCTTAAAATCTTTTTTATTTTCCTGAGTGACGGGGGTGACAGGAACATCTTTTGTTTTAATATTTGGCATTAGTCCTTAGTTCCTGAGACAACAGCATCTAAGACCCTTGGAATGTTTGAAGTAATGAGCATCTTTGTGTATACTAATGAGATGACTGAGCTGGGGGCCTCTAGATAGCTCCTGGTTGGGCCTGATTGCCAAAAAGACCAATGCATGATTAGAAGGTTGGAACTTTCAGTTCCACCCCAACAACATCAATGGAGGGGAGAGAGATTGGAGACTGAGTTATTCACAAATGGCCAATGATTTAGTCAATCATGCCCATGTAATAAAATCTTCATTAATACTCCTAACCTATGGGGAGTATTAGGTTACCTGAGAGCTTCCAGGTTGCTGGCAGGGTGGCATACCTCTTCCCACCTACCTTGCCCTATGTATCTCCTCCATTTGGCTGCTCCTGACTTGGAGCCTTTATAATAAACCGGTAAGAGTAAGAAAACTGTTTGACTAAGTTTTGTGAGCCATTCTAGCTCACAGGGAGATTGTCAAACCCAAGGAGGGAGTCATGGGAGCTCCTGTTATAGCCAACCAGTCAGAAGTACAGGAGGTCCAGGACTTGCAACTGGCTTCTGAAGTGGAAGCAGTCTTGTGAGACAGAGCCCTTAACCTGTGGAGTCTGACACTAACTCCACTAATGTCATAATTACATTTAGTCATTGGACATCCAGTTGGTGTCCAGAGAGTTGGAAAATTGATTGTTGGTGTGAAGAAAAAACCACATATTTGGTGTCAGAAATGTTGGGAGTAAAAACAATTCTGCTAGAATTAGAAAACATTTTAGACATCATCTAGTCCACTCTAAGAGCAAATTTTCTCTATAGCAGTCTTGACATGAGGTCATTCAGCTTCTGATCAAGCACTTCCAGTGATGTGAATCTCAATAATTCTCTAAGCAGCCCATTCCACCATTCTTGGATAGCTTCAATTATGCAGTTCTTCATCATATTAAGCCAAAATGTTCCTTCCTTGGTTTTGTGATGCAGAAAGAATGAATCTGCTCTCTCTTCCATACGGCTAAACTTCAAGCATTTAAACTTTAAATTTCTTTGAATTTTAAAGACCACTTTAATCCATACCTTTTCCTACTTCAATTCACATACACGCACGCGCGCACACACACACACACACACACACACACACACACACACCCTTCCATCATCATACCTCTTCTCTAGGACAGAACATGGTTTCTACACTACTTGTCCTCACATGACATAGTTTCTATATCTCTGTTACCCTGTCATCCTAAACCCTTTCTGCTTACTCGTGTGCCTCTTAAAAATAGAACCAGAACACTATTAAAAGATCTCGAATTAAATCTTTCTAGAACATAATTCATTTTCTTCCTGTACACTTGTATTGATGCAGCCTATAATTATATTCACTTTTTGTTTGTGTGTTGGTTTGTTTTTCAGGAACCACATTAAACTGTAGGCACATGTTGAATTAGTCTTCAAGCAAAACGTCCACATCTTTTTCCCACATGAACATTGTTAATTTGCCTTTACTATTCTCTGTATCTGCAAGTAATTTTTCAGCCTAAATGAAGGAATTTATATATTATCCTGATAAATTTTATGTAAGTTTACATCCATTTAGAATGATCTAGACTGTTTAATTTTCATCAATTTTAATTTTATTTCTGTAACAAAGAATGCGTGCTGGAAATCAAAATCTACTATTTCCTTCCTGGGCACATGACCAAATTACCTTTCCCACCTCCTCTGTAGTTAAATGCAACTATGAGGCTGATTTTGGCGAATTGAATGTAACATAAGTAAACAGGATGTATACTACTTTAGCGGAGAGTCTTAGTCCATTTGTGCTGCTATAACAAAATACTGAAAACTGGGTAATTCATAAACAAGAGAATCTATTTCTCACAATTCTGGAGCCTGGGAGTCTAATACCAAGGTGCTTGCAGGGTTAGTGTCTGGCCGAGGGCTGCTGTCTGCTCCCAGGATGGCAGCTTGTTGCTGCATCCTCCAGTGGGAACAAACGCTGTGTCCTCACATGGCAGAAAAGATAGAAGGGAAAAAGCCCACTCCCTCAAGCCCTTTCATACGGGTTCTAATCCCATTTATGAGCACTCCACCCTCATAACTTAACCACATTTTAAAGGCCCCACTCCTTAATACCATCACATTGACAACTAAGTTTTAGCATTTGAATTTGGGGAGGACACATTCAAACCAAAGCAAGAAGCTTTAAGGCAGCAGCATGTCTACTTCACCCTCCTAGTCCCGAACCTGGATATGATGACTCAGTCTTAACTATTTTGTTTAAAGAAACCCTTGGATATGACAGAGTCATAGACAGAAATAGCCAGGTTCCCTGAATCTCTGTGCAGAGAAGAGCTACCTTCTGCCCTGGAAAACCCGCTCTGGAATCACATAAGCAAGAACTAAACTGTTCCTTAAGCCAATAAATTTGGGGTCTATTTTTTACAACAGCTTAGCTCACATTAACTTATGTAATATGCCACATATCTATGGTAGATATAAATATGTAGATACATTCTTCATCTATAGGTGGATGTGTCTTCATCCACACTGATTAGTTTTGTTCTGTGGTTAAAATAATGATGAGAAATATAATATCTACCCATAAAATTAGACCTTTCACATTTCTATGCTTGATTTCAGCTCAACAAACCTATTTTATTTCCTAGAAGTTACCCCAAGTTTCTGGTTCTGGTCATATTATGCTTTTTTTCACAAGTAACCCCTTCTTTGAAGTCCTCTCCCTCTTCCCCAGGCAAAGTTAAAGGTAATCTCTCTTTACCGTGCTCACACTGAAACAATGGCCAAGTGTCATGACTTGTAATTCCATTAGCAATGTTTGCCTGCTATCTTTTCATCAGAGTATGTGCTCCTGAAGATAGGGACCAGATCTTATTTATCTGTGCATTCTCAGTGCTGTATCAGTGTCTGACATGTAGTGAATATTCAATAAATGCTTGAGAATGAATGAATAAATACATAGATACCTTTGGATTCAGATGTATAAGAAAAAGAAATCATCAAGAGATAGTGTTGTACATCACTGAGCTTCTATTAGTGATAAATAAAGGCCGAGTCTCTAACTACAAATGGATGGGAACAGAGAAATTGATTATCTGCAGGATCTCTCTGGCATTCTGGATTCTGTGAGTTCTTTTATAATCCTATTTTTGCTTTCATTGTCCAGAACTAGTCATGATGTCATAATCATCGACAACTAGTCCATATTCCACATGACAATATAGAAGGCTCTGAAAACCAGAGTATGATTTTTAAACCTTGCTCATATTTTTTTCTTTTTGAGACGGAATCTCGCTCTGTCGCCCAGGCTGGAGTGCAGTGGCGCGATCCCGGCTCACTACAAGCTCTGCCTCCCGGGTTCACGCCATTCTCCTGCCTCAGTCTCCTGAGTAGCTGGGACCGCAGGTGCCACGCCCAGCTAATTTTGTTTTTGTATTTTTAGTAGAGACAGGGTTTCACCGTGTTAACCAGGATGGTCTCCGTCTCCTGACCTCGTGATCCGCCCGCCTCGGCCTCCCAAAGTGCTGGGATTACAGGCGTGAGCCACCGCGCCCGGCCAAACCTTGCTCATTTTAAGATGCTCATTTAAACCTTGCTCAACTAAGATGGAACCTACTGTCTCTTTATATTTCTTACTTTGGGTTCGATTTATTTAAGACTATTCATGACAGCCAGATGGCCCACTCTAGTTTCAGACGATTTATCATAGTGTTCAGCTGTTGCATTAAATCTATTCCTTAAAGAAGAAGAAACATTTTTATTATAACAGGAAGAGAGTAGGGGTCCAGACCTCTGGTATAGCCTAGATGTCAGCTCATGGCTCCCTGACCTTGAAAATCTTTATGTAGAACTTATCTAAATAACCCATATTCTATTCTATGTGCTTTGGAAATCCACTTCACCAGTTTTTCTCCAAATTCTAGGGAGTATGGCAGTGAGTGGGATATATAATCCTGATGACCTCTTGCTTAGAGGTCTTACTTCTCACCTTCTCAGGTACACACACTCTGCGTTCTATACCACATCAACTCAAGTATAAAACTAAGCCCCTTTCACAGTTCCCTCTAAACACCTATCAGATATTCTTGATATTTGGGAGGAAAAAGAAGGGAATCTTACATTACAAAATTGCTAACAAGTTCAAAATGAATGGTAACCTTTCAAGTAGGCTTTCTCTTAAATCTGTTTTACCCCACTCCACAGGGACTCTTTTCCACTGGCCACTTCACCTGTGAATCCTTAGCCCTGCATCTTCTTACAGGCTCCTGTCTCCTTTCTTCTCCTATCTCTCTTCTCCAGTCCTAATTTCTGTTTCTTTCTAGCTCAGAGTAATGCAACTATCTCACTTGTGGCTTATGTTTCTATAGATTCAGTAAGATGTCACCTTTCTATCTGAATGTTACTGAGGTACTTTCCTAAATAACTACATCATTTTTAAGTGGAATTCTAGTGCCAGCTATAAGACAAAACACTTTAAGCCCCAATGCAAATAAATACAGGTCGGAGGGGTGGGGTAGGATAGAAAGACTGCTGAAACGTATTAACAGATCTCGGTCATTTTGTAGAGAAAATTTTCCAAGGGTCTACAGTACATTAGCTGACTCCCAGTCACCCTGACTCCTAGTCAAGTGCCCTCTTCACCACAGCCATATTACCAGCCTCTACAGTATGGAGTGAGCACATTTCATCCTATTCCCCACACCGAAAAAACACCCTCTACCCACCTCCCTTTATTCCACAGTTTGGTAACAGTTCACCTTTCTTATTCCCTGGTCCTGTTTTCTGTCTTCACAACCTGCCATTACCTCTGTGCATCCAAGACTGGGACTCTGATACCCCACTGCATCTAAGATTAGGACTGCAATACCAGCTTTCAGTATTTTACTAGAACAGTATTTTTATAATAATTCCTTGTACAAAATTACCATATTTTGTTCATGTTTTTAAAAATCTCAGATCTGTTTTACATCTTGAGCTGAGCCTTTAAAAAGCATTTTGACCATATCTGCCTTCTGTTTAAAATCCCTACAATGTATCTTGTTATTTTAATTCACATTTACTGTTACTAGAGAGAAACTAAGTGTTTTCTTATCTTTATCAGTCATTTGAATTCACTCAGAACTAGATAACCTTGATAAAGTTTTAGAAGTTGGGATGGAGACAGCGGGAGTTAAGAAAAACCGAGGTGCATATAGTGTTAAATTAACCATAACAGAGATGAAGTGTTCAATATTCAATATCCAAATAGGGTTGGGCTTTAGATAATCAGCATTCATGGATGTCCTGAGAGAGAATTATCAACATTTTGTCACATGATCAACACATAATGTGAACTACACTTAAATGTTCCTCTAAACTACAATGACGCATACTTTATCTCAGAGTTGGGTACTTCAAGAGCGGTAATAATTGTTTCAACATGACATCAAAATATCTCCTTAAGAAGTTCACACACACGCATACACACACATGCACACACACATACACATTTATTCCAGATGTGCTGTCATCCTGTTCCAGGCACCTGGTTGTTTCCAAATAGCTGGGGGTGTGGCCTCCTGCAGGAGGAACATCTGGGTGATTGACTGCATTCTTCCCTATTCATCCAAAAGTTTTGGCAGCTACTTGCAGACAGATTGAAAATCTTCTCCTGAAACAAGCATGAGTAGTCTTTGTCAGCTGAATATTGACAGGCTCTGTGGTGGGGTGTTTTTTCCCGAGTCTGGGCTACCATCAAAATGTTATTTTCCAGCTGCTGAGTGCTGGTCTTTTATATCATAACTCAAGATCAATTATATTCAGAATGCAACATAAAAAATACATTTAGTAAGATTTCATTTCTGGCAGAGGTGCTTAGATTACGATAAAAGTACAGAATGGTACACAGGACAATGTGCTTCTGAATTATCAGACTGTATTTAACATCTGAAATTATCCCTCACCACTAATTTAGGCTTTATGTACCCAGAAAGAATGAAGCTGATTATCTATTGGCAGTTAAATTTACCTTGGTTCAGACCTATGGGTGCCCATTTATTCTAACGAACAGTAGAATATCAAATTAAGAAGCTTTATAAGTTCCAATAGAATAAACATGTGGCTTAATTTGTTTACAGATTGTCTGTCATTAGCAATCACAAATGAATTATTTAAAATATGCCCATGTAAAAGGTATGTGTACTTATTTTTCCTACATGTGCATGCATTATTCAGCTGTATGGTTTGGTGGGTAAGAAAATCTGTTTGGGCTATTGGGTTGTATATGGATTTGGGTTGTACCACCTACTATCCATACGGACTTGGAAGATTATTTAATTTGTCTGTGACATTGCAAACTAAATAAAAATACAGCCTAGACCTTAGAGTTATTGTATTAGGGTTAAATGAAATGATAAGTGAGATGATACAGGTAAGGCATGTAGAAGGTGACTTGAACACAATAACTCTCAATAAACATAACAAAACTCTGTGAGTGCAAATGAGTGTGTGTGAGTATATTCATGTGTGCTTAAAGCATTTGGCACTGATTTTCTGAATTTTACTCTTAAAGAGTTGTCATATGATTCACAGCTTATAAGAATACAGGGGGAAAAAACAAACCAAAAGAACAAATGGAAATTTTGTCCAAAAATAAAATATAACTGTTAGGTTTCACTACTCTAAAACCTTCAGTAGATTTTGACCAAGTTCTTGTTCAATTACTTACAAATTATTTGACTTTGGTTCATGTACTGTGTCCTCATCTATTAATAAGAATGGGAATTCCTGTGCTGTCTGCCTCTTCGAATTGTTGTGCTGGTCACATAGGAAACTAATGGACATCTGCTGCTCCTATCTGCCTAGCTCCTGCCTTCCTTGGAGGAACTGCCCTCTTTCTCCAGCTGCATGTCTCCTGTGGATTTGTTGGTCACTGGGATATTGGTAGAGGCCTGGTTAATTGTGGTACTCCATTCCCATGTTCTCAGTGATTGGTCCAATGATAGGCATCCAAGTAGAATCAGGAATAATATATCCATGAATATACATACAAACAGAATCTGGGTGAGAAAGAGCCTCCTCTTCTTGGATCACTATTTGTATGGAAAATATAGGCTGGAGCTTTTGCTACCGTCTTCTCCAACCATGTAAGAGAAGCTGTCTATGACAGCAGAGAAGCAGATAAAATTTGAGGTAGAAAGAAGTAAATATGAAAAAAAGAAGACAGAGGAAGCCTATAGCAAACACAACATAGCAAAACCACTTTTCCAACCTTGTTATAGGTCTATAAAAATTATTTAAATTATTTCTTGCTATCATGTATCACAGAGCCTCCAAGTTCATGCCTTTACTTGCATTGCTACATTGCCACTCCTCTGCCCACCAGTTTCAACTCCTAAATCTCTTTTCCTGCTGCATTTTCAAATCTTGGGTCCTTTAATTTCCAGCTTTCTTTCACCTCCCCATCCTTTACTGATTTCCCTCTCATTTGAAATGTTACCAAATATTACCATGCATCTCATATTTTAGTATTTAATGATATGCTATAATGATACTTCAGGGTGTTTCAATACCAGTCTGGGTTTCGGAACCATACCTTCTTCTGTACTCCAACAGTAAATAAGACTTCTCTTACTGCATATTGGAATCAAGGCTGTTTGCTTGCCAGCTGCTTCCTAGCTTCTAAATATCCAGTGAATTTTCAGTGCAACATGAATGGATCTTCAAAAGAGAATGCTAAGTACAAAAGTAATAATAATAGTAAACCAAAATATTATATTCACACCATTTATAGACATTAAAAATACAGACAAATAAAACACATCTAATAAGAACATATACAAACAAAAAGGTATATCTTAGAATCAAGTGGCTGTGGAAGAAAAACAGGATTACAGGAGTGGGGTACAGAGATAAAAGGGGTCTTGCTTGAAATAATGATGCCAACATTCTATAAACAGGACAATTTTTCAAAAGTCAGTGCTGCATCTGAGTTTCTAAATAAATATGTAAATATATGCTCGTATACTGGGTCACAAATGTTACAAGATTCCTCAACAGTTTTGAGAACTGAAATCAGAACTGTGCTAAAGCACAGGCTTTGTTACATATAAGCTGTTTATACAATGAGGTAAAAGGATTACACATTGAATGGGTATCAAACTTTAAGAAAATCCAATATAAGAAAATATGAATAAAAAAATCTAAAACATATTTTTAAAAGGTTGGAAAGCAATTATTTCCATTGTTGAAAAAAATGTATTCTATTTAATAGATAACTTGCTGCAAGGTTAATTTAAAATTGAGCAGTCAAAGTTCATGTAAAAGCATGTTTCAATTAAAACTTTCTTTTATTTACAAAAATTTAACTCACACCAATATTGCATAAAGAGGAGCAGCTCCATTTTTGTGTATGTCATTGAATGTCTGCTTTTTCCAACCTTAATTTGCATGTTACACGTCTTAATAATGAATGGAATATGCAGTATAAAATACATAATAGAAGTCTGAGAGTATTTATTTAAGAGTAAATTAATCAATTTAAAAGTATATTTTCCAAGTGTTTGTTGAAAAGGTTTTTTTGTGCTTTGTTTTAATACCGACAACAACAATGTCAGGCTCTCAGGAGCCAAAATTCATAGTGTCCTTTTTTGTAATTCCAGATTTTCAGGGTCTGATGATGGCAGTGATCAAGCTAATGATGTTAATGAGTCATAATGTTGATAGCAGAGGTATTCAAGACTGGCAAAATGAAAAATCTTATTTTTGAAATGAGCCCTTTTAAATTGTCATTTCATCCTTTTTCCCCCTTTCTCCATTGGCAATAATAGGTAGAGAATCACAAATAATTTCAAACTACATTATGTTCCTTGACACAGGAGAGTATAACTTAAATCACCAGTTCTCAACCAAGGTGTCATGACATACTCATTTGTTCATAACAGCTGTGAAGTACTTTAAGATCAGTCATAGCGTGTGATGCAATTAGATATTAATACAGAAAGTACTTTAAAATGTGATTTTTAATAAACCAGTATTATTTGAGGTTCCACCATGAATTATATTATTTTCACCCATTTGCTTTCGAATTATGCTCTCTTGCAAGGGGAAAAATGAAGATACAACTAGTATGTTAAAACTTGCACAATAAAACCCTTCCATTTTGCTCACGCCACAGTCCCATGGTGAAAACCTTCATGTATCTTCACTTCCATTGTTCTGTCTTCTCATAAACAAGGAAAGATCACAGTATTCAAGACTGGGATCTAATCTAAATCTAATCTAAATCTAACAATATGCTTCTCAACGGCAGAATTGGCACAAAAATCTTTTGTCAAATTCTGGATACTGAATTTTTGTTTGAAAAATATAGTCATCACAGAAATCTGCTAAAAAGTGTTTTTAATTGTCAAATAAAAAAGAAATGGAACCAGAGAACCATCATCCAGATATTTACTTAGGTATAACTCAGTTACAAACCAGTAATATGAAATCCCAGATAAATAAAAATTGTGTTTCATCAGAGCAATTCATTTAACTGATAATTTTAACATTTTTCCTCTCCGAACTCTTTTTACTGTGTCTGTTAACAAAAAGAAAAAGAAAAAAGAGAAACTGCAAAGGGCATCCAAGCTTCTAAGAATTTATAAGACCAAAAAGGGAGACATTTGGTTATATTCGTACCTGCAATAGATTGCCAGTCATTTGCAGTGCACTGAATAAAGAATTGCCGTTTTCAATTCATACAGGGGAAAGAGAATGGGAAAATTCTTTAGGTAAAAACGAAAATGTCACATTCACACAAAATACTAAAAATACAAAGTTGAGTGAGGAAAAAGAAAAGTGATTGGGAAGGAAAGGAGAAAAGGGAAAAGAAGACTGTGGGGGCTTGGGCAGGACTGATAGAGCGGTAAGACTGAACTGAGTTTTTAATTTTAAGAGGCATACGAATTAAATTCTCCACCAGAAAAATAAATCAAGGGAACTTTTATAGGGTGACTAATACATTAATAACCTACAGAAAGAGCTGAGCTCTCAGGTGAAGCCGGTTCAAGGACAAAAGGGCAAACTCCCACTCTCCGAACACTGTCAAGGGATCTTTAATGAATTCACGGAGCTGAGACACAGAATCGAGAACTCTTAGAGATGCTCGTCCACATCTAGAAAGTCTCTTGTGTACATCTCTGAAAGGCCTTATTATTGACTAATGAGCTTGTCTAAAACACCTATTTGCTTTATTATTTGCAAACAAACACACAATGATGCCTGAGCTAATTTGAGATTCCAACTTTTCATTTTTAATGCTGCTTAGTTAACGCATAAAACCTTTCACAGTGTTCATGACAAAGAGGTTACTCTTTCTTCTTTGTGCCAGTGAGTTTTTCAAAGCTAGCTCCACCGGATGTCATTTTCTCTAGAAACTTTTTTCCCTTCTTCCATTAGTGGAACAGTCTAATTACTGCATAATCAAAAAGAGAAGCATACACGGCTGCCTGGCTTCACCACATCCACACAATGGTGAAGAATGTGTCTTAACAGTCCAGTGAACTGTCAGCGGCAAAAGTAATTGGAAACTGGGGGCTATTTCTTCGTGTACTAGTAGTGGAAGTTGTTCTTGAGCTTTGTTAATAGGCAAATCACTCTCACGAGGTTAGGAGCCTATAGTTAGTTTGTAAAGACATAATGTTAAAAAAAATTAAGACATTGTAATACTCCTTCCAAAATTTTTTTTCAATTACACATTAAATGACTTGGCATTTGAGGTAATGTTATCTAGTGTTAATTCACGTGTTAGGAAATTGCCTTTTTCTAGAACCTGGGGTTAATAGAGTGCAAAAGACCATTCTTATCAAGGGGTGTGAGAAAGGCGATTAATTTACACTATAAATTAAAACATAGAAAATGGAAAGAAAACAGATTCTGAGTTTGGGCCTAACTCCTGAAAAGCTATTATGTTTTGTTGTTTTTTTTCTGTTTTAATTTGTTATTTTTATCCACTTTTGCAGGCCTCTAATCATTCCAGGCAGAACACACAGCACGGATGAAACTATACATGAAAGAATATGCTTCAGGAAGCAAAATTAATTGACATTGCAGGAAACATATTCAGAGAGTATAGAGTTACAGCTGTGTGGCTTCTATTCACATCACAGTAGAATCATTTGTCTGGTTAATATTTGCAAAAGCACATTTGAAAAGGAAAACTATGAAGTGCTAAGTAGGCTTGTTGACAAGCATTAATCCTCTTTGTTATATTTCACATTTAATAAAAATAGTGATGCTGGTAATGATAAAATCCATTTGTACTATATTCAGAATCCATTGCAAAGCAATGTAGGTCAGCTTCTAAACAAGTAAGCCTGAAAGTAATTGTTTATGGACCACTACACAGCTCTTTGTGAAGATCAGTTATTATAAACAAAATCACTGGTGAATTAGTAGTATAAATAAATAAATAAATAAAGTTATTCATTTTTATTTCAGGAGCCAGGCCTTTGTTCTCTACTTTACCTACCCACAGCATCTAAAGATAATAGCAGGCCTTGTCACATGTAAAATTTTAAATAAACTTACCTTTCTCGTCCCCTCAGGACTTCCAAGTCCTGAGGATGCTGGGCTAACTACTTTCCCAGGAGCCCACACTCAGATGCCTCAAGTTAGACCTAAACATTTTCCTTCTTATTCCCTGTTGGTACATATTTTCTCTTCTTCCTTTCTTTCAAGACTCTAACATAGGTAATCAAACACAAGAATTTTGCCTAACAACTGCTTGCTATAAAAATCAACTAAGTAATGTGTGTGACTGATGAAGTGTCCAATACTTATAAGTTCTGTAACCTTGGGCCTATTGCCCAATTTCATAAACCTCAGCTTCCTCATTTGTAGAAATGAGCTAATAACCCTATAAAGGATCTAGAGAAGATGCATGTGAAGTTTCTATCCCAGTGCCTAGCACATAGTAGGTACTCAATTAGTATGAGATATTGGATTATTATTCCCAGAGCCAAGCGCGGTACATGTTATACAATTGGGACTAAATCTATGCTCGTTGAATAGGATTAATTCACAAAGACAGGTTAGGCCAGATTGCCATCACTACCTGAAATAACAGAAGAAGTCACTAATCAAGTAGCAATTATTTTGTGCATAAAATATTGTGCAAGCATCAATATGGTTTACAGAAGAACATAGCTTTTTATACTGGTTTAGCTTCCTCCTATGCTAAAGCATAGATTACACAAAGGAGAAATATTACATGCTTTTAATAAAGTGTTAGAAGTTATCACAAATATTAACACTCAAGGAAACAAGCCATCGTCCCCATCACTGTTACTTAGGATGATCTGAATTAGAGTTATTTAAAAATGACTCACTTTTCACTTGACAATTTTAAATGATGGCTCAAATGGCTCATCGTTGCTATCCATTTAATCAATCTATTTGTATAAAAACAGTGACCAATTAAAAAACTCAATACTGCAATTAAGAAATGTCAATACATCACAAAGTAATTATTAGAGGACCGAAAGAAAATTTGAAATATCCCGGACAAATAGAAAAGTAGCTTTAAAAAGTACAAAATCAATGGAAACAATGCAATATATTTAGAGACAATAACTAAGGAGCAAAACTGGATAGAAGAAAAATAGGGAGGCAGGGAGAAAAAGTGCTTTTAGAAAAATGAAATTAAACTTGAATAAAACTATTCTACTTTCTAGCTGTATAAATGTACATACATCACTTAGTCCCTCTCAAACTCAGTTTTCTTATCTTTAAAATGGAAATTATAGTATGTCTCTGCATGTTTCTTATGATAATTAGAATAATAAGTATTTCCCTCACAGAAGAGCCATTCAGAAAATAAGCAGTAGAGGAGCTATCAGTGATGGCTGCAGGAGAACAGCAGTGGCAGTAGGAATAGACTAGTCTTTGGGAAATCATATTTAACTACAAGCTAAATAAAAAGCAATAATTTCATGCTGTAGAAAAAAGGAAACCCATACTATTCCAAAATACATTTTCAAGCATGTAATGGAAGGGCAAAAATGCCCAATAAACATATAGAAAAAACAATTCAATTTTACTAGTGATCAGGGAATGTGAATTAAATAAGATGCCATTACACACCTATCAAATTGGCAAAAAATTTAAAGTGTGACAATATCAAATACAAATGAGGATATGAAAAGCAGGAGCTATGGTAACCACTTTGGAGGGCAATTTGCAACATCTGGTTAAAAAAAAAAAAGCAAGTCCTCTGCTGCTCTGCAGTGGCATTTCTCCACTGGAGATGTGGTCACATCTGAACACAAGGACATACATACAAACATTGCTTACAGTGGAAAAAAAAATGAAAAAACCTAAATGTCTCTCAACAGGAGAATGGATATATAAAAGTTATACATTCATTAAATGGGATATGATAGAACATTTAAAATAAATGAATCAAAGCTATATGTATCAACATAAATCTTTAAAACAATGTTGAAATGAGAAAACATGTTGATGAGTGATTTTTAAAAATTATGCTATTTTGTGTTGGCTCTGGAAAAGTATAAAAACATGAAATTATACATATTAGATTCAGAATGGTAGTTTTTCCTGGGATTGGAATGAGAAGAAGAGAATCAGGCAGCAGTACACAGTCTATAATATTTGATGTCTTTCAAAATACTTGAAGCAAATAGGACAAACGGATAAGATTTCTTAAACTTGGTACTATGTATGCAGAAAGGCCCATATAATCACATCATGTAGACAAATCTCTGGGGCTTAGAGTCCCCATCTGTAAAATGAAGTGACTGGACCAGCTAATCACTAAGCTCCCTTCCAGCTGAGAGATTCCATAATTCTGTGATAAGAAGGACTTATAATGACGAGGCAGGCTAGTAAAGTTGTTCTCTCTGTCATAGAAAGAAGAAATCAATTTAAATTTAAGTAGGAATACTACAAAGATCCCACAATCAAGACAGTGTGGTACTGGCATAAGGCTACACATGTAGATCAATGTAGTAGAAATGAGAGTTCAGAAATAAACCCTTACATTCATGGTCAATTGATTTTCAACAAGGTTGCCAAGACTGTTCAGTGGGGAAAGAATCATTTTCAACAAATGATACTGGGACAACTGGATATCCATATGCAAAAGGATGAAGTTGGACTGGTACCTCAGTTACACCCAAAAATTAACTCAAAATAGAAGATAGACTAAATGTCAGTGCTAAAACTATAAAATGCTCAGAAAAAAAAATAGAAGTAAATCTTTGTGATCTTAGGCAATGTTTTCTTAGATATGAGACAAAATAAAAGCAAAAAAGAAAAAATACAAATGGATCATTAAAATTAAAACTTTGAGTTTTAATGCACACCATCAAGAAAGTGAAAATACAACCTCTGGAATGGGACAAAATATTTGCAAATCATATGTCTAATGACTTGTATCAAAAATACATAAATAATTCTTACAATTCAATAATAAAAAGACAAATACCCAACTTTAAAAAAGGAGAAAGAATTTGGTGGACATGCCTTCATATACAAATATACAAATGATATACAAATGAGCATTAAAAGATGCTCAACATCATTAGTCATTAGGGAAATGCAAATTAAAACCACAATGAGATGCCATTAGCATGTCTATAATTTAAAAAAAAAAACAGACAATAACAAGCATTGTCAAGATGTGGAGAAATTTAAAACCTCATACATTGCTAATTGTATTATAAATTGGCACAGCCACTATAAAAAACAGTTTGGCAGCTCTTCAAAAAGTTAACCATAGCATTACCATATGACCCAGTAATTCCACTTCCGGGTGTATACTTAAAAGAATTGAAAACATATCTCCATGAAAACACTTGTACATAAATGTTCATAGCAGTATTATTCATAATAGCTGGATAGTAGGAACAACCCATATGTCAATCAACTTTTGAATGGATGCGTAAATGCATTGCATCCATATAGTGAAGTATTATCCAGTCACAAAGAGAAACAAAGTACTGATATATGTTACAACATGAATAAAACTTGAAAACATTATGTTGAATGAAAGAAGCCTGGCCGGGCACAGTGGCTCAAGCCTGTAATCCCAGCACTTTGTGAGGTCGAGGCAGGGGGATCATTTGAGGTCAGGAGTTCAAGACCAGCCTGACCAACATGATGTAACCCTGCCCCTACTAAAAACACAAAAATTAGCCAGGCATGGTGGTGCACACCTGTAGTCCCAGCTACTTGGGAGGTTGAGGTGGGAGAATCACTTGAACTCACGAGGTGGAGGTTACAGTGAGCCAAGATCATGCCATTGCATTCCAGCCTGGACAACAGAGCAAGACTTGGTCAAAGAAAGAAAGAAAGAGAGAGAGAGAAGCCAAACACAAAAGCAACCGCTATGGTCTGAATGTTTATGTCCCCCAAAACTACCAAGGTGATGGTATTAGAAGGCGGGAGCCTCTGTGAGGTGATTAGGTCAAGAGTACACAGCCCTAATAAATGGAATTAGTGTCCTTATAAAAGAGGCCCAAAAGAGGCCCCTTATCTACTATCACCTTGATCTTGGACTTCCCAGCATCACAACTGTGAGAAATAAATTTCTGTTGTTTATAAGCCACCCAGGTTATGGTATTTTATTATAACAGCCCAAATGTCTTAAAACAGTCACATATTGTATGATTCCATTTATATGAAATGTTCAGAATAGGCAAAAACCATTGAAAAAGAAAGTAGTGATTTTTGGGGAATAGGGGAAGGAGAGAATAGAAAGTGACTGCTGATGGGGATGGGGTTTCTTTTTGAGCTGATAGAAATGTATTAAAATTAAATAGTGATGATGGTTGCACAACTCTGAATATTAAAATGCACTGAATTATATGCTTTAAAAAGAGTAAATGTTATGCTATGTGATTTATATCTCAATGAGCTGTTATTTAAAAATTTAATGGGGAAAGTCTGGAGCTAGGTTTTTTAAAGAATAATTTAATTATTATGATTATTAGAATTATTAGAATTTCCTTGGAAAGCTCCAAGAAGATATGTGGGATCATTACTGTAGGAGGGTTCCAGAAGAAAGTGTGTTAAAACTGTCATAATATCTTTAGACTTTTTTAAAAATCTGAAGCGATATGGTTGGTTTATACAATTTTCTGAGATTTTTCCTAGTTTGTTCAACAGTGAACCTAAGACTTTTGTTACCAGATATTGATTTTTCTTCTGTTTCCCTCTTGGGCTTTATTTCTAAATACAGAATATATTCTGCTTCTCATCAGATTTGAGGAAACCCCTTTTTAGTAATTAAAATTCAGTGTTGTTATGTTCACTTGTCCTTATTAAGGAAGGAGTTGCTCCACATAGGTAGACATTACAAAATAACTGAAATTTATCTGCAGCCAAGCCCCACATTGTATTCTTCTTAATCCTACTTGATGAGAAATGCCTAAAAAAATGCTGTATTTCCAGCGGGTGCTGTGGCTCACACCTGTTATCCCAGCACTTTGAGAGGCTGAGGCGGGTGGACCACCTGAGGTCAGGAGTTCGAGACCAGCCTGACCAACATGGCGAAACCCCATCTCTACTGAAAATACAAAAATTAGCCAGGCATGGTGGCAGGTGCCTATAATCCCAGCTACTCAGGAGGCTGAGGCAGGAGAATTGCTTGAACCTGGTAGGCGGAGGTTGCAGTGAGCCGAGATCACGCCATTGCACTCTAGCCTGGGAGACAAAAGTGAAACTACATCTCAAAACAAAAAAACAAAAACAAAAAACCTGTATTTCCCTGACTTCTGAGGCAGAAAACAGTGAAAATACCCACCTTTTCTTCATGGAACAGGGTCAGCATTATGACTACCCATTCCTTATAATACACAACTATGCTCTGCACTGGTTTTGGGTGTCATCTCTTCCTGGGCTGTCAACAGTCACTTCTGCTGTTATTGCAAAATGACTTCTGTGAAGGCTTTTCATAGATTTACAGAAAGATTGTTTCACTTCTCACTAACCCTCTCTCATGTTTTAACCAAAAAAATTCTTTAATATCAATTGCTTTTAAAGAAGAATAAAGGGACCTTTTATAGAGAGAAAATGAAAATAAAGGTCAGTTATTCTGGTATCCCATAACTCTTCTTCATCTCAGCTTGGCTGAGAGGTGGAAGGCTCTTGAGTTCTTGCGTAGAATCATTCTTCCTCTTTGGACAGATGGCTTATGACGGACTCAGGGTTAAAGAAAGAAAGAGTCCTCATCTTGACTACAGTCCCAGGAAGAGCTAGAGGAGTTGGGATGGGTACCAGGACTTTATCTTCATATAACACCACTCCCAGAAACCCTATTCTGTGACAAGAACCCCTTCTCCCATCTCATTTCCTTTCTCACTAATGTCATTTCACTAAAGACAGTGAGGTGGGAGCGAGGAAAATTTTAAGTGGTATAGAAGCAAAAGGAAACAGGAGCAGGGTTCTCACCTTGACTTACTTCCTTCTAAAATATAAGCAGATGTATAGGGGATAAATTATCACAGTATTAGCTTCTTAATCTTACTTAAAGATACAACTTAAATAAATTAGCATATCTCTTCTGACTACATCATGTTGACCAAATAGGAATATTTTTAATTCACGTAGCAGTTTTCACCTTTGAACACTGAATATTGACAGAGTGTTGGCTTCTATTTTTTCTAAAGGAAGGAAAAACATAACTGTAGGGAAACTTTTCACCAAAATTGGCTGCCACCTGTTGTCCTTTTTTTTTTGTCTTCCCAACATTTCAGTGTTAGAACATTACAAACAAAATGTAAAAGCCTTTGCATCTACTTGGGCAGGAAATAATTTGTTTGGTAAGTGCTAAATGTCATAACAGACAGTTTGGAATCCCCTGGTTTCTATTCACTTATTTCTGGGTTCACAGATAGGCCATATGTTGGGTATACCTAAAGTCTTTTTTCTAAATAACTGGGATAGTATATTCCACAAATTATTTAGAAGGAAACAATCTAATCTCAATAATTGAGGCTACTGTGTGTTCCAGATAGAATGGATTATTTTTCCAGTTGGAAGTCATGAATTGGTCCCTGAATGATGGTAAAAGACCCCAGATGACCCTATTAGAAATGTAGCATGAGCAAGAAATAAAGATTTGTTTGATGACTCATATTTCCAAGTAATTTGTTAACACACCTTACCAATCCTGACTAATATATGTTATGAGTTGAAAGATGGAGCAAATCTGTCTCAAAGGATGTTCAGCTTGAGCTATGTTAAGAATGACTGTTATTTGGAAAAAAAGGAAAAACATTCTGGATTGGGATATTCAACATGAATAAAATGAGAGATGTGGGTTTATGTGAGTAAAAGAAGAGAATAACAAATGTAAAGAATACATTAAAAAATATTGGACACAATGGCTTGTCATGTAGTATAGGCCCAGATCTTACAGAGTCTTTGAAATCCAATGCATTACATTAGACACCTTAACTGCAAGTAACAGAAACCAGTTGAGTAAACATAAGCCAAAGAGGAGAAATTATTTAAATGATATGGGACTACTTAAAGGAATCCAAATGCAGAGACACTTTCAAGACTCACAAAATATTGAGAGTCAGATCTGGGAAAGCTGGCAGAAGCACTTTCTCTGCGCATTACCTTTACTTCTTTGACTTGTCTTTTTCATTCTTCTCGCTCTCTCTCTCATTCTGCAGACTGGTTTTCTCAGCTTTTGTTTACGTGTTGCAGTTTCAGGCACAGAATGGTCATTTCTAGATTCCAATATCAAATCCCCAGAGAGATAATAACTGGGTTCTGCTCAGGTCAGATGTCCCCCACCAACTCAATCAACTATAGGCCAGGAGGCTGGATGACATGGCACACATAGGGCTGCTGGGAGCTCACCCTGTGAATCAAGGGTCTCCCAAAGGAGGGGCATCCTCGTGGGCTGAACTGGTCACCAGTAGTTGTCCACTACAGATAGTGGGTGAGTTAAAATATGATATCTTATGTAATCAAATAAGGAGAAGGTAAATAATATGATAAAAGATATTTTAGGAAAATTACCCTGATAGTATTGCGCAGAACAGGTCAACACCAAAATAGATCAGGGACAGATAAATCAAGAGACAGACACAGGCAAACATGTGTCCTAGTAAAATTAATTACCATTTGTAAGCAAAGGTAAATATGAAGAAAAATTCAGGGCCAGGCATTGTGGCCCATGCCTGTAATTCCAGCACTTTGGGAGGCAGAGGTGGGCGGATTATGAGGTCAGGAGAGCGAGAAGAGCCTGGCCAACATGGTGAAACCTCATCTGTACTAAAAATACAAAAATTAGCTTGTCATGGTGGCTCGCGCCTGTAGTCCCAGCTACTCAGGAGGCTGAGGCAGGAGAATCACTTGAACCCAGGAGGCAGAGGCTACAGTGAGCCGAGATCGTGCCACTGCACTCCATCCTGGGAAACAGAGTGAGACTCTGTCTCAAAAAAAAAAAGAAAGAAAGAAAGAAAAGAAAAATTCAGTTAAATCATATCAACACTAATGATTGTTTCTTGTTTGGTATTATAGGACCTGAAAATTGTGTGGTCTATCTATTTCTTATTCAGGTTAAGGCATATGGCACATGAAAAAAGAATATTTTGTAATGGAGCTGATCAAGTCAGTTCCTCAAATTTTAAAGATAAATACACATAGACCTCATAACATTAGTAAATGAAACATTGATGCCTTCTATCTGGTCAATAATGGGAAATTCCCCTTTCTTTAAACATTTAAGCCACAAGAGTTTGCTGTTTAACTTTTCAAGCTATGAATAATACATTTTCTCATATTTTTTTCATTCAGAATTTATATCCACTTTGAATTCAATCCTTGAAGGAATGATAGTTTGATGAGGTAGAGAGGCCCCCAGCCTGATGGTGAGGAGACTGCTGTGAAATGGTAATTCCACCTCTCTTGGTTTTGAGTCCCTGGGCAAAGGACTTAGCCAGTGTGAACCTTTGTTTCCTCATACAGATATTGATTTTAAAAATATTTAACAAACAGGCTTTCGAGCAACACCAGAAGGCATCACTTGGTTCACACTGGAGCCCTACGGCAGAGGGTTGGCAGAAGTGTGTCTCCCCAGCTCTTATGCCACTCTGTGGAACAATGTACTTAGCTGAGTAGCACTGGTTCCACCATGAAGCTGGGCTCCAAGAGAAGGATCCTGGCCTCTGTGGTTATGTTCCCTCTGGAGCTCCCTCTGGGTGCTCCACACTGAGGATGTCACATAATCTAAATGTGGAAACCAACAAGTTTGAACTTGGGTGCAGCCGTTCTGAGGTTGCTGAATGCCATCAGCCCTGCACAAAGCCATCTTAAAGGAAGCTGGTCTGTTCATGAAGCCAATCCTTAATTATTTACCAATCTGAATAATCTTTCTATTATGGAGTAATGTCTGTCACTACCCATCAACAAATAGAAATGTTTCCACACATGAACTATTTTGCTTTGCTACTATCACCTAATAATAGGTTTAGCACCATCATTTTCAAATAAATATATGTTCTCCCATAAGAACCAAACCAAATGATGACTCCATTTGGCACAATGTCTACTGACATCTCTTACCACATGGTCATATCGATGCTAGTCTCCTCACTGAACTCTGAAACCCTAGAGTGAAGGTACTTTATCTTTTTCCCTTTTGTGTCACCTGAACCTTTTGCAGTGCCTAAAACAGAATACAGTAGATGCTCAATCAATGCTTATTGGTAAAGAAAACACAAAATGCTTTCTTGTAAAACAAAGATCCAAAAGAAAGAAAGAAAGGGAGTAAGAGAAGCAAATATTTGAAAAAATAAGCATGCAAATAAGTAGCTCAGAAATGGCTTTCCACCTGGCTAAGGGTGTTTCTTTTTTTTTTTTTTTTTAATAAAAAGAACAATAGGGATCATTAAGCAATACAATGTACCCTTTCTCTCTAGCCCAGATGCTTTTATCCCTTTTAGCTAGTACCTGTAATCAGAGGGAGTATGTGATCTTATTTAGGGTTCACTCAACTCTAATCTTTCACAAAAACATTTATGTCTTTCAGAAAATTTAGGAACATTTCAGTAATTCATTTGAAAAATTTTCAGTCCCATTCTCTCCTTTCTTTTAGAGACTCTAATTATACAAATGTTAGCTCAGATCCCTGAGACTTTACTTTTTTCAGCCTATTTTCTCTCTGTTATTCAGGACAGATAAGCTTTATTGATCTGTCCTCAGGTTCACTGATTCTCTTCTCTGTCATCTCTACTCTACTGCTGTGTGCATCCAGCAAGCTTTTCATTTCAGTTACTACATTTTTCAGTTCTATTAATCTTCATTCAGTTTTTTTAAATAATTTTATTTCTTTGCTGAGATTTTTTATTTTTTCATTTGCTTCAAGAGAATTCATAATTGTTTGTTGAAACATTTGATGATGGCTGCTTTAAAATCTTTGTCAGATAATTCCAACATAGCATTCATCTTAGTGTTGGCATCTGGAGATTGTCATTTCTCATTTGGGTTGTGATTTTCCTGGTTCTTGGTAGGACAAGTGATATTTGAATGCATCCTGGATACTTTAGCTATTATATTGTGAGTGTCTTGATTTTACTTGATCTTCCTTTTTACAAGCAGTCCAACTGTTGAAGTGTAATGAGAGTGCCAGGTGGGTGTGCATATTCTGCTTTGCTGGGCCCCACCTCTCATCTCCTCACCCATAACACCACTTCTGTAAAAGTGGAGTGCTAACTCCAGCTGCCCCTGCATATTGGCAGAGTGAAGTTCATCTCCCACCTTGGTCAGGCTGACACCTTCCTGCAAAAGTGGGACAACACTAGCACTACAGCATTGCCTCCATTGAAAGTGTAAACCCGGCTTCACAATGGGCCTCCTCCTGACACCAGGAGAGGGGAGGACAGGGGGTGAAGTGCCAACTACTCCTGCTTCCTATTAACTCATTCAGCCTTGTTAGACGCCAGATTTGGGGGCGCAGGGGATGACAAGTGCAGACTCACCCTGCTTTGCACTGCCTCATTCAGTCTCATTACCAGTTTCCCGCTTGGTCCCAGTGACACCTATCGGGCTAGGGAGGAGCCAAGCATAGTGGTGACTGTATCCCCTCCCCTGCTATCTCATACTCACTCTGAGAGTTGTTGCTGCCCAGTGGAGGTGGAGACTCAGCCTCCTATGGGACCCTGCTGCAGTAACAGGAGTGCTGACTGCTTTGCTGGAGGGTTGGGGTTGGGGATGGGACATCAGCTCCCCACTCAGTCCTGTAGAAGAATGAGAGCACTACTACTTGTTTCCATAAGCTGTTTCCATAAGGTGAGAGACAGGAGAGAGATGGGGCTGGGGTGAAATTTCAGCTCCCTGCTAAGCCCCACCAAAACCATGATTTACATGCTACCTATGGCTGTTCTCAAACAAATTGTGTATTTGACAATGTTTTTCCTACAAACTATTAAATAATTCACATGGTATATATTTTCTCATAATACCATAAAGACCTAAAACTGCAAAAAAAAAATAAAAAAATAAAAAACCACAGTCACGTGTTTAGGTACATTTTAAAGATGTTGTTGGCTATTTCAGAGTAAAATGCCAACAGTTTGCTCTGCAAATGGTTTTTCTGTTCTGTTAAGCCACCTTTTCTCAGTGCTTTGGCTAGTGTAAAAAAGCTTTTCTTGGAGGCTTTTTTGTTTGTACCTATTGCTGATTCCAGATTGAAGGCTTCTGCAAAGCCCCATCCAGGATATATGGGAGGCAATAAGGAAATCCAAGTCTTGAGGTCCTTACACAATCTGTCTCCTTCTTTCCACCATTCATAGTATTCATATGTTTGCTTGTTCTGTTATGCGTGGGCTTTTTTTTTAATTGATCTCTATTTGGCCCAGAAGTTTAGGGTGTGTTTCTTTCATCCAGACAAGTGAGACACTCCCCAGATTCACAGGTAGGAGCCAGCCCAACCAGTAATCTTCCTAGGCAAAAATGCTTTGGAGAAATGAATGAGTTAAAAAAACTGGTCATTGCCACTTGATTTAAAGAGAAGTTTCCTCTCACTGTCATCCATTTCCATTTGATTTAAATGTAACCACCCTTTATTTTCATTCAAACACAAAAAAGACATTTTATTAAAACAACTAGACAGATCAACATAAAACATTCTGTACTTAATTATGATATGTGGATTTCAAGATTTTAAAGAATAAATACTCATTAATCTAGTTCTGGGCTTGTCATCAAATCTGACTTTAAAATCTTTTTTCCTTAACTTTTAAATAGCTAATTTTAATTTTTATTAGAGAAGGGATACATGCTTACCAAACTTTAAAATGTAGAAAATTTTAAAGAAGAAAATAAAAATATCTTTGATCTCATTACTGTCAATATTTTGGAATATTCCCTTTCAGTATTTTCTTTTTTTTTGGTCTACCTAGATGCGTTAATCATATAATGTGTACAGTTTTAAATCTTGCTTTTGTCATCTAACACTGTCCTGACCATTTTCTTATGAGATTAAACTTATTAGGAAAATTAATTTTATTGGCAGCAGATTAAAGACAAATCTTAATTTATTTAGACAATCTCTTGTTATTAAACATTTATATTGTTTCCTCATTTTTTTTTACTACTATAAATAGTGCTGCAGAAAGTATAGTTTTTGAACAAATGTTTATATAATTGTGATTATTTTCTTAGAATAGTTTTCTTGCCTTCCAACTTTATTTCTAAGGGTGATCCTAGCTCATAAATTTAATGCCAGTATTTTGGTCTGTTCAGAAAACTTGGAGAAATAGCCAACTTTCTAGTTTTAAACTTTGCAATACACTATAAAAACATATGAATATGTACACAGTTATATTGAAAGAGCTCTGTGTTTCCAGAGCATATTTATATCTTTATTATTAGATGTTTTAATTGAGCTTGTGATTTTTTTCACTAGGCTCAATAATTACTCTTAATTAGTGGTAAATAATTCTTACCTGACGTATCTAATTTTCCCACTGAAATGTGAAGATGGCATTTTACTCTGGATAGCCAACAACATATTTAAAATATACATAAACACATGATTGCTGTTTTTTATTGTTTTTGCAGTTTAAAATCTTTATGGTATTATGAGAAAATATATGCCATGTGAATTCTTTAATAGTCTGTAGGAAAAACACTGCCAAACACAAAATTTGTTTGAGAATAGCCATAGGTAGCACGTAAATCAGTGGAATCTTTAAACATCCTTGGCTTATAAGAACCATAGAGCTTTAAAAATAAGTGAACCTGTTTATCATTGTAAAGAATAATAATTAAGCTTCAGTAGAAAGTGGCACAGGAAGTATCACAAAAGATGAAAAACAAATTGTTTGAATTCAGATGATTTGAAGATAAAAAGAAACTGGTTGTAGGTAAAGTTTTCTAGTTCCTAAAATGTTCAATAGTAGAAAAAATATCGTATAAAAGAGTTTAAAGATTAAATTGCCTTAAATTGCCTTTTCTTCCTTTAGAAAATAGACACAACATGGCTCTTTGTAGCAACAGATCTCTTCTGTAATTGAAATGATAAATAAATAGAGCTGGGCAAAACCGGAGGTGGTTTGGAGTTTGAGCTGAGAGTATTGCATTTACACTTTCCAAGTTTCCTTTCTTAACTTGTGACTCTGGGGCTGAAATAATAATCCTTTTTTTTCTTCTTTAAAATAAATCTTTCCCTGCTTCTAACTACCAGGGGAATATTATGAAAACATTCAGAACTAACATTACAGAACTAACATAGCTAAAAATGGTGCATCAGCATTGTGAAAAGGCCTATAATCCCAGAGAGAGAAAAACTCCAAACATTATGAGCAGTGCAGGGTTCTTTTACTGTTGATCCTGAGAAACAGTAAGTTTGGGGTTCTTGTTGCTCATTTAGCAAAAATAAACTTACAAAAAACAGGAAGGAAAGGAAGGAAGGAAAGGAAGGAAGGAAAGGAAGGAAGGAAAGAAGGAAGGAAGGAAGGAAGGAAGGGAAGGAAAGAAGGAAGGAAGGGAGGGACACATACACAGAAAACCCACATAGAAAACACTTCCTTGTGTTACTGTTCACCTCGATATCTCATGACCAAGTAATCTGTCACACTCACAGGAGGAGAGCTGACATTGGGAAGAACAGAAAGGGGAGGGTGGATAGAATGAGAAACAGAGTACGAACTTGAAGTTTCTGAGGTGTCACTTCCTCCTGTCTGCAGCTTTGTTCATCTGGAGTGGACTACAGAAGGCAGACACCAGTTTTGTTGTTTTGGGGGTTTTTTTTGTTGGCTTTTTTTTTTTTTTAGACAGAGTCTTGCACTGTCGCCCGGGCTGGAGTGCAGTGGCACAATCTCAGCTCACTGCAACTTCTGCCTCCCAGGTTCAAGTGATTTTCCTGCCTCAGCCTCCCAAGTAGCTGGGATTATAGGCACCTGCCACCACGCCCAGCTAATTTTTTGTATTTTTAGTAGAGAAGGGGTTTCACCATGTTGGCCAGGCTGGTCTCAAACTCCTGACCTTGTGATCCACCTGCCGTGGCCTCCCAAAGTGCTGGGATTACAGGCGTGAGCCACCGCGCCAAGCCCAGGCACCAATTTTATTCCACTTGCCTGCCCAGTCAGTGTCGGACTGGGCAGGGAATCACAGTTGAAGTTAAAAAAGCAGATGTCCTTAGAACAATTATGGCAGTTCCCACATACATACACAAAGTTAAATGAAATGCCACCATGTAATCAAGAGTTAGGGCTCCTTTTGGTTTTTAAACTGTAGATTAAAAAGGCCACTGTGCATATCTCTATCCCAGCGTGTACAACTGTCTTTGAAGGGGCTTGTGCTGGTGGGAATTCTTTGTCTCACTGTCTCACCACCCGGTTATGAGCTCCTCCAGAGTTTCCTCCAATCCCTAAGACCTTGCAGAGTGCCTGGCATGTGACAAGTATTCAACAATAATTACAATTGCCAATACTTATCGAGCAACTGACTCTCAAATTTTATGTTAAATAATTTTACATGGATAATAAACAGAAGAATTTTAAAAAATTAAGTAACTTGCCCAGGATCACTAGCTATTTGAGGCAGGCCTAGCCCCAGGAGCCAGGCTCTTGACAATCAATAATGTATCCCACGTTTGTTGACTGAATATGGGAAAGTCTCTTGATCTCTCCCCATTGTGATAACAAGTTGTGACTATAGATAACTGATATTTTTAATAGAGGAAGCTAAAATAATCTTTCCTTTCACTATTATCAAAACAAGTTAGGACTTAAGATTCTGAAAAGTTGCCTTAGACCTTGTTCCTGCCCTCTAAGGAAGCTAGAATCCAGGGCACTTAATTATGGGAGGCACAAATACATAAAGGGCACACTGTCTGAAGAATGGAGGCATTACTGTAATATAATAATGAACCATAAACTAATATTCAGGGAGCCTTACTTTTCAAGTTACACCGAAAACTATAGCAAGAACCGCTAATACACCCACATACATATAGGCGCACATATGTATACATGTATGTAAATGTATATGTGTGTGTATACACATTGAGAGAGAAAGAGGAGCATTGTTGATGAGTGTCCTTAGGGAGGAATCCATCTTTTTATTTCTCTGGTTTTAAATCTGTAATACAGGTTGTTGTGAGAATTAAATAAGATAAAGCATAAAATTGCCTTGAATACATTCTGCACCCTGTTAGTCATTACATAGATCATCACAGCAGGAGGTAACAATCCTTCTGAGGCTAAATTTAGCATTTCAGGAAGCTGAATTCTCAGAGTAGAGCTTTCATGGACTGTCCGCCTACTTCTAAATCATGCTCATGACTAAGCCAAGCACACCAAGCCTCACATTCATGTTTGCCCCTGGTGGGATTCAGGACACATTACGCTGAAATATGGCACCTTGACATTTGAGAAAACAGCAGAGGCAGGAAGTTCTCCCTCATCTTTCCCTGCTTTTCCCCCATAAAGCAGGTCATAAAAATCTAGAAAGTGGCTGGGTATGGTGGCTCATACCTGTAACCCCAGCACTTTGGGAGGTCAAGGCAGGCAGATTGCTTGAGCCCAGGAGTTTGAGACCAGCCTAGGCAACATAGCAAAACCCTGTCTCTACAGATTTTTTTTTAATTAGCTGGGCATGGTGGCACATGCTTGTAGTAGCAACTACTCGGGAGGCTGAGGTAAGAGGATCACCTGAGCCTGAGAGGCAGAGATTGCAGTGAGCCATGAGCACACCACTGCACTCCAGCCTGGGTGACAGAGAAAGGCCTTGTCTCAGAAAAAAAAAAAAAAAAATCTAGAAACGATCTTCTGGCTTCCCTATGTAGGTCATAAGACCCTCACATGAAAGGTACTCTCCTTATGCCTGTAAGAAAGGAGCATCCTTATCTCTGAAGACAAAGGGTCACAGAAAAGAATCTGAACCATTTCTTTGGATCTTTATGTCTTTATGAAGAGTCCCATTTCATGTAGAACTTATGTTAAATAAAGTTGTATGCTTGTCTCTTGTTAATATTTCTTGTTATAGAGACCTCAGATACAAAGCTAAGATGGGTAGAGAAAAAGATATTTTTCCTCCCCTATGCCTTTTGCCACCAGAAATCCAGTTCATCCATCATTACCCAAATTATCATTCCCATTTGTCCATACAGCCTCTAATCTCATTCAATTTCCTCCCTGACTCACTCCCATTCCTTTCACTGAGCCTTCTGTAACTGCATTCTGAGATCAGCATGGTAGTCTCAGCCTCATTTCTGAATAGTTCCTTACCTGTGTGTGCCTTAAAAATATCTATGCCCTCACGGTCACACTCTCCCTTCCAAATGGAAGCTGTTTCTTTTTTCCTCTTATACACTACCTACTTCAGGGTCATGTGGTAGATTAGACATACGTGTGACTCCCACTCCTGCTTCTAACCATTTCTCCTTCATCCCCCTTCAAATGAGGGCCAGTTTATCCACTGGGCATGGAAGACACAGAGCCCAAGGCCCATGATACTTTCAGGAGAGTAGCAAAGTATTTTTTTTCTTTTAAAATCAGAAGAAAGAAAATATATGATCTAACCTGAATTATATTTATGTTTTACTAATGTGGTTATAAAACACACTTTCTAGTATTTTTTCTATAAAGGAAGGGGTTAATATGCTCAGGATCTAGGAGTCATAATGTGTCCCAGCTTCAAACCCTTAGCTCTTTCTTTCTTGGAGAAGTAAGCCAGAAGAAAACAAAAACAAAAACAAACAACAACAACAACAACAAAATGGCTCTTTCCAAGCTCCGGCCACCAGAGTCCAATACCTCTACTTCCCTACTCACCCACCTGAGAAGCAGGATCTGCCCTTATTTATTTAGGAATGGACTCCAGGTCACTATTTTTCTCTCCATCTAGATATAATATCTGGAGTCAGCCAAATTGTATACTGAAGCATGAATGCAAGAGACCTCTAGATCAGTGTAGTTTCTCCACTGGATCGGAGAAGGTGTATGTATGTGGGTTTGGGTGGGTGCAGGAGTGAGGAGTGCGAAAAGGGTCATTGCTAGAGCTGCAACATTGAATTTCCTGTTCATTCTGGATTAACTCAGATATTGGGGAGTAATTGAATCTCCAGGTAGAATGCCTTGGCAGGCCTGAGGAAAGGGATAGGGAAAGCAGAGAGACGCATAGCAAATGAGGTTGAGGACAACACAATCATTTGAGTTTTTCAGCATTTTTTCTCTCCCTCTCTGTAGCCTTGGTCAATCTCATTTACCTAGCAGGGCTGGATGAAGGAAGAGGAGAGGAAGCAGATCAGTGTGCTCATGGCTCAATACTGCTAAGAATCTCCTTGCATTCCACCTTTGGCCTAGCAGACCACATGCCTTCTGTCTGACTGTGCCATTCCCTGAAAGAAGCGTGTGAGTTTTCAAAGTATTTCAGCACATCCTGTAGGGAAAGCAAATGCTCATCAAAATGGATGTAGAAAAAAATCCTGAATCCTTATTTCCCCTGAAGCTTCCTACATTCTTGAAGTGCAAAGTAGAGAGAAGAGCTCAGTGTTTGCGCAGAGGGTTCTTGATGCTGTAAAAGCCAGCTCAAGAGAGTGGCAGGCAGTACTCATTAGGCAGGCATAGGAGGAAGCCTTTTCTTCAAAAGGCAGGAGACAAGTTAGCAGCTGATGGGGCAGATATGTTTGTTTAGCTAGCGCTTGGTCCTGGGACTGCTCTTGGTGAAGGATGATTACCTGGGGTCAGAAAATGACCCTGCCCCAGGCATCTATCTCCCCTTCTAGGTCTCTCTCTCTCTCTCTCTGTGAAAATACCGATTTACATCAGGAAGCAGCCCAGCTTCATAATGATGTCGACTGCCTCTCTGCAGATGCAATCTCTGATTGACGGGGTGTAGGGAAGGAAGGAGAAAGACAAAAAAAGTTTATGAATTCACTCTGAGATTCAAATCACATCAATGGCCCTGCCAGCCTTCTTAAGCATAAAATTGGGCATCACAGAGATCAACATTACATGTGTTGATATTTCTCTTTCTCCACCTTTACTCTGAATCTCTGTCTAATATCCTAACAACCTACTGGACTTACAAAATCAAGCTTCATCCCCACCTGTCCGTGCCCAACCTTCTTACATAAGGTAAAACAGGAATGGAGATTCTTGCTTTTTGGTTTTTTTTCCCTAAATCATCACTCTCCTGGGACACTAGGAAAACAGAACTTATTGGCTGACACTTGAAGAAATTTCTATCCAAGTTGCTTCTATGGGATGACCCAAGGTTATTTATTTAACTATTTGTCTCAATATTTAAAAGATTAGCATATTAATAAAATAGAAACTTGCGAATACTATCACCCACATGAAGCAATTAATCAAAAGATAAACAACTTAGCATCAATACATTTGCTTTTGAGTGTCAGTATCTGTCAGGCACTGTTCTGGAAATTTTGGTAAATATATAAAAACATATGTTATATTCCATGCTGATCAATGTGGGCTGAAAAAGCAAATACATGTGTGAGATAGGAAAAAATAAAAGGCAGCATACTAAATAAAAAGTACCAGTGGTTTTGTAGTTCTGTTCATCTCTCCTATACAACATGCAAGTCCCAGGTTCAAATGATACATAAAATGGTGGGGGCCTTTTCCCTTTGATCTAAGATCATTTGTGAGGCTGAAAAAAATAATCAACAGATCAAAGAAAGATTCTAGGTCATGACAGGATTATTCAAATCAGTATTGGAAAAACCAGCATTTTAGAATGGCATCTCCTATAGAAAAAGGAAATCTGTCCAGGTGCAATGACTCACACCTGTAACCCCAGTACTTTGGGAGGCCAAGATGGCAGGATCGCTTGAGCAAAGGAGATCGAGACCAGCCTGAGCAACATATGCAGACCCCTGCCTCTACAAAAAAATTGAAAAGTTAGCTGGGCATAGTGGCACTTTCCTGTAGCCTGTAGTCCTAGCTACTTGGGAGCCTGAGGTGGGAGGATCACTTGAGTCTGGGAGGTCGAGGCTAAATGAGCCATGATTGTGCCACTAACTGCACCCCAGCCTGGGTGACAGAGGGAGACCTTATCTCGAAAAAAAGAAAGGAAAGGAAAGGAAAGGAAAGGAAAGGAAAGGAAAGGAAAGGAAAGGAAAGGAAAGAAGAAAGGAAGGAAGGAAAAAAGGAAAGAAGGAAAAAGAGAAAGAAAGAAAAGGGGGAATCCACAGCTTCTGTGCATTGCATGGAAAAATACTTCCAATACAGTAATACTAAAGTTGGCTGGGATTGTAAATACTAAAATGCATTCAACATGTATTTGTACCATACTAAATAACTATGCATCAAGAACCATTAAAGACAAAAATAGCATGCTGTATAATTTTGCCTTCAAAATATTTCTTTCTTCATATAGTTTTAAATTATTTTAGTTTAACTTATAAATAGTTAAATCCACTAAGACATCTTTTATTTTTATCAGAGGGTTATAGTGCAGACAGAAGTCAATCCCTTTGCAGAGGGCCCAAATGATAATATGTTTAATCAATAGATGTAAAAACTCCAGAATGAAACTATGAGTAGAAAAGAGGAAAAGGGAAAGCAAATAGACTATGCTGAAACTGAAACAAAGGTTGAAGAGGAAATAATTTCACTGAACCCACAAATTGTCAACTACATCCTAGACTTCTCTTCAGCTCTGTTTGGAGAAACTTGGAATATGGGACCCAAACAACTAAGAAAATTGATCTTTTCCAAAAACTTTTTATTTATTCATTTTTTAGCTACATTTTGTTGTCAACTGGATTTTTTTAAGTGCGCCTGGAACTGTTACCTATTTATTTGTTTATTTATTTATTCATTCATTCTTGAGATGGGGTCTTACTATATTGCCCAGACTGCTCTTGAACTCCTGTTCTCCAAGGATTCCCTTGCCTTGTAGCTGAGATTACAGGCACACACCACTTTGTGGGGCCAGAAAACTGATTTTATTTAGGCTACTGCAATAGGGAGAACACCTCAGGTCTGAAGACCAGAGTTTCTTGGCAGAATGGTTTCACCTTAGACTTATATAGGGAGGAATAAACAAGTTATAGATGGGGAGATTTTACAGTTGGAATCATTTTATAATCAGGAAGAGTCTCAGTCAGCATAGAGGGAAAATATTTATCTCTGTGTCTCGCTGATTTGGGAAAGACAAACAGTTTAATCATTTATGAAACAAATAATGGGAATGTGAAGGGTCTGTGGCTGGTCTTGTGATCGTTAAAAAGAGGTTCATTAGCAAGTTTTATGTAAGTCATGGGGGAAGGGTTGTTCATGGTGGCCATTTTCCCAGATCACAAAGAGTGAGAGTCTTCTTAACCATCCCTATTTTCCAGGAATACATGGCTCAGATAAAGTTCAGAATTGTCATTCTTAGCTTGGTTGTTAACTAGAACTAAACTGTCTTGCCTCTTGAGAGTTCACCTGCTATGCAACCTGACTTATTTATGCAGTTGTTCATATATTGATATATCACTCATTGAAGACTTCATGTTGCTACAAAAGATAATTCTTACAAAAAGATAAAATGACAACTTTCACACAGATATAAAAATGCATACATGTTAACAATTTCATTCTACTCATTAATCAATAAGGGAACTGGAACCAGTTAGATGTCATAAAAGTCAAAAAGAGAATTCAAAGACTATTCTTGATATCTTTAGTTCAGGAATATTAAAATGATATACAAATTAAGGCAAAACTGGTTTTTCCAAAGGTAGTGGAAAAACGTCAATTGGAATTGTCTATAGGAATTATTTTGTGTTGTTATTAGTTGTCTACAATTTTACAAAGTGACAAAATAGCTCAAAGACTACGAAAGACTAGAATCATATAAGCCAAAAGAGTCACTAGGTAATGTGTAGTTCCCCGCTGAAGCATATTTTTATTTACGTTACCTTTAGGGCTATAACCTAACACAGGTCTGGTTACTGGCTGCTTGCAGAGTCCAATTAACAAGTGTGAGGTCTGGTAGAAAGAAGGTGACTTTAATTCCAGAGCTAGCCAAGGAGAAGTAGTACAGCCTCCTGCTTTGAGGGTACCACTTCAGCTTCTGGGGCAGAAAGCAGGGGCTTTTAAAGGGGGGCTTGGTGTGAATGGCATGTAGGGGAGGGATGAGGAGGTGCAAGGTCTACATGACTTGCTTAGGATGCCTTACCTATGGAGTGGTCTGTCTTGCTGTATCATGGGCAGAGCTAGGTTGTAAACTGAGACAATCTCCTGGTGTGAGAGAGTTCTAGGGGCACCTGGTTTGTCTCAAGACTTGGTCTTTGGAACTTCTAAATAAACACGTACACAAGCTTGACATGGAGGGAGTGTTGGGTGAAGAGAAGGTAAAGCTTATAATTGCCTTCCTAAAGAGGTAAGTAGGAGGTGGGTAAAAAGGAATAAAGTAAAAAAATAATAATTCTGAAAAAGCAAAAGAAAAATAAATAAATAAATCAATAAACAATTCTTTTTTCCCTTTTAAAATGGGGTTTTCAGTTACAAGCTGAAGTCCAAAATTTTTAGAGTTATTTCCTAACCACTAGCTTCTCTTAACTTTCCACCCTCTTTTGTGGGTTTCCTCCCTCTTTGAATTATGTCCCCTTCCAAATTTTTATGGTGAAGTCCTAATCACAGTTACCTCATAATGTGACCTTATTTGGAAATAGGATCATTGCAGATGTAATTAGTTAGGATAAGGTCATACTGAAGTTGGGTGGATGCCTAATCCAATATGGCTGGTTTCCTTATAAAGAGGGAAAATTTGGACCCAAGGACACACAGGGAGAACACCATGTGCAGATGAAGGCAGAGATCGGGATGATGCATTTATAAACTTGGGAACACATAAGATTGCCAGCAAACCACGAGAGGCAAAGGGAGGGACATGAAACAGATTCCTCTTCATAGTCTCCAGAAGGAATTGACCCTGATAATAGCTTGATCTTAGACTTCCAGCCTCCAGAGTAATGTGGCAATACATGTCTATTGCTATGGTACTCAGTTTATGGTACTTTGTTATGGCAGTCCTAGCTAACTAATACATTCCCTTTTCACTGTGTTGTGTTTCTTTTGAGTCATCCTCTGTTGGTGTATCCAGGCTATTCCTTCTGCCTTGAATGCTTTTCTTTCTTCCTCCCCATTTATGTTTCTCCCCAGTCATCTAGTTAACTTCTACTCATCTTCAGATCACTGCTTCATCCTTTCTTTATTTGTAAAGCCTTCCTTGTTGCACCTGCCCCCAACAAATGTAAAGTACCATTCTGATGTGCTCCCACGGAATATTATATCACCTTCTACACTTATCATAACTAATTATAGATGGCTTTGGTTATTTGTGGTAGTTATGTTCTGAAAAGCAGTTGTGAATACTAAATTAGTGAATACTGAACCATTGCTCCTAGGAGAAATACACAATCAAATTCCTGCAAGCCTCTGGTCACAACATTTTCATTAAACAATGAATATGTGACCTTATTTCATGTATGTTTCTGTTTACATGCACCTTACTTAATATATATTGTTGACTTATTAACATCAATCTCATGGCCAACAGTAATATAACTCATGCCTGAATGAAGGTTATCAAACACAAGTATTTTCTTTGTAAGGCACATCACAGCCTTCTTACCCTTAGGAATGCCAGACAGCATTTCAGTAGTACATTTGAAGGTTATTTTAAACAGTGAAATCACCAACACAAAGTACAAAAATGCAAAGAAAAAAAGTGGCACTACATTGACTGCTGAAAGTACACTTAAAGTGAAAGGACTTAGAGTATGAGGGCTGAAACAAGAAGGTAGAGCATCGCCCTGTTTGACCTCAGCTAAGAATATGCATGTCGGACTACTCAAACTTTTTGCTGCTCTGCACATATTTGTGAATGACCCTGAAAGCACTCTGAGTATTGGTTTTTGGATTACAGATAAACTTTAGCTAGTAGGCAAATTCAGGAATACAGAAACCATGAATAATGAGGATACACTATACTTATTTAGCTTTCTGTCTTCCCTATGAAGCTGTAATTCAGAAATAGCAGAGGCTATTTTTACATGTGTCTATTAAATATTTTCTTTCCAGTTCTATGGCTGGCCCTTGGCAGATTTGAACAAATAAATAGTTGTTGAAAGAGTTAATGAATGCAGGTACAATAATAAATGTGCATGTTATTATGCTGTGGAAAATACAAAGACAAATTAATTTTGTCTCCAGGCTACTTATACAAGATAACAAATGCACATACATATCCATGCCAATAAATGTAGGATTTTTAAAGATATCTAGTAGTTTTGAAAATTTGTGACTGAAGATCCAGGAGAGCTGAATGGAATGAGAATGATTCTTGACATAAGTGGCACTAAGAGGAAAAGAAATATTTTTTTTTAGGGAGACTATAGAACATAAGCAACAGATATGTGGTGAAATACGAGTTGCACAGCTAACTGCAGTGGACTAGAACACAAGCAGAGAGCCAAGGCTGAGAAGTGGTAGAAAACAATACCCCAAAAGGGGGCTAAAGAAAGAATGTGGAAGATGAAGAGGTCCCAGCAAGGAGACTTAATTTCTACTCCATCACGTGTGATTAGCCATTGAAGGGTTTTGAACAGGGGAGGGGTCAAACTCATTGGGCTATGTAGTAGAATGTAGGCATTATGGAAAGAATGGAATGAACTCTTATCTGAGCTTATTAGAAATCCTATCAGAAAACTGCTTCTTTTATGTTTTTTTCTTTGCCACATGGAGTTGTTGAAAAGAACTCTGTTTCTTTTAAAGAAGTCTTAAGACCCGCCATATCTTAGAGGTAGCCTTCAAGAAACTCAAAGAGATTTGGAAAAGGAATGGAGAAAGAAACAGCAGAGAACAGCCAAAGCAGGTCACAGCTTCCTAGGATGCCCTAATCATTAATTTAACTTGGTGTCTGTTAGCATCACAGAGGTCCATCTCCTCTATGAAGTCTTCTGGAAAACTGTAGTCAAGTTTCAACTCTATTGTTATCAGCATGACCCCGACAATTTACTTTAGTCTCTACAGGTTTCAATTTCTGTGTCTCTAAATGAAAAGGAATGTGAAATAGGGATTAGCACTACTCAAGGCAGTTTTAGGCTCACTCATTAGAAACAAACTCTCAGGTGTCCTGAATAAGTTCACACCTACTGAATCAGAATCTTCATTTTAGTCAGATTCCCTAGTGAATCATAAGCACACTGGTCTAGAGAGCTCTTCGTTTCTTTCTAAGAATAAATATAGTCGATTCTCAGTATTCACAGATTCCATAATTGTTAATTCAACTGCTCACTAAAATCTATTTGTAACGCCAAAATCAATACTTGTGGCCATTTGTGGACATGTGCACAGAGGCAGAGGGAAAAATTTAAGTCTGATGTGCATGTTCCCAGCTGAGGCCAAACAAGGTGAGATTCTGCCTTCTTGTTTCGGCTCTCATACTATATATAAGTGTATTTCGGGAGGTTTACTCAGTGCCATATATTTGCATTTCTTTTTTTCTTTTTTTTTTTTTTAAGATAGAGTTTCACTCTGTCGCCCAGGCTGGAGTGCAGTGGCGCGATCTCGGCTCACTGCAAGCTCCGCCTCCTGGGTTCACGCCATTCTTCTGCCTCAGCCTCCCACGTAGCTGGGACTACAGGCGCCTGCCACCACGCCTGGCTAATTTTTTGTATTTTTAGTAGAGACGGGGTTTCACCGTGTTAGCCGGGATGGTCTGGATCTCCTGACCTCGTGATCCGCCCTCCTCCGCCTCCCAAAGTGCTGGGATTACAGGTGTGAGCCACTGTGCCCAGCCATATATATTTGCATTTCTATGCTTTTCGTGGGTGATTTCGTTTAAAACATCCTGTAAACGTGGTGATAGAAGGGCCCTCTGGTGTTTCTAAGTGCAAGAAAGCTGTGATGTGTCTTATGGAGAAAAACTGTGGTACATAGGCTTCATTCAGGTGTGAGTTATAGTGCTGTTGTGCATGAGTTCAATGTTAATAAATCAACAATATATATTAAATAAAATCCCTTTACATGAAAACACAGAAAACACGTTTACGTATTTATTATTTAATGAAAATGTTATTACCAGACACTGGCAGGAATGTAATCCTATATGCCCCTAGCAGCAGTTCAGTATTTGCTAATTCAGTGTTTACTGTGACTTTATAGAACATACCTACCACAAGGAATAAGAATCAACTATACCACCATAGGTGAATATAGAGACACAATCTGAATATAGATAAGAGAGAGGATATTATTCAGAAATGATATCCTCAAACAAACACTGAGAGACACATAAAAAGTAATAATTTCAAAACAACTAAAACTTTGCTCCAATTCTACGTATTATGAGTTCCTGGAAAGCCTCCATTTCCTCTTAATTGCTGTGAAGAGCACTGGTATAGAACACTTTTCTTTCGTCTTTAGACAGAAAGAGAGACAGAGTTCCACTCCTTCACCTTGGTTTGAGTGGCTTCTCTGAGAAGATGGAAGCCCCAGTGTTTTATTTGTTACGTACATTCTCTTCATTTGAGTCTTTCTCTGTTCTCTTCCCATATCTGACCTCCAGCCCAACAAGCACTTCTTTCTTCTTGAGAGGAGTGTTAACTTTCAGAATTCTTGAACTAATCCACAGGTCAAATCCAAGCAGATTCTTCAGAGAACAATTCTTCTTTTTGTCCCTTTTCCTTTTTCTTTTTTTTTTTCATTCCAGGGTTTAGTCTTTTAGTGTTTACATAAGCATTTTGTTCTTTTTTATTATTATTAAAGGTAAATTCCTAAGATACAGTAAAGATCTTTCCTGCTTCTTCGGGCCTCTGTCACTGTTTCCCTGGGCACTTATGGAATCTGCACAGGTGGTAAAGTAACTTAGAATGATGCCAGGGATTGGAGAATTACTTATGCCACTAATTGCTGCCTATAGACTCACAAGTCTGAGTGTTGGTCAGTAACCTTTCAATGATTGCATTTTCATGCACAAGTACAACTGCACACAGATCCAGGCAATAAGAAGTACCATACAAATAGTAGCAGCACCTCTGTCCTGTGAAGCTTGTAAAAGCGTAAGAGTCAACACAGACCAGAACTACAGATCAAACATAATGCAGGCTGAAGATACACTCATTGCAATGGGTTTCCTGATAACTGTTGAGTTCTTAGAAATGTTTATAAAGTCATTGTCATCCCATAATATTTACAGGAAAAATTAAATAAAATTATTTATAACCTATGATCTGATAGGATAGGTTGCATGAGGACATAGAAAACATACACAGAGGGATAACAGAAGCACTACACACAGAAGGGGAAGCTATTTTCTCCCTAGTGAGATTGAAGAGGCCAATGTCTAGTATACTGCTGCTGTAGTTGGCGGCATATTTTAAGCACTTAGTAAATATTTGTTGAATAAATAAATGACCTGCAAGATGCTGAGTGAACCCAAATATACTCTCTGCATGGGGCTAATCTGCAATGAGTCAAGATGCTTGCCTAAGAATATCATCTATAAAGAGGCAGAGGGACCAATGGCAGTGCTTGATGACACCAAGGAATCTAAAAAAATACTGGAAGTAATCATTCATTTTCTATTATAAAAAGTTCAGGATTAGTCTGAAACATTCCCTCATAGTTTGATAAAAATGTCATGCCTTCTGAAGTCATATATAACTGTTTTGCCACTATGATTAGCTATTATTCATATACAAATCATCCAACCCACCTGACAATTACTTTCTGTAAAATAGGGTAATAACATTTACTTCACGAATTTGTTGAAATAATAACATAATACATGGAAAATCACCTAACATGAAAGATAGTTGTTTTTCAAGTACTATTTTATTTCCTACTTTCCTTATTTTCAACATGTGTTCTACACCAGGAACTAAAGTAGACAATACGGTAAGTGGTGTATTAGTCTGCTCAGGCTGCTATAACAAATTACCATAGTAAGGGGGCGGGGGCTTAAACTACAAACATTTATTTCTCACATTTCTAGCAGCTAGCTGTCTGAGATCAGGGTGCCAGCATGGTTGGGTTCAGGTGAAGGCCTTCTTCGGGGTTGCAGACTGCTGACTTCTCATTGTATCCTCACAAGGCAAGAATGCAAGAGAGCTCTCTGGCCAGCTTTCATAAGGATACTAAACCAGTTCATGATGGCTCCACCCTCAAGATCTAATTACCTCCTAAAGGCCCTGTCTCCAAATATCTTAGTATCAGGGATTTAATTTTAACATGTAAATTTTGGAGAGCACAAACATTCAATCCATAAAAAGTAGTAAATAAAATTGACACAAACCATTTCCTCACAGAGCTCACAGTCTAGTGGGTCAGACAGCAATCAACCAAACTATTATGACAGACACTCTTGGAAGTGCTGTGAAAGAAGAATACGAGGAGGAATAGATTTTTGAATGACTTGGTTTAACTAGTGTTGTGGGAGGAAGGTGGCATCAGAAGAGGCTTCCTTGAAGGAGTAATCTTAGGCTTGCAATGCATAAGTCTAATAGAAGTTCCTTTGGTAGGAGTCAGGAAGAAAAATGGAGACTTTCCCAGAGGCTAGCACAGTTTTTAAAAGGTCTAAACTTGATAGGGCCTAGAGTTCTTGACTACACTAAGTCTAGAGAGCTTGAACAGTACCACATGAGCCAGAACATGAAAAACCTTTTAACACCGTGTTAGGAATTATATGCTTCCAGCTGTATGTAACAGAAAGATTTTTAAAAAATGAAAGTGGCTTAATTTGTAAACATAATTATTGCTTACACAATAAGAAACCCAGATTATTAGTCTGTTTCCACACTGCTATAAAGAAATGCCCAAGACTAGGGAGCTTTGTTATTATGTAACAGAGATATTACAAAGGAACACATATGCAAGTATAATTTTATTATTTTTCAGAATAACTTATGCTTTTATTCTTTCCCTTTTGCAGCTATATAAATTACCTTTTTGAATGGAACCCCCGACCCAGGCCTTGGGGGTTCCTGCATTAGGATCATTCATGGATATTCATTAAGCCCATTTTTTTTCACATTGTCAGCTGAGAAATGGCCAAGACTTTTGAATTATTAGTTAGGATTTTTCAAGTGCCTTAGCACTGTTGTCTGTTCTAGCATGTGATTGAGTTCTAAAACACAGTTATTAGAAAACTCACAAAGGCATTTTTTAATTAGAAAAAAAGGAATTATGAGATAGATTTAATCTCACAGCATCATACTTGTTTATTCTTGATGGGAGCTCAGTAACAGACTGTTGCTTTGTAAAGTTATCAGTGCATTTAAAAAAATTTCCAAGCAAAGGGAATAAATTGGGTTATAGAAACTGGCAAAAATAAACCTGATTATCATTATGTCAGTCCTGGGCAATTGAAGAAATGGAGGTCAGGCATGGTGGCTCACGTCTGTAATACTAAACTTTTGGGAGGTTGAGGAGGGAGGATTGCTTGAGCCCAGGAGTTCGAGATCAGCCTGGGCAACACAGTAAGCCCCTATCTCTACAAAAAAAATTTAAAAAGTAGCCAGGCATGGTGGTGCGTGCCTGTAATCCCAGCTGTTCAGGAGGCTAAGGTGGGAGGATTGCTGGAGCCCAGGAGGTTGAGGCTGCAGTAAGCTGTGATTGCACCACTGCACTCCAGCCTGGGCAACAGAGCAAAACTTCGATTCAGGAAAAAGGAAAGGAAGGGAAGGGAGGGGAAGGGAAGGGAAGGGAAGGGAAGGGGGAAGGAAGGAAGGAAGGGAAGGAAAGAAAGGAAGGAAGGAAGAAATGGGGCACAATCAACACATTTCTAAGCCATCATTAAAACTGGTTACTAGAATAATTAAAATAGAAATTGAAACAAGGTGGCAAAAGAAGCACAAAGCCAAAACTGCAACTCCAAGGGAAAATTAAATATGGGATCATATAATAATCATTGGAAGAGCCTACCACACCAAGAAAACACCTATTTCTGTAAGTTATTTTTCTGCAGACAGGCCACCGTGGACTCTTGCAATGCAAATTGTATCCCATAATTATGAGCGTATGTTATATTCATGATTCATGAAAATCACATGGGAAGGAAAAAATCATTCCTCTCCTTTCAAAATAAGATGCTTAAGGCTTCCTTTTCTCTTATAGAGATGGCCTTGTTAATTGAATTCTGATACTCAAGTCTACCAACCAACACTTCCCTGACTTACAGTACAAAAGGCACTGAGAGTTTTGGTTTCTATAATAATTCTTTCCATGCTTCCATGACTTACCAAAATCTTGCTCCTTATTGGCACATTAGTTTTCCTTGATGTATTAACATATTTAATACAACTACAGTCAAGTTTTCTGAGATCCCTCTATAATACATTTTTAATGTTATTTTTTTCTCTTGATAATCTTTAAAAAGTTAAATCTATTTTGGGTTCTGTGAATGAATATCTTATAACTAAGTACTGACATTTGATTTTCATGCTTTTATCTGTGTTGTGTTTGCAACTGTTTTGGAAACAATCAGTATTACTTTAATTGTTATGAGCTAATGAGAAAAGGACAAAGTCAGGCTTAAAACAAAAAGATGTGTTGTAGGCAAGATAAAGCCAGAATACATCATGGTGGTTACACTCATGAAGAGTTCATAGTTATTTGAATAGAGAAAAAGAGTCTAGAAAAATGAATTGCCCTGTGGAATATAGCAGTATAGACGTGCTGAATTTCAAAGAATCAGTCCTGTAAGAGTAGCCAACACTATATTCCATAATCATTTTGCAAACAACAGTTTCCGTAAAAAATCCCACTATTATATTAAGATTGTTAATTTGAAGTTTTTATATTTAATTTGTAAATTTGTTTGGTTGTATATGTATATAATATTATCTTAGGTTTATACATTAAATACCATTACATAATGAAAGTAATTTATTCACCACTGGGATCAGATAATTTACTCCTTTACACATTGTCAATATTTTATTCAAGATTGAGGTTTCACATCAAACCTCACACTCATTGCTGGAGTTATGCCTTAAACAGAGTACTTGTGACAACAGTGTTACTGTTGAATGGCTGTGATAATTAGAAAGTTCAATTTGTATTGTTTGTTGAAATTACATTTCCTGTAAGTTCCAACCATTGGTGGCAGTTATTCTTAGGAACAAATCAAAGGTGCTCTTTTTGTTTAAACTTTAAGTTATAGGAGGATAACTATCATGTTTTTCTTTATTCTACCCAAATCCTTTTCTTGCCTCCATAAATATTTTTGAGAACTTATTTTGTGTAAAACATTCTGCATTAGCCATTTTTTTTCCTTTTCCAGGTTAAACAGCTCCACACCTTTCACCCTTTCTTGGAAATATTTTTTTTCTAATCCCTCAACATTCTAATTACGCCATTTTGCACATACTTTAGTGATGTCCGTCTTAAAATGCAGCACTTAGAAATAAAGACATAGGCTGGGCGAGGTGGCTCACGCCTGTAATCCCAGCACTTTGGGAGGCCGAGGAGGGCGGATCACGAGGTCAGGAAATCGAGACCATCCTGGCTAACACGGTGAAACCCTGACTCTACTAAAAAATACAAAAAATTAGCCGCGCGTGACGGCGGGCACCTGAAGTCCCAGCTACTTGGGGGGCTGAGGCAGGAGAATGGCATGAACCTGGGAGGTGAAGCTTGCAGTGAGCCGAGATCGCGCCACTGCACTCCAGCCTGGGCAACAGAGAGACGGGCACTCCAGCCTGGGCAACAGAGCGACTCTGTCTCAAAAAAAAAAAAAAAAAAAAAAAAAGAAATGACATAGCAGTTTGGGAGGCCAGGGCAGGCAGATCACTGGAGGTTAGGAGTTTGAGACCCGACTGGCCAACATGGTGAAACCCCATCTCTATTAAAAATACAAAAATTAGCCTGACTGGGTGGCGGGTGCCTGTAATCCCAGCTACTTGGGAGGCTGATGCAGGAGAATCGCTTGAACCCAGGAGATGGAGGTTGCAGTGAGCCGAGATGGTGCCAGCCTGGGCGACAATAGCAAAACTCCATCTCAAAAAAAAAAAAAAAAAAGAAATAAAGGCATAGAAAATGGAGACTTTCATTCAATATCATCATTAATAACCAGTAAGTAGGAAGTATTAAACTCAGCAATGCATTAGACAGCTAGCGGGGCAAGACACGGAAGTAAATGGCACACTGGTCTTACCTTCCAAGAGTTTTCAATCTAATTGGAAGGGAGTATTACAATTTTAGATTATAATAATTATAAAAACAAACATTATAGGAGCTCAGAGGGTTTAGAGATCTGTGTTCTGTAGTTATTACAGGAGGCCTCTAGATTCTAACTTGGGTTAGGGCTTGAAACTACATTGAATTTGAATATTCCCAGTTTAAACATGCACGCAAGTATTATGTCCAAAGTAGCATGAATACTGACAACACCAAACATGAAACCCAGATTTATTTATTCTCTATTTAGTCCTTTCCCTACTCTTTAGAGCAGAAAGAGAAAATCCTTGCTTGAGATAGCAAATTAGTGCTACACTTTTTGGGAAGGCCACTGGAATTTAAACCTGGCAAAATTCCAATTTTTGTGCTTGTAACCTGTTTAGCCGGCAGCCAGTGAAAGCTGTTATAATTCTTTTTGAATTGAATTTTCTTTCGTATTGTTTTAGGTACAGCTCAAGCTCAAATGATAGCGTCTCTTTTTCTTTAAAAAAAAAAAAAAGTGCTGTCAAGACAGGAAAACTGGAATGTAACCAGATTAGCCGTTTCCCGTATACATTTGCCCTTAAGCAAGATGGTGGGCGCCTTGTGCACATGCGCGGAAGGGTTGTTTCGGCGGGGAGTTCCGCCGCGTCGGAACTCGCTCCGGGCGTGGATTGGCGGCTTGCTGGCGGGGGCGGAACCGGAAGTTCCGTGTTGTGGGGCTCAGCTGGTTCATTTATGTTGTTTTTCCTGTACCTAAGTTCCCGCTGTAGGTGGTACCTTTGCAGACGGTGCGATGGGGGAAGCAGAGAAGTTTCACTACATCTATAGTTGTGACCTGGATATCAACGTCCAGCTTAAGATGTAAGAGAACACTCGGGACAGGGAGTGGGATTGCTGGGGCGTAGGGACGTGGGGGCAGGGGCCTGTTGGGAGTGAGAGGCAGAAAGTACGTGACTCGTCTCAAGGCCCAGATTGGGGGCGGCTGTGAGGGCTGTAGCCAGGGAGGCGCGAGAGAGTGGATCGTGGAGAGGGGCTCTTTTGGAAAAGGATTTAATACGTGGTCTCCGTGAGAAGCACAGCAGTAGGAATAGCCCTTAAGTTCCGCTGTATTTTACAGTCTTTAAAGTTTTTGCTGTTCAGCCTTTTGAGAGTTTATTACTATTTCATTGTAAATTAAGAAATCAAGTCTCGTCGTAAGTAAGAGGACGATCTTTATTTTGGAACGGGGCTTGTAGGGTGGAATGAAGGCTTCAGAAATTATGGAGAGGTAGACACAGGCAGATGCGATAGTTGAGAATAAGATGAGCACATGGTGTATTAGCACGGGAGGTGATAGAGGCCTAGAGTGAATCTTTGGGTAGTATGGCAGTGTTTAGTCAGGGAAGTTGGGAGTAAGTCGAAGATGAGGGTTCCAGTTTCAAAGGTACCAAGAAGATAGGAGAAAAGAGTCTTTGCAGGAAAACGTTGGGGCACCACGGCTGAAGTAAAGGTCAAGGGCGTGATATCTTGAGATGAGGATAATAGAACTGGTATAATGACGAGGGATGCACAAGACAGAGTTGGAAATTATGTCCCTTTTAAGGTGGTCATGTAGGAGTGTTGTCAAAGCTATCACAAATTATTGACCATAGCATCATCCATAATTAATAAACATTTCTTGTGTATGTTCAATTAATATTCAACAAATATGTGTCGGTCAAAGGCCTGCAGTAAGTGATAGATAAATTTTCTCAGTTGTCTGATGTACCTTTGAATGATCATTTCATTTTATTTTCAGAAGTCCCTTATTCGCTGACAAATACTTTACTTTTTAGTTTGTGGTGGTGGTGGTAAAAGTAATATGTCAACAACCACCTTGTACCTTTGTATGATACTTTATACACTCATTTAAGGTATTTTCCATAGCATACACCACTAGTAGTTTATACAGGATCAATATTGATAAAGGGCTTTCCTTCAGCTTGATGCTCAGTATTTCTTGGATATATGAATGCATTTTTTGAAATGTTTGAACATTAAAAATAAAGAAAAAGCCAAAAAAACCGGTCCCTTTTTTTTTTTTTTTTTTTTTTGGAGACAGGGTCTCACTCTGTCTCCTTTCCCTTTGGGATGACGTTCTGCTTCTTTTGCTTCAACTCTCATGCATTGTTCAGGATCATTTCAGACATCTATCTGGGGTACTAAGTCCCTTCCCCATGCCAGCCTAAGTACTCTTGAGACTCTGATTTATCTTACTGTAATGGGAAGAATATTGGCTTTGGCCTCCCTGCCCTAGTGTTTATTCTCAGCTCTGTTACTTACGTTGTGACTGTGGATAAGGAGTTTAGTTTATAAGTCTCTGTTTCCTCATTTATAAAATGAGAATATGGTGAAAATTATGTAAGAAAGAAAATATAAAATGCCTGGCACAGTATCTGATGTAATCTTGATGTCTAAAAAATGTTCCTCCCTCTGTGATAGTATCCTGTGCATATCTATTTATGACTTATACCACTGTTTTAAAGAAATGATCAGACAATGCATATGCATAGTAAAAGAAAAAAATGGAAAGAGTAGAATAAAAACATGCAGTTAAAAGTAAATTTTTTTCCCCAGAAGCAATGACTTAATATTTTATTGTAATACTGTATTGCTTATCTTTTCTTTCTTCTGGGCTTCTTTGTCCACTATGGTAAATGTTTCCTGAAAGAATAGATGAATATGTGGTCAACTTGAAATGAAGAAAATGAAACCAAGGCCTAGAAAGCTGGTGACTTCCAGAGGGTAGATCAAGGGTCAATGGCAGCGTTTAAAATTCAGAAGTATAAAATAGAGAAATGTGTTGATGAAGATGGGACTGATATTAGGTATGTTAGGATTTTAAGAAACCCTTATCATATATAAAAATGACATTAATTTCATATACAGGAAAATGTTGTTTAGGTAGCATACCTTAACACAAAGGTAAACTTTTTAGTACTTATGCATATATGTACATGCTTAAAGCATATATGTACATGCTTAGTACTTATGTATATATGTACATGCTTAAAAAATTCATGTCTGAAACATTGTTGGTCTTGTGCTTTCAGAGGAAGCTTGGAAGGGAAGAGAGAACAAAAGAGTTATAAAGCTGTCCTGGAAGACCCAATGTTGAAGTTCTCAGGACTATATCAAGAGACATGCTCTGATCTTTATGTTACTTGTCAAGTTTTTGCAGAAGGGAAGCCTTTGGCCTTGCCAGTGAGAACATCCTACAAAGCATTTAGTACAAGATGGAAGTAAGTTTTTTTGTGGCATATGGTATGTTACAGACTGTTCTTACCTTTCTTTATGGATGCTGCAAGTATAATTTAGTAGGATTATAGAGGAATTTCTTAATACCTATAGGCATTGATCAAATCATTTGAAGTAGAAACATACTCAGATAAAGTATTATGCATGTCAGTATTATAACTGCAATTGAAATAGAAATGGATTTATGTTTGTAGTTAGCATATTGACATTTTGATAAGCACTTGACTGATTTACATGACCAAAAACAAAAACACGTCTGTGGCATTTTAAAATTCTTTACCATCCTGTGCTCTTGAATGCATAAATACTTCTGGATAGTCTGAAATATTGTCCAACCTGATGTTTGGAGCTCAGATTTTTAGAGATAGATCTATTGCCATCGGTTCAGATAAAATTTTTATTATTATTTTACATATGAAACTAATTTATTTAGATTCATAGTTTATTCAGCATGGCACATTAGCAAGACCTTGTCAAGATGCAGGGTAAATATAATGAACATGAAGTTCCTGTTTTTTTCAGAAGAGTATTGTGGATCCTTAATCTGACTTCTTGACACTTCTTATTTGATAGACTATGTAGTGCAGTTCTGATGTTTGATCAGCGAGTGTTATTCAGCACTCTGGTAGGCTCAGTGTAGGATACACAGGCTGTATGCTTTTAAGGAAGGAGTGTTCATGGAAGACAGGATGTGACCACATGGACAGCCAGACTGTGCCATAGAGGGTTCAACCCTGTGTGTCCCAGGTGTCACCCAGTGTAGCTGGAAAGGGTTTTCAAACAGCAGAAGCCTGAACTCTGGTGATCTGGCCATATCGAAACCAAGTATTTTAATGGTGTAATTTCTTCAGTAGTCTTTGTGGAGAGATATCTGTCTGTCTGTCTGTCTATCTAGCCTATCTATCTGTATATATATATGTGTGTATATAGATATAGATATATATGTATATAGATATGTGTGTATGTGTATGTAGATATACACACACACATAAAAAATATATATATATACTTAATACTTTTTATTCTGGAAAATTTTAAACCTACAAAAATAGAATAATACAGTGAACGCCTAAGTTTCTGTTACATACCTACTGTTAACTCATGGCCAATCTTGTATTCTCACCATTTTGTAACAAACCTCAAACGTTATAACACCTTAACTGTAAGTATTTCTGTATATCTGTTTTTAAAGCATAACTACAGTATCATCATCATCACACCTAAAACAATGGAGCAGAATTCCTTAATTGTATCAGAGATTCTTAAACTGGAATCAGGAAGTCTTCAAACCCCTGAAGGTGTATGCAGAATTTTGTGTTTTGTGTACTTTTTCAGGGACAGAGCTCAAAGCTTTAATTAGATTTTTGAGGTCACCTATTACTCTCAGAAGAGTTAAAACAAATTTAGGTCTAGAAGGCCAAAAACATTTTGGTAAGGAAAAATGTATAGTGGCTTCTGTTGCATGACTTGACAAAAAAGGAAATTACAACAAAAGCAAATTCTCAATTACAAGATTAAAGGTTTTCTCCTCCTCCTCCCATTTGCCAACTCTTCTCTGCATTAGTTTTTATATTATATGTTTGCAAGAATATAAAAACTTCCATGTTTGATCTCTAAAAGTTGAATTTTTAACGTTTGTAGTTTTTAAATTGTGAAAGTACTGGAAAGTACGCTAAAATTATTTAAAACGACTTTGAAATTAAAATGTCTAAGCTATGTAGACAATAGATTTAGAAAAACACCTTATTTTGGATAAAATACCACGAGAATAGGCTTTTTAAAAAAATACTGTACAGGTGGATCACTTGAGGTCAGGAGTTCAAGACCAGCCTGGCCCACATGGTGAAACCCCCTATTAAAAATACAAAAATTGCCTGGACATGGTGGCAGGTACCTGTAATCCCAGCTACTTGGGAGGCTAAGGCAGGAGAATCGCCGGAACCCAGGAGGCAGAGGTTGCAGTGAGCTGAGATTGAGCCATTGCACTCCAGCCTGGGCAACAGAACGAGACTCCATCTCAAAAAAAAAGAATAGTCTTTAGGAGACTAAGAGAAAACATTTGCACATTTTATACATCCTGCTCTTTAGTATTCGAAAGTTGAATTTATTGGTAGTTCATCAAAACAAAAATTGCCATCCTAAAGTGAGTGGAGGTAAAAACCTTAAATAGTCCTTATTTATAAGTATTTGCTTAAAAGAGATATTCTATAAACCTTGGAAAGAAGAAATTAGATCATAAAGGGATCTCTTGCTATCCAAATTTTTGCATTCCTTAGTTCAGATAGTATTTTAGGGCCAGTATGAGATTCTAAATTATTTAAATCTGTTTGATTTCTGACTTTCTGATAGTGAGTTGTGAGAGTTCTAATAATGAGGAACTCATCCGAAATTTATTCAAGTCTATCATATCATGTCCTATTCTGTCCTACACTAAGAGATCCCATGAGGGACACTTGTACTTCCTTTAATTACACTTAAGGTAAATTCTCATTTTTAGGTGTATGTACTGCAAATTTCTAAGTTTTTTTCTTATGTGAATATTATTCTTTAGGGAAGTAGTTTACATTTTTAAGAACACTTATATTTCACATTGTCTCATAAAGGTTTTGAAAATGGCTTTAGAGAGACATATAATACAATCTAATTCAAAAATTACAAAGTTAGGATTCAGAAGTATTTTAATCAGATTCGAGTGCTAGCACAATGGTATGCGGTGATGGCGGTACCTGGTGGGGATTGGAGCATCCAGATTTAGGCTTTGCAGTCTGGTGATGTTTTGATTGTTGCCAAGTGAATGTAATCTTAAGGTTAATGAGGGTTAGCGGATGGGGTAGGGATGATTCGTGAAGAGGAGGAGAACGAAGTGGTGTCCAAAATATATACCTTTTTGGTGTCTGACTAGATTTTTCTATAACTTCTAGAATATCTAGAGCAGTTTTCAAACTTTTTGACTGAAGGATCATTTTTTCTTTTTTCTTTTTTTTTTTGAGATGGCGTCTCGCTCTGTCGCCAGGCTGGAGTGCAGTGGCATGATCTTGGCTCACTGCAGTCTTCACCCTCTGGGTTCAAGCAATCTCCTGCCTCAGCCTCCCAAGTAGCTGGGACTACAGGCGCGCACCACCATGCCCGGCTGATTTTTGTATTTTTAGTAGAGACACGGTTTCACCATGTTGGCGAAGCTCATCTTGAACTCCTGACCTCAAGTGATCTGCCTGCCTCGGCCTCCCAAAGTAGGATCATTTTTTTCAAAAGAACTCTTCTGCAGAAGCCTCGTATATAAAACATATTAAGTGCAGTTGCTTTGATTGAAAGTGGTGTTGCCTGGTATTGGATAGCAAAAGGTTTGAGACAAATGATTAGTTGGTCATTGGTGTTGTCTGGTAGTCATTAAAGGACAGAATACAGAATAATAAATTCCACAATATTATCCAAAAAGAAATTTGGATAATATCCAAAACATTATTTTGGATGTTATCGCTTATTGTTGTCTTCAACTTTAGCCAGTGTTAATTAACTTCTGTGGTTTATTCATTGGCAAAAGTTGGCACTGCTTAGTGTTTTTCTTTCTAGCCTGCCCTACCATGTGGCTAGTAATTAGATAATTTTATTTAGTTGTTTGAGCCTATTTGTAGTAGATACTGGCTTTCTTAAGCATGTGATTAAAAAAGTATTTCATAGAAGAAAAGGATTTAATAACTCCTTTTTCTTGAAATTGATAGCCATCTCTAATTTATATGGCGTATATAAATGATTTGTTGTTTAAGTTTTTGGAAATTTTGTTAAATGTTTTAGCAATACAGATGTATTTAACATAGACTAGGATATGTCCCTTAGATAATAACTTTGAATGAACAGAATAATTTTGAGTAAACAGAAATAGAATTCTATGTGTCTGCTAGGTATTAGTTTGGCATATTGTTGGCACAGTATTCTTTTGGAATTTAAAAGCCAGCTCCTCTTGAAGAGGGTTGAAATTATCAAATGAATACAGTGTGAAATTTAAAAGTATAAGAAAATTTACATAAATATATAGAGGGTTTAAAAAAAAAGAGCTGTGGTGTCATTAACTATATTATTATTAACAAACATTCCTCAGTGAAAGAATATATACAGATGTGCTTTGAAAGCATAAAGCACTAATAGCTTAATGTTATCAGTATTAATGAAATCATTTGAGGAACAGAAAATTCTCGCATAAGAAGTCACATATCTGTCTGGAGCAGTCTGGTAACTTCATGTGATAAAGGTAGTAGATTTTCTACTTTGAGTTTTTGTTTTGATTGTTTTTTTTCCTGATTTATTCTCAGAAGTGCTTTTGAGTATGAGTAATTTTGATTATTTTATCTTCATAATGTAAATTGGGTTTTGAAGAGTGGTTAAAGAAAATCATGGTTTGTTTAAAAAGTTCTAACAGGTTGAAATGTTTTCCCAGGTTTTTTTCGCCATTATATTATCTGGTGTCTTGGTGTTTTCTGAGTTTTATTAAAAAATTTAACAGAGCTGTTTTTCATGAGCTCTATTAAAACAATTATGTTTTTATTTAAAATGGAAAGTTGCCTTTAGCAAAATTGAGGTGACTGCCATATTATTTTTTAGAGTCTAACAACATTTTTGGAACCTTTTCCTCTGGCCAAAACTTTTTGTGTGGTTTGTTAATTTAAAAGAAAGATATATATATATGTATTTCTGATTTATGTTAACTTCATTTCCATAGCTGGAATGAATGGCTGAAACTACCAGTAAAATACCCTGACCTGCCCAGGAATGCCCAAGTGGCCCTCACCATATGGGATGTGTATGGTCCCGGAAAAGCAGTGCCTGTAGGAGGAACAACGGTTTCGCTCTTTGGAAAATACGGGTAAGCATTCTGTTGGTCTCATCTGTAGGAGTGTAGCAGCTTTCTGACCCTTTTCTTTTTCGGAATGAGGGAAGGCTTTAATAGTTTATGCTCAGTCTCCAGTGTAAACCAGTTAGGTACATATGATTTGATCATTCCTTACACTGATTTTAACATATATTTCCTACAGGATATACAGATAGATTAGGAAATACAATTTATATTGCTCTTCTGTTGGTGATTTAATGTGATTTCTAGTAGAAAATAGAAGTCATTGGGAAATAGAACCTTGCTTTTAGGGAAAAGTGACTATGACATATAACTGCTTTGTTACAGGGTTTATCTGCTTTTTTTATAATATTGACAGAAAGGATGAAAAACAGGATTAAAAAGCATTCATTAGCTAATGATGGTAATGATTGTGATAGAAAAGATAATTCAGTTTTTGAAACATTTGCAAATACTAGATGTTAATTGTTAAAAAAAAAATCCCATAGTCCCAAAGGATATTTTCTCTATATCGTTTTTCTCCTGGGACAGAGGACTCAGTCTGTCTTTAGAGAATTTGTGACATTCTGTTATTATTCTGCATTTACTAATAGGAATTTTTCACTAAAGAACTTGGTCCTTCATCAAGTATTTACTTAGTTCATATAGGAAAGACAGATAAATATTTTAACTTTCTTTCCCTTTACCGATTTTAAGACTAATGAGTTTGTGCCCTAGTAACTTGCAAAGGTGGTGATCGATGGCTTTTGTGCATTTTGTTTTTTATGTGTTTTAGTCCATTGCTGTCTTTACTCTTTATAATGCTCAAAAAATCTCATTTTTGGTCAGTAGGAGACCCTTCAAGTAGACCCCGTGTCCTTTTGGCAGTACACTACTAGTGATTGGTAGCTTCTTTGCTTTCTGGTAGACAAGTTTTTCCAGGCTCATTTGGTAATTTTCTGCTCCAGACCTGGAATCTCTGAAAGAAGTTCTGGTTCCTTTCAGTGTGAAATGCTATAGATCTGTCTGGATATTACAAATGTCTTAATTTTTGTCTACTTTAAAGTTAAAAAATGTTATTTAATTTTTACATCATTAAGTATGAGGAGGATTGTATTTTGGAGTGTTTATTGACTATTTGTGTTTATGTTTCCATGAACTGCTTTTTGATGTACTTTGTCCTTTTTAGAAATTGAGATATAATTCACATATCATAAAATTCTTTGCTTTTTTTTTTTTTTGAGTTGTCGTTTTCTTATTGATATATAAGGAGTCTTTGTAGATGAATGGAATTAGCCCTTTGTGGGTTATGTTACAAATACTGCTTTTCTGGTTTGGTTTGTTCTTTTGAATTAGTATGTATTTGTTTGCTCTTCATGGATTTTAAATTATTATCTTGAATCTATCAGTTTTTAGTTTTTGGGCTGTGAATTTAATGTTTTAGGAAGTTCCCATTTAAGATTCTTTAAAATGGTTTCTTCTGTTGTGCTTTTATTCCTTTATATTAAAATCTTTGATTTATCTAAAATTACTTTTGTGAAAGAGTGGTATAGTGAGAATAGCTTTTTAGAGAAAACCAAAACAAATGGTTTGAATATTTGTCCCAACACTGCTTATTAAATAAGTCATCTTATCCAGCTATTTTAAAATAGCATCCTTATATACTCAATTCATCATGTGTTGAAGTCTAAGAGAGGCATTATAGTGTATAGTGCTATAGTGGTTAGGAAAGCAAGTTGTAGATTATCTGGCTTCAAATCTTGGCTTCTTTGCTTAGTATCTGTGTATCCTTGGGCAGATTATTTAATCTTATGCCTCAATGTCTTCATATGTTAAATGAAAGAACAATAGTATCCACCTCATTGAGTAGTTTATGATTGTTACATTACTAAATACATTTAATGGGCCTGATAAATATTATATCATATATTTATGTATTGAATAAATATTATAATGACCTTAATAAATACTAGGTATCCTTCCTGGGCTATTCTGTCAGTTAGGATAGTATTATAAAATGTTTAAGTATTAGGTAAGGATAATTCTTATTAGTCTTTCTTTTAAAATATTTCCAGGTTTGTTTTGGCAGATACATTTTAATATTTTCTCAATTAAAAAACTCAATGTTATTTTGTTAGAAAATCTTACTGAATTATATATGTTAATTAAAGAGAGAATTGATGCCTTTATAATATTAAATTTTCCTATCCAGGAAAAGAGTGTGTCAGAAAGGCTTCTAAACTCATGAATGAAATCTAGATGTAATCCCATTTGGAATAGCTTGGTTGCTTACAAATACCTAGGTATTTTAGTTTAATGTGGCTATTAAAGAGATATTTGTTATTAAAATTCATACAGGAAAAATAACTTAGATGTAGTCTGAAACATTGTAACTTTCAGTTTTAAAATATACTTTTTGATAAAATAGCATGTTACAGCAGAATGGACATATTGCTAAATCAGTATTGTTTCTTTTACAGAGTGTTTACCCCTTATTTTTTGTTACTAGGGAGGGGCTTGTTTGCAACAGAGAAGAAAAAGAAAAATGTACAGCTCTTCTTAGTGGCTAAATATTTTTGAGAAATAACCAGACATTCCTCTTGGTTTTTCCTCCCAGATTCATCACAAGTGGTTTACCTTCTGGAATATCAACAGGAGGTTCCCTCATAAAAACACCTGCGTTAGTACTCATGCATTTTAGGGGACTTTAGGATCTAGTTTCAGAGGATTTTCTGACTAGGATGTAGTTGTGGGAGGGACAATTGAAATTTCCACAGATGCAGTGAAATGAACTGCGTACATCTAAACAAACTCTCAGATTGATTTTTGGTACTGTTTAGTTTGGCTTCTGGCACGTTTTTTTAAAAAGTACTACATCAAATCAGTAATAATCAACCTGTGTTTAAGAACCATCCTGGAAGCCTATGAGAAAAGCATCTTCCTGGGTTCTCACTAACTCAGTGTGTCTGTGGTGGGGCCCAAGAATCAGCATTTTAAACAAGCATCCTGAGTGAGTCTGTGAAAGGGAGCCTATGAACCACATTTTGAGAAGCACTGAACTGACCTTTGTGATAGTTTATTAATATGACTTACACGTGCATTCATGCGTTCCTCTTCTTTACTCCTTCTCTTGGTGCCCACTTTATTTGTAATTCTGTGTATATCCCAGTGAAAGGAAAATTCCTTTACCTCCCATCCAAACCAAGCTGGCAGCGTGCCTAAAGACAAATCAGTAGCACTTGTTCTACTTTAAAAAGTCATTAAACCCCAAGGATTTCTATAAAGGGAGCAGTAGCAATAAGTGAGTGGTTACTTAAATTTGTTTTCTGCCATTAACTAAAATAAGACTTTGAATCTTGGAAAGTCATCTGTTTTCTCTTAACTCTAACTGGAAAATAGGTCATCCTACACTCCTTCATGTCCCGAACACATCAGATGCCCGATATAAATGAAACCTGTTAGAGAGAAGCACTGATTGCGTGAAATTATCTCACTTAGAGCTTGATTTCTCCAACTTGAGTCATTTACTTATCACTTTTAGAATTCCATTCATATCTCTTTGCTAAGTATATTGTTCCTTTTTTTTTTTTTTTTTTTTTTTGAGATGGATTCTCTGTCGCCCTGCTGTGGGGTGATCTGAGCTCACTGCAACCTCCGCCTCCTGGGTTCAAGCGATTCTCCTGCCTCAGCCTCCTGAGTAGCCGGGATTACAGGCCCATGCCACCGTGCCCAGCTAATTTTTGTATTTTTAGTATAGGCGGGGTTTCACCGTGTTGGCCAGGCTGGTCTTGAGCTCCTGACCTCAGCTGATCCGCCTGCCTCGCCCTCCCAAAGTGTTGGGATTACAGGTATGAGCCACTATGCCTGGCCTATTGTTCTTTACTTGATATCTTTATTTACCCCAACTTACTTTTTTTAAACTTCCACTTATTTTAAAAGAAAAGCTTGATATCCCTGTTATACATGGAAAACAAGTATTATTTAACATTAGTGGGTAATAGCAAGACTAAATATAATGACAAAAACTATGCTATTAAATTTTAGAAATTGAAGCAAAAGAATCCCTAGTGAATACAAATGATATGAAATTCATTTGATTTGCAAAATATGCATACAATATCTGCAAAAAAGTCCTTTAATTAGAATGGTTCTGTTTTCCATAGTCAGATATACACGGAATATTCAGCTCACTCTCAGATTAAGGTGAAGATCAGGCTTTACATCATTTTCATTTTTAATCAGTTCAACTCCTATATAGTTGTAGGGCAGTTATCCAAACATAACTAACATAACGTAAGATTTTAATATAGGTCTAAGATATTTTGAGGGGGTGGAGTGCAAAAAGACTAAATCACCAACTCCTGTTCCCCCTGTACTGGCGCTTGTACTGACCTTCACCTCAGAAGAAGGAATTCTAAGAAACCCTATGAAATTAAAACAACTTTTTTTTTTTCCTCTCTGTCCTGTAGCCTTGCCATGTGGGTGAGCTGCCTCGCATTGGAGAAAAGCCAGGCATTTCCTAGTCCTAAGCAGCTACAGGTCTTCTTGTGCAGCTTTGGATTGTGAAAGATGATGTTCAGGATGTTCCTGGTGCTACAGCAGAGTGCAGACATCTCCTTATGCTGTTGGCTCACAGCTACTTCCTTGCATGGTGCTGCCATCCAGGGAGTCAGGGCAATATGAGTATTCTGGGTGGTCTCAGCAAGAAGCGCGTGCAGATTTTCTTCCACCTGTCCTCAAAAACCATGCCATGTGCCACTACCATTCTCATAACTTAGGGAAACGCTGCCTTTAACCATAGTTTTCTCAGATGTTTCTTATGCAGTGAAATAACACCAACCATCCCTCGCCTTTTCCCCTAAAGGGTTCTGATGTGTACTTAGTAGCTGTTAAAAGTGATCCTCAAGACATCTAGTATTGTAGTATTGTAGTATTGGTAATCTTGTGACTATCAGCTCTTGCTGTTTGCTAATATCTGTTTTGTTTACATGAGTCAGTATGAGGCAGAACTTCTTGGAGAATAGTCTAATTAATAATTGAAATACTGATTTGTTAGGGATAAGGCTAGAATAATTTGTCGTCCTTAATTTGGAAGTCTAGCATATGAAATTTCAAAGTAGCTAAAGAATGGATTGATTGTTAGGTTGACCTGGCAAAGAACCACATGCAAGCTGTAGATTTCTCTTGCAGTTGTTTTTTCTAAATGTGAATCCTGGAAGTCAAGGCAGTTGGTGCTGTAGTGGCTTGGCACTGCAAGCTGGAATATCAACAGCAGCTGTTGCTGGGGCCTCTGCTGGAGTCAGAAGGAGATCCTGCTGTGCTGTTTCTTCTCTCTCGCCTGTTTGGCTTAATTTCCCAAGTGGACACGATGCTCTGAGCATCTTCTGCCTTGCCACCTGGAGGCTGTGTAACTCTGCAAAGTTCCATTAGTGTCAAAAGAAAGTAATATGTTCACTTGCTCATTTGAGTCACTTGGCATCACCCATACCCTCCACGTCCCCTATCCTTAAATCTCTTCTCTAGATCCATCCCAAGGCACCTAAATCATTTAGTAAACTGACTTCTTGCCAAATGTGCTTATTTTTGATTTAGTTCAGCCAGCCAAAGTATTCACTGGGGGATGGGAAGGTAGAGAGAAGGAAGGGAAGCCTTCTGCTATTTCTGAAGGTACATTTAAGGATATTTATTTAAAGTGATATTATCATCTCACTGTACGTAGTTCCTTAGAGACTGCTCTAAGCAGGCCTGCTTAATGTTGAATCTATATCTCAGTTGAAAGAGAAAGAAAATTAACTTTATAAGAGACATGTATATATGTGGTTTTTGTACTGTAATTTTCTTTTGATGTTTAACATGATAAATAAATATTGAGAATTTTGATTTATCACAGCTAGTCAATGCATTTTGTATGGGTCCATAAGGTAAGCTTTTGCAAATACAGTTACTAGAATTATCTGTTTTATTGCCAACTTTAGAGACCTTTTAACAGATATGGTCTTTGATCTTATTGTGCTCATGAGTTTGTAGCTGTCTTTTATAGTTCCCAATCTAAATGTTTATGGCATCATTACTTATACACATTATATAATGTTGAGTGAAAATCTTTATTACCTTAGGAAAATCTATGAAGAAAGTTTTTATTAGCCAGAACATTATAATAATGATTTGAAAAAATTTATGTAAACCGTTAGCAGTTAAGGAGACAATTTTTTTTTGTTGTTTTTTTTTTAAGTTTTGAAACAGGGTCTCACTTTCTCACCCAGGCTGGAGTACAGTGGTGCAAACATGGCTCACTATAGCCTGGTCTTCCCAGGCTTAAGCAATCCTCCTGCCTCAGCCCCCTAAAAACTACAGGCATATGCCACTGTACCCACCTAATTTTAGTTTTTTTTTTTATTTTTTAGAGATGGGGTTTCGCCATGTTGCCCAGGCTAGTCTCAAACTCTTGAGCTCAAGTGGTCTGCCTGCCTCAGCCTCTCAAAATGCTGAGATTACAGGTGTGAGCCACCATGCCCAGTCTGTACCTTGTTTTTTTTTTAAAGTATTAAATGTGAAAATGTATGAAATGCTTTAGATTTGCCTGTCCATCTACACACACTTCTAGTTTTTTTCTTTCTATTGTAATTTCTATAGTCTTTTTATTTCTAAGAGTAAGAAATAACTTATTGAGCTTTGAGTAGATGCTGTTTGAGTAGACTTTATGTTTGAAAATTCTTGTTCAAAAATATTTTTTTGAAAAGAAACCGCATTAACAGAAGAACATCTTTAACCTCCCCATCAGAAAGAAACATGGGAACTTGGCAGCAGCATAATTAAAACACATAGTTATCTAAAGCTCTTTATGAGTTTGTTTCATCTTTATATGTTCTTGGTAGCTTTTTGACAAAAACAAGACAAAGGTTATATATTGTTTCACTTTGAAGCAGGATAACCAAACTTAGGCTGAATTCTGGCTATGTGCTAAATTTCTGATTTATAGACATGGGAAATGTTTTTGTATGAATCTACTATTGTATTCACTTTTAGAACATGCCTTTTATGGAAAAGAAAGGAGAAATCAATTTGTACAGCAAAAAGACTAGTAATAGCTAACATTTATTGAATACTAACTGTATGCCAGCCACTGTTCTAAGTACTTTTTACTTGTATTGATTTATTTAATTTTTCCAGTTACCTTGTGGGATACAAGTCCTTTTATCCTATTTTATAAAAGAGGAAACCGAGGTACAGAGAGGTTAAGTAGTTTACCCTAGGTTATGTGGGTAATAGCACAGCTGTGATTCAAGTACAGGCAGTTTGACTATATAGTCTACTGTAATGTCATTTAAAGAAAACAGTTATGTAATTATTTAAATTTTGATTTTAGTCATTGTAAATGTGGCATTCTTCAGTTGGTTAGGAATTTGATCTCTGTTATTCCTTAGATCTTCACCAAAGTGATGAAATGTGTGTGCTCATTTCTCATCCTTCTCTCCTTCCACTCTCTGTGTAGAATTCTCTGTCATAGTTCTGAGCGCTTGGAGGAGAAAAGAATGGCATGTGCAAAGCAGTGTGACATGGATTTTAGTTGCTTGGTTAATTGCTTTACATTCCATTGGGGGCTTAAAGCTTGGCAGTGGAGATATACATTTCCATGTATAGAATTCTCTTTATTTTTAGGAATCTAAAATTTCCTGTAATGAACTGTATTAATTTACTTCTACCCTGAACATTCTCTTTTTCCCTAGCATGTTTCGCCAAGGGATGCATGACTTGAAAGTCTGGCCTAATGTAGAAGCAGATGGATCAGAACCCACAAAAACTCCTGGCAGAACAAGTAGCACTCTCTCAGAAGATCAGATGAGCCGTCTTGCCAAGGTAAAAAAAGTCATTTGGAACAGGTGCAAAGCTCTGACTGATGTCTATTGTAGTATATATACCTTGACATTATGAACTCTGTCAGATTTTTAAAAAATCTAAATCTTAACTTTTAAATAATTGTTTTATTGAGATATAATTCACATACCATAAAGTTCACCCTTGGAAAGCATACAGTCTGATGGTTTAGTAAATTTACAGACTTGTATAATCATCACCACTATATAATTTTAGAATTTTTTCATCACCCCTAAAAGAAACCGCACCATTAACAGTCACTCCCATTTTCTGCTCCCTGCAGTTAGTTCCAGGCAAGTACTAATCTACTTACTATCTGTATGGATTTGCCTGTTCTGGAAATTTCATATAAATGGAATCATTCAGTATGTGACCTTATGTCTGGAAATCTGTCAGGTTTGAAAATGTGGAGCGTTGGTGATATTTTCAAGATGACCACCCACTTTTTCTGGTGACATAGCCTTAAAGTTGTTAGTGTAACATTCTAGAGAAGCTTATGCCACTTGGAAGTGAAGATGACTCAGACAATTAACTAGTATAAAGTTTCTTTGTAAGCAAATGAAGTTATTACCTTTTTCTTTCAAAATTGTTTTAATCAAGTGTTTTCACTTAGAAATATAAAAACTAAATTCTATTCCGTGCATTAATTGCAACGCTGTCATTTATTTTGTGAACTTCCTTTCACAAAGCACTGTGTTAGATACTGTTTAAGGATCCCTTTACAGTTATCTGATTAGGACACTTTCTTGTAGTTATAATACATACTTTTTTTTTGCAATCTTATTAGTAGGAGTGCCTCTTTAATGTCTGGAGGAAGTTTTGTTGCTAAGCTTTTAACAGCTTGTTGCCTTTACCCACATATAGAAGAAATCTTCAAGAATAAGTACTTGGGTTGGCTAGGCTTCATGCTTCAACACAGAATTTTTGTCAAGTTCATTTTGTCTTTTGTATTGCTCTTTTAAGGAAAAATGGTGTTGTAGCAACCTGATAACTATATTGACCAATATACTATTGTCTGCTTCTCCCATCCATAATTAAATAAAATTTAATATTCATTTCTTCTACTCATTCTGAGATTTTGTTTGCATTCTGACGTGGGATATAGGAAAGGTCTCAAGCTTTTCATATGTCTACCTTTAAGACTTTATCTTAGTGATGATCTTTCATTTGAGCTACTCTCTGTCCCTTTTACAAACCTTGAATAGTTAATATAAATTTTATTAGAATCAATTCATTTATAGCCTGTGGGTCACTATAATATGAAAAAGGTTAAATTAAAAAAGAATAAAGAATAATATTTTTAAAAAAGCTCTTAAATTGTCTTTTAAGAGTAGCCATTATGATTCATATTGTAGGTGAAATTCTAAGTCTGAGGGGGAATGGCCAGAGTCAAGAAATATAAAGCTTTATAGTTGCACAGTGTAACTACATTGTTTCTCTGTTAAACACATTATTTAGGCTTCTGTTCACCTAAAAAGTTAGGTTTCTAATTTTTTTCCCTAATTCTTTTTGATGGAAGGTTTAAAAAATAATTTTTGTAACAACTATGACATTTTTCAGGCATCGGTGTATGGAGTATAATCATTGGAATTAGTCCCAGTTGGACTGCTGGTTTTTTAATGTAGCACAACGTTAATAGTATATCTTTTTCATTTTAATCTTTTGAATTTTATACTAGAAAAAAGATGTGACTTAATGATCACCTTTTTTATGATTGAAACAGTAACCCTTCATGCTTGTTCATATTTGTCTTTTAGTTATTTGTGCACATTAACAACTCTAGAAATGATGACTAAGCATGTGCAGAGCTCAATGAGGTGTAGGAAAGAAGCCTTCTTAATGTTTTTGTTAATTGGTAGCAATCATTATCCCCAGTTTAAATTCCTTAGAGTAGCCAAGTGGATCCTACTTTTTCAAGAGATAGTTATTAAAATTTATGTGCTGTTTGTATTGTTCAGAATGGTTAGCAGTTTTCAGATAAGTTTTTATTGGTTTGTAAATCTTTAAAATGGGAATAAAAATTAATGAGAGTGAGCAGCTTACAGTCCTCCTGATAGTAATTGGAGCCTAGCTCTTTTCCACATTCTTTCATCCCTAATAGAATTGTACTTTTAACTTCTGAATGGAGTGGAGACATCTGAGCTTGCCGTGCTGTGACAGCTTGCATTAGTATTAACTTATGTTCCCCAAAGACTAAACAGAAACCATCAAAATGAGTAATTACTTTTTTAAGGGGAAAAATGTGTCCTGTTTGTAGCTTTGTTAAGGAATTGCTCCCTCTTTGAAGGAAGCTCTTTTTATTTTTTGATGTATTGTGCTAACTCGATATTCCCCTCTTCTTGATATAGCAGTTGCTTGTGGTTTTTGAGGTTTCAGAACTGTTGTATATCCCAGCTGCTATTGAAGAGAAATGTTTTAAAAATGATGTCTTAAGATTTGACAAAATTGGAAGGTTGGGCACTTGGAAATGCATTATAGTGGGAAGAGCACTGTACTGCGAGTCAGAGTTTTGGCCATTCTGCTAACTTGGGGAAAATAATTTTTGAGTTTGCAAAATCAGGTGTTTAGAATGGATGATTTTTATGGTCTCATGTAGCTCTTTAATTGATTCTAAAAGTACTGATATAGGAAATAATTGGGATTATCTACCTGGGTTTCATAGTTATTATCTTACTAGGGAATAAAATTGTGATTATTAATTTGCAACTTTGAATGTATTGTTTGCAGGTCATTCCTTTTTTTCTGCAATGTGTATGCCTAGGGTAAAGTGTTACATAGGGCTTGCCTAATGTGAATAATGGGGCTTTGCTCTTAATTTTGTTGTTTGATTAGTGCTTGCTTCTTAAATTTTTAGAGAGGCTTCCTGAAAAACAACTCTTTCCTCACCTAAAACATGGTCTTGCCTTATACTTGAGAAAATATATTTTGATACTTGTATGGTCTTAATTTACTCTCTTACTCTTTAGTTAATTAATTAATTAAGTTAGTTAATTTACTAACTTACCGGAGAGAGTATACTTCGGTACTTACATTCTTAAAATTATATTCTTAACTTAAAATTATTTTGACTGAATTTATTATTATTATTCTTAAATTCTTAAAATTATGCTTAGATACTTAACTTGTTCTTACAGTTGTGCCACAATAGTGTCTGCTGTCTTTCACTCTTTTTCTGATGACACATTTTAAAAAGTTGTTCAGTTAGATTGTCACTCTCTTTCTCAAAACGTTTTGAAATTGTATTAGGTATAATAAACTTTTAAACATGGGAAAGTATTTGTATGCCTCCTGCTTCCATTTTCATACAGAAGGAACAGAGATGGTAGATGTAATGTCTGTATTTCTCACGCTACCATTTTAAGAAAAAAAATTAGTATTCAAATAGATGAGGGTTAAGTAGTTAGAACCAAATGGTTTATTTCTTGTTGCAACTTTTATTTTCCATCCAGTGAATTTACTATGATTGTTTCTAATTTTTGAGAAGACAGTTGGCTTAAGACTAAAAAGATATACATAAATCTTAATAATAGCAAAGCATTTTTACTATGCATGGTACCCATGAGCCTAAATAAGTAGCATAGTAGTAACAGTTTTCAAACTGCAGTATGAGAGAGTTTACTCACTTATAGAACTACTTCAGTCTTGATTGTCTAGGGATAATGGACAAGAGGACTGTGAAATGAAGATTAACTATTTAATGGCCTGTGAAAAGACGGTGTTAGATAATTATTAAGCAAAGAACTTCCACTACAAGCCAGACTTAACCCTCTTCTGATTTATTGCTCACCTATTACAGTTGAATTCTAATTACAGTATGAATAGCTGAAGTTTGAAAGCCTGCTTTTCAAGTTTGAGAGTTTTTAAAAGTCCAGTTCTTTCAGGATGAATTTAGCGGAATTAACCTCTCTCATGATTTTACCTGATTTTGTGAACATGCCTAGTTTTGCTTTAAGGAAAAATGAGTATGAAAAAAGGAAACATAATCATTTTCCTTAATTTTTATTTTTTATAACTTGAATTTCTTAGACTTCTAGTAGGGAATGAAAGAAATGAATAATTTAAATACACTATTACCCCCCCACCCCCTGCCCCATTTTCTTCTTTTTCCCATTTCTAAGTTTCCCTAATTAATTTTTAGTATAGTGTCTTTCCGTTTGAATTGATTTGTGAAAATAATAAAAGACCAGACTTCTAGAGCATTTATTAAACTTTCCTTGTCCATGACCCAGGCTTTTGGTGGCTGTGGGCCTTACTTGAGCAAATTTACCCATTGTTCCCATCTGCTCTGTTTTTCAGCTTGTCATATTATAAGAGTTTTATGACTAGAATGCATATCCACCTGGGGTTTTGGATGTGACTACCAAGCTTTAGTGTTTGATTTATATTTGAATCCATGTCTTTAGACATGAAAGGTTAGTGCAAAAGCATGCTTCTCCACTGTCTCCTTTTCATTTTAGCAGCTCTGCTTGATGCCTTTGGAATGTGCTTTAGTTTCTGTCAGTTTGATTAAGAGGAGGCAAAGAGAAAGTAACAACTAGATGAAAAATGCTTTGTACTCTGTGTGACACAGATAGGTATGGGAATGTTGTTGAGTAGAGTATAGAGGTGAACACTGTTGCAGGGAAGATGTGGTAAGATGTGGTGGTGTTTCAGGCTGAACCACAGAGTGCCTGTGTGGCGTCACTGTGGGTCCAGGGTCTAGATCTCAGGTTTAAATAGGAGCTGGATTTTTTAAGTTCATTTAGTTATTGTTTCTTGAGAATAGGTTCATGCCAACCACTTCAAAGAGTCATTTATAATCTGGAGCTGCAGTGTCTAATATCAGAGCCACAAGTCGCATGTAGCAATTTAGATTTAGGTTAATTAAGATGAAATAACATTAAAAATTCAGTTGCTCTGTCACTTTAACTACATTTCAAATGCTTAGACGCCCCTGGTGGCTACAAGATATCTATTGGACAGTGCACATGTCGAACGTTTCTATTATTGCCAAAAGTTCTACTGACAGCATTGATCTAGAGTGCCAATTTACAAATTTGTGGTGGGTGAGTACATCTTTCTGGTAACCATATTACTTGTGCCTGCTATCTAGGACACCGTATTTCAAGATACTTTGGAAATGTAAGTAGTCTTCATGATATTGTTGATTTCTTAGTGAACCATGAAGGAGCTGGAAAGGTTTCTCAGATATTTTTCTCAGTTTTGGGAAATCTAAAACGGACTGTTTTTTTTTTTTTTTTTCTGAGATGGAGTCTTGCTCTGTCGCCCAGGCTGGAGTGCAGTGGCACGATGTCAGCTCACTGCAAGCTCCACCTCCCAAGTTCATGCCATTCTCCTGCCTCAGCCTCCCAGGTAGCTGTGACTACAGGCACCCGCCATCATGCCTGGCTAATTTTTCTGTATTTTTAGTAGAAATGGGGCTTCATTGTGTTAGCCAGGCTGGTCTTGAACTCCTGACCTCGTGATCTGCCTGCCTTGGCCTCCCAAAGTGCTGGGATTGCAGGCGTGAGCCACCACGCCTGGCCAAAAGGACTTTCTTTATAGTATCCTTTTAATTTAAATTTACTTGAATATGCTGGTTGTACTGCATCTTTTGAATAAACGTTGACAAATTATCACAATCCCAAAATAATCCTTGAAAATCAAGATTAAGATAGCAAGGAATTTTCTGGTCACATAATTAATTTTCTAAAGTGGGATTGAAGTAGTTTGACCCACTATAATATTTACCCTTGAAAGAAAGTATTTTGCATTAATCTATTGCATCAAATGGGTACTTGTCCTAGAGCATTGATTAGAGGAGCTCCCTGAGATTTTAGTTTTATGTACATGTAGAAGTCCTCTTTCATCTTCACCATTGTCAAAGGCACACTTCTAAATGTTGAAGACCAAAAAAAAAAAAAATTGTATTACTAAGTTCCTGATGTCATTATTGTTAGTGTTATTATGACTAATAATAGTAACTACATTTATAATCACCTTGTATGTGTAAAGTGCTTTAATATCAACAAAACCTCTTAGCATAGATTGCAAACTAAAATAGAGAAGGGATTAAGATCATGGCTTTAGAGACCATTTTTTATTCAAATCCCAGCTGTGATCTTGAACTAGCTATTTAACCTTTACTAAGTCATGAAATCCTCTTCTGTAAAGTAGGAATAGTAGTTATATCTGTTTTTGGAGATTATTGTGAAGACTAAGTGTAAATGATAAAATGTTTAAAGGATTTAGCATACTGCTCAGCAAATACTGAGCACTAATAAATGTTAGCTGTTGTTATTACTTTTTTTACTTGCTTTTATTTGAGTCTGACAAGTGTAGGATTGGGACTTATGCACTACATTGTTTTTAAATTCATGAAAAGATGAAAGCGTAGAGAAGTTAAGCTGTTTATTTATGGTTACATATTTGGTAACTTGCAGAACCAGCACCTAAAACCACGTCTTTAAATTCTTTATGGAAATCTCTTCCAAAATAAGTATCAGTGACATATGCTTAAGATCTGAGGATTGAGAGGAATGTGTTTGCATGAAGAATGTATTGTTCTTATTTAGAAGATTAAAATTGAAAATAGGAGAAAAGGTAGATAGAATATGAAGCAGTGTCTACACTGCAGGTCCTCAAGTATGGCATAAAAGATGATGCCCGTTAAGTCAGTAAACAGTGACCTGCCTATGGTAAGCACCCATTACATATCTATGCTATGAAAGAATTGGAGTTATGAATGATATATGGCTTCAGTTGTTACGAATACATACTTCAAAAGCAATTAAAAAAACAGTAGATCTTAAGATTTATTTCATCATAGTCAGTGCAACCTCAAAGGACAAAGGCCTAGGAGGAAAGGAAACATTACTGAAAAAGGTGTATGTTGTTCAAAGGAACTATTAATAGGATAGGAACCTCAGTGTACAAACATATGAGAGAACCCCTTAGTAAGTATACAAGAGACGTACAACAGATGCTGCAAAATTGCGGAAACGTTTTAGAGCCATGAGAGGAAGTGGCTATATAGATATATGTGTATTTTTTTTTTTTTGAGACACAGTCTCACTCTGTCGTCCAGACTGGAGTGCAGTGGTGCAATCTCGGCTCACTGCAACTCCTGGGTTCAAGCGATTCTCTGCCTCAGCCTGCTGAGTAGCTGGGATTACAGGTGCGTGCCGCCATGCCCGGCTAATTTTTGTAATTGTAGAGACAGGGTTTCACCATGTTGGCCAGGCAGGTCTCGAACTCCTAACCTCAAGTGATCAACCCGCCTCGGCCTCCCAAAGCATTGGAATTAGAAGTGTGAGCCACCATGCCTGGGCCAGAAATGGCTATTTTCTTTGTGTGATCACAAAAAATGATGCAGCTATGATGGTAACGAAGTCTCATTCATTCAGCTCAGGCTTTTGTCAGATTATTGACTTGATCACAGGATTATTTTTCAGAAGTTTGAGGAAAAAAGGACACTGCTTCTCTAGACCAATTTTTTGTTTGTTTTTGTTTGTTTGTTTGTTTTGGGGACAGGGTCTCGCCTTTTTTCCCAGGCTGGAGTGCAGTGGCACACTCACAGCTCACTGCAGCCTCAGTCTCCCGGACTCAAGTGATCCTCCCACATCCTCTGGAGGAGCAGGAACTACAGTTGTGCACCACCATGTTTGAATAGTTTCTTTTATATAGAGATGGTGCCTCACTTGGTTGCCCATGCTGGTCTCAAACTCCTAGGCTCAAGCAGTCCTCCTGCCTCAGCCTCCCAAACTGCTGGGATTACAGGCATAAGCCACCATGCTGGACCTCTAGGCTAATTTACACCACTATAAAAGAAGTGATTAATGAAAAGGGAGTAACAGGAATTTTGGAAAAAACTAAAGATGTCACATTATACTTTGGGATTGCAATTATAATCAAGGAGTGCGATAATGGACCAAGTTAGGGATATGTCAGTTCTCACAAAGTTTGAGAAAGGCAAGATGTTCCATTCAATTGAGAACCTATAAGGGAAGATAACCCAAAAGGACCAAGGGGTTCTTTGGTTCTTTTGGTCCCATTCTCAAGGGGACAATTTGGCATGGACTAAAGAAGGTCTTGGATTAAAATTTGAAAGGAAAAATCCCTAAATATAACAATATTTTAAAATTTTCTTTCTTTTGAATGCATTAAACGCACATTGAAGAAGTAAGCCTGTGTTAGACACTGAATTGATTTAGTTGAGTTATAATCTTCATCCAAGTGCCCTTCAGCCTAGGAGAGTTAGCCAAATAATTTAGTTAAGTAGTAATTGAAAACCAAGATTGTTGAGAAGGGTAGCAAAAAGGCACTCATTGATCTATTCAGTTTTCCTAGTCCTGGAAAGTTAACTGTCAGGGTTTTAACATTTACATGATGAATGAATATTGAAACTTACCCCCCAGAAAGAAAAAATTGGGATTCTTTTGATCTTACCTTTTTTCCCTTTTAATTTTACATGTAGAAGAGTTACTAGCTAGGCATGTTGGTGTGCACCTGTAGTTTCAGCCACTCAGCTACATGGAAGGCTGAGGCAGGAGGATTGCTTGAGTCCAGGAGTTTGACACCAGGCTGAGTAACATAAGAGACCCCGTCTCTTAAAAAAAAAAAAAAAAAAAAAAAGAGTTCACATAGCAGGCCTAAGGCTGCTGTGCTTAGAAGGGCCTGCTTGCAAGGTTGGCCCTTGGCTGATGTCTGAGAACTGAGCTTCTGAAACAATTCCTAACTGATACAGATGTTTCACTGTGTCTAGACTGTTTCCACATGTGATTTATGATGAGCACTTGCTCTCTTTCTGGAAGTCTAAAATTTTGGTAGTTGTAAGGCAGAGATTGCCTTTGTGACCAGCTCCCAGTAAAATCCCTAAACTCTCATTCGGAAATGGGCTTTTTAGAGCTGCATTTTTCCCGCTAGAGATGTGAATATACTTGCATGTTATCTCTGAAAGACTAAGATCAGTCAATGTTTTGGATTTTAGAGATATGATTTAAGAAGTGATTTTTATTATATAGTGGACATCAGTTCTTATTACAAATCCTATAATGGGTTATCAAATTGATGATTTATATGAATTTCTAAACCTGTACCCACGTAATGATATTTTGTAGTTAGATTTTGGAGAAATGAGAAACATTAAAGTATCCAAGGAGGAGGTGTTTTGAAAAATGAAGGCATTATGTTTTATTTTACGCTTTTAAGATTAGTAGAACTATAAAAACTGATGAAAGATTTAAATAATAATGAGATACATTATAACTGGGGTTGAAGACTGACAGTCAAGATTCCTGAATTACAGCTCTCACTGATGGCAGCTTATTGAATAGCTAGCTGTTTCTGTATTCCTGGGTATTTTTCATTGTTAAAATGTGGTCAGATCTCCATTATCTCTGCTAATTATAGGAATCATGCCATTATTATTATTATTATTATTATTATTATTAGCTATTCTGAAAAGGAAAATTAACCTCAGACTATTTTGTTTATAAATTACAGCAAGCTGATTAAGTGTACTTCTCCTGGATTCTGAATACACTTCCTTCCGCCTTGAATAAATTATGTGAAATAATGTTGATGAATAAACTGACATTCTGGATCAAATTACTTTAACAGAATAAATTGTTTAGAAGGACCTATTAGTGATCTTTTCCCCTTATTATTGTTACATAATTTATTGTTTTCAGAATTTAACACTTAAGTTCCTAAAATTGCTTTCAATTGATTATATATGTTAGCACTTTTCTTGGGAAGTTTGTATTCTTTGTAAGAAATATCTATACTTGGTTAAGTCTTCACTTGGTTAGGTATATCACATAAAGAAAGTGTCCTTTCTCCATAGCTGAATCACTTAATGATTTAGGTTATAGCTCAAGTAGCTTGATAATCTTCGGTTTTCTATTTTCTAATCAACTGCCCTTAGTTATGATGTCTACAGTACATGCAGTGCAATATTAGACTAAGTATAGTAATTTAGGAGGGTGAATCTATCATCCCTAATGATGTAACCATTACCCCATTTAGGTAAATGAATATACAAAATATAGACAGTGTTCTGTTAATATGTATGTATATTACATTTACTTTTTACCCACAATATAAAACAATTCACTTTGGGAGGCTGATGGAGGAGGATCACTTGTGCTCAGGAGTTCGAAGCCAGCCTGGGCAACATGATGAAACTTTGTCTCTGTAAATAAAAAAAAAACAAAAAACAACAATTGGGACTTGACCATTTGTAATAATGACTATAGTAAAAATAATCTCATTTTCTCAAAAACAGTAAGAACACCCTTATTTATTTAATCACTAGGAACAAAAGAAAACTTCCGTCTTTTAAATGTATGTGTTTTAGAGGAAGAAAAACGGTGTCCTAAAGAGTTGAAGAATGCATTTGTTACTTTACAAATCAAAATATAGGATCCTAGATATAACATTTGGGTTGAGCAGAAGAGTCTTATATTTTTTTCTTCCTCGAATGTTTTGTAAATGACAATAATAAACAACAGAATTATGATAAATGCTGAAATTATTCAAGGCTATCAAATTTATTCATTGATGTCATTGATATCACCAAATATACCTCCTAGATATAGGTTTTTGTATAAATATCTGGTATAGCTTTTATAAACATATCTTATTGCTTTGATTCTGTGTCGCCATTGAATTGTGTTATAACAAGCGTTTGGGAATATCTCGTAAATTTATTTTTAATGCTACCTTCTGTTTTATTAATCACTTTGGTTTGCTTACTGCTAAGACTGTCAGAAGTTTTGGATTTGTCTGGAAACCAATGATAGCAAGTAGACTAAATTAGTTTTTGCCAGTGCCCTAAAACAGTATTGATTTATGTTCTGTAAATCTATTTTCTGTCTTTACAGTTATAGTTTCTGCCAGAAAAATAGTAAGACACTTTTAAGACTAGATTTATCTTCAAGAAGTTTAACTAAATGAAACTTTTATGAAGCAAATACTACTCTTCCTGAATAATAAGATTTACATGTACAGTTTGAAAGTAAAATTGGAGATTTGTGACCAAGACTTCATTAATCAGGAAGATAGAAGAAACTTCTATGCTTGCCAAGAATTAAATACATAGGCATATGCAAAGTCTCTAAAACATGCACACGTACATGATTCTTTTTCTAATCTCAGTAGTTCAAATAAATTATTTTATACAACTGCATTTTGTCTGAAGTTATAAATTACGGCATAGCTTGGCCGGGCCTGGTGGCTCACACCTGTAATCCCAGTACTTTGGGAGGCTGAGAAGGGTGGATCATTTGAGGTCAGGAGTTCGAGACCAGCCTGGTCAACATGGTGAAACCCCTTCTGTACTAAAAATACAAAAAAAAAAAAAAGAAAAAATTAGCCAGGCATGGTGGTGCATGCCTGTAATCCCAGCTACTCGGGAGGCTGAGGCAGGAAAATAGGAAAATCTCTTCAGCCTGGGAGGCGGAGGTTGTGGTGAGCCGAGATCACGCCACTGCACTCCAGTCTAGGCAACAGAGTGAGACCCTGTCTCAAAAAAAAAAAGGTACTGCATAGTTTATATTTGATTTGAGACGCTTATTGTCTTTTTTTGAAGAATTACACTTTTTTAGTAATATAATTCTAGTGCACCATGCAACTATATTAGCAGACAAAGATATTGTCTTCAAGTATTTATTAATTTAGCTCAGTTCTATTTTAGACTCAGAGAGGCATTAGAGTCAAAAGAGTTAAGCTATGGCCTTTAACCTGAGGGAGTTTAGAGGAATGAGATGGGAGGTAATTGACAAAATGCAACCCTGTACAATCATATAAAGGGTTACTGGAAAAACAGTCTTTTGTATATAGTAGTACCAGACATTATTAAACACCTATTGAAAAATGGTAACATCTTCTAATTTATATGGTTTTGTAGTTGGATCTAGTTGAAGGGCCCTTGGAAGAAAGTGAGAGAGCAATCAAGTTTATACTTGGATTTTATTTCAGGTGGTTAAGTTAAATTAATGAGATAGGGCTTTATTCTTTGAGCTTTTATTATGAAGTGAAATTGCTTTATTTAGCATTATCTTTATAAAGGCTAATCTTTAGTGGTTTTCCCAACGGAGCTTTCTCCACAATTAATTGTTTCTTAAATTACTTTAGCTTTTAAATGACTTTTATTTTTTCTTACTACAAAGATAATATACATCTTCTACAGTGGTAGAATATTGTTAAAGCACAAAGAGGACTATGAAAGTCACCCCAGTCTACCTACCACTCAAAGATAATCACTAGCACTTTGGTTTATATGCTTTCAGTAAATTAATAAATGTATGTGTGTTATAGATGAATATGTGAACATTTATTTTAAAATTAGAATCATACCGTATCTGTGTGCTTAATTGAATCTTGCTTTTACATTTAATGGTGTCTCAGAATTGTTCCAGGTTATTTAAGATACTTCTACCACATAATTTGTAAAGGCTGGAGGGTTTTGCATAGTGTAGATAAGTCATAATTGATTTCAGCAGTCTTCTATGGTTGGATATTAAAAATGTTTGAAATTCTTGGTTCATTTTCTATTTATTTGAAATGAAAAGTGAGGATTATATTTTTAAGTTGTTTTTAGACAACTTACTTGGTTTGCTCATATCCTGTATTTCCAAGTTATCAGTCATAAGGTATTACTTTCATATCACTGTTTCAATTTGTAGTTACACTTTTAAGTGCTTACTATATTGAATGACTCACTTATTTCCACCTTGATGTTCTGTTAGGGCAGAGAACTTGCTTCTTTTGTTCAACATTCTATGCTCATCTGAAGGACAGAGGACATGATGGAAGTTTGTTACTTAATAGCCAGCAAGTTACATATATTTGTATTGAGAGTGTATAAAGATTAGGGAAGAGTGACCAAGGGCAGGAATCTTTTTTTTTTTTCTCTCTCCAGCTTCCTTTTTAGTGTCACTCCCACCTCTTCCCCTGAAGCCCCAAAGCTCTTTGGGCAGAATATCAGAGTATACTTACATTTGTTTTCCATTATGTCTGTCACCCTTTCACATAGAAAGCCTTTCAATAAGTATAAATAGACATTGAATGAATAAATGCTAGCTTCTATTGAACATTCATAGCTCTTATACTCAAGAAGCTCATTTGTCTAGTAAAATAGAGAAGAGTACGGAGCAATGAACTGTGAGTTCTAATGATCGTGGAAGTCTGTCTATTTCCAAGGATCACTATCTGCTCTGAAATTTGTTTTCCCTGCTGGTCTTATTCTTACACAGTGCAGCAAGTTGGCCTACTTTTGGCTCTGTCCTTGATACTTTTATTAAACACCTACTAATCTGAGACATCTTCCTCAAACACATCTTTTTGTTCTTTCATTAAATCTGACAATACAGAATTAGTACTCCAAGAAGTTTCCCAGGCATGTTGTTATTTGGTTCTTGTGGATTCTTTTATTTAAATAGCTTTTAAAACTCCTTGCTTTTTAATTCTTGGAGAAGTTAGGGCTAAATTATGCCTTTTTTTTTTTTTTGTGACAGTGTACTTTTCTTCCAAACTCTTTGTGACTTCCTGTGAATTCTGTTAAGAAACCTGTGTTCCTTTAAAAAGAGAGAATGAATTTTTTTTTTTCCTGTTTCTTGACCTATCCCCATCCTAGAATGGGCATCCTAGTGAGGATTATTTCTTCATGAGTAATTGAAACAGTTTGTCCTACTTTTACCTTTCTGCTTAACAGAATGCAGATTTTCTCTTTGGAAAGATGTAAATCACTGACATTACAGACCCAAAATTAAATATAAATTGTTATGCCACCTGTGTCTATTGTTCATTTTTGGTCTTTAGTATCTATAGAAGTTCGTGGATTGGAGATAACTAGAAGTTGCTTTGAACTGATGAAAACCACTCAAGTATATCTACATTGTTATCAGCACCCATAAGAGATGAAGTGACATAGGTTATGGGCTAATTAGAATAGCTGTTACAACTTACATAGTGCTTTATAGTTTTATAAAATTAATAAAAAAATTTAATATAATTAATAACTAATTATTTCACTTACATTGAGCAGTAAAGGTAAACGGCTTTATGGTTTGAAGAGCCAGAAGAGACTGTGTTAGCTGGAGTTTAGTGAGTTCGTTGGAGAGGTGAAGGAGATTATTCTGAAGAGGAAGGCAGCTATGGATCATTTAGCAATTGTGATAGCTAGTTCTAGACTTTTTCTGCTGCCTAAAGTCCAGCCAAGAGCTGACTTTGCCATCTCTAAACTCTACACACCTGCTCCCTTGCAGTGGAACAATTAATTGTATTATTTGCTTGGACTCTCTGATAAGTAAGCGCTGTGCTAGCTAGTCTCTTAGGATGGCCCTCAATGAAATATGCCTTCTGATAGTCACACTCTTCCACATTATATTACCTTGTGACTGATTTTAACTGTTATAATGCAGCAGAAGTGATGCTGCGTCTGTTCCAGGCAAGACAGCGTGACAGCTTTGGTTTCTTCACATGTTAGGAACATTAAGCCATCATGTAAGAAGTCCAGCTATTCTGTTGGAGTGACCAAGTTGAAAAACCACTTGGAGAGGGAGCAGCACTGAGAATACGTGGGGAAAGAGAGGCCCTACCACCCTGGTATCCCGGCTAAGCCCACCCTTTATCACCAAGGTGTTAGAAATGTGAGTAAAGCCAGCTTGGATGTTCCAGCTCTAACCACCCAATGAATACAATATTATGACTACTGATAAGTGAGACTACAAGAAAAAATTATTTAAATGTCTCTCAAGAAGATGATTTTGCCAAAAAAAAGATAATGAGAAACAATAAAATGAATGTCGTTTTAGGCCACTAAGTTTTAGGGTGGTTCGTTATGTAGTAATAGGTAAATAGGACAGGCATCTAGGAGACATTTTGAGTGGTAACTGTACAATTCTGTGGAAATCATAAAATTAGCTCAAAGAAATACACAGAATTTTTGCTGTCAATCTCAAAGTCAGGTACAGGAGACAGACATGCAAACAATTTCCATAGCATAAATGGTACCTTTAATTTTGCAATCGGTTTTGCACTCAACAATATCTTTCCTGTGAAGGCATACAGATTTTTCTCATTCTTTTTGATTATAGCATTTCATAGTGTGTGTGTACTCTAGTTTACTTAACAGTTCTCACTATTGATGAACATTTTCATTCTTTTGTGTCTAATTTTTCTGTATTGCAAATATGGTGCACAAATGTGAATTTCTCTAGTATAATTTAAACTTATTTTCATAGTGACTGTACCAGTTTTAGTACTGGCATGCTGTCCATACATTCTTTAGTAGCTCTTATACAATTGAGATAGGTCATATTTGGTATTCAAATAGGAAAGCTAATCATATGCTATATGGGAGATAATATATATTAGCAGCAAACATAAATTCTAGAGCTAGTGAAAATGGCTTTAGAACATTTCTAATTTGTCTGGATAGTTTTAGTAAAGGAGGAAAAAAGTTCCCACCACATTCTCCCACATCCAAACTTAATTTACCATTGCCAGTTCTTTGCTCATAGGAAATTAGCAGTGGATCAACTATTGTATCATAAATACAAAACTAATATTCGAGAAACGACAGAATTGAGTTTCACTTAAAGCTCTTAGTACATCAGTAGAGAGGATAGCAGACTGGTGGTAGGAGTATAGGCTTTAGAATCATATAGTCTGGGGTTTAAACCCTAGCTTGGCCACTTCATAGTAGTAGTTGATAGTCATCTGCAAACTGGGGTCAAAATAGTCTACAAAATAGTGTGGTTATAAAAAGTGCCTATAATTTGGCATGTAAATAAATGTTATTTTTTTCTCCATTCCTATAGGAAGTATATAAACTCTTATTACTAATTTTTACTGTTACTTCGTTCGTACAAGCAAAGGATGTAAAATGACCTTTTACATTTTCATTTATTTTGAAAACCAGTTTGGAGCATATTGCGAAGTGAGTAAGAATAGAGGCTTCCAATGACTGCATGAAATAATACCACCTGTTATATTTTGCATCTATTACTTTATTTGAGTTTTGGGAGTAAGAATAGATGTTAATACTTGAATTTTATTGATGTGGGTTCAGAAAGGACATAGTTTGAAAATGGAGTATTAAGGTTGGAACTCTGGTCTTCCAGCTCCTACTCTAGCACTCTTTTCTGTAGGTCACATTGTCTGATCTTCTTTTGGTTTCCTTGTGACTATTTCTAGGTCTCTTTCCATGTTGCTAGCATATTTGTCTATTATTCCACCAGAGCCACCACGATATTTAGTTCCTGCTTTTTGTAATCATGCTAAGCTTATTAATAACTTTTCATACATTTTCATATAGAAATTACCTCACATGAAAGGGAATTATTGGAAGAAAGCTAAATTGATATTACTTTTTTTTATTACAATGAACTTCAGACTTTTTGTGTGACATTAGTATTTTTATTTCTGAAATAGTATGACCACATAGTTGTGATGAGTTGAGGAAGAGAAAGAAGATTGATAGTGAAGATTTTTAATTCTGCAAGAGAGATGAAATTGGTGGCAGTGTTTGCTGTTCTTATAGGAAAGCTGTCATGATATGGACAATGAAGCAGAAGAAACTGATATAGATAAGCTACTATGTAAAGCTTTGATGTCCAGTTTTGCTTTATACTGTCAATTTGTTTAGAAGGAATGAGAGGGGTGTTGATTTTTAGTATTACAGTTTCTAATTCAAAACCTGGTTCTAATTTGAGGTCCTTGGAACTTACCAGGAATTCTCTATGGATTTGAAGAGTCAATGAATTATTAAAGTTATAAAACTAAGGTTAGATTGGTATGTAAGACCTCACAGGACTCTACCAACTGCTATTCTAGAAAATTGAAGTCTTTTATCACCGTTGCCTAAAATTAAAGCATACATGCATATGTGTGAGCTTAAACCTTAGAGTATTAATGTGCAAACCCAGAAAAATACCTTATTACCTGTAACTGTCATTTTTTCATGTTGGTTAGATACATTGAAAGATGGGAAGAAAAGAGAAAAAGTGGTTTATTTCCCATTCATGAAACTATTATTATAATTTCATCTCTTTGTAATAGTCAAAATACAAGAAATATAGGAACACGGAGATAATTTCAGGAACAACTTCATTATTCTTTATCATGTCAAAATATGGCAAATTATGGACCTTTTTAAAAAAAATTTAATTGTTTTTCTTTAAAAAATAATGATTTGTCTCTTGCCAAGTTTCTTATCCTGCTAATTGCGTATGGTTTCTATTGTGTATAGGAAAGTATCATATGTGAAGTGTACATTGCCATTCTGACATTTTTGGTCCTTCTTTCTACTAGATGTATATTAAAATTTTCGTCATTGTATTTATTCTGCAGCTCACCAAAGCTCATCGACAAGGACACATGGTGAAAGTAGATTGGCTGGATAGATTGACATTTAGAGAAATAGAAATGATAAATGAGGTGGGTTATATCACTCTTTTATTTTAAAATATTTTCTGTAAATTTTTAAATTAACAATTTTTTGATAAGAATTATTATTAGGTATCTTACAAATATAGGATTATCAGGGTTAACCCCTGTAGCTGGGAATTCTATGCTAATAACTGGAAAATTGGAGATATCAGCCTTCCCTATATTTTAACGTAATGTCAAACTATGAAGTAGGTAGTGGATATTCAAAGATGTTCTAAATATCATATGAGTGAAGCCTATGCAGACTTAATGCCTCAGTGGTGTGTTCTCTGTCATATCAGCTCATGTTCAAGTCAGCGTTGGATAAATCTTCCATCAGCACAGTGCCAGCTTTTCACTTCAGTTACCATAAATCATTTCAGCAAGTTCTCTCTTCAATTAATTTATTACTTGTCTATGTACTACATATAGGACTCCGCACCCTCTATAAAGTTACATGATTTAGGTGATTTTTTTCTTGACCTTGTATGTGAGCCAGTGTGTATGTTTAAATAAAGATGGCTTCAATGAGAGTCCTGCCAAAAGTTGTAACAAGAATAGTTTACTTTTTTGTATATTTGCTCTAAAATGCCAGATGTTAGGCCTAATGTTCCACATCTAGAGAACAGAAACAATAATTATATTAATCAAATTAGGAGAGAAGGACATCAATTTGTGATTTGTCTAATTTATAATGACCATAAGGCACAACTTACTTAATTTATATTCTCCAAATAATTTTCAGCAGGTAGAAAGAGAGAAGTTTTTAATTTTACAGTGAACTATTACAAAAGTTAGATTTTAGCATTATTCTTTTATTTTAAAATAAAGGTAGTGATGTTTAACAACATTTATATTCAATTCTCGTATTTGGTACCTTTTCTAAATTTATTCATAATACATTCCTATATACATAAACTGGAAGGAAGCCTTTTTAATTTTTATAATAGTCACATTTCAAAAAGAGTTTACTCATAATACTAACTTATATTTTTCTCTTCTTAAACTTAGATATCACTGGGTATAGAAAACGTAATGTTAGAGTTTGCCCAGCCTTTTTCATATTTTTACATTTTAATTTCTTTGAAAGAAATTACCATTACCACCGCATTACTATTACAAAATAGACTATAATATGCTTCATAAAGCTGAAGAATTTAAGTAACCTCTTCAGACCTTTATCATTTATTATTTCTTTTTTTTGTTTGTTTTTTTTGGGGGACAAGGTCTTGCTGTGTCACCCAGGCTGGAGTACACTGGTATGCTTAGTGCAGCCACAAACTTCTGGACTCAGGCAGTCCTCCTGATTAGCTTCCCAAGTTGCTAGGACTACAGGCCTGGCTAATATTTTTAAAATTTTTTGTAGAGTCAGGGTCTGGCTATATTGCCCAGGATAGTCTCAGACTCCTGGCTTCAAGCAGTCCTCCCACCTCCCAACGTGCTAGGATTACAAGTGTGAGCCACCATGCCTGGTGATTTTATGTTTTAGATGTAAAGCCATTTATAAAGGTGTTTTGGGTCAAGGCTAATCACCCGCTTAGACTTCATTGTATTTTCACTTTATCATCACCTTAGTATAGTCATGTGCCTCATCATATCATTTCAGTCAACTGCAGATCACATGTACAATGATGGTTCCGTAAGATTATAGTACTTTATTTTTACTGTACTTTTTCTCTTTTAGGTATGTTTAGATACACAGATACCTAACTATTGTGTTACAGTTGCCCACAGTATTCAGTACAGTAACCTGAAGTAACAAGTTTGTAGCCTAGGGGTAATATGCTACACCATATAACCTCGGTGTGCTATAGGCTATACCATCTAGATTTGTGTGTTTACATTTCATGATGTTTACACGACTAAATTGCTTAATGATGCATTTCTCAGAATGTACACCTGTCGTTAAGTGACATGTGACCATGTTTGCTTTTTTATTTTAAAGGGGACACAATTATATAAATAACTTTTTTTTATGTTGGAACAAGAAGTAATTATTCCGCAGTATATTTAAAGTGTGGATAAAAATTTACAAATGACAAATCATTTTAAGACCATTTATAAATTGCGAAAAACTTGTAAAGGCTATACTTGGTAAACTCAAATGGCCTCTGTTCTTAGGTTGCACACTTTTCTTCCTTTTGATTTTTGTTACACATATTGATTTCTATGGTTTAGTCATATAAGTTAAGGGTGAACTTAGCTTAAAATTGTTAGAAGGAAAAACCATTCTTTTTATTTTTGAAATAAAATAGTTCTCATGAACATGTGTGCAAAATACCTTCAAGATTATAAACCCAAACTACTGAATAAACCAAAAATGTTAAATTTGAGAAAGCAGTTATAAGTGCATAGTAGACACTACTGAATAAACAGTAGTGCTGTCTATAATAAAATAATAGTGCTGTGTAAAACACACTACATGTATATAATAAAATAAAAATGTGTTATGTTTTGACTTGTATTTGATAGATACATGTATTACTGAATTAGGAAAAATGATACATACTGATCCTTTAAGAGAATGTTGAAAATAATCATTTTTCATGAAAATCATTTTTTTTTTCAGAGTGAAAAACGAAGTTCTAATTTCATGTACCTGATGGTTGAATTTCGATGTGTCAAGTGTGATGATAAGGAATATGGTATTGTTTATTATGAAAAGGTATTTCCCTTGGAACTGTTTTTGGTCTCTAAAGTAGAGGGGAGAGGAAACATTAAAAAAATATTGTTGTTCCTGCTGGGATGAATTATTTGGTTGCAGGGTAGCAGCAGACAGCTGTCAGCAGCAGCTGTTTATGTATACAGAAATCAAATCATATAACTACAACAAGATTACAAAAGCCTATCACTCATGTAATGCAGTTCTGGGTTACAGAATTCAATAAGTATGCAAGTGATTAAAAACTTTGTGATTAATTGTTCTGCAAATTGGCAAGTAGGACACTAAGTAATGGCTTCATTTACTAATATTATTTATTTAAAAAATGAAAGGGGGAAATTATATTTCTAAGTGGTAGGCTATTTATTGAAAGTTAAGAGTCTGTTTGTTATTTGAGTGTATGTGTAATGTCTATATGTGGCCCTCACTGAAGTATACTTATGAAATACTTCAGAAATGTCCATTTGTACAATAGATGCAAAATTAAGACAATTTTACCATCAGGCTGGGTAATAACAAATATGCAGTTATAGATTTGCTTTGTTCTGCCCATTATGCTACAGAAAGTAGTTCTGTGTTTATTATGTACCTACTTGAAAGTATCTTCCTTAAATGCTTGTAGAAGGTGCTTCATTTAAGTACTACAGAAATAATTATATATTTAAGTACTACAGAAAATAATTGTATGCAGGCCAGGTGTGGTGGCTCATGCCTGTAATTCCAGCACTGTGGTTGGCTGCGTGGGAAGATTACTTGAGCCCAGGAGTTTGAGACCCGCCTGGGCAACATGGCGAGACTCCATCTTTATTTAAAATAAATATAAAAAAAAATGTATGCATAGTTTGAAACCACATAAAGTATCTTCTATTATTGTGTTAATAGTCAACAAATGTTAAATCAGCATAAATGATGACAGACTTTTGATACATGGCATAGTAGTAGATTAATATTTCTTCTAGCATATGACCAAGCTGATATGCAGTGTATTTGTTCATTAGAAGCAGTCCTTTTAAATTAAATTTACATTTTATTGTTGTTTATTAAAGCTGTCACAAGTGATTTTTAAAATATGTATACTTTTATAAATTACTATTTGAAAGGTTTTCATAATGAAGGTTTGAGTTTTTACAGTTTATTTATGATCTTTTTTCAAGTTACTGTTCATATTTTTGTCTTTAACTCATATCCCTTTCACGTTAGTGAAAGACTAGGAAGTGTTAACTTGTTTCTGCCTTTTATTTTATAAATGGTACTCCTTGGATAGATTATTTAACATTGTTTATTAATTTATTAGAAAAAATACATCAAAACAAGGGAAATGTGAGTGAAACTGTTCTGTCACCAGTGCATTTTAATAAAATCATATTTTACATTTTAAACTATATGTCATTTCATTAAAGGCAGTATTTTCTGCCCATATAGAGTTTGTATTGCAAAAACATGCTAATGGAGATGGTACTTTCAAACACTGGAGATGTGAAGGATCCTTTGAAAGACAGCTTGATAGCAGATGAAATAATAACAGAATAGAAATTAGAAGAATTTCAAGTATTTTTGAAAAGGTTCTTGACCCCTTTCTACCACTTCCTGAAAATTGCTCATAAATTAATGCCTGTCTACCCACCCTGTCATATTTCCACTTAGTGTAAAGATTGCTGGGCCAGTGTATTGAATCTAATGGAAATAGACTTTCTTGTCACCTGTCTTGTGACAGATAGCCTTAGTGAAGATTACTTGTCACAGCTAGGCTGATAAATGTGTTTTCTGGTGTTGTGACTGAGAACAAGCCTGTTAAACAACGGCTGTGGGAATTTGTGGTTTTCTGTAAGACTCAATTACTGAACTGAAGTAAAGTTACAGTGCTTCCCCGCTTTCAGTCTCTCTTGAGTTTGTTGCCCATATTTAAAATTGAAAACATACTAGCATTTGGAAATTGACAGAAAAGCTTGATGCTAAATATACAGTCATGAGAAAGTGAATTTTGACCTTAATTAGTTTAGCCTTTTTCCAGTATATTTGGCAGTGACATTTTTATGTTGAATTACCTTTCTCACATTGGAGAAAAATAAAAGCCAACATTCTTCAAAGGTGATAATACCAACAAAATAGGATGGCTTTATTTCTGAAAAACTGATTGATTGATTTTATTATTCAAGTTTAGATTATGTTGAGCAGGTGTCCCTTTGAGAAACAACGTTGTTGATTCTCTAGCTGTGTGTAAATTTGAGTAATATTAACCCTACACTTAAAATTCTGCTTCTTTGAATGGATCTCCATTATGATACCTTGAAAAATTACCAACATCCACTTAGTTTTTGCAAATGATGCAACACATCCATTGTGCCACATTTTACATATAGTCTGTGGTTTCTTGTTCTGAGTTTGAAAATTAGCACGTTTTTAAAAATCCACTGTCATTATATGAACGAAGTTTAAAAAAAAGGAACAACTCGAAACAATCTAATTTCCAGACCTCATACCTCTAAAACTTTAGTAAGAATTTTGTTAGAGTTTTTCTCAAAACAATTTCATAATCAACCAAGGAGAGGTACAAAGTGGACATGCATTTTATAATATTGTTAGAAGAAGATAAGGATTTCTTTAAAGGGAAGAATGATGTTCATCAAATAGAATTAAAATACATTGATGTGTACATCATATACTGCTTCCTATTGTATTAAATTTCTTTTTTTAAAAAATTATTGCTCTGTAATCTAGGACGGTGATGAATCATCTCCAATTTTAACAAGTTTTGAATTAGTGAAAGTTCCTGACCCCCAGATGTCTATGGTAAGTTATTGTGCAATTTTTTTATGAAAGTACTTTTCTTCAGAGTAATTGTGAGTTAGCCACATCATGTACTTTCTTTAAACAAAGTAATATATAACTGCCTCCGTTACCTAAAAGTGATTCATAAATTCACTTTAGCATCTAGGCACTGTTTCTGATGGAATTTTATGAGGAATATTAACATCTTAAAACTAAGGTAAGGGTAGAGTAGGGTTGGGCATCCACTTTGTTTGAATTGCTGAAAGAGCTAGGCAGTATACTCTTTTTTTTTTTCTTCAGGTTGGGGGTATATAATCTTGAAGTGAAGACTTGGCAGAACTGGTATTTGAAAGATTGCCATCATACAGAAGGAGAATTTGCCTGTTACAGGAGGATTCTATAACCAGGATGAATGCGTGAAAGTTTTAGGGAGACCAATTTGTTGGAAAATAGGGAAGATTGCTGTAGCCCTAGAACTGTTCAATTTGGAACGTGGTAACTTGGATGATGGTGGGATACCTTCTTATTAACGAATTTTTGAGATGATAGCTTTCAGGGATATGAGGATAAGAATTCATACAATGCAAAAGAGGTTTAATTAGATGACTTTAGAATTACAAACTTGTAGGCACAAAATCCTTTTAGCAGCACGATAGTTACCATGATTTTTGCAGTTACAGCTCATTTACATCATTCCAACTCTTTTTGTTCTAATTTTATACATTTCTAATTAGATTAGTTACCTTCCTCATCAGACCAAAGTGGATTAAAATTGGGACATTGGATGATGAAAACATGATGATTGAGATAAGTACAGGTCATGAAAGCAGGAACGGCTGATGGCCTAATATCAAAGGAAGAGATGGGCAGCAGGGAAAGTAGAGTATAAAAAGTTAAAAAGAAAAGGCCACTTGCGGATCTGGTAGGAACATTCTAAAGACCTTGATAGTTCCTATGCATAGTATAGTAGAATCCAGTTAATCCCAAATTGGCACTGAATTTTCAGTATAAAATCAAATTATATTTTACACTTTTGATATTCAGAGCACACACTAAGTATGAAGAAATTCAGTTCAGCCTGCAGTTATAGTTATTTGTTAAATGCAGAAACACATTTTAAATGTAAACTTTGGGTGGGACTGAGATGATATACAGCTGTATCTGACAATAAAACAGACTATAATTACAATAATGTGGTAGTGACACACATGTGTAAACCAATATACTGGTTGAACAGAATTAAAAGCCCAGAAATACATCCAAGTATGCATGGAAATCTAGTATATGATATAGGTGGCATTTCTTCACTAAGTCATAATACTGAGGAATGGAATTAATTTGGAAAAAAATAATAAAATTATATCCATAACTCATGCCATACATAGGAATAAACTCCAAATGGATCTGTAATCTAAATGTTAGGAAATGAAACTAGGCCAAACATGGTGGCTCATGCTTGTAATCTTAACACTTTTGAGAGGCCAAGGCAGGAGGATCACTTGAGCCCATGAATTCTAGACCAGTCAGGGAAACTGAGGGAGACCCCATCTCTACAAAAAAATAAAATAAATTAGCCAGGTAGTGGCACGTACCTGTAGTCCCAGCTACTTGGGAGGTTGAGGTAGGAGGATTGCTTGAACTCAGGAGGTCAAGGCTGCAGTGAGCTATATTCATGCCAGTGTGCTCCAGTTTGGTCAACAGAGCAAGATCCTGTCTCAAAAAAAGAAACCACACTAGTATTTTACTGTCAGTGTAGGGAAAGACTTTTTAACTGTGACTCAGAATCCAGAGGCAATAAAATAAATGATTGATAAATTTAACTACATTTTAAAAATTACATGGCTGAAGAGACCAACAAAGCCAAAAGACAGTTAACAAACTGGGAGAAAATACTTAACTACATACATTACAGATATATTAAGGCTGATACATAAAGAACTCTTAAAAATGAAGGACAAAGGACCATAAAGCCATTAAAAAAATTAGGAATATGACATAGACAATTCACACATGCAATAAAAAATAAATAATATAAATTTATATCTTGTTTTAGGCAATGACAGTATGGTTAAAACTAATAATTTTGTCCATGGGTAAAATAGCACCAGATGTGTATATTCAAGCGTTGTGATTATTGTCCTTGCCCTCAGTAACTGATAGCTTAAATAACTGCTAAGATGATAATACAGTGACATCACAAGGTCATTAGTAGCTGACAGGAGGAAGGAATGCTTTAGTCTATGTTGTCAGGGAAGATTTTACAGTGATGGTGATATTTGATTGGTTAGAGGATATGGAAACCTTGAATATGTGGAGAGTGAAGGGACGATGTTTTAAGAAGCTGTAATGACGTGTGTATTATGGGACTAGTGGAGTTTAAGGCATACTTAGTTTCCCAGTCTTGAGAAGGATACATATTTTTAAGATATGTAGAAGACTGCTAAAGTTGTATCAGAACAAAACATTAGATATTATTAAATGCTCCTAAGTACCTTTTCTATTTATGAATAGCTTTTGAAATTTCCTTTTGGTGAAGTTTACATTGTCAATATTTTAAAATAATTTGTAGGAGAATTTAGTTGAGAGCAAACACCACAAGCTTGCCCGGAGTTTAAGAAGTGGACCTTCTGACCACGATCTGAAACCCAATGCTGCCACGAGAGATCAGTTAAATGTAAGAGAATTATGAAATATTAATTTAAAAATAGTTAAATGGGTGTTCTGGTTGAAACTGATAGCTATCACCTCACTTAAAAATTATTTAGATGCACATTTTCTCCAGGTTGATGAATCCTACATCATGTTCATAATTTCACAGATCAGCAGTTCTGTTATCATTTGGGGCTTTCCATAAATGTGTTATCTCTGGAGACAGAACTGCATATACTGTATACTTTCATGTCAGTAGTATTCTTAGAAGCTGGCCCTAAGACATTGCCTGAGAGGACTTAGTGTGTACACATGCCTTGTTGTATGCATTGACTTTAAAAGAGTTTATTGTGTGCACATTTTTCCTTTTTCTGGTAGAAGACGTTGTTATTTTGCTAGGTTTTGTTTCTGGTTGAATTAAATGAACTCTCCAGTTAAATATTTTCCTATGGAATATGACTTTATCTTCTTTTCTTCTCCTTTAAACTGCATTTTGGACACATAATTATAACAAATTTAAGGCCTACTTGACTGAGTTTACATTTTCCTTGCTTGTGTAATAATTGTAGTATAGAATTATTTAAATAAATGAAAAATATTAAGTGAAATGGAAATATATAGGACATGTATTGTTGACAAAATTAGTTCTTTTTCTTTTTTTGTTTTAGATTATTGTGAGTTATCCACCAACCAAGCAACTTACATATGAAGAACAAGATCTTGTTTGGAAGTTTAGATATTATCTTACGAATCAAGAAAAAGTGAGTGTCTTGAATATTTTCATATATCAAATTTATCTACCAACTTTGTTATTAATGATCAAGATGAGGAAAATGCCATGGAAATTGTTATTGTCACTTTAAAGAAAAGTTACAGAGCAGTATATATGAGACTCCATTTTTTAAAAAAATTATGAAATTCTGCATACAAAGACACCTGTACCTGTTTGTTGACTCATAGACAATGTCTGAATGGGTTTTGAAGTCAGAGAGACTTGGGTTCGTTTTCCAGAAGTACATTTTACGTTTGTTTGGTAGGATGAGGCAACTTACTTTGGCAGCATGGTGTCCTTATTATTCTAATGGCGACAGTTCTCCTTCACAAGTAAGATAATACAGGTAAGTAACCTGGTAGAGTATCTGGTGCATAGTAGGTGCAGAGTAAATGCTGGTTCTCTTCTTCTTACCTCTTTGAACCTGGGTGACTAGGAAAATACGTATGCTTTTATAATAACGAAACTACAGAATTCTAGACGAGATGTGGCTGGAGAGAGAGTATGAGAAATATAATTTGAGATGTGGGAATTCAGTTGGTGGAGTAGCATACAGGTTGGCATACAGGATAACGGGTAGGTCAAAGCTCAAAGCTAGACATTTGCTTCCTGTAATAAAACCATGGAGTGGATAAGGTTTCTGGAGAGAGAATTGTGGTAAAGTAGTCATCACTAACCTGAAGTCTTTGGACACTTAGTCTTGAGTCTTACTGTTGCCCCTAAGAAGCTTTTTGACTACAGGCAAATTACTTTGCCTGTATAAGCTTTAGTTTTCTTATATTTAATATGAGACAATCAGTGATTGTGAACTTTGTCTCCTAGTTTTTAAAATAGTCTGTAAAATCTTAAAACAGAGAGCCAAGGGGTACCTCTTAAGGTATAATAATAATAGCTAGCATTTTTTAAACAGATACTATGTACCAGGAATTCTTTAAATCCCATAACAACCCCACAATGTATGTATTATTGTAACTGTTCTACAGGTGAGGAAACTTGAGCCTCAGAAAGATTAGGGGACCTGTGCAGACTCACAAAGCTTATACATGCTGCCTCTTGATATGCTTGCATCTACGAATTAGAAGAAAAGAAAGTCAGTGAAGACGTAGAAAAGAGAATTATAGAGAAAACATTTTCAACATCATATACATGCCTTAGCAGACACCCTGAAATGCATTAGAGGAAGAGCAGAGAAGCATTAGGAAAATTAATATCTGTTCAGGAAGCTGTTACATATTTATTTGAGAATGAATGGATATGTTTTATAATCTTGTGATATGGTCTTTACTATTTTAAGTTGTTTTTCTGAACCAAATGTCCTTTCTTTAGTTTCTAAAGTAAAGATAAAAATCCAGTTACAGCTCATCTTAACTCTTCAGCTTTTCTGCTTTGTCATTTATTGATGCCTTAGGAAATTCTTTGTAAATGAATCATATTTATTCTCCTTTATATCCATAATAAGAATGAGAGAAGAATTTTCAATTTACTATAGCTTTGAGTGTAATTCTCTTCATCACTGAAGAAAAGGAAATATTCACTAACAGAAACACAGGTTTGTGATTTGTGTTTTATTAAAAGATTGAGTTAGTGTCATGATACTGTGTTAAATGAAGAATAACCTTGGTCACAGAAACTGCATCTTGAATGCAGCTCAGTGTCGTCTTAAATACACAGCTAGATATTGAATTGAACCTGTTAGAATGTATAGGTTTAAAAAGCATACAGGAGTAGATTTACAGAGCAGAACTTTTTTAGATAGAAAGGTTTGCAAGAAAAATTGTTTGTTTAAACAAGTAGTCACTTCCCACCGAAATTCAATTACTTCTAGATATGTGCAAAAGAAATAAAATGTTCAAGTGATATAAAGTGTGTGACAAGTTTCATTTAACTAGTTGATTTCAAGTTTTCGAAAGGTGAGTGATGAAACTTCAATTCTCAGGATATGTTATAGGATTCTTCTGACCACTAGAGTAGAGTGAACGATATGTTTTAATGTTCAGAAGTCACTATGGAGTAAACCAAATATATATAGGCCTTGAAGTGACCAAAGGAATTATTCACACAGCCACATTTGTAACCTTGTAATAATTTCAGATGGGTTTTGTGAAAAACGGATACTCTCATACTCCACCCATTAATTTATTTACAGAAAGAAATTCTTTTAGCGTCAGACTCTCAGAAATTATGATTTAGGTTACTTGACATTTGGGCCCTGGGGCTGAAAAGCTTTTCTAGAGAGAAGGCAGTGCTCAGAAAACAAATTGGAGGAAATTGGTTCTCACAAAGTCACACTTTTTATTTTTTAATTAAATTTTGTCTTTCTACCCCCTTTTTTTTTCCTTAATGACCTAAGTATTTCAGATGAAAACCTTCTAGTCAGGACTTGATGTTTCACCCAGAAAGTTCATAGTAATAACTTTGTTCAATTAAATTTGTTACCATTTAAATTTATGAAGTATTTTCAAATTCACAGTTTATAGCATGTAGGAAGTGACCCATTTCTGTGGAACCTGAAATATGAATACTGTAATTTTTCAAAACTATTTGACAAAAACTGCAATTACTTTTGCACCAACCTGCTTTTACAATGGACTTTTTTCTTATAAAAATACTAATTTAAATTAACTCCATGCCTTTTGATTATGCTTGGGGGAAAAAAGCAGTTGGAAGAGTCATGTATAGTGAAGATAATAGTGATGCACTGAGTGTTCTTATAAGGCTGTTTCTGAGACAGTGACATGAGGACAATCATCATATTTGTGTCTCCTGACAAGAAATTGATGGTGACCCATGGGATAAATGAATTCAGTTCAGCAAGTATTCATTATCACCTCTTGGCCTAGCATTATATAAGACTATGAGCTTTCAGGTATCATGTCCTTGTATTCATATAAATTAAAATTGTTTTGGGGTAAGGATATTTACACATAATTAAAATTAGGAAGTATAGCATAGTAATTGATTAAGGGTCACTCTCTTAATAAACATATAAGTAATTAATATAATATAAATGTGGAGGATGACCAGATCAGTGTGCTGTGACATGAGGAAGGTTTCACAGAACAAAGATTGCCCTTAAAGTGTGAGCAGACTTTGATAGCATTTTTTATTTGGTGGTCATTTTTTTATGGGGCAGGAAAGCATGAGTAAGGTAGGCTGTTAGGTTCAGGAAACAGTTTTGCATGAATGGTTATGAAATAGAAAAGATGGCATCAGATTGTGACGAGCCTCAAATTATACCCTTAGGAATTCAATTTTACTGGCGACAAGAAACGACTAAAGCAGGAAAATGTGTGTTAACAAGTGATATTGTACTTCTCTTTTTTTCTTTGGAGACAGAGTTTCACTCTTGTTGCCCAGGCTGGACTGCAATGGCATGATCTCGGCTCACTGCAACCTCCCCCTCCCAGGTTCAAGTGATTCTCCTGTCTCAGCCTCCCAAGTAGCTGGGATTGCAGGCGTGCACCACCACGCCGGCTAATTTTGTCTTTTTAGTAGAGACAGGGTTTCACCATGTTGGTCAGCCTGGTCTTGAACTACTGGCCTCAGGTGATCAACCTGCCTCAGCCTCCCAAAGCGCTGGGATTACAGGTGTGAGTCAGCACGCTGGCCTAACAAGTGATATTTTAAGGAGTACAAACTAGGGTAGATTGGAGCAGAGCAGAAAATGAAAAAAAGTGACATAATTAGGAGAATCATATACTGACTTAGAGAACAGTTTTGGAGGGCAAGGGATGGAGAAGAAGCTATACAAGTAAGTTGACTTTGGAGACAATGGCCAGGGGTTAGGCCTGAACCTGATGGATTTATATACGTGTGTGTTCATACCCCACTTTTGGTACCAATTTACTGTATTATTCCGCTTTCACACTTCTGATAAAGACATACCTGAGACTGAGAAGAAAAAGAATTTTAATGGACTTACAATTTCATGTGACTGGGGAGGCCTCACAATCATGATGGAAGGCAAGGAGGAGCAAGTCATGTCTTACGTGGATGGCAGCAAGCAAAGGGAGCTTGTGCAAGGAAACTCCCCCTTATATAGCCATCAGATCTCATGAGACTTACTCACTATCATGAGAACAGCATGAGAAAGACCTGCCCACGTGATTCAGTTACCTCCCACCATGTCCCTCTCATAACACGTGGGAGCTGAAGATGAGATTTGGGTGGGGACACAGCCACACCATATCAGTAAGGATATATCGCAAGTGGGAAGAAACGAATGAGATGTTTTCATGTTTGAGTATTTGGAATCAAAAGCATTGGAAAAGCAGCAAAATAGACATTTCTGAGAATTTAGTTGGTAGAAGTTTAAATTAGGAATATATATATGAGATATAGTATTTTCAGTTCTGGGGTGATTGTGATTCTAAGAATAGGAGACAACTGGTGATTTTCAGATCAAATGAATAAAACATAGTAACACATATAGTAAAGCTAACATTTGATGTCAACATCGAAATAGAATAAAAATAATAACTGATAATAAACTATTTACTATAGGATACTGTTACAAACATTTTACATTCATTAACTTAGTCTTCACCACAAGCCTATGAAAAAGGTCTCTTAAAAGTTAATGTGCTTCAATTTAGTCAGCTAATAATTGATAGAGCCAGGAATTATAATTGGAACCCAAACACCCTGGCTCTACAGCCTGTGCTCTCCAGTAATCTGTGGAAGTTACACACAGAGAGAGAATTGCTCTTTACAATTCTCTTTACATTTTTACATGGATCAGTAAAGCATCTTTAAAAGACCTAGGGTCATTTAAAAAGGCCATTATTATTGCTGTCTTCAAATTCTTACTTTTTGTCTTTCTTATTCTTTGACTCCTTGTTTTCTTCTTCATTCTGTTGGCTCCTTGTTTACATTTGTAACATTTAACATTAAAAAGTTGTGAAATTCTTTGTACAGTGCCTTATGTTTTTTGGCAGCAGCATACTTCATAAATCTTGCTAATAAGTCTATAAATCTGAGAATCTAAGTTTTAGATTGTTTCAGTTATTGAATTGAGTACATCGGCATGCTACAAGATTTGCTTATAATAAGTACATACCCGCACATTTCTATTAAGACTGCTGATGTACTGTGAAATGGAAAAGCTTTCACTGTCATTATTTAAGAAGTATTGCTTTGTTTCCACATTCAACCTAGAAATACGTTTTAGAAGTGGAAAATAAATTCATGGAATAAGTTAGTAGGGCAATCTGTGTTCTATACAGAAAGGGAGCATTATACTAAATGGTGTGCAGGAGGTGTAGAGGAAGTGGACAGCTGTCCTTGGGGAATGCAGACTCCAGTTATAGAGATAAAAATGCCCACAAAAACATTTGGCAGTTAGAAAAACATCATTTAAATGACAGTAGTAAAATTGAGCCAGCTTCTAAAGGAATAGCTGAAAGTTGCCGAAAACTTCCTGTAAAACTTTCAACAAGATGACTTTAGAGGAGATGATATCCCTGTTTGATGAAGAGTATATGGGAGGAATGTACACAGGGGTTAGAGAGACATTGTTAATGTAAGTTAACTGGGCTGAAGCATGGAAGGGCAATGAGAGGTTAATGAAATGGGTTTGCATTGTGGTAAGTGGTAGCAATGAAATGTTTTGAGAAAGAAGCCAAGGTTATTTGTTTATTTACAAATTAGAATGTCCTATCATCTAGTTGAAACCACTTTGTAACAGTATGGCAATTATCTTCAAATATTGGAAAGGTTGTCCACATCGTATGGGGCTAAATTTACTCCCATTCTCTACAAAGAATGAAACTAACCAATTAGAAAAAGCAATATGAAGACATTTTTGTCTTTTGGTTCATTATAGTTAAAATCAAAACAAAACAAAAATGGCTTAGCTTTCTATGAATATAATGGCTATTTTGGAAATTAGTTCCTGGAGTCACTTAAGTAAATATTGGGTCTCTTTTTGGCATTCATGTTGTGGGGTATTTCTGCTAACAATAGGAAATTTGTGCTAAGATCACTTCCAACTTGAGCTTCTAAGAGTTTGTATGAAATGATTAGAAGAGAAACTCGTATTTAGTTTCTTAGCTAGAAGGCTCTGTCCAACTCCAGATGTGTCATATAATGAGAATCAGGCTGAAGACAAATATAGGAGATATTGCTAGGAAATAATTGAAAGGAACTGGAATGGATTCAGGAGATTAGTGTTGTCAGAGTAATGGCTCCAAGGGGAATGGGACTAACTAGGGAATGGAGCGCCTTAATGGTAAGGAAGCACCATCTGGTGGAAGAAGTATGGGGCTGAGAATTGGTGGACCTGAGTTCTACATCTAGCTCATGCACCATCTTGAGGTGATGGGCAAGCCATTTATCTTTGCTGAGGTTATATACAATTTAAGCATTGAACTAGACAATCTCCATAGTGCCGTTTTTCTTAATAAAATCAAGAATAAGTTAGGGGATGGGTTTGAAGGTTCATTTAGTGTCATACTAACAGAAATTATGTTTTGTTGTCCAAGTAGACATTTTCTTGAGGAATTGATTAGTTTACTAATAAAAAGATTTTGGTTGGGCAGAGCAGGGGTCTTAACATTTTCAAGTTACCTATTTTTCAACAAATAGCAACAGAGGAAGACAAAGAAGAAGAAAACATCTTGGGTTCAGCCAGGAAAGTGTTGCCTTTGAGACCCAGCAATAAGTATTGCTTTTTATGGAAAGCAAGTACATGCTTTTCTTTATTTTCATTTGTTTTTGTAGAGATGAGTTCTTGCTGTGTTGCTCAGGCTGGTCTTGAACTCCTGGCCTCAAGCAATTCTCCTGACTGAGCATCTGAAAGTGCTGGGATTACAGGCATGAGCCACCACACCTGGCCAAGAAGTGTGTACCTTTCTTAAAAGAGGACTTACTGTTTGTGCAATGAGTGATATACTCCAAGACAATTTGCTTAACTGACAGTCTTGTGAAAACTTCCGTGTGCTGCCTATTCAAGGGAGTGAGGTTGCAGAAAGATGTACAACCAGCCAGATCATAGACTGTTTGCTGCTGTTTCTGTACTTACCCATTTTTATGCTTCTGTTTTGAGGTTTTGTTGGATTGCCTATCTTTTTAAGTAGTTACTTCACAGAGATACGTACATACTCCACATCGTTTGAGTCTTCATGTTTAAGTATCTGCGAAAGCCGGTGGTCATACTCTAGGGAGGTGATCGAGAGTGAGGCTATTGGGAATTTCTGCCCTAGCATGGCTTCCGGCCCTTCGCTCAGTGGTTGCAGTATTTTCTGTTGTAAAATATAGGTTTTCTCTAAGGCATCTTAGAGTTCGTGAGAAATGCCTCAACTATTTCCATGTCTTGAGCCCTGCAGTATTTTAAAATAACAATAGCAAAATGAAGAAAAGCCAAAACAAATTAAAAAATTCATAGTGCTCGCAAATGATTTGGCCTGGAAAATATAAAGATACAGGGAACATGCTTTTTTTCTGTCCTGCAGTGCTTCTATAAGATCATATATATAACTTCATTTAGTGCTTACACAAGGAGTCTATCACTGACTCCGTGGCTCTGTCATTAGGACCTAGTGGAACTCTGCCTAGTCAACTTCTCTATCCCAGGAAATAGGCTGTTTCTAATTTTTAAATATTTTCTGATTTTAGGCCTTGACAAAATTCTTGAAATGTGTTAATTGGGATCTACCTCAAGAGGCCAAACAGGCCTTGGAACTTCTGGGAAAATGGAAGCCGATGGATGTAGAGGACTCCTTGGAGCTGTTATCCTCTCATTACACCAACCCAACTGTGAGGCGTTATGCTGTTGCCCGGTTGCGACAGGCCGATGATGAGGTGCATTATTATTTATTATTCTGCTTCAATGGGTCATTTTAAACTAGAGCCTAATTATAAACTATGTGTGTATGTGTGTGTGAGAGTGAGAGAGAGAGTGTGTGCACATGCAAGAGAGATTTTTAGAAGGGAAGAGGATATACTAGGTGTATTTTCAGAAGGAAAATTAAAATATGCCTCAGAGGACTCCTCTGTGAAATGAAAATTTACTTCCTGATCTGTTACGTGGTAGGACAGTCTCTCCCAGGACATTTACCTGGCAGCAGAGCTTGTATTGCTCTGTCTGGAAGAAGGAATTCTAGTGAAAAATGGTTTAATGCAGCACCAGCTAGGGAATAATTCAGATCTCCTCTATCAGTCAGTATACAACAAGCCACATTTAATTGTAGCCTTGAAAAGCCCTTGGGGCCTTTAAAGCTTAGAGATGCATGGTCATCTTCCTCTCCTTCAAACTCGCCTTTTAAACTTTCAGCTGATGACAATTATATGTATATGTAGATTTTCTGAAGGGGTTTTGGATCCTTGGAAAGCAAAGATTGCCAACTATATGCTGGCTATTTATATACAGTTATTTATCAGTTAATGACAGGGAAGTGTTCTGAGAAATGTGTCCTTAGGGGATTTCATCTTTGTGCAGACATCATGGAGTATACTTACCCAAACCTAGATGGTAAAGCCTACTACACACTGAGGCTGTGTACTCCTAGGTTACAAACCTGTATAGCATGTTGTTGTACTAAATACCTTAGGCAGTTGTAACGCAATGCTAAGTATTTGTGTATCTAAACATAGAAAAGGTACAGTAAAAACAGAGTATTATAATCTTATGGGATTACTGTCATATATGTGGTCCTGTCTTGGCTGAAGCATTGTTATGTGGCACATGACTGTTCATGTAAGGCCATCAGGGAAGGAAGAACACTTTTTTGACAAAAAGCATTGCTGGATTTTGGGCTTTAATAATTCTTTATAGATAGACTAATCCAGCAACTTGTTTTCTTAATTTTTATAGGGTGAATATGTTCTTAAACATAACCTAATAGTTTATGCTAGCCAGCAGTACTTTATGGGATGTGGAGTAACTTCTCAAGCTTCAATATATATAGCAATGTCGATCGCATAGAACAACTATTATCAAATACCTTTTTAAGAGGGAGGGGACAGTGAGATCATTTTGAATTAGTGGTATCTGAATTTCAAGAAGCAAATTAAATATTTATTAAAGTTGATCATTGTATGTGTGTATTTAATTATGGTGAAATTTAAACACTAAAGTAAATAGTATAATGAACCCCAACAAATAATTCATCTGTCTTCAGCAGTTGCCAATTTATAACCAATCTTGTTTCATCTGTAACACTGCTCAGTCTCTCCACCCCAACCCCCTAACCTCTACTAGATTACATCCTTCTGACTTCTGGCCTACTGGCTTTAACAAATCAGGGGGCTCCCATAACCCTCTCCTTGGGTGTGATAATTTGCTAGAATGACTCACAAAACTCAGGGAAACATTACTTACTATTGATTTATTATGAAGGGTATCCTAAAGGATACAGAAGAACAGCTAGATGAAATGATAATTTGCCAGAATGACTCACAAAACTCAGGAAAACATTACTTACTACTATTGATTTATTATGAAGGGTATCCTAAAGGTTGCAGATGAACAGCTAGTTGAAATGACACATGGGTTGAGGTCCTGAGCACAGGAGCTTCTGTCCCCATGGAGTTTGCAGTATAGCACCCTCCTGGCATGTGGGTGCATTCTTCTTCACCAACCCAAAAGCTCTCAGAATGCTGTGCTTTTCTGAGAAAAGCAGAAAAAATCAGAGTTTTTGTGGAAGCGCCATTACATTGGCATGATTGATTAAATCATTGGCTGCTGGCCGATTAAGTCAATCTTCAGTTCTCTCTGTTCCCCAGAGGTTGAGAGGGTAGAGCTTAAAGTCCCACCCTCTAATCACATGGCTGGCTTTTCTCTCAGCCAACCCCCATCTTTAGGGGCTTTCCAAAAGTTACCTCATGAACATAAACTCAGGTGTGATTGAAAGGGGCTTGTTAGGAATAACAAAAAAAATTTCAATGCCAGCATGCTATATTTTGTCCTTTTTATTTTAGCATGTCCTGAACTCTGTCACTGTAGATCTGCCTTATTCTTTCTAAATAACAGCATGATATTTTACTGTGAATTTTTTTGTTAATTTACTTAACCATTGGGCCTCTTTTATAGGCTGTTGTTCCCATTCTTTTCCTGTAACTGTATTTTAGTGAAGAGGTGTGTGGGGGAGGGTAGGTGGGTATGTTTTAAAAATCATATTCTTTTTTTTTTTTTTTTTTTTTGAGATGGAGTCTTGCTCTGTCTCCTAGGCTGGAATGCAGTGGCGTGATCTCAGCTCACTGAAAGCTCTGCCTCCCAGGTTCACGCCATTCTACGGCCTCAGCCTCCCAAGTAGCTGGGACTGCAGGTGCCCGCCACCACCCCTGGATACTTTTTTGAATTTCTTTTTTAGTAGAGACGGGGTTTCACCGTGTTAGCCAGGATGGTCTTGATCTCCTGACATCGTGATCCGCCCCCATCGGCCTCCCGAAGTGCTGGGATTACAGGCATGAGCCACCACACCCGGCCTTAAAAATCATATTCTTGAATAAACTGCTTGCGTTATAATTATTGAGCCAAAAGATATCTGCTTTTTACATTTTGCAGACAATCCCCATAAGTCTTTTTACCCTTGTCTTATACTTTTAAAAAATTTGTTCCTTTATAATACTTTAAATATATGACTAGACAAAGCTTTTCTTCTTTCCTTTTTTTTATAATTTTATTTACAGTTTTTTTACATTTGTTCTTTCCATGAATTTTAGAATAATTTTATCATTTTCTTAAAACTGCACCAGAATCTTAAGTGGAATTACATTATGTTTGCATATTATAAAAATATTGACACCTTTATGACATATCTTCCATCACAGTGGCATATGATTTTTTATTCACTCACTTATCAATTTTACTAAAATCATATACATTCTTAACATTTTGATTTATTCCCTGGCAATTATATTATTGTTACTATTATAAACTAGCCTACCCCATTTATCTTTTATTTACATTTCTTAGTTAAAAGGAAAACTGTTTCTGTTACAATATTTGTTTTATCTCATCACTTTATTGACTTTTCTTACTCTAATAGATGTTAGGTTGCTTCTTATATTTTGTAGGTATAGCATTATGGTAGCTGAAAAGCAGTCTAGTTTTTCATTGCATTAGCTAAAAGCTGCAAGTAATAATGGTGAATAAAAGTAGTTCAATATTCATCTTTGTCTTGTTGCTCATTGTGGGTACGCTTTTAGTATTTCACTCTAATGTGTGTTGCTTACTGGTTTCAGTCAAATGCTCTCATTTATGTTTAAAGTTTCTCCCTGTCTCTGTTTGTTCTTTTCTTTTTCTGTGTGTTTAAATCAAGAATGGCTTCTATATATTATCAAACACGCTTTTGACACTCGTTCATATCATATAGTGTCTCATTTTTATCAATCTACTGTAAGTATGCTGATACATTTCCTAATGTTTTATCAGCCATACACTTGTAAAATAAATCTCAATACTGTCTGAATTTGATTTGTTAATATCTGATTTAGGATTTTTTTAATGGCTATTCTTTATCTTGCATTATTTTGAAATTTTTAAATCATATTTCCTACTGCTGTGTAGTTCAAAAGGAGACAGATCCCATATTAGAATTTAATGAAGAAGTGGCATTTGAGTTGAAGGAAATGTAGAATTTTTACGTTTGGAGTTTATATTCCAGGTAGAGAAAGCAATATGAGCAAGAGCAAGGGAACTGAAAGTACAGGAAGAATGGAAAGTATGTCACTTAGACTGGAGTGTGGGATATATGTAGTAGCCATTGAGAGGCAAAATCGGAACCCATGTCTCTAACTGAAAATGCCTCTATGGAGAGTTATTCTTAATTCAATAAGAAATGGGAAGTCACTAAGTGATTTTGATATGGGACTTCACATTTGCACTTTGAAGCATTAGAATTAACTCACTCTTGAGAAAAATGGTGATCACTATCTAGTAAAAATTTCATAGCTCTTGGGAAGTATTTACAGAATTGCCTGAGATGGAAGCCTGGTTTTTTTTTTCTTTTTTGCTTTGTTTTACTCCAATGCTTATGTCCTTCATGCTTGGAGGACTTTTATATTTTTCAAGACATGAGTATATAATGAGAAAACAGACTCTGTACTTACTATTGAAGTTAATTCATTTTCATACAAATGAAGGAAAGTATAGTTTGAATATAGAATATGTAATGACCAAGAAATCAGATGATGATAAGTGACTTAGAAAAGTTTTCTACTGAATTTCCCCTTCCTGGGGAATTTAATACCGCAGCCTTTTTTATGTTATATGGTTAACTCTTTTCTGTAATTAGGAAAGCACACAGGTAATAGATTGAGCAGCACTCCGAATGAAGGCTGGCAGTGAAACTGAATTACTTATACCTCCAAAGAGGGATACCTGCCATTAAACATATTGTTTAATTTTCTGTTATATAATACTTTTTTCCTTAGGAAACAACATGTAATTATATGTATAGTTATTGGATGCCATGAATCTCAACTATGATAATAGAAAATCAGATGTTTATTGCTCCAATTAAAAAGTGGGTTTTAGAAACAACACTATAGAGAGACTTGATTTCCCTGACTCCTGACATTGACATATTTGAACAAGAATTAATAAGCCACATAATCTTCCATTTAATTTATATTTATGATGAAGTCATATGTATTACTCTTTGTTAGTGTTTGCCTAATGACCTTTTTAAAAATTATTTGGTGTGAGATACAAATTCTGAACAAAAGAGAAATATACAGTCATACCTCAGAGATACTGCAGGTTTGATCCAGACCTCTGCAATAAAGCAAATGTCACAAAGTGAGTCATATGAATTTTTTGGTTTCCTAGTACATGTAAAATTTATAAATATAATTTTGCTGTATGTTTATATAGTAAATTATACTGTAGTCTAAGTATGTAGACTACATTATGTAATGTACATTATGTAGACTACATTATGTAATGTACATTATGTAATGCTTACATTATGTAATGTACATTATGTAATGCTTACATTATGTAATGTACATTATGTAATGCTTACATTATGTAATGTACATTATGTAATGCTTACATTATGTAATGTACATTATGTAATGCTTACATAATGTAAGCATTATGTCTAGAAAAGCAATGTACATATCTTTTTTTAAAATATTGCTAAAAATTTTAACAATCATCTGAGCCCTTAGCAAGTTGTAGTCTTTTTGGTAGTCAAGGGTCTTGCCTTGATGTTTATGACAACTGAATGATCAGGGTGATGGTTGCAGAAGGTTGGGTTACCTGTGGCAGTTTCCTAAAATAAAACGAACGTAAACTTTGCCACACCCATTGACTCTTTTTTTCACAAAAGATTTGTCTGCAGCATGCAATGCTGCTTGTTAGCATTTTTTCCACAGTAGAACTTCTTTCAAAATTGAAGTCAGTCCTCCCTCTCAAATACTGTCACTGCTTTAACAACTATGTTTATGGAGTATTTTGAATCTTTTGTTGTCATTTCAACAATGTTCACAGCATCTTCACCAAGCATAGATCGCATCTCAAGAAACTACTCTTTGCTGCTCATCCATAAGAAGCAACTCTTCATCTGTTCAAGTTTTAGCATGAGATTGCAGCAATTCAGTCACATGTTCAGGCTGCACCTCTAATTCTAGTTTTTTTGCTATTTCCGTGACTTCTGCATTTACTTCCTCCACTGAAGTCTTTTTTGTTGTTGTTGAGATGGAGTCTCCTTCTGTTGCCCAGGCTGGAGTGCAGTGGCATGATCTTGGCTTACTGCAACCTCTGCCTCCTGGGTTCAAGCAAGTCTCCTGCCTCAGCCTCCCGAGTAGCTGAGATTACAGGCGTATGCCACTGCGCCCACCTAATTTTTGTATTTTTAGTAGAGACAGGGTTTCGCCATGTTAGCCAGGCTGGCCTTGAACTCCTGACTTCGGGTGATCCACCCACCTCGGCCTCCCAAAGTGCTGGGATTACAGGCACTGAAGTCGTCAGCCCCTCAAAGTTAGCCAAGAAAGTTAGAATCAACTTCTTCCAAACTCCTGTTAATCTTGCTATTTTGACCTTCCCCCATGAAGCTCAAATGTTCTTAATGACATCTAGAATGATGAATCCTTTCCAGAAGCTTTTCAATTTATTTTGCCCAGATCCATTACAGGAATCACTGTCTATGGAAGCTATGATCTCACAAAATGTGTTTCTTAAATAATAAGACTTGAAAGTCGAAATGACTTCTTGATTTTTGGGCAGTAGAATGGATGTTGTGTTAGCAGGAATGTAAATGGCATTCAACTTCTGCATCTCCATCGGAGCTCTTGGATGATCAGGTACATTGTCTATGAGCAGTAATATTTTGAAATCTTCTTTTCTGAACAGTGGGTCTCAACAGTGGGCTTAAATATTCATAAACCATGCTCTAAACAGATGTGATGTCATTCAGGCTTTGTTCTTCCGTTTATAGAGCACAGGCAATGTAGATGTAGCGTAATTCTTAAGGGCCCTAGGACTTCTGAAATGACGAATGAGCAGTGGCTTCAACTTAAAGTCACTGCCTACGTTAGACCCTTACCAAGAGAGTCAGTCTATGGTTGTGAGAGTCTTAGATGGTGTCTTATTCTAAAACAAGGCTGTTTCATCTGCACTGAAACTTTGTGGTGTAGTATAGTCACCTGCATCAATAACTTGTTGCAGTTTCTACATCAGTACTTGTTGCTTTGCTTTGTGCTTTTATGTTATGGAAATGACTTCTGTCCTTAAATCTCATGAACAAACCTCTTTTAACTTCCAACTTTTCTTTTGCAGTTTCCTCACCTTTCTCAGCTTTTATAGAAATGGAGAGAATTAGGGCCTTGCTCTGGATTGGGCTTTCACCCATGGGAATGTTGTGGCTAGTTTGATCTACCCAGACCACCAAAACTTCTATATCAGCAATAAGGGTGTTTACCTTTCTTTTCATTTGTGGTTCCCTGGAATGGCATTTTTAATATCCTTCAAGAACTTTTCCTTTGCATTCGTACCTTGGCTGCTCAGTATGAGAGACTTAGCTTTCAACCTATCTTGGCTTTTCCTGTGCCTTCTTCACTAAGCTTAATCATTTCTAGCTTTTGATTTAAAGTGAGAGACATGCATCTTTTCCTTTTACTTGAACACTTATTGTGCACTGTAGGTTTATTAATTGGCCTCATTGCAGTATTACTGTGTCTTGGAATAGGGAAGCCCTAGGAGAGGGAGAGAGACAGGGAAACGGCTGGTTGTTGGATTAGTCAGAACACATTCAACATTAATTGATTAAGTGTGCCATCCTATATGGGTATGCTTTGTGGCACCCCTGGTTACAATAGTAACATCAAAGATCACTGATCACAGATCACCATAACAGATAAAATAATAATGAAAAAGTTTGAAATATTATGTGAATAACTACAGTGTGACACAAAGACATGGAGTGAATGCATGCTGTTGGAAAAATGATGCCAATAGACTGCTTGGGTGCAGGGTTGCTACAAACCTTCATTCTGTAAAAAAAAAAAAAAAATGCAATGTGTGCAAGGTACAATAAAATGAGTTATGCCTATAGTATTAAATAAGGAAATATGGGTTGCTGGCAGGTGGTCTCTGTCCTCCTGGTTTACAAAATAGTGGAAAAACCAAGAGTAAGTTATTACAGGTGCTATAGTTGTTACAAATAGGAAAGTGTGGACCATCAAATATTTACAGGAGACTTAACCTGGTTTGTGAGCTTAAAGAGGAGACTGAAGTTGAGTTGGTAGTCCCAAAGTCTCAGAATTTTCTGATTATGAGTTTCAAGTGTCTAACAGGGTGAATGACAATTAGAATTGGAAGATAATACGTACATTTAAAAATTTTTTGAGCTTTGCAATTTTCTTCACTTTTTAGTTATTTTTAAAAGTAAAATTTTAAAAAGTACATACTTGTGAAGAGGACAAGTATGTCAAGACAACCTTTATAGAGAAATACTGGAAGCATTTCCATCCTAAACATTAAAGAGTTTTATTATTATTAAGGGAAAACTCAGTAAAGTGAAAGCTACTTTGTTGACTGACACCTTTTTAGTCCAAGTTATCTCATTGATTGTCACTTATGGAAAATTTAGTCTTAGCAATTTGTTTTGTTCAAATCTCTTGGTAGTTGGCAGGAATAGAAAGCATGTCTCTTAATCAACTGTTTAAATGTCTGTTTTACAGGATCTTTCATTTAAGAAGCAATCCAAATTCTCTAAAACTTGAGCTTTCAGGAAAAAAGAAAACAGATGATTTTTAAAGATTCTAACCAGTAGTAGTCATTAAACAGAAGTGCTTTGAAAACTTGAAAATTTGGAATTTCTTGTGTAATATTAAACATAGAATGCACTCTTCTGATCCATTACTGAAAAAAAGGATCCTTCTATAATTTCTTAGTTTTATGCAAAGCATCTTGAATCCTTCCCACTTTTTTTTTTTTTTTTTTTGAAACTACTACCTAAAACACGTCATTTACTGGCCACTTAGTCTGTGCCGGACACTATACTGTGACTTTCTTTTATTTACTAATTTAACCCTCATGCTCTTCTCTAAGGTTTATATTATGATGTCCATTTTAAAGATGAAGGGGCTGTGGGGCACAGAGAAGTTAAGTAATTTGGTGACGTGCCAAAAGTAATACAGCTGAAAAGTGATAGATAAAAGTAAAATGTTTACTTGATATTTAGGAATAAATTATGTCTGTAATAATTTTGCATTCTTTTCCTAATATTACTTTACTTTTTTTTGTTTTCCAGGATTTGTTGATGTACCTATTACAATTGGTCCAGGCTCTCAAATATGAAAATTTTGATGATATAAAGAATGGATTGGAACCTACCAAGAAGGATAGTCAGAGTTCAGTGTCAGAAAATGTGTCAAATTCTGGAATAAATTCTGCAGAAATAGATAGGTATGGATATCCAGGGAGGACATATTTTCTAGTTTGTTAATTTTTCCCTTTTCAAATTGTTTTCTCTTTTCCTTTCCTTAGATGTACCAAATGCTAGTGTTACTAATTTTGAAGTTTTACTAGTGAATATTGCATGTGTACTCACAGCACACAGATTACTATATTAGGGAATAGTGTTTTGCAAGCTATCAAGGCTGAATACCTGAGTTAAAAATCTTGACTCTGCCACTTACTAGCTGTATAAACTTGCATAAATTACATATTCTCTATGTGTCTCCGGTTTCTTAAGAGTGGTGATAGCAATATTAACTCATCTTTAAGGGTTGTTTAATCATTAAGTGAATTAACACTCATAGGAAACTGTCTAATACATAGTGCTTAGTAAGTCTTAGCTACTATTACTTATTTATGTTAAAATGAAATAGAAGGAGCAGGTGTGGTGGCTCATGCTTGTAATCCTAGCACTTTAAAGGCTGAGGTGTGCAGATCACTTGAGTCAGAAGTTCAAAACCAGCCTGGCCAACATGGTGACACCCGGGAGGTAGAGGGTGTAGCAAGCTGAGATTGCACCAGTGCGCTCCAGCCTGGGCGACAGAGCGAGACTCCGTCTCAAAAAAAAAAAAAAAAAAAAAAAAGAAATGGATGAAATAGAAGGACGGAGCATGCTAGTGAGCTCAAATAGTTTAATAAAAAGTTGCATTTTTTGTTAACTGTTTACACCTCTTTAGTAGTTAAACTGAAAATAATAGCATATTATTTGAATTAAAAGTTAGCTATTAACAATATAAAAATTAGGAGTTCCCAAATGTATATCTGACACTGTACCACGTGTCCACACACATTATCGTGTTACAACTGTCCTCTGAGGTACGTATTCCTGTCCCTAATTTAGAGATGGACTTCAAGTAAATTGCCCAAACTTTTATGTATCTTGCAAATGGTAGAGTTGACTCCAAATCCCACATTTTTTCTACTTTTTGCTTTTCAGAGAATCTTAAAATTTGCAAATAGTAGTAACCATTGGGTGAAAAATCTTAGCCTTAGTGATAGGAAATGGTTTTGTGAAGATCATTAGGTTTGTTATTGACAAAACCAGGTCTAAATTTTAGACTTCCTGAATCAGTCCAGTCATTTAAATTATTACATGAGCTCAAGATTGGATTTTTGAATTTTTCTTTATGATTATGGTTATGCTATGCTTTATGTTGTGTGTTTTATTTGGAGAAGAACCGAAAAAGAGGAAAATAATTTTTCTTTCCCAGGTTACTTTATATTTTTCTATTTTTAAGGGAAGATGCTCTTTATATTTTATCTCACTCTATATTGGAGGTCTTCAGTCTCAAGTCATGCTTATTTACTTTCTTCCCTATGCCATGTAGAACGTTTTGTAAGTAAAAGTCTATTCAGAATTTTATGATGGGGTGAAAACTGTAACCTAGTCTTTTCCAACTTACGGTCTACTAGTCACTAATTTTGTGTGTTTCTTTTTTAGTTCTTTTTTTAAGCTCTGTTATGTTTTTAAGAAGATAAAAGCTCTATTTTATTTTTAAAAAGAGAGAATCTTGGCCAGATATGTTTGGGAAATGCTAGTTTAAAGCTAAATGGGCTTAAACAAACAAACAAACAAACAAACAAACAGCACTTACCCAAACCTTTAATATGCAGACTTGCACATAAATCTCCCAAGAGGCATTACCCATAATCTTTGACCATGCGCTTTTTCCAGAGTACAATGTGACTCTAGTGTTGCACAGAACACACTTTAGGAAGTGTTGCATTAACTAGACACAATTGAAGTGAACTGTTCCATAAAAAATTGTGCGTTCTCTTATGGACAGAGTATTTTACATCTCAGTGATCTCTTTTATTACTTTTTCAGCTCCCAAATTATAACCAGCCCCCTTCCTTCAGTCTCTTCACCTCCTCCTGCATCAAAAACAAAAGAAGTTCCAGATGGCGAAAATCTGGAAGTGAGTACAAAGCTTTTCCAGCTTCCTATAGGAGAGATCCTACTGCATGAACATTTTATACTTGTCTTTAAAACCTCAATTTTGATTAAATAACTAAATATTACAACTTTATTAAATAACTTACTTTATGATGCACGTTTATAACTTTTCCCCCTCAGCATAAAGTACCAGATAGTCCTCAATTTGAGTCATTTTATTGGTGCTTTGGGCATATAAATGGATTCATATGCAATATGAAAATAAACTAGGCTTAAATATTTTATTAGGGAAACCTAGAATATTTACTGTCAATGTGTTTATGAACCTTACTGTAATTGTTGTCAGTGCTTGTGATTACATCGTAGAAATGTATAACTTTGATATTAGAGTTAATACACTAAGCAACTTTTTAACTATACATATAAGTAGACACATTTTTGAGATAAAACAGGCCTGTTAGACTAGTGCTACTCTGAAAAGTACTTTGGAAAGTGCATTGCAGAAGCTGATGTAGTACATATTTTTTAATTTGTCTATAAGACTTCTAATTTAAAAGAAATCATTAATATCTCTGATGTTGAAAACAAGTAACACATGTTTTATTATTAGAACAGTTCAAGTGATTTTTCAGTGTGTGTATATATATTACTTTTAGTCAGATTTTAGGAGTAATTGTTAATGGCTGAATGAATCTTTTAACTATTAGCTATTGATTAAAGTTTGTATGTTTGCATATCTTTCGGTATAACAAAATATTCAACTGAAAAAAGAATTTTTAAGTTACAGAATCATAGAATCCTTAGATAAGCCCTTTAAGAAGCCAATCTGCTACAGTCTAAGTTTTCCCTTTCAGAGCTAAGATATTGATTCATTGATTCAGTCATTCATTCATTCACATATATTTTTTGAGCTCTTAACATGTATGGGAACTGTTCTACATGCTGGGGTTGATGCAGCAGAAAACAAGACAGTTACAATGTTTGCCTTCATAGAGGTTATGTTCTAGAAAGCTCTTACAAGTTACTTGTTACTAAAAAAGTAACATCCCTCTAAAAGTGAAGCAGGTGAGAGAACAACCATATGGCTATCTGGGGAAGAGCATTTCAGATAGAGGGAGTAGCAAGTATAGAGGTCCTAAGACCAGAGTTTAAGTGTATATGTTTGAAGAACACCAGAAACTAGTGTGCCTGGTTTGTGGGAGAGTGAGCAAAAGAGAACCTGGCAGAAGATTGGATCCAGGAGAGAATTGGATATCAGTAGTGTAGGGCTTGTAGGCCATTAGTCCGAATGAGTTTTCCATATTGGTAGCTTGAACAAAGGGTGATTTACATTCTAGATGCTGTGAAGTGATTGGATTCTGAAAACGATGTTCAGAATATTGATTTACACTCCCCCATCACTCAAAATGTTTAGGCTAAAAATGATAGTTTGTATATATTTCTGATATTTCTCTTGTGATTGATGAACCTATCTGTTGTTATTCAATGATTAAGCCATTTAACTTTTTGTCAGCTGAATAGTTTTTTAGAGGGTTCAGGTATCCAGAAAAGAGTGGCAATCATTTTGAGTGATATTTCTATCTTCCCCTATCCCTTCCCCTATTCCCATAGAGTGTATTGTACAAGCCATTGTCACCTTTATGTTAATACACAATCAAGCTGAATTACCTCTCTTCTTATCACAACTTGAGATATCAACATTCCTGTCTCCTTTTTGACACCTGAGCAGTATCTTATGTCCTTCCTCGTTTTATTCTTGGAGTTTCAGGAGAACATTATACGTGTCTGGCCAAATGTTTGAAAGGAGACAGAAACTCAATTATTCCCCAAATCTGCTCATATTTTATGAATTCCATGGGTCATGAGAAGAAGTTGTATTTCCCAGCTGTTGGGTATAGCATTATACATAAGTTACTAGAGCAAGCTTATTGTGTTATTGAAATCTGTACTCTGTCCTAACATTTTTTTCTGCTTTATCTGTGAAAGAATTAGGGCAAAATTCCCCTGTATGATGGTAGAATTATTAATTTCTTCTTGTAGTTCTGTTAGTGTTTGCTTTAAATATTTTGAAGCTCTTCAATTAAGTAAATAAATTGCATCTTTATCACTGTTTGGTAACCCTCTTGATATCTAATAATGCTTTTCATCTTAAAACCTGTTTTGTCTGATGTTAATAGAGCTTTGTCTTGATTAATGTTCATGTTTATCTTCTCAATATTTTGTTGCGTTTATCTTTTCCTTTGAATTTTTTTGTAGCCTTATATTTTAGGTTTATGTTTATATTTAGGTCCCTTGTAAATATCATGTAGCTAAATTTTGTTTTTAAATCTAGTTTAACACTCTGTTTTATAACTGGAACTTTTGCCCCATTTGCTTTTATTGTGGTTGTAGCTGTATTTTGACTGATTTCACTATCTTATTTAGTACTTTCTATACTTTCTTATATATATATAAATTACATATTCTTGCTTGTCATTGGCTAAATCCTTCTCCCTCCACCCCACCCCATCTTATTTAACTTCCTTCAGATTTGATAATATTATTGTTATTATTGTATACACTCAGTAAATATTTAGAGATACTTTTCTTGAAGGATACCTGCACCTTCCTCACCATTTCTTCTTATGTCTGTGACCTACAATATGTGATCTTTTTTTATAAAGCACTTTTTTCTTTAAATTGTTTTAAAACCTTAAAGTATTGCTTACACAGATTGAGTTTTAACATTTACAATACATACTTCCTGTTTCACAGTTTTTTAAATTCAACTTTTCTTTATGTTCTGTAAGTAATTTTTTATCAAAAAGGCATAGTATGAAATGAAACGTGTTTGCTATTGAAATATATACATCACTGTACAAAAGTATAATGTTCTTGGCAGATAGTCAAAAGAGAAACTTTAGGCCTATATTCTGCCTATTAAACTCATGGACTCAGCTTTATATAATGGCTTCCTGATTGAGGAGTTTTTTAAATTGGATTTTTGGTGCATATTTAAAATGTACACCTAAGCTTTAAAACTGGAGATAAAATTCTTACTGAAAGCATTGGCACATCTACTTTGTAACAACACCCTCTTATTACTCGGACTTTACTTAAGAAAGGACCCCTACTGTGTTAAAAGTTCTAATCTGTTGATCCCTACTCTTTCATTATTCATCAGCTCCCTTCAATGTTTGCTTTTCTCTGAACATAGCTTTTATCCCATGGCTGTCATTTTAGTTATTATTTTATTAGTACCTGCAGTTCCCCTGGCAAAAATCTCAACTCTTGATAAGCCTCATTAATTACCTACTTTCGCTATGCCTGAATATTGCTGAAGAAAAGCACATAGCATAGCATGTTGGTGTCACTATAAATTCATGATCACAAACCTCAGATGAGCACTCACTGCTGTCTGCCATCTTCCATTTCCCTAGACGTGTTGATCTTCCTGCTCTGCAGTGATTTTTCATACCATTTCCACTCTGTTCTTCATGCCCCGCCTCCCAATCTCTAGATGACAATTCTGCCTCATACTTAATGGAAACAATAGAAACCACTAGGTAAGAATGGTCTGTTTCCCATCACCGGTTTTATAGACAGGAATCCCTACCCCATACTTTCCTTCTGTTTTCTTACACAGAAGAAACATAGCTCTCTTCAAAGATGTGTTATTTTCTTTTCCTGATAGAAATACTCAAGTATGTGTTAGAATTTTCCATGTTAAAAATTCAGAAAAACAAAACTGTCCCTTGAAACCACATCTCTTGAAACAGCACCTTGTTTTCTTACTTCTCTTCTCAAAGGAGTTGTTTATACATACTCTTTTCTTCCTTCTTTCCAGCCTTTAGTCCATATCATTCTGGCTCTTGCTTAAAACCCAATTTGCTAAGTTACAAAATGACCTTAATACTTTTGGTTGCACATTCTTTTCAGCTTCTTCAGAGTATTCAACAAAGTAAATAACTTTCTTCTTGAAAAACTAACTCTTCTCATGGTTTAGGTGATACTGTATATCTCTTGTTTTTCTCTTCATCTGTCTTGCCATTTCTTCTCAGTTTCATTTGTCAGCACTTTCCTCTCTCCTTGATATCTTAATGTTCCTCAGGGTCCTCTTCTAGTCTCACTTGATACTCTTGTCCTAGGTTGTGTTAATAAACTCAAATTTGCATTTCTAGCTCAGATCTTTCACCTGAGTTTCAGATTCATCTATTCAAACATGTATTTGATCTCCATTGTATGTCTGACAGGCATTTTGAACTTAATATTTCAAAATACAACTATTTCCTCTTACTCTATAGATAGGCAGCTTTTTGTCTGAAATCTCCGTTTGTGCCATAACAAATCAATCCAGAAATTTGGGAGTTACTATTAATGCCTTTCTTTCCTTCCTACTTCCTCTCCACCAGCAGGTCCTGTTAATTATACTTCCAAGATATTTCTTATATTTGTCTCCTTTTCACCATCTCCACTCTCATTATTTACTCTCCTAGTCTACCGTAATAGCATCTTAACTGATCTCAGGTCTGTACTTCACAGGACAACCAGTCATTTTCCTAAAATGTAAATCACATCATCTCACTCTCCTCTTAAGATCCTTTGTTGGGTATCCATTGCTTTTAAAATAAAATCCATACTCAATAATAATGTGACCTTAAAGGTCTCACATACTTTGACCTTTGCCTATCTTTTCAGTCTCTTCAGTGTTCACTATATTTTATTTACATTACTTAGCATTCCTTGAACAAGCCAAACTTAGAGCTTTCCAGTGTCATTTTGGTCTTGCCTGAATGTCATGTCTTCATTGTTGCCTTTTCTAATCTCCCAACCTAAATTATTTCTATGACCATTTCTTTTAATGTCTCTCTCCTCTACCAATATGAAGCTCCAGGAGGACAAGGAGTCCTCTGAACTGCGGTATTCTAACCACTTGCATATTTTCTGATTTAAAATATGTTTTATGTATGTATGTAAGGATAGATAAATGGCAGAAAATCTGATCTATTACATAAGATATACAGATGAAAACTGATAGGCAAATGTAAACTTACTTATTTTCCCCCATTACTAGTAGATGATAATATATAATACATTTCTTTTAATTCTTTCAGCAAGATCTCTGTACCTTCTTGATATCGAGAGCCTGCAAAAACTCAACACTGGCTAATTATTTATACTGGTATGTAAAAATAATTTTCTGTTTATTTTCTTATTACCCTTAAGAATTATTTTTTCTCATGCTATAAACACAAAGATGATTTAAAATAAGATATGAGCAATCATCAAAAGTCTAGATATAGTATTTATATCTAACTGTATTCCCTGACAGCTGGGTTCATGGAAATGCTTGTTGGCATCAACATTTCTCTCCCTTTCACTAAGGATATAACTTTCCAGGAGCTAGGATATAACTGGGGAGGGTAATGGGTACTTTCAGTTTAATATCTGTTTGGCATGTAAAGTAGTTGAGTATGATATTTCACAGTTCTTCAGGAGTATATATTTTCACATTATTTACTAAAACATTGGAATCATTTAAAAAGAAAAAGTTGGAATTAAAAGTTACCTTATGGCATTTTAAACATGAGGAAACTGAGGCAGAGGCTTGCTGTAGCTGAACTTGATAGACTCTGATCTAGGATTAAATCATTTATCTACTGCTTTGCCATTTTCAGGGTATTTTCAGTTACCTTTTCTCATTTGTTTCTATGACGTTAAATGGGCAAGCATAAATATCTCTATTTCACATTAAAACAATGTCCTGAGTCACTTGAAGGAAAGAGAGAAACTAAGGCACGGAGTGGCTGACTTCTTGAGGCACAGTTAATATGAAGCGTGGTGCCCTTTATTTGCCCCAGAATCCTGAAGAGAAAAAGGCAAGTAGCTTAAGCCACAATCAGAAATATTTTGCTTCAATAAAAAAAAAGTACTGGGATTAAACACTAGATAAGAGGGCTTCATCTAACTTTACGGAGCAAACAAAGGGCAGAGCCAGGTGGGTAAGACCTGCCTACAGCCTTCTTTACCTTTGGGAGAATCCTTAAAACTACTTATATCACTTTTTAAACTTCTTGGCATGAGGCTTTTTACTGTCTAAATGATTTCTAATCTAATCTTACTGCTCAATTTATAGCCTTAAACAAATTACAAATTAGTAGATGTCCATTGTAAAAGCTCACTACAGGTTGAGCATACCAAATCCAAAAATTTGAAATCTGAAATGCTCCAAAATCCAAAACTCTATGATCATTGACATGAGGTGCAAAAGAAATGCTCTTTGGAGCATTTCAGATTTTGAATTTTTGGATTTAAGGTGCTAAGTATAATGCAAATATTCAAAAATCAAAAAAAACTAGAAATCCAAAACATTTCTGGTTCTAAGCATTTTGGCTAAGAAATGCTGAACCAGTACTTTTGAATAATGATGAGGTATTTTGCTTTTTGTGAGAAAATTATACAAAATACGATTTTGTTTTAAGACTGATTTGGGAAGCTGCCCTTGTGGGTCAAGTCCAGCCTTAACTTCATTCTCCCACTCTCCAGAGGTAATGCTCTGCTGGGTACTGCCCCTGTACTTAAGAAGTAGGTAACTAAATTGGAGCACTCTTTTTCCTTTTTTCTTTTTTATTGTACTTTAAGTTTTAGGGTACATGTGCACAACGTGCAGGTTTGTTACATATGTATACATGTGCCATGTTGGTGTGCTGCACCCGGTAACTCATCATTAACATTAGGTATTTCTCCCAGTGCTATCCCTGCCCCCATCCCCAACCCCATGACATCAGTGTGTGATGTTCCCCGCCCTGTGTCCAAGTGTTCTCATTGTTCAATTCCCACCTGTGAGTGAGAACATGTGGTGTTTGGTTTTCTGTCCTTGCGACAGTTTGCTCAGAGTGATGGTTTCCAGCTTCATCCATGTCCCTACAAAGGACATGAACTCATCCTTTTTTATGGAGCACTCTTTTAACACACACAATTTTTGATTTACATAAACAATAAATATTTGTTTAGTTTAAGCCTTTATGGTTCTCTTTACAACAAAGAAAAACCACTGTCAACAATCTTAAGTAAATCAGTGATTTTCCCCCCTTTGGAACCTGTGTTTATTTTTTTTTGGTTGTGTTTGTTTTTTTCTGTTGGCCTCTGTAGTGGGAAGAAAAAGAGTTTCCTGCTTTTACTTTAGCAGTTTAATATAATATTCATAAAACTACATTTTCCTCACGTTAAATTTCATTATGTCCTTGAAAATATAGGAGGTTTTGACTAATTGTTAATCACTATTCTTTCTTTGAAAGGTTTACTTAGAAATTCTCATATTGCCAAATTGCTACTATTTCCTTTAAATGCCACCTTTTACCTCTAATGTTCTCTGTGTTCCAATCTGAATATTTAAGGATATGTCTTGTCGCCGGTCTTATGGAAAAATATTTCCTCATGAAAATCTAAATATTTAGAAGGAAGTAAAGAGAAAAAATATTTGTGGGGTATGTTTCTAAGTTTTTGAGTAAATATTTCAAAGCTTCTTAGGTATTTTTAAATTAAAATTTTGTATATTTTTAAAACCATTTGCTAAGAATTCATTTAGAGATATTTTTGTTTCCTTGCAATATTCACAGAAACTTTTCTCTGGCTCAGAATTTATAGTCTAGAGTATTCACTATGGTAAGAGCTATATGTGTATATACTGATTATGTGGTGCTTTCAAGTTACATATTCTTTGTGTTTGATTGAAGACTAGATTTCATTATTAAATTTGAAATGAGTTTTGATAGAATCTTTGATCTCTTATTTCAAGTAGGCAGAATTTTCTGAAAGCAGCCAAACAGTAGGAAATCTGTTCGATGAAGTTTCCAACATAGCAGCTGCTTCTGTTCATAAGGAGCACACTTTTTTTTCCTATAAGCAAAGTACAGCCCCAGTTCCCAGTCTTATAAACATTCAATCAAACTTAGATTTGATTTGTGTTTTCCCACTATATCTCTGATTCATTGAATCAATAGCATATGCTGTGTCTATTCATTCCCTAAGGAGTAATTGTTTTTCCCATATTTACAGTCTGCCTATTACATATTCAGAAATACTCATGGGGAGAAAAGCTATTGATGTGTGGACTCTTGCCTTTAATAAACACTGCTTTTGTGAATGTAAGGTAACAATAAGGGAAATAATTTCAAATAGTTGGTTTAAAATGATCATTCTTCTCTTCCTTTGAGCATATAAAAATAATAAAATGTGAGAATTTAAATGCTTCTCTAAGCCTACTCTATTATAACAAATGTATTAAAATAGAAATTTTAATTGTGCTGTTTCCTTTGAACACTTGAATTTCCTTTTTTCATTTGTTCCCTTTCTGGTGATTTAAACAGGATTCTTGCTGTAGCTAAATCCTTAGGGGCCTATAGTTGTGCAGACAATCCTTTTAAAATGAATAGTGTCAACCTTTTAAGCCACAGAGGGGCGTTACAGTCTCCAGTTTGTAAAATGATGGGCATCAGAATCTATAAATTGTTGCAGTTTTTTATTTTTATAGTCATTCTAGGGTGTTGAAATTGAAAGTAAACTTTGGCTGCTTTGACATGTTTTCTATAACTTTTAAGACCTTTCAAGGTAATAAAGGTTATTTATGCCACAAAATAAAATTGCCAGGAAACAGGTAGCCCACTGATGTCATCTTACAATGGGTACCTGGACAATTTTGTTTGCATTCCTACTTTAAGATGACAGCTTTCAAAGAAATACCTTAGAGTGCTTTAGAATCTAGTTTATTGATGTGAACAGAAACCTCAGAAATGATTCAAATCTAGGTCTTCTAGTCTTGATAGCTAACCTTGTCTCTCATATTTGGAGATGACAGTGTCACTTTTCTTTTTTTAGGTGGCCTTTTTGTTTGAATAGATGTTTGGCTTGAATGATTTTTTTTTTTTTGGAGATGAAGTTTCATTCTTGTTGCCCAGGCTGGAGTGCAATGGTGCGATCTTGGCTCACTGCAACCTCTGCCTCCCAGGTTCAATCAATTCTCCTGCCTCAGCCTCCCACATAGCTGGGATTACAGGCATGTGCCACCAAGCCCGGCTAATTTTGTATTTTTAGTAGAGGCGAGGTTTCTCCATGTTGGTCAGCCTAGTCTTGAACTCCCAACCTCAAGTGATTCACCCGCCTCGGCCTCCCAAAGTGTTGGGATTGCAGGTGTGAACCACCACACCTGGCAGACTTGAATGATTTTTGAGAGGTGTTTGATACTTGATGCTTATTATGAGCATCAACATATTTTTTTTCTTTTTTTTTTCTTTTTTTTGAGATGGAGTCTTGCTCTGTAGCCCAGGCTGGAGTGCAGTGGTGCCATCTCGGCTCACTGCAAGCTCTGCCTCACGAGTTCACGCCATTCTTCTGCCTCAGCCTCCCGAGCAGCTGGGACTACAGGCACCCGCCACTGTGCCCGGCTAATTTTTTTGTATTTTTTTTAGTATAGTAGAGACGGGGTTTCACCGTGTTAGCCAGGATGGTCTCGATCTCCTGACCTCATGATCCGCCCACCTTGGCCTCCCAAAGTGCTGGGATTACAGGCATGAGCCACCACGCCCGGCCAACATATATTTTCAATAACAGGAAATGGCTGCAGCCATAGTGTTTACTTGGTGGTCAGAAAGAGCAAGATACAGCAGTGAGCCCCTACATTGTGGTCAGCTATATGTTCATTTGGAAATAAGTTTGCTGCATAAACACAGGAAAAGCTGAATACCCTAAGATGACGGAGATAATCAAGGACTTTAACAATGAAGGGTAGAAGGGGATGGCTTGGATTTGAATAATACCATATTGACAGTTTCACCATTTAGAACTGCTGTTTTTTGTTTTAATGTTCGGCTTTAGATTCATGGACCACAAATTGAACTGAGTGCCAAGGAAAGTTTGAGGTAGTGCTATGTTCTCTGGTTTGGCTGCAGCCCCACTTCTCTGTCTTTCCTTCTATTTAAGTGATTCAAACATTTGTTTCCTGCCTGCCTTTTGAGAAAATTTGGAGTTTGTGAACCCTGCTACATGAGAATTCCTAGCCCAAATACCTTGGATATTGTTAGTACCTTCGATAGAGGTAGAAAAAATTCAATTTAATGTGATAAGTTTGGTTTTACATGTGTTCAGTTAGAAATGACAAACAGTGTCTTGAAAAGGGGATCTGGTCCTTGAAAATTAGAGTGCATGAATGTGAAAGCAGGTCATGTAATGGAATTCAAGATTAGACCTTAGATGTAAAAAATGAATATGTATTTATATTTGAAAATTATCAATAATGAGATAGTAGCTAAATCCACAAGAGTGGAATTATTCATTCAACAGTAATGTATTAATAATATGTTGAGCATCTATTATGAGCTAGACATGGACGTGCTGAAGATATAGTGGAGAACAAGACAGGTAAGCCCTCAGCTCTCATGAAGTTGACCATCTGAATGGCTGAATACAGAGTATACTCTCCCAGAAATAGTGGAAAGCATAATAATAAGCATCCGTGACTTGAGATTTGGGAAACATTGTCAGTTAAGAAGGTCGAAAAGTTTCACATGTGTTTTAAAGATAAAACAGTGTGAAAGTCAACTTAGTAAAATCAAAAAAGTCTGACCTGGGAGCCCAAAGTCCTGGGTTTCAATCTCAGTTTTACAATCAGTCATACCACCATAGACAAGACACAGCCCCTCTAAGTTTCACTATTGATGAAGCAAGCAAGTTGATTGAGATTGATGGTTTTCAAACTACACATCATCATGATCCACTGAAAGTAATTTAAAGTTTCACAGTCTAGCATTTGTATTTAAAGAAAAATGAAATAAACAGAATAGCAAATATTAACATATTGCTCACAGGATGTTGCTTTGTGAAACTTTTCCGTTTTATACATCTGTGTGCATATGTGGCTGTGTGTATCAAGCTGTGATACTTTTTTTTTTCTCTTTGAGAGATATCATCTCCCTTTGTTGCCCAAGCTGGAGTGCAATGGTATGATCATAGCTTACTGCAGCTTCACCTGGGCTCAAGCTATCTTCCCACCTCAGCCTCCTTAGTAGCTGGGACTATAGTCGGCGACACCACACTTGGCTTATATTTAATTTTTTTTTAAATGTAGAGGCTGGTCTCAAACTCCTGACCTCAAGTGATCCTCCTTCCTAGGCCTCCCAAAACACTGGGATTATAGGTGTGAGCCACCATGCCCAACCTGTTATTTGCTTTGGTTTGTTCCCAGTGGAACATTTAGAAACACTGGATTAGAAGACCTATAAAGTCTTATTCAGATCATTGCTTATATGATTTTTGTAATTGTATAAGCAGATGAGGGTTAAGAAGACATTTAAAATGTCTTTTACTCTTTAAAACCATAGTTTTTTAATTGGAAAGTTAAAGATTATGTATGGATCTTTGAAAAACGGGAAACTGGATGGGAAAGGAAAAATTACTTAAAATTTTATTCATCTTTTGAAAATATAAGTGACAAGAATAGCTTCAGAGAGGTTTTCAGAATAAGAGAGTCTTATGTAATACCAAAGTATTACACAGATTATGAAAATAATAGTTTTTGTTCTCGAGTTACTCAGTAAATATGTGAGCTTAGATGATTTCTGAGGATGTTAATACTCTACCTCATAAATAGGAGAAAATGCTTGTTTTGGTGGCAAAAGTTTTAGAAAATTTGGGATATTACACAAATTAAGGCATTACCACTCTTAGTTTACCTTTTATTGATGGTTGTATGTGTTCCTCTTTAAGTTTTCACTTTTAAAAGTGATGATAAAATGTGTTTTATTACTCCAATTTTATTATTTTTGCATATGTAAATTAATCTGTTTTAGTGAAATGATATGAGTATTTACAAACTGAATCTAAGTTTCATTTCACATCACATGAATGGCTCAAACTATTTTTAAGGTATGTGATAGTGGAATGTGAAGATCAAGATACTCAGCAGAGAGATCCAAAGACCCATGAGATGTACTTGAACGTAATGAGAAGATTCAGCCAAGCATTGTTGAAGGTAACCCTTAAATGTGAGGGTTGGCAAACTGCAGCACATGGGCCAAATTCAGCCTGTTGCCTGTTTAGGAACATCCCATGAGCTAAAAATGGTTTTATATATTTATTTTTATTTTTATTTTTTTGAGATGGAGGCTTGCTCTGTTACCCAGGCCGGAGTACAGTGGTGCCATCTCAGCTCACTGCAGCCTCTGCCTCCTGGGTTCAAGAGATTCTCCTGCCTCAGCCTCCCGAATAGCTGAGATTAAAGGCGCCCGCTACCATGCCCAGCTAATTTTTGTATTTTTAGTAGAGACGGGGTTTTGCCATGTTGGGCCAGGCTATTCTGGAACTCCTGACCTCAGGTGATGCACCTGCCTCGGCCTCCCAAAGTGCTGGCATTACAGGCGTGAGCCACTATACCTGGCCTGGTTTAGCGGTTGAAAAGAAATCAAAAGAAGAAGAAGAATTTGTGATACATGAAAATTATGTGAATTCAAATTTTAGTGTTCATAAATTTATTGGAATAGAATCATACTCATTTGTTTTTATATTGTCTATGGATACTTTTGTACTCAATAGGAGTTTAATAGTTGGAATGAAAACTGCATGGCCAAGAAGACCTAAAATATTTACTCTTTGACCCTTTACAGAAGTTTTCTTGATCCCTAATTTAATGAAATAAACCTGTGCATGGAATTAAAAAAAAGCTTTGCTTTTTTATTTTCCTTTCTATTGTGTATCTTTCTTATCAAGGCTATGTACATTTCCAGAAATCTGGCAATGGTCATATTGCAGATTCTTTTTATATAATGTATTTTTGCCTTTTCAACAGCTTTTAAAAGAGATTTATTTTTCCTGTGTTCGATTCTTAAAGCAGTGTCACAGTTTAGCCAGCAGAGGGTGCAAGGGCAGCGAAAAGAAAGCTACCACACATTAATCTGTGGCTTGCCGCAGAAATAGTCTATTTCATGGCATCTTTCATCTGTTTGATGTTTCATGCTTTTAAAAATTTAAATCACATCTTATTAAACACTTTGAGACTAAGCTTTTGTATTCGTTCCCAAAGCTTCTCAACATCAAACTGATTGGCAAATAAGCCTTTGGTCCTCTCCTCTAATCTCGTTTCTGTTACAGCCTTTGTCACCCTTGAAGACATTTCAGTTTCTTTAAGTTTAAATTGCCTCATCTTTGAAATGAGGTTGATAACATTTACCCAGCTTCCCTTACCAGGGTAATTGGGAAGATTAAATTAGAAATGTATTTTATAATATTTTATGAACTAGGAATCACTACATAGGACCGTATAGCATTTAGTTTTTATGACTTATATTTTAAGCACATATTGTGGTGCTATTTGAAGTTTTCTTTTTTTAAAAGTTGATTTTTAGTTCCTTGAAGATCTATATCTTTGTTTCTGCCATATACATGTATATATGTCTAGCACATTTCTGCATCATAAGCCATCGGATATTTATTGAATCAAATAATGAGTGAATGTATTTTAGGATGAATGAATTCTATCTTGTCACATGGTTTATGTGGGAAAAAAATGCGGTTGTAGATAGACCAGTATTTGCTGAAGACTCAGATAATTTTCGATTGTGGATGGATTAGTGGTGTTTAACTAAGATAAGAGGTTTCTTGTTATTTTTGAATCAAGATAATCTTTTTCAGTTTTGCTTTCTATTTAAGTTTATAACTGTGAGAAATATGAATAAGGATTATCCATGCTGTTAAAGAAATCCAGATCATTACGCAACATAGAACTAATTTTTTCTCACTTTGAACCCTTCAGGGTGATAAGTCTGTCAGAGTTATGCGTTCTTTGCTGGCTGCACAACAGACATTTGTAGATCGGTTGGTGCATCTAATGAAGGCAGTACAACGCGAAAGTGGAAATCGTAAGAAAAAGGTAAGCCTATGGTGTATGCTTTTGTTCCTAATAGCATCTTGGCATCAGAAAATACTGAATTTTCACTATTGTCTTTTTGGGTTGATACGTGAATTTTTTTTTTTTTTTTTTTTTTTTTTTTGACAATGTCTCACTCTGTCGCCCAGGTTGGAGTGCAGTGGCACGATCTCGGCTCACTGCAACCCCCACTTCCTGGGTTCAATCAATTCTCATGCCCCAGCCTCCCGAGTAGCTAGGATTACAGGTGCCCGCCACCATGCCCAGCTAATTTTTCTATTTTTAGTAGAGATGAGGTTTCACCATGTTGGTCAGGCTGGTCTCAAACTCCTGACCGTAGGTGATCCACCCGCCTCAACCTCCCAAAGTGCTGGGATTACAGGTGTGAGCCACTGCGCCCGGCCTATTGTGTGAACTTCTTACCATGAAATTATAGTAATAGGAATGTTTTATGAGTTTATATATATATTGATATGATATTTAATCTTCATAACAACCCTATAAGTTAGGACCTAATATTATCCCAATTGTGAGGAGAAGAAAGTAAAGAGAGGTCAAGTAATTTGTTTAATGTCATACAGCTAGTAAATATTGGAGTGGGGATTTGTACTCAGACATTCTTAGTCCATATTGTTATCCACAGTGCTTTACCACCTCTCATTTTAGAATCTTAGCAAATTAGAATATACAATATATTTGATATGGAAAGAATCTCTAGAGATCATTTAGACTAGAATTCTTCTGAGAAAACAAAAGTCCAGATTGACTTGCCCAAGGTTTCACAACTGGTTGTTAGTAAGTAGCTTTGTAACTGTTCTCTCCTGGCTAGTTCATCAGTCTGTCTCTCAACTATGAGGTTTCCACTTGATGGGTAGAAGTGAATGAGTAGATGAGTTCTTCACGTGACATTTTTTCTGATCAGTAGCCTAAATGATATGAAAGATTCGCTTGGTATCTTTTCCTAATTCCATTAGATAATTGGCAGGCCTTTCTTGGTGACCTTTGTAAAACAACACATTTTAGTGTTCCTTTGACTTTTAAAGGACAGCAGAAAGAGGAGGAAAATATGAAGATTTGAGTCAGTGGTTCAAAAGCAAAGAATCAGGTCTAAAGAGAAATGCTAGCAGAGCCATGCAGAAGAAGTAATGAGTAACGTTCAGCAGGTTAGAGAGGGGAAAACAGGCTGAGAGGAAACACGGTTCTGTTGAGTTGACATTTTCTTTGTTGTTGAGAAGAATCACAAACCTTGGTCAAATAAATATATTTCTACTACTGTTCCCCCTGTAGCACCTCTCCCCAGAGGTGGCTGTGTGGGAAACAGTGTGATTCCCAGATGCCCACCAGCAGAGGGAGTGTCTGCTGCTCTGACCTGCAGTTTGGGGCTTATATTTGAAAGCAGTTTGTTTTAGTGCCAGGAGCTCTTCAATTTAGCAGGCACAGGAACCTTGGCAACACCTCAGTTTTAGCTCTTCTGGAGGCTGACCACCTATTTGAGACATCACTCAGAGTCTCCCCAAATAAATTTTGTGTTTCTCACATAGCCTATATTTTAAGCCAGACCATCCCAAGTATAGTTTCAGTATTGGCTAAAAATCTTTATAGGCATTTTATCATGATATGGTAAAAGACAAACAATTTTATTTACATATATTTACTAGAAACAAGCCCTGGCACCATGAAGAAATGCAGAGATAGCGCTCTACTACCATTATTGGCATTAATACTAGTAATATTGAAATGGCCACTAATCATATAAAATCATATGTAGCACTTTTTCATCCCTCATAATTTATTTGCGAGAGCTATATCACAGTGGGTATAACAGTGTTAGATCTGTGGCAGAGTAATCCCTGAGTTAAGTGTCAAATGAGTAAAGAAGATGATAATGTTGTCTTCTTTCCTTCGTTGATCTCTAGTTTAGGAAAAATTATGTTAGAAGAGGTCAGTCTACATATTTGAATTCTAATAAAATGCCTTTTTCATCTACTTTTTTTTTGAGACATAGTCTTGCTCCGTCGTCCAGGCTGCAGTACCATGGTACTGTGGCATGATCTCAGCTCACTGCAGCTTCTGCCTCCCGTCTTCAAGCAATTAACCTGCCTCAGCCTCCCAGGCAGCTGGGACTGCAGGCGTGCACCACCACGCCTGGCTAATTTTTAGTAAAGATGGGGGGGTTTCACTCTGTTGGCCAGGCTGATCTCAAACTGACCTCAAGTGATCTGCCAGCCTCGGCCTTCCAAAGTGCTGGGATTACAGGCATGAGCCACTGTGCCTGGCCATCTTTTCCATCTATATTTAAAATAAATTAACACTTTCACTGTTAATATTATAAGCAGTCTCTTTTCACTTTATGATTTTTTAGGGGATATTACTCATTTATGTGTTCTACAAATACGAAATATGTATTGCATGCCTACTCTGTGCAGAGTGCTTTTCTAGGTTCTTGGGATACAGCAGTGAATATAAAAATCTCTTCCTCTATGGGGATCATATTCTCGTTGAAGAGAGTAAATGCAATAAATAAATAAAATGTATATAGTGTGCTAGATAGTGTTATATGTTATGGAGAAAAATAAAACAGGAAGGGGGATTAGGCAGTACTTGTGTCCAGTAGTAAGGCAGTGTTTCACTTCTTAATAGAGTGGCCAGGTAAGGCCTCACTGAGAAATTGACATTTGAACAAAGGCCTGAAGCATGTAAGAGAGCAAGCCGGTCTTCTGGAGAAGATTGTTCCAGCCAGAGGAATAGCAGTGCACAGCCCCGGAGGTGGGAGCATGTGTGGCAGTTGTGAGAAATAGGAAGAAGCCCAGTGTATTTGGAGCAGAGGGAATGGGTACAGTAATAGGAGATGAAGTTAGAGATAATTGGGAAATGGATGGAATTTATCCTTGTAAATCATTATAGTCAATATTATTTTGACTGAAACACTGAGTAAGAGTAGAAGCTATTGGAGATTTTGAATAGCAGGGTAACATGAACTGACTTTGATTTTAGCAGCTGCACTCTGGTTACTTTTGATAAGAAACTGTAGGAGGGTGAAAAGTTTGAAGAAGAGAAGCAATCAGGAGGCTATTGCAGTAATCAAGATGAGAAATCATGGTGGCTGGGTTCTTAGGGCTTATAGTGGTAGAGGTGGTAAGAAGTGGCTAGATTTCTCTCCCCATTCTTATTTTACTTTCTGGTTATTTTATTTATTTATTTATTTATTTATTTATTTATTTATTTATTTTAATTAGCGCATCAACTAGTAATTTGTTAAGGTAGGATAACTTTACTCTCAAATTAGTTGACATTACTTCACATTAGTAGATCTGACCATCCATTTAGTTAAGGAGTAGATTTAGTGATTTTTGTAACACTTATGTAGAAATTCATACCAGTTGATTTTCAGTTGATTTTAACTTGAACTTTTCATCATTCAGGAGGAGATGGGATTATTACTGAAGGAAAATAATTTTACATCTTCTTTGTCCTTGAAACATACTATTTTTTTCTGAACTTCTTTCACTGATTCCAGAGTTCTCTCCTTTGAGGCTTACCCAGCAGCACAAAGCACTTCAACTTCCCAGTAGCATTGTAGTTGAAGTGTTTTATGCTGCTGGGATTGTCATGTCGAGTTTTCCTTCTTAAAGAACAAACTCACCTATTTAGGTGAGCAAGCCCTGCTCCTAAAGATTGCAGGACTCTCCCAGCTTTTAAAGGAAATTAATTGTTCTTTTGAAATTGAATAGAAGGGGTTCTTCTAAATAGTATAGATGTTGCTTATTGATGAAGCTGTTTCATCATGACTTGGATTTCTCAGTTTCTGGAATGTTAGCTTAATGCATTATGTATATGAGCTGAAGAAAATGAATGATGATGATATCCTAGGAAAAGTTTGACCATACAGACTCAGTGAAAGTTAGAAAGTAGGGTTATAGTTTCTCCAAGTGAATTAAGTTTCCTTTTTAAACTCAAAAAATGCACTGGGGCAGCATAGTGAAATTTTTGCTTAATATTTGGTCATGCAAAATTAAACTTTGAAGGAAATTTCAGTTTCTCTCTGTGGCTTCACAAATCCTTGGAAACAGAAATTGAATCTTTAGGTCCAACTTGAATAAATTCCTGATTCTTTGTCAGCTTTAGCAAGTGAAATGTATTCTGTATCCTTCCTGTGAAAAGTCCAACTTTCACAGTCAAGCGATTGTTTGGTTTAAAGCATGCTGCTGCTGTTGTTAGGGATTATTTATAAGTGCTTGTCTCTCACATACAACACCATCTCCTTTATATTATTTTGGTGCTTTGCAAATACTTTTAAGTTAATGGAATCAATTTTTATGTCTTTACTATATGTTTTATAAACTACTCTTCTATTTTAACCTCATTAATCCTTTCTGATTTGTTCTAGAATGAGAGACTACAGGCATTGCTTGGAGATAATGAAAAGATGAATTTGTCAGATGTGGAACTTATCCCGTTGCCTTTAGAACCCCAAGTGAAAATTAGAGGAATAATTCCGGAAACAGCTACACTGTTTAAAGTAATTGTGATGGATATTTAATGTGTATGATTGGAACCTAATTCTTAAGCTAGATCAGAGATACTACCTTGGAAAACTATTACATTGCAGAGATCACATCTATAATTCTAGTTGATTTAGTAAATGCTAGATTGAAGGGTACCTTTTATTTATCAGTGTGTTTTGATTTAAGATCTTCTTTTGTTACCGGTACATGGGCATTTTTATGTAACATGTGAAATACTTTTATATCTCTGGGTTGTTTTTTAATATTTAATTTTTTTATTGTTTTATTTTTGTAGAGATGGGTCCTCACTTTGTTATCCAGGCTGGTCTCATACTCCTGGCTTCAAGCAGTCTTCCCACCTCAGCCTCCCAAAGTGTTGGGATTACAGGCATGCGCCACCATACCCAACATAATATTTAGTTTTTCAAGCTAATTGTTAATCAGAGCTGTAACTATTTTTCTTTATGTAAATTTTTTTAGAGGGCAGATTGCAAACGTATCATGCATTCATTCAGTTCATTAGTTCAGATGGTTAGATATGAGTCCCAGTTGACCTTTTTAACATTTCTCAGTCTGATATCTGTTCCTGTTGAACCTTAAGTGTTTTCTTATATTTTCACGTGGCAATTCTCTTTAGTCCTTAGTAGCATACCAGGCTTGGTGTTTTTTCTATTGACTGGCCACCAGTTCAGGTAGAAACAGCTGATGCAGCAGCCTTCTCTAATCATGCTCAAAGGACCAAAGGCCAGAGCATCATTATCTGTCAGCATCATACTGAAAGATCTTTGTGAGACATGGTGCTTTATGTTTTGTGATTCTAGTGGTAGAAAGGCATAGTTGCATTGAATATTACTTTGCATGAGTTAAGAAAGGGCTCATAGAACAACAACTAATGTATATACACGGGTGTAATTATAGTAGGAAACAGTTCATATTTTTTAAAAAAGTGTGTTTCAAGGCAACCTCATATTTGGTCATGGGTTGCAGCCCAGCTCATATGACTAAAACATAAGTTTCATAAAGCAATCCCTAACTTTAACTGGGTGTTATGGATGGATAGTTACCATTATTTTTAACATTATTCTGTTGCTTTAATTTTTAAATGTTGCTTACAACCTATTGGTTTTAAAACTCTCTAACAGATTACAACCTGCAAGTTAAAAATACTGGTATTACTATATGCAATTTGAAAATACTGGTATAGGAGATACAGTGCAATTTTTTTTTTAGTCTGTGCTTGCAGTCTACTGGAGACTGAAATGTAAAAAGCTATGCACAAGGTAATATACATATAACAACTGGCATTCCTTTGGGCTAGAACTCCCAAAGAAGACCAGCTTCTAATATTCTTGAACACTAAGGACTCATCAAGAGCAGTGAATTAAAAAAGTAATTTTACCATTTTTTTTCCAACCATGGTGCAAAAGAGTATCTAAGACATACAGCAGGGGTTTTAAGAGTGGACTATAAGAAGATATATCTCCCTCTATTGGTAGGTGGATTCTAGACTCATACTCAATTATAAAAAATTATAATTATGTCTTATGAAATAAAATATGGGAAATCTTTTTGACCTCAGTATTCAGTCTTGATTATTTTTCTTTCAACTCTTAAGTATATGGGCATTCTTAAAAATTTTGAGTTAGAGTTTAGGAATAATGGTTCTGAGGCAGTTGCTACGTAATATTAGTTATATAGAGTGTCTCTGTGTAGGGAGTTGCTACTTTGGCTCATGGATGTCTTTGAGAATCTGATGAAAGTGATGGATTATGCACTTCAGAAAATTGCCCGTATGCTTACACATACACTGAAATTTCTGCATACACTTGCAGAGGATCTGTGGACTCCTGTTTTCCTTGTATGAGCTCCTTAGAGCTGAAAAGGCTAGGGACCCTTATTTCTAGTAGTTTTAAAAGTAATTTTGTAGACCTTAATGTAACAGCCAAAGCTGGATATTCATGAAGACTGGACCCCTTAAGGCACTGGGATAAGTGCATGTTATCCTGTGGTTGTTTTCTTGCTTTAAATTTCAGATGAAATCTAAATTAGATGAAATCGTATTGAATCTCAAAAAAGAAATCACAACAAAGATTCTCCTGCCTGTCATTTATCTTTAGGAAGATAACTTCCAATTACTAGGGCTCAAGGTAATTTATAAAATAACATTTTCAAATAAAAGGATATTCCAAATTTAAGGTAATTTAAAATTCAGAATTTTATTCCAACTAGAGTTTGTAAGTTTTAAACATACATTCTCTGAACCATTTTCCATGTTTTTGTTTTCCCCCAGCATTTTATAGGAAAGTTTTCAAGCATACAGCAAAGTTGAAGGAGTTTTACAGTAGACAACCGTGTATCTACCACTTTAATTCTGTCATCAACATTTTGCCATTTGTTTTGTCACATCTGTTCATCCATCTATATGATGTTTTTTGGGCCATTATTTCTCTTGGTTATTACCATTTTTTTTGTTTTTGTTTTTAAATTTCTTTGACTCATTTTTTTTTCTTTGGATTAATATATTTCTCCAAATTTTTGTCTTATATAATTTCTTCTCAATGACCAAACTCAATAGGGTCTCTCTCTCTCAGAACAATTTTCTGACCATTTATGTCCAGAATATCCATCTTAGCATGCCACTTTATGTGAGGTTTTATGATTCCCCCTTTCTAAAAAGAATATAATTTCTTTATTTTTTTTTTGTTGATTTAAACATATACCTAAACTAATTTAGACCTTCATATAATTAAGGGAAGGACTGTGGGGAAAACATAATATTATTCCAGAATAAAAGATACAGATATTTGAGATCTCCTCTCATTTTATAAATGAGGAATTTGAGTCTTAAAGCTGCACAACTAGTACAGATTGAGCATCTCTAATCCAAAAATCCAAAATCTAAAATGCTCCAAAATCTGAAACTTTTTGAGTGCTGACATGATGCCGCAAGTGGAAAATCCTCCAGCTGACTTTATGTCATGCATTACAGTCAAAACACGGTCAGAACTTTGTTTCATGCACAAAATTACTAAAAATATTGTGTAAAATTACTTTCAGTTTATGTGTGTAGGGTATATGTGAAACATAATTGAATTTCAAGTTTAAACTTGGGTCACAGCCCTAAAATATTTTATTATGTATATGCAAATATTCCAAAATCCGGGGAAGTCCAAAATCCCAAACATTTGCAAGCATTTCTGTTATGGGATACTCAACCTGTAGTATACTTGCCATTAAAAACCAGGGCTCTTCACTTTGCATCTGGTACATTGTTATGTTGTACTGTTTCACCTTATTTATTTCAGTATACCTCTAAAAATAAAAAATGATGATAGATATATAAAGAATGTCTTCTTTGTATTAGGCATGGTGCCAGACTATTGACCTGTATAGTTTCTGATTGCCTTAGCAACTCTGCAGAAGAGATGGTATCTTATTTTACAGATGAGGAAACAAGTTAAAGGATATGCATAAGACTGTCCAGCGAGTACCTGGGAGAGCTTGGAATGTTTTAACCACATGACTGATTGCAGAGCTTGTGCGCTTTCCATCGTGTAGTCTTCTGACTACTAGCTAGTTCACTGTTCTTTCCAGTATACCCTAATGTATCTCATTGAAAACCCAACTTGTTTTTTAGGTCCTATTTACCTGTGTATTTATCTTATATATCAACATTTTCTTGTATGTATAGTACAATTTTATGCATTAATTCATGGCCAAATTTGAAATCAATATTTTTATTTTCCAGAGTGCCCTTATGCCTGCACAGTTGTTTTTTAAGACGGAAGATGGAGGCAAATATCCAGTTATATTTAAGCATGGAGATGATTTACGTCAAGATCAACTTATTCTTCAAATCATTTCACTCATGGACAAGGTGAACATGACCTTATGTTGGTGGGGAACATTTTTTTCGTTTTGGAATACTGTGGCTTAGTTCATTTGCTGTTTATGGAACAGAAGTATTTGTAACATTCAGGTACGATCCTAGAAAGCTCAACAGTCTCCACTTGACCTTGAAAAAATTTAGTTGCTTTTATATACTTCAGAATGGTTTTTGTGTTGAGTATAAATTGGAACTGTATGTGTTCCATTAATTTTTTTTCCAAATTAAGTTCTCTAAATAAGGGATTTAGTAGTTTCCTTCCTCTTAGTCTATTAAATTTTTTTTAAATCCTTTTAATCCCATCTCTGTCCCTGGCATTAAAAAGTACATGCTTGCCCTAGTTCCCTTTTTCTGAGCTCTAAAGTACTTTATGGCCAGAAAGGACTGCATGAAGTGATAGCAACAACCCTATTGTTCATTGAAAACAGCTGACAGAGATTTAGAGTAGATGAAAAATTTAGCATACCGTCATCTAAGTCCTTAATCAATTTAATTTTGATGATCAAAGTTAAATTAACTATTTTTTTTTTTGAGATGGAGTTTTGCTTTTTGCACAGGCTAAAATGAAGTGGCGCGATCTTGGCTCACTGCAACCTCTGCCCCCTGGGTTCAAGCAATTCTCCTGCCTCAGCCTCCCGAGTAGTTGGGACTACAGGCATGCACCACCACGCCCAGCTAATTTTTTGTATTTTTTAGTAGAGACAGGGTTTCACCATGTTGACCAGGCTGATCTTGAACTCCTGACCTCAGGTGATCCACCCGCCTCGGCCTCCCAAAGTGCTGGGATTACAGTGGGGAACCACTGTGCCCAGCCTAAGTTAACTAATTTAAACTTAATTTAGCTTAACTTCCTAAATCTTTATTACATTAAACTGCTATACTATTTGCCCACAAAACTGTCTTTTAACAGTCTTTACATTTGGTTAATATATTTTACCTTTTGATTAAAAGCTGTTACGGAAAGAAAATCTGGACTTGAAATTGACACCTTATAAGGTGTTAGCCACCAGTACAAAACATGGTAAGTGTATTTTACATCATTATTATTTACTTTAGTGTACATTGTGTGTACTTTTTCAAATTGAAAATTTTTAAGTATGTTAGAGATACAAATAAATTCCATTTGTAGCACTGAAGACAAGTTGGACCTTCCTGCCTGCTTCCCTTCTGTCTTTCCTTCTTTCCTGTTTCTCAGTAACTACTGATTAATGTAACTACTGGTTAATGTAGTTACTGAGAAACAGGATATTTCAGACATTCCTGACAATCCTGTAGACACACATACACATACACACACACCCTCACACACACAAACCATTTAAGTCTTTTCGAGATGAATAATCCCTGGGAGTTTGGTAGAAGATTCCCTAGGAATGCTTGCCTAATGCTTACTGTAAATTCCATAGTCTTGCTGCCCTTCCTGCTTTATACTAGTAGTTACTGAGAAACAAAATACATGCTTTAGGTTCCTATCCTTCCTCTGGCTACTCCCAAATCTTTTTGATGCCTTAATTACTCTTCTCAGTTTCTTCTCAGAATGATATTTTAAAAAGTGCAAATGTGCATCTTTACAATCCTGCAAAAAGTCATTTGTTAGCTTTCATTTTCTCTTTGGACAAAGACCCAAAAAACCTTTACCTAGCTTCTAAGTGCTTGCATAGTGTGACACACCCTGTGTCTATCTTTCAAGCCTCTTCTTTTTGCCACTCTTCCCCTGCATCCTGGGCTTTAGCCATACTGGCTACCTTCTGTTTTATCTAATGCATTGTGCTCTAAGGCCTTCACATACACTGTGATCATTGTCTCAAACATTCTTTGCTCCATGGCCTATTAATTTTATTATCCTTGAAAACATGGCTCAAATGTCAGATGTCCTTCGATCCCTACTGTAAGTTAGGTCTCCTTACACTACTTCCTTTCATAGTACCCTTTATTCATAGTATTTACCCAAGTGAAGCTTATAAGCTTTAAGATCCATGTAGGCAGTGTCAAACATCTATTTTTACTTACTTGGCAAATTTCTTCCGACATGGTCAAGAAACAATAAATACCTGTTAAGTGAATTAGTGCCAACTATTCTGTATTTATGATGCAAGAATAAATGAGATATTTCTTATTCTACAGGGGTATATAATCTCCTAATGTGCATGCAAATTATTATCCTATAGGCTTACCAGAACCAGATCATGATAGTTTATGATCCTGAAATGTTGTTTGCTTCATCCAACTTTTTTTTTTAATATATCCATTGTTTTATGTTTCTGTTGTCTTCAGACTTATCAGACTGACTTTTTCTCCTTCTTCCACATACTGTCTGTCCCCTTTCCTTTTTTTTTTTTTTTTTTTGGTAGTTTAAGGGATTTACACATCTGTTATTACCAGGAAATGACAGAAGATGGAATATTAGACAAAAGGAGCCATTACATAACAGTTTTACATACAGCTTTTAGGGTTAGGTAATTGTAATCCACAATTCTAGATTTCTTACGGTGATTTTAAATTTGGAATATTTTAATTGGTATATGTTGTAAATCTATAGAAAGAAGAAATTTTTGATGCTAGATTTAAGAAGCTTAGTCTATTAGTTTTCGTTTCTCATATTTTATAATAGAAATTAGCCTAGAGAAACATACAGACTAAATCAGCTTAATTTAAAAAAAAAAAGTTTTCTTACAGGTCCTATGACATAAATGCCAGTACAAACTTAATGTAGTGTACACTGATCTTTTTAAGTTGTTCAGATATGGAATGCATTTATTCAGAGATGAGGATTATTCTTAGCAGAACCTTTATTTTTATTTCTTAACCAGTAGCTATGCTTAATGCAGTGCATACATTTCTGTGTAGGCTTCATGCAGTTTATCCAGTCAGTTCCTGTGGCTGAAGTTCTTGATACAGAGGGAAGCATTCAGGTATGGTATCAATAAAGATTATGCAATTCATGAATATATTCTTGTCATAAAAAATTCAGTCTTTATAACATAGAGTTAAAAATGAAAGTCTCCTTTTATCATTTTTCTTTCTTCAAGTTTTTTTTCTTCCTTTATTCAGAAGTAAGCATGTTCGCAGTTGAAGATTCTTCCATTTGTTACATAGATTCTCAGTTCCTTGAACAGTGCATTGCATATCAAGGGATCAGGCATTAATTGGTGAACACAGCCTGGCCAACATGGTGAAACCTGTCTCTGCTAAACTCACAAAAATCAGCCGGGCATGGTGGCATGCACCTGTAGTCCCAGCTACTTGGGAGGCTGAGCCAGGAGAATCGCTTGAACCCGCGAGGTGGAGACTGCAGTGAGCTGAGATCACATCATTGCACTCCGGCCTGGGTGACAGAGCAAGATTCTGTGTCAAAAAAAAACAAAAAAAACCCCAAAAAAACAGAGTTAATTGGTGAACAAATTAAAATTTGTTAACGTTTATTTATACTTGCATTATATTCCAAAGTATGGAAATGTTGTAATTTATTTGATATTAATTGATGAGCACTTTATTTCCAGTTTTTGTTATTCAGAACACTGCTACAATGATATTGTTGCTCATCTGTCTTTTGTACAATTATTTAAGACCCCCTATCCTCTCCCTTCAACCTATTGCTCCCCTTTAAATATGAGAAAAGGTGAGTGGTTCTGTGACAAAGTAATGTATATGTTTGGATTTTTTTTTTTTTTACCCTTTAAATACATGGATTAGTTCTTATAACATGTTAATGGTTTATTTTTGTTATTTTTAAAATATAATTTTCCTGCTTCCCTTTGTAAAAAAAAAAAAAAAGGTATGTAATTAAAACAAAAATGGATACACCTGAGATGAAAGATAATACACAGAAGGGCTTGGTAGATGATGTTTGATACAGTGTGTTTTTGCCTTTCCCTATTTAATTGTTCCATTTATTCAGTATGGGAGTCAGATTTGTAGAAAAGTATTACTCTGATTCTTTTGCAAAGCAAGTGCTTATTCTGTTCTTTGATTTGGGGTACAGTCATGTGCAGTGGTTAAAAGCTCAGGCTTAGGACATCAAACTGCCTGGGATTGAATTCCACCTGTGTAACTTTCCAGCTCTGTAACCTTGAGTGAACTGGTTAACTCTTTTTGCAGAGAAAAGTTAACATAGTAGCCCTAAGGTTGCAATCTTTGGAAAGGCCTGCTTGCCAGGAGATTGGTCATTGGCTTTCAGCATGTTCCCTTTGCTTCCTAATTGATAAGGGTGGTTCGCTGTGCCTAGATTGTTTGTTCAAATAATATGCTTTATACTAAACAATCCACTTTCCTTCTGGGAGTCTGGAATTTTGTACTTGCTTGACAGAGGTTGCCTGGGTCACCAGTTCCTGATAAAACCTTGGGTTCTAAGTCTCTAATGGGCTTTCCTTGTCAGAAACATTACACCCATGTTACTGCTTTTTATTTTTTATTTTTGGCTATTGGAAAAGAAGCTCACTGTGTCTTCATAGGACAGAGAGGGCTAGGATGCCTATGTATGAATTTCTCCAGATTTTTTCTGTGTATGTTTTCCATGTTGATTCTACTGTGTATCCGTTCTCTGTAACAAACCTTAGTCATGGTACAACTACATGTTTAGTCTGTAAGACCTTCTAGCAAGTCAAACCTGTCAGTGGTCCTGGGGACCCGTTTAACATACCCTTCAAGACACCAGTTTTTGCATCTGTAAAATTTCGGTAATAACCCATATTACTCCAGGATTGTTTTGAAGAGGACCTGAAGTGTACTTAAAGTTTTTAACATGGGCCCTAATTGCCATCATTGTTTCATAAAGTTTTTCATTACTTACATTGTTTTGTGTAATTACGATTTTATAAAATGAAAACAGTGACAGTTTGTATACTGATTCTTGGCTGCACATCTGATCTGTGTAAGTGATTTACCTGGGTCATAGATCACATTCAGCTTTACTTGATAATGAAAAGTTGTTTTTCGATAATTAAAAGTTGTTTTCCAAAACAGTAACACTTCTTGTGTTTCTCCTTGCTACATGTCTGCCAAATCGTAGTGTTGCCAAACTTCAAACTCTTCGTACCTCTTTTTGGTTTGCATTTCCCTGATTATCTGTAAGGTTGAATGTATAAAAATATATGTATAGGCCATTTGTTTCTTCTGTGAAGTGCATGTTCACATCTTCCTGTGGCCCATGTTCCTGTCGCGTTGTTTGTATTTTTTGTATTGATTTATAGGAGTTTTTAAATATATATTCCAGATGCAAATCCTTTGTCAGAAATACAGGGTATTCAAAAAAGGTGAAAACATAGGATAAACTTTTTTTTTTTTTTTGTGAGACGGAGTCTTGCTCTGTCGCCAGGCTGGAGTGCAGTGGTGCGATCTCGGCTCACTGCAACCTGTACCTCCCAGGTTCAAGCAATTCTCCTGCCTCAGCCTCCCGAGCAGCTGGGACTACAGGTGCCTGCCACCACGCTAATTTTTGTATTTTAGTAGAGACTGGGTTTCACCATGTTGACCAGGATGTTCTTGATCTCTTGACCTCATGATCTGCCCACCTCGGCCTCCCAAAGTGCTGGAATTACAGGTGTGAGCCACCACATCTGGCCAGGATAAACTCATTTTTTAATAGTACGTTAATCGTATTTTCAGATAATATGCTCTGTGGTTTTGTTTGTTTGTTTGTTTTTTGTTTTGCCTCTAAATGTAAAAGAATAGGTGCAATTGGAAATCTGGGGTGGGTGGTGGGGGACATTAAACACAGTTTCCCCTAATGGAAACTCTAGTGTATTTATCGCACTCTTACAATTCTTTTGTTCAGTCAGCATCTCTCATACTGTATTTTGATTAAGCTTTATGCTAGACACTTGCTGGTCACTATTTATAGTTTCAAAACACCTAGTTTGTTTGTTTGTACTTAATTCTAAAACATGTAAATAATGTCTTTTCAGAACTTTTTTAGAAAATATGCACCAAGTGAGAATGGGCCAAATGGGATTAGTGCTGAGGTCATGGACACTTACGTTAAAAGCTGTGGTAAGTTTTTCAGGCTATTACTTTCCATTGATCAGATAAAGAAGAGCAGGCCATCCTGATATTGCCATAATCATATACATTTAGAACATGTTAATATTTAAATGCTCTATAGGAAGAGTAAAAGATAAATGTTGATTAAAGTAGTCATTGATGCTTTGACATAATAGTATTAACAAGGTGTAAATTCTATTTAGTCTTTCATGGATATATCTTTGTAATCACTGAACTATTTTATAATCACAGTTTATCTCTTCCTGGAAGCTGTTAATTTTCCATTAGATTTTCTCTATTTTTGAATAACAGAAACTAAGTAGACCATGGGAAAAGTTTCAATCAGAAATGATTGTGCTTTAGATAAAGTTTAAGAGCTAAGATAATGGTGCTTCATTAAGAGGGTGCCCTTGTGGTATTTTAGAGTCAGTCCTTATGGTCCATTCCTAGAAATAAGAAAGCAGTAGTAGTATTTCCTAGAAATAAATAGTAAGTGACATAGGGATTAATTTTTATTCTTCAGGCATTTATGTCTAACTTCACGAAGGTTATATTCTACAGGATTTTTTTTTTCATTTTCTTTATTTTTTTCTTTTCTTTTCTTTTCCTTTTTTCCTGGAGACAGGATCACACTCTGTCACCCGGGCTGGCTGAAGTGCAGTGGCGCAATCACAGCTTACTGCGGCCTGGACCTCCCAGGCTCAGGTGATTCTTCCACCTCAGCCCGCCGAGTACCTGGGACTGTAGGAGGTGTGCACCACCACACTTGGATGATTTTTTTGTATTTTTTGTAGAAACAGGGTTATGGCATGTTTCCCAGGCTGGTCTCAAACTCCTGGGCTCAAACGATCACCACCTGCTTTGGCCTCCCAAAGTGCAAAGATTGAAGGCATGAGCCACCATCCCCAGCATGTTTATTTTTTTATTTTGATTTTTTTTATAACTAGATTGTTTATGGGAGGATTGGTAAAGGAGTTGACACTAGAGTTGAGCCCTGAATGACAGGATGTATGATGTGTTATAACTATTTTATATAAGCGCTATATTTGTTTATGTCCCTATTTATGCCTATGCTTAAGCTGGGAGAGCAAGAAGAGGGCTTTCTAGTTAGTTGTTAAGACTATATTTAAACTTGCATATTATTTTCTGGTTTAGAAGTTGCTTTCTTATACATAATATTTTTGTGTTTTTCACAACACCCCTGTGAAGTCACCTTCCAAATTATTTTGGACCTTATTTTCAAATTTATTCGTGATGATACATTTTTGTCTGAAAAGCAGAAAGAAAATGAACTTTGAGAATATGGAAATAAAATTGTGTTTTATAAATTAGAGTCCTTTATAGTTTTAATTCTTGTTTTTACTATAGGAATATAAACATATATTACATGTAACTGAATTTGTTTGTAAACGTGATTACATGCAGTATTTAAAGACTTAAAAACACTGAAGATTTTGAGAGAAAATGTTTACCCTTGTCCTCTTACTCTGTGTTTCTCTCTCTTCCCTTGCTCCTTTCTTGTTTCTCTTCTTTATTTTGCCCCATTTCTCTTCTGTTTTTCTCAGACCTTCAAGTCTATGTTTTCTGTGATCTGAAAAAAAATTGCATATCATCTAAAGGCTCAACTAGGCTGAACATCCAAGATGGATCACTCACATTATTGGCAGATTATACTGTCTTAGCTAGGCTTATTGTGAATCACCTACACATGACCTGTCCCTGGCTTGGGCCTCTTAGAGCTGGGTTCCAAGAGCAAATATTCAGACAGACAGGAAATGGAAAATACTAGTTTCTGAAGGCCAGGGCTGGGAAGCTGGTACTATATCAGCTTATAGTATAACTATATTTTGTTATATTCTGTTGTTCAGAGCAGTCCTAGAGCCTTCCTGGATTTGAGGGGACGGAATATATATAGATCCAAGCTCTGGATGAAAAGGGTGTCACAGAATTTGTGGCCATTTCCATTAGTACGTTATTACATGAGGTGTTTTATATACCCCCAAATAATTATCTTTTACCTTTTTACTATAGCATAGTTATTGTAAACCTTTTAAAGTCATAAATCTGTTTAATAAAGAAATACTTTTTCCACACAAAATACATACACACACGCTTGCCCTGTCAGTATTGACTACAATTTGAAAATTCTGCTCATTAGTAAAATTATCAGAATGGTATGTTACAGGTACATGCTTAATGTCGTACCATTGTGTCTTTTGTATAGTGGTCCATTTTCCCCCCAAGAGCTACTGAAAATATGACTGGCTTTTTCATGGGGAAAGAATAGCAATTTAAATTATCTTACCTATTGGACAGTTAAATTCACATTATATCTTATCTCTCCCCTTTTTTCCAACATTTCACATGTATTCATTCCTCTGTAAGTGATTTAATGGTAGGCCTTCTCTTCATCTAGAAGAGCCTTCTGTTTTCTGTATGGCTTCCTGTATGACAAAATAATCTGTTTTTGTGTAACTTTCATTTTAGAAAATAATGTTTTAATGTTTTTGCAGGGTGTAAGAAAAAAATTGATAATAGTTTTGGTGACATCTTTTCCAGATTATCTAAAGTCTCAAGTGTATATCATGCAGCTAAATGTGGGAATACTGTTTATTCTCACATACACACATATCTTTACTAAGTAAAGGGAAATAGGATCAGTGGTCTATTTGTCTTTATATTTTTCTTTAAGTCAAAGTTTTTTTATAAAAACAATTTCAAGATGTTTTGTATCTCACATGGAATAAAAAAACTAACAACATTGTTTTGACAAGATTTTCTTGGACAGAAATAGTGTTTCCATTGTTGTATAGTTAAAGAATAACATCAATTTCCCTAAAAATTTTCTAGCAAATTTATTTCAGGTCATCTTAAATCATTCTGAGTATTAGTTATCTCCTCAACGTTTCTGAGGATCATCCCATTCTTACCTCAAATGTTTTGTTGTTATTTTTCAGGATGTAGCCTTGTTTAAAGTGCCCTACTGAGTATTGACACTTTAAACTATTGAAGCACTCTAAATTTTCATCTTTACTATTAAATATGGCCATATGTTGATACATATATTTCACTTGACTAAACATGTTTATCAGAATGACCATCCAACGTATTTATGACCATAATCCACTGAGCCAGGGCAAAAGACCCTTACTTATTTTTGCATTTCCATATAACAATGAAATGCACTCTCAAATTTGATGATGAGTAGTTTATAGAAATATTTTGCTTTATCGTTAGGATTAAGCATAATTCATGTATATCCAGTTACATGAAAATTTTAGGTCAGAATTAACTGTTGCAACACAGGTGAATCAGTATTCTATAGAGATAGCTAAACTTGAAACAAAGTAAATAGTGACAAAAACTAACTGTAATTTATAATTTAAAAATGGGAATAGTAAGTAGGTCTGGATTGAACAACTCAGCTGCACTGATGTACAGTGATGTTATTTTTCAAAATTGTAGGAATTTCGCTTGTCTTCATATGCACATTATCGGTAGTTTAGTACCCTTGAGTGGCAGGTAGATTTCTACGAATCACATGTTAGAGAACCTAAGTGTACTAAGTTCTCATATGTTCTCAGGGTATTGTACTTAGTTTCTCTTTAGGAATATCAAATTTAATATCCCTCAGTAAGTCACTTAGTTATTTTTCAATGGGGAGTCTGTAGTCATTTTTGAAATTGCATGTATTGTGGCAGTTTTAGAGCAGTGCTACTTAAAGTGTGATCTGTGGACCCACAGTATTGACTTTACCTGGGAGCTTGTTTGTATTACAGAATCTTGGGCCTTACCCGACTTCTGTGATCAGAATCTTCATTCTAACAGGATTTTCAGGTGATTCTTATGTTCATCAATACACTAGAGTTTAGAGAAGGCTTCTCAACCTTTGGTGTGCATAGTAATTTTTGAAAGCTTGTTAAAATGGAATTGTGGCTGCTGCCCCTAAAAATTCTGATTCAGTAGGACTGAAGTAAGGCTGAAGAGTTTACATATTTAATAAGCTTTCAAGTGATAGTGATACTGCCAGTCTGTGGGATCACATTTTGTGTAGCAATGCTCTAGATCAAGGGTGAGTAAGACTTTTCTCTAAAGCTTTGCAGATAGTAAATATTTTAGGCTTTTCAAGTCAGATGATCTGTGTAACCATTCAACCCTGCCATTGTAATGCTTAAACCAGTGTGTAAATGAATGAGTATGACTGTGTTCAAATAAACTTTACAAAAACTGAGGGGAACCAGATTTGACCATCAGGCTGTAGTTTATTCTCCCTTCATCTAGATACCCTTTAAGTCCTCCTCAGTGGACCACTAAATGTTATCATTGCATTTAGCTGCAGTTAACATAATGTACCTATAGTGATTTAATCATAAGAGTTTATTTTCTCTTTTGTGACAAAACTAGTTATAAGAAATTGCTGTTGTTCTAACTATTTAAGGTGATTAGGACCAGGTGAAGGCTCTGTGTTTCTCTGTGATTCTCTTGCCCTTTTCCTTATGGTCTGCAACTACAGTCATCATGTCGCAATCTAGACAGGAAGGAGAAAAGGCCTAAAGGGCTAACCTCCTAGCTGAGTCAGCCGCTTGCTTAAAACTGCTTTCCTTGCATCTATATTTGCTTACATTTCATTGGACACAAATCCCAGCCCAGTGACTTTGAACAATACTATTAATTCTTGGAGCCTGAAGTTTTTCATTTGAAGGATGGTTATCTACTTAACTGGCATCATTAAACAGGTTAGAAATGATGAATATGATATGCCTAGCTAAGAGCCTAGTCTTCAGTACATTGTAACTGTGATTATTATTAATTAATACTATTTTTCCAATAATTATGCCATTGCTTAAGTTGCTTTTGGACTTCTGGAATGGCCTTCAGAACCTAAGTCAAATGAACTTTATTATTTATTGAATTTGAACAGGGTTATAAGTTCATTAACAGGTGGTCCCATCTTGTTTTTACACATGGGCTGAAATAAACAGGTTTTTGTAAATATTGCTATAGTTTTATATGTTTACAAGTTGTGTTTGTTGTCAGGTTATTAATGGTAGAAATAAACATAGTTAAAAAAACAAACTCCAAAAGGGTGCTATTTGCTAAATTCTGTTTAAGTAGTTTCAATAAATGCTAAATTTCCAGACTTTTTTTAGAATAAAAAGATAACAGAATACAGCTAGAGCCAATGTCTTTGCCTTTAGCCTTGATCATGTAATTTTTCTTAATGCTTTAGAAGATTATTGTGTTAACTTCATAAATGTCTTTACCACTCAAATGAATGCATTTGGTTTTCTATCTGCTTCCATTTCAAGATTATTTTTCCACAGACTTAAAAAACAATTTAACCCTGCATTTACTTATGTTATCTTACAGATAACATGGTTACGAGTTATGGGATAATTGACGGTTGACTTTTAACTGTGTCCAATTTGATATTAGAATTGCTAGGCCCATGTTATAATTTAAGGTCTCCTGAACCTAACTTAAGTTTTGATGCAAGTGACTTTTGTAATTTAACAGAATTCTACAAGATTTTCTCTTTTAAATAGTACTTTGAGTTTCAAGTGACAGACATGAAGATTGCATATTTGAGAATTCAGATGAGAAACCAGAGACATTAGAAAACAAATTGATATTAAAGTTGCACAAACTGCTTTTATATTCAGTAGAATGTATAACCTGGTTTGCATTTGTTTTCACATATTTTTTTTAACTGTTACTGCAGCTGGATATTGCGTGATCACCTATATACTTGGAGTTGGAGACAGGCACCTGGATAACCTTTTGCTAACAAAAACAGGTAACAATTAATGACTACCAGTAGACATACATTGTATATGCCCATGGTTTTTACCCCTGAATCTATGTACTAACAAGATAAGTTGCGGCCTGGCGCGGTGGCTCACGCCCGTAATCCCAGCACTTTGGGAGGCCAAGGCGGGTGGATCACCTGAGGTTGGGAGTTCGAGACCAGCCTGACCAACATGGAGAAACCCCGTCTCTACTAAACACACAAAATTTGCCGGGCGTGGTGGTACATGCCTGTAATCCCAACTACTCAGGAGGCTGAGGCAGGAGAATCGCTTGAACCCGGGAGGCGGAGGTTGCAGTGAGCCGAGATTGCACCATTGCACTGCAGACTAGGCAACAAGATCAAAACGCCATCTTAGAAAAAAAAAAAAAAAAAGATGAGTTGCGTAATTGAAGATAAATCAGAGAGTCTTAAAAATTCCTTTAAATGTTACCTTGGAAGAACATTTAGGGAAAGTCCTTTCCCTTTTAAGAATTGCTTTAGTAGTAATCCTACAGATGGTCATTTTGCCCACACTTCTGTACTGGAAAATGCCTCTTTTTATGGAAAGCCAATAATGGATACAAGTAGCTTAGTCTCTTACTGTATAGCTCTAGTTAGATTGTTAAAATGTCCTTTCTCTTACAAAGTGTGCTTAATTCACTTTAATATCTACCTTTAATTATTTGCTTTTCCCCTTGGAGTTCTATGGGATAATCATTCTCAGTCCCCTTTGTCCTGACAACTCTTTAGCCCTATGTATTTATCTTTATGCAGACAGCTTCCAGACTTACAGCTTTTTACCTCAGTCCATTTCATTAACTTCAAATTGAAATATCGAACTGCTTACTTGAAATTGTCATTATATATGGCCAGTTGTAAAAGGTTGTCCTTTCCTCTACTACCTGCCTAAAACCTGTTTCTCACCTCATTTTTCCATTTCAATAGATAGCAACATCACCTACCCAGTTGTTCAAGCTCTAGACCTCAAAGTCATTCTTAACATGTCTCTTGGCCTCATCTCATATACTGAACCTATTAGCAAATCTTGTCTACTCCTCAACTCCAAAATAGATCATGAAGTTACCCACTGTCTTCATTTTTACTACTTTGACCCCACTTGAAGCAAACAATATATGTTGCCTAAACAATTTGAATGAAACCTGAACCCTTTATTGGGGCCTTGTGGCTTGTCCAGGCAGGCCATTTGTCTGAATGTCAAACCACTCCTGCCTCAGACAAGAGCCTTTGTTGTTTTCTCTTTCTGGAAAGTTATTTATTCAGATCTTTGCAGGGCTGACTTTAGTTATTAAGTTGAAGTTCTAATGGCATCTCTTTAGAGAAGCCCTTTCTAACTCCTTGATCTGTAATAACATATCTGCCCTCTTCCTCCAATGCTCTCTACTTATTACTGTATTGTTTATAGCACTTATCACTAGCTGAAGTTACCTTTTTTGTTTAATTCAACAACTATTTATTGAACAGCTAGTAGATGCTGGGAATACCAAAGTTAACAGAAGAGACAGAAATCCTTGCTCTCCTAGAGCTTGTTGAGTTCTTATCATCATCTTCTCCCCTTCAGGATGCAAGTTCCATGAGAGCAGGAACCTTTGTCCATTGGGGTTACCCCCATGCCTCTGGACCTTGAACACCACCTAGCTAAAGTGTTCAATAAATCAGTGTTGAATTAATGATGAATAAATACTTCTGCTCTTCCATGAACCTGTCTGGGCTAAATAATTCAAGTTTCTTCCGCTTTCTGCAGAAAGCAGATGTTTACGTTACTCTTTAAATTGGTCTCTCAAAACATTTTCTGTTTTGTTTGTATTTCTCCAAATTGTGATAATAATAATTTAACATAATACATCAAGAATAATCTATTAATATAATGGTCCTATTAATTTATAATTTGGAATGTCATATATTCAGTTTTTAATTATTACATATGAAAAATCATCTGTTAGAACTTGCATGGGTGATGTCATGTCTGTGTCAAAGCCAGTCAATCTCCTTAATAACCAAGACCAAAAGAATATAATCAGAGTGTCATGCAGATTCTTGGCTGATTTGCTCATTTAGCAGAGGATATTTATAAAACATTATGGTGTATTTGGAGAGAATTGTAATTTGGAAGTTTTCATGTGTTATTTTCATTAGCTCTTTTTTATTGGTTGAATCTTTTAACCACAAGAATCAAGCAACCAAAATGATTCCATTTTTTTCCAGATTGTAATCATTTACAACTACAATGGAATTCTTTAATATAAAAATAATGCTAAATGACGAGTTAATGGGTGCAGCACACCAACATGGCACATGTATACATATGTAACAAACCTGCACGTTGTGCACATGTACCCTAAAACTTAAAGTATAATAATAATAATAAAATAAAAAATAAAATAAATAAAAAAGAATTTGCCAGTGGAAAAAAAGGTAGTATTACATCTGTAATTTTATATTCACAAGTTCTACTTGATTCTTTTTTTGGAAATTGATAAACAATCAGACAGTGTAAAAAACCTTTTTCTGTTATACTTTGAAAAGTGCCCTTGTGTGTATTTGTGTGTGTGCGTATGTGTGTTTTGATGGGGGTATTTAAGAGTGAAACTGGAAGGAAGAATCTGCGTAATACACTTTTTTGGCCCAGGTCTCAGTTACTTGTTTAATGGAAATTGAATTAAATTTCAGAAACAGAAGCTTTAAGCTTTTGTTAACAGTTTTCCACTAGAGGGTGCTCCAGATTTGCTTTTTCAAAACCAAGATTTTACCCTAAAACGTGCATAAGTAAGATGCACATTTTTTTCCTATTAAAACAGCAGTTCATTTTTTCTTAACTGCTCTGTAATTATTTCATCCAGTTACATTATGCAGTTAGCATTTTATATCTTTCTTACTGGATACATGTTTTCAAGTTTTTAGTTTTGGTTTGGATGAAATTAGATTCTATAAGGAGAGACTGAGTATGTCAAGACAAATAGAAGTATAATGCATTCTTCAAGTTCTAACAATTTATAATAATTTTAAAAAGTTTGTGTCTCTAGTCATTTTTACTGAGAGTTTGTATTTCAAAGTGGTTTTAAGTTACATTTCATATATGTTATAAATAGACTTTGTATAGTTCAAAGTGAATTTTGAATGTGGTTCAGTGCAGGAAATATATTCCAATGTTTTTAGTTTAAAAAATGCCTCGACTGTCATGAAGACTTGTCCATTGTATATTTTGAGTTTATTATGCCTTCAAATTGAAAACTTTGGGTTCTCTTACATAACTGTCCAATCTTTCAATGGCTGATGGAGCATTTTTTAATAATCAAGTAACATTTTTCTTATTCTGCAAAATACAATACCTTTGTTTTCTGTACTCCTTTGCCAGCCCAAGCAGGTTTAGAGTCTAAGATTCTGCTTTAGATTAAAGTGGTTTTGAATTTCAATCAGACTTCCACTGTTTCATCTGTGTCCAGTTCTTTGATATGGGGGATGGAGCAGAAGAAGGAGCCACGCAGATTTCATTTCACTGATATTTTTTGGGGACTTAAACCAGACAAACTATTCTACCCTGTAAATATAGATGAAATAGAAAATGATCCAGCTAAGAACTCTGGGCATGTGAAAGAAAATGATTCGCTGCATATAGAGAATGTCAAAATCTATACAAGAGTAATGTTCTCAAATGCAAAATATTAGTCTCAATTATGGATTTCCCAGACCTTTTTTTGGCCCATGCTTTGTTTTTGAATACTTCTAGCTTGGTTGAAGTTTACTCAGCTTGCACAGCAGAGGGCGCTGTGTATCCACCATAAATGTAAAAGTGTAGCGATTGTATTGTCAGTGTATTGTCATGTGATTAATTATAACGCTGTTTTCTTGAAACAAGTTTGGGGTGAATGATATTTTACTTATTAGTGCATTACTATTGAATTCTTTTTTCATTATTACTATAGAATTCTTTGGACAAGAAATTACAAAGCTAGGCTGTGGTGTGGAGTTGAAAAATAATAGATTTTTTCCCAAGAATCATTGTCCTTAGGAGAAGCTTTAAAAAGCTTACTTAGGGCGATCAGTTGTGACAGGATTCAAATGAAACATGGTTTGAGTTTATCCCAGCTCTTTGGAGAAAGGTTAATTTTTTTGTTTTTATTTTTGGGAGTTTGAGGAAAGAGGGGAAGGCAGTATAACTGAAAAATATGTTCACTGCTTATGGTATACTTTTTAATGCAATCAGTATTTGAAATTCATTTGTAAATAACTGAAAAATGTTCACAAAAGTAAAGAGGGAACTGGTATCTGTACTAAATGGAAAGTTCATTGTGAGTCCTAAGGATGGCCCTCCTGATCTTGAGTTGCCATTTGTGAGAGAGGTAGTAGCTTTTCTGTCTGCCTTGCCACTTTAGAGTAATACACTTTGAAACTTTTCTCAGAAAGCTCAACATAAAGAAAAATGGTTATTCTTATTTTTATCTTAATTGGACATTTTCTTTCAATATAGCTCCTGTAATACAGGGTTCTCTAGAGGGACAGAACTAATGGTATATATATATATATATATATATATATATATATATATATATATATATATATATATATATATATATAAAGGGGAATTTATTAAGTATTAACTCATACATTCACAAGGTCCCATTATAGGCTGTCTGCAGGCTGAGGAGCAAGGAGAGCCAGTCTGAGTTCCAAAACTGAAGAACTTGGAGTCGGATGTTCGAGGGTAGGAAACATTCAGCACGAGAGAAAGATGTAGGCTGGGAGGCTGGGCAAGTCTCTCTTTTCACATTTTTCTGTCTGCTTTTATCCTAGCTGCCCTGGCAGCTGATTAGTTTGTGCCCATCTAGATTAAAGGTCTGCCTTTCCCAACCCACTGACTCAAATATTAATCTCCTTTGGCAGCACCCTCACAGACACACCCAGGATCAATACTTTGTATCCTTCAATCCAGTCAAGTTGACAGTCAGTATTAACATCACAGCTTCTATCCTGATTTTCTGTATTATTCTTTAATTTTATGTGAAAATGATTATTTTTTAGACCAAGAAACAGTCTTTCAGAGTGGCTAATTTGTTTGGCTCTAAAGGCAAATTTTTGCATTTATTTTGCCCCTCCCCCATTGGGTGACTTTGGGTAAGTTACATAATATGCCAGTAACTCAGTCTCTTCTTCTGAATCTGTAAATAATAATAGAACCTCTCTCCTAGTGGTGCTGTGAGGTTTGAATGAGATAAGTAGACTTTTGCTTGGTATTGAGCACATAATAAACATTCCTTAAGGGCTATTAGGTTTTCTTTGCTTGTTTGTTTTACCACCATGAGATGAATAATGCCTTTTTTTTTTTAAACTTATGTAGTTCTTATTTGGACTCATACTATTAGAGAGAAGAAAATAGTTAATATATTTCAAAAATTTCTTTTTCCCACTTGCTATAATTTGGGTATTTGACTCCTCCAAATCTCATGTTGAAACTTCATCCCCATTGATGGAGATAGGATCAAATGGGAAGTGTTTGGGTCATGGTGGTGGATTCTTCATGAATGGCCTGGTACTGTGCTGGAGGTAATGAGTGAGCTCTTCTGTTAGTTCCCTTGAAAGCTGGTTGTTAAAAAAGAGCTTCGTACCTCCCCTCTCATGCTACTATGTGATCTCAGCACATGCCAGCTCCTTTTCGCCTTTATAGATTATTGATCTTTGATACTGAAAACTATTATTGAAAAATATTGCATCATTGTGCTTTTAACTGAGTGAAAATACTGCTAACCAAGTATATTGTAAGGGTTTAAGTAATAAGTATTGGGAACAGAGAGTGGGAGTATAAATGTAGGGAGCCTTTTTAATTCTGAAAATATAGGTTTTGCTATAAGAATAAATTGCTGTTTGCTACCTTCTGTATTTCTAGGTTTAGTGATAGGGCAGTAGGAAAGATACGACATTCAATTAAGACAAAAGGCATTTTATGGAAAAAATGGTAAATAAATGCCAGGTTATATATAAAAAATTGAAGAGTGGGAAACTCACTGGAGTAGGATGTCAGGGAAGAATTTTTGGAGTTGGGAATTATATGGAATCTTTAAATAATAGAGTTTGGATTATAAGGAACAGCAGAAGAAAGTCAAGTAGAAGGAGGAGAGTAAGAAGAGGTATGAAAAACAGAATGAATACAGTTTTGATGTTGGACACGTTTAATTATTAAACAAAATGGAAATTTAAAATAAACTTTACCATTAAATACTGTCAAAGAGAATAGTGTATGTTCTCTTTAATCCAAGAATTACAGATGCCTCAAACTACAATTTTAGAAATAAGTTCATGTTATTTATGCAAATAACAGGAAAATGTAATTAGCACCTCTTACTCCCTATGTTTTACAAGTTGGAGACAAAAGGAGGTTAACAACCAGTTTGTTTTATGTATACTTTATTTCTTGACTGTTTAAGGTGGTAGATTCGAATAAGATCATACTCTCTGAACTTCTTAAACATTTTTTTTAAATTTCATTATGTGTATTTTTTGAACCTTTACAAATTGCATTTTCAAATATTAACTTTAAAAAAAACATTCCCTTCAGTATTTATGAAGATGAATTTTCTTAAAACATTACATTAATAGGCTCTTTTGAAAATACATGGCTATTTAACTTGTAAAGCATAATATAATTTCATTGTTAGATACTGAATCTTTTACACCTTTTAATTAAGTAGTAATCCTGTTGTTTGAGTTTTCTGACAAGAAGGATAGAAATATACTCTTCGTTTGTAAACAGTGATACATAGCCAATATTGGAATTCCAGTAATTCCTGTCATGAAATGAAGAAAACTGGGATAGGTTTCGTATTAAAAGCATGGAGCTCATTAAATAAACCATGCATGATGGCAGTTTTGTGTCAGAGATTGACCGGATTGGTCATCTGTTCAAGTATATTGGTAACAAAACATTATTTAAATAATTAAATAAAACCAAGGAAAATGTATCTACACCTGTAATATTGTGAGCTTCTTATTTCTTTACCTCTTTTGGGGCAGAATCATGTGTATCCAACAAGGTAAAAGATATATGAGAACTTCAAAATGAGAATAAAGTACCAAAAGAATTGCTTAGCTTAGTTGAACAGAGAACACATATTTAGTTGAAGGTGGTAAAATGGTTAACAGAAATTGATCATGGACTTTTCATCAGTTCATGGAAAACTGAAATCATAGCATACTCCCCTTGAACCTTAAGAGACTATAGGGATGCTGCTTTTCCAGTGGGTACTGAAGTTGTCAAATTCACTTTTGTAAAACTGGTTCCTCATATTTGTTGAATTATGGACTTTCCTTGGGAATCTGGTGAAGTATATTGATCTCCCCCCAAAATCAGTTTCATTGTACTTAGAGACCATTAAAGCCCATTTTGGGATTCTGAAAGAGTAGTTTTTCAGTCATAAATCATTCAGTAGTTTCTTTTAATAGAAATGAACCCCCCCCCCCGTGTTGACATTTTATGATCTTAAATATGTACAACGTGAAACCTCATAATTGTGCCTACTCTTACATACTATACAATGAAAACAGATTTATAAATCAATGTGTTACAGATTAGTAAAATTTAACAACATTAAAATGATAGGTGGTATATTATTACAACTAAATTGCTATTTACATACTATACAATGAAAACAGATTTATACTATACATTACTCTTACTATACAATGAAAACAGATTTATAAGTCAGTCTTTCTTACATATTAGTAAAATTTAACAGGATTAAAGTGATAGGTGATATATTATTGTAACTAAATTGCTATTTATGCTAAGAATATGGTTTTTAAAATTTTTCCTTTCTAAAATTTTTTTTGAGTAATAATAAGTTAGCAGAAGGATTCATCTCAGGAATATTTAAAGAAATAATTTTCTACTATATGAAGGGCACTGTGCTTAAACTTTAGCACAAAAAATTTTCTACAAGATTCCACTTTCTGCTGATACCTTAAAAAGTTACCCAGGCTCTGACCGTCTTTGATTCTGAAGACTTATAAATAGGATTTAACATTTTTAGATTACCATTACTGTGACATGATTTTAGGCATAGTTTCGTGTGAACGAATGAGTTAAAATGAGTTAATTATGTTCTGAAGGCCACTCTCAAACCTGCAGTTAGAAATATCGAAGAATTTAATAGGCTTCATCGTGAACTAATATTCTTTATGAAGAGACACTGTTTATATCAATTGTGTGACATATCACCTACCCAGTTCTTTAAGATAATTCTGGAAACAAATGAGTTTCTTGTCAACATCCAGGCAAACTCTTCCACATAGACTTTGGATATATTTTGGGTCGGGATCCAAAGCCTCTTCCTCCACCAATGAAGCTGAATAAAGAAATGGTAGAAGGAATGGGGGGCACACAGAGTGAGCAGTACCAAGAGTTCCGTAAACAGTGTTACACGGCTTTCCTCCACCTGCGAAGGTAAGTTGATTTGCTTGGCACAGAGAATTTGGGTAAATTTATTTTATTTTATAGAACAAGAGAATTTGTTTAAATGTATGCATTCTTTAGCATTGATCACTTTTTCAAAATGACAAAGGCAACAATATTTCCTATCTTACATTTAATACCAATTTTGACAAACTGTCAAATATCAAAGGAAAAAGACATAAACTTTCTTGCTTTCCCACTATCTTATTACTATATCCCACCAGCTAGGAAGCTGGCATCACATAAGATGAAGCAAACATGGAGGCTTCCAACTCAATGGTGTTGATGTCACTTTAATAAAGTATACTTTGACAGTACTGAGATAGAGAAAAGGTTAAGAAACTTCATACCATTCAGATCTGCCTGAAGACAGTCCTGGAGACTTCCTTCTCCCTAGCTGACTTCCTATTTCTTTATCAAAGAATATAGGATATTTTAGAGTGATATTAGTTCAATCATTTTTATTCTTTAGCAGCCTTAGTTTTGGGTACTCTTCAGGAATATTCAGAAGTTTGCTCAATGATTGTGGTAAATGTTAAATATGATTTTTATCTCTTTTTAACACCTCATCAGTCATTCTGCTACAAAAAAATGTTTTTTCTCCGTCCTTTTTTCTTCAACACCACTAAATCTGTGCTTCCTTCTTGCTAATTTACTTAGGACTGACTATCATATGTCATCAGGAAGAAAAATAAAAGTCATGTTTGGTAAATTTAGGACATGGCTCTGATGATTATTAGTCAAAAATGACAGGATCATTTGACTCATGCTATTTTCAGCCCAACTATGCAAAATGAACTTTTCTTAGTCCAGCAGAAAATCCCAGTCCAGGAAACATACATACATGCTCTTCCAGGTGAAAATATAACCAATAGATAGCCAGTTGCCTGTGCACATGGGTTCTGTTTCCTTTGACTTCATAACCTTTGTGACATCAATTACTCATACAGTGTTTAGTACATAGGCACTCATTGTGTGTTTATTCATTGAGAACTCTTCGTATTTGTATGAGAACCCTCCGAATTCCTGCTTTGAGTCTAGTGTGAGGCCATGTTCCCAGTTAATGTTGATGTGTTGGTCCTAGGAGACTGGTTTTCTTACAGTAATGGGGTTTCATTTATGCACTGACTAGGTCTTCATTGTAAACTCAGTCTTTTCCATGTATCACAAACCTGTAACAGGCATTTTACAAATGGCCATGATATTTATCCTTTGGGTGGCAGAATGGCTCAGTTTTACCTTCCAGAAATGCCAAAAGAATAATGAGAAAATCAGTGCTCTTTAGATTTGTTTGGTGATGCAGAAGCACTTTCAGAGAGATGAGAGTGCCATTTAATATCTGCGATTTTTAATTTAAAATAGTCAAAGCCCATAGAAAACTAGGTCGAACCATGGATATCTCAGGGAGGTGGCGGACAAGATGGTAAGGAATGATAACTAGAGAAATGTCAGAGGTGCTCTATCTTATTGAAAGCAGAAGGAAAACAATGTGGTTTATAAACTGTCATTGGTAGTGGATTAGTAGCAATTCAATAGAATAAGAAAACAGGCAGGTTATTAATGGAGAGCCAAGGTTGACTTCCTTGCTACAAAGAAAAGCCACAGAGAGATTAATCTAAATAATTTTATGCAGAGTTTTAATGAAAACTGTTTAACTTTTAAAAATTTCCCTGTACTTAATATTATCTGGACCTAAATTATTTGATCAACTTTTTTTTTTTTTTTTTGAGACAGGTTGTCACTGTCGCCCAGGTTGGAGTGCAGTGGCATGACCATGGTTCACTGCAGTCTTGACTTCCCAGGCTCAGATGATCCTTCCACCTCAGACTTGCAGGTAGCTGGAACTACAGGCATATGCCACCATGCCCAGCTAATTTTTTGTGTTTTTTTGTAGAGACGGGGTGGGGTCTTGCTATGTTGCCCAGGCTGGTCTTGAACTCCTGGATTCAAGCTGTCTGCCCACCTTGGCCTCTCAAAGTGCTGGGATTACAGACATAAACCCATCGCACCTGGCCAACATTTATTTTTTAATGTTGTATTTCAGAGTATGTTTTAGTTGGTTGAAAAAATGCCTTCAGGATATAAGAATTAACCTGATAGTTGTTTGGAGCTAAGGTTATCGGCACTTTTATTAAGCTATTAGATATGATCGGCCCTGTTATTTTATAGTTTTTCTTGATAATTGATCAGTTTCTTCACAAAGAATCCACTGAATAACATTGTACCACATAAGCAGAGTAGTCCATTTGAACTTAGTTATAAATGGTTACAAAATACATTATCATCTCTTATTAATCAGTACATATTAAGTCTTTCTCCCAACCCACACTTATGCCAAACACCATTCTTAGACACTGATGTTACAAAGATGTTCTTTTTACATTTTTTGGTAAAAATTTTCAATAGTGAAATAAGGAATACATTTACCAGCTGGGCACGGTGACTCACTCCTGTAATCCAAGCACTCTGGGAGGCTGAGGTGGGTGGATCACTTGAGGCCAGGAGTTTGAGACCAGCCTGGCCAACATGGTGAAACCCTGTCTCTACTAAAAAAGAAAATACAAAAATTAGCCAGGTGTGATGGTGCACGCTTGTAATCTCAGCTACTAGGGAGGCTGAGGTATGAGAATTGCTTGAACCCGAGAGGCAGAGGTTACAGTGAGCCAAAATCACACCACTGAACTCCAACCTAGACAATAGAGCAAGACTCTGTCTCAAAAAAAGAAAAAAAATTTAAAAAAATGTGTTTAACTATCAAGTAAGGTTCTCATATTGTCTCAGAGATGTTTGCCTAGTCACCAAACATCAGTGAATTTATTGGTCACATACATCATTAACTACATTGCTTCCCCTCTTTGAAGTAGTACACTTATTGAATAACACTTTCACAGGAACTCTGATTTTGCTGTCATGGAAAATAGAATGTAGAGGAAATACATTTGAAATACTATAAGAACCTCAATGTAGTTAATGGATTTCTATTTTCAGTAATAAAGGTTTTTCCTGAAAAATTTAAACTATCTTTGTGTGACTAGAGTGTAGCACAATAGTTGGCATGAACGTGGGTAAGAGAAAGAGTGCAGTTTCCTTGAACATTACATGCAACCTGCTTCTTTCTAAAAATCCTAATTATATCACATTCCATCTTGCAATCTTTGCTAGATTTTGCACGCTTTCCCACCCTATTATTGTTATTATTATTTTTTATCTTACCCTTAGGTTGTCTAATACTGGTTTGTTGGCCGGGCAGGGTGGCTCATGCCTGTAATCCCAGCACCTCGGGAGGTCGAGGCAGGTAGATAACTTGAGGTCAGGAGTTCGAGACCAGCCTGGCCAACATGGTGAAACCCTGTCTCTACTAAAAATACAAAAATTAGCCTGGCATAGTGGCACTGCCTGTAGTCCCAGTTACTTGGGGGGCTGAGGCAAGAGACTCGCTTGAACCTGGGAGGTGGAGGTTGCAGTGACCCGAGATCGTGCCACTGCACGCTAGTCTGGGTGACAGAACAAGACTCCATCTAAAAAAAAAAAGTGGCCTTTAAATTTGTGTTTCTGAGTAGGACATTAAATGACTGTCCTATGAAGTAAACACTTGGTATTTTGGTTCACTTGATGTATCTTAAATGGAAAATTCAGGTTAATGACAACAGATGTAAAAGATTAATACCAAAGGTAGTGACAAATTATTCACAAAGTATGTGGATATCTAACCTTTATATTTATTTCTGTTTCCCTTTGCTATAACAATAGAAGCGTGGATGGTTAAATTTAAATCAGGAGGTAATCCAGAAAGCATTAGTATTTACTTTTGTTAAAAGGAACATCGCATTCTACACCCGTAAAGGCAGATTTTTTTTTTTTTAACATTGATCCTGGCTGCCCGTTAGAATCACCTGGGGAGCTTGTAGGTGAGGTGGCAAGGGGAAAGTTCTGGACTCGCTCATATTTAATTGGTCTGAGATTGGGCTCAGGCATTGATACATTTGAAAAGCTACCAAGGTGAATCTAATGGGCAGCCAAGTTGGAGAACTTCTAATATATCTCTTTCAAAACTGACTTTGTATTCTCCTTATGTTACCTTCTGGTAGATTTCCCCATGCCAAGATGGGAAAAAATTATGTACCTATGTAATCAACAAAACAGAGTACGAATGATGGAGAGTTAGTTGAAAGAGCATCTTTTTTTTTTTTTTTTATAATATGTAACAGCGGATTGTACGCTGCTGGCATCACATTCCTTGAAGCCCTCTCAAGTGGATCATCTCTATTTCCATAGAGAAGGGCTTATCTAACCTGTGGCCCCCAGGCCACATGTGGCCCAGGACAGCTTAGAATACAGCCCAACACAAATTCATAAACTTTCTTAAAACATTATGAGATTTTTTTTTTTGTGATTTTTTAAAGCTCATCAGCTATCATTAGTGTTAGTGTATTTTATGTATAGCCCAAGACAATTCTTCTTCCACTGTGGCCCAGGGAAGCCAAATATTGGACACCTCTGATGTAGAACCTTCATTATCATTATAAAGGGTTTCATTCTGGACATTTATTTTTGCCCACCCCTCACTCCCCTTACCATTTTCATCCAGTCCTGTGACTTTACGTATGATCCTAGTGCTGATGACTTTAAACTAATATCACTAGCCTTCATATCTCCTCTGAGATATATCTGACATCTCTACTAAAAATCTAGTAGGCACCTCAGACTCCACATGTCTAAAACGAAATTCTTGAATCCCTGCCTAAAATCCTGTTCCTCTTCCATTTAGCCTCTCCTATCTTGGTGAATAACACTAGTGTCCTATTAGGCTAAATCCTTTGTGTTTTTCAGTTTCTCTATCCTCTCACCCTGACCTCCATTGAAACCATCAGCAAGGATCATCTATTTCATCTCCAAAATATAGCCTGATAACCCCCATGTTGGTTCCTGTCCACCTGGAAGTCTATGATATAGTTTCTCTACTTTGATTCTTACTCCCTTCAAGATGGCCAGTGTGAACTGTTAAAAATGCCTATCAACGTGTGTTACTCCACTCCTTAAACTTAGTTGCTTCTCAGTGCATTTCAAATACAACTATACCGCCTTAAGATGCCTCTCTCTCATTTTCCCATTTTCCTGTTGTTTTTTTCTCTTTTAAATCTTTTAATCAAGCAGACATAAAATTATCATGTTTATCAATTCATTATATTAGTTTACACCCTCCTCCAGAATGTAAACTTCATGAATGTGGGGACCCTGTTTGTTCAGTTCACCACTGTCTGTCTGTATCCCTAGTGCCTACAACAGTGGATATAGTGAGTACTAAGTAAGTGTTTGTTGGTTGAATGAATAAAATGATTACATGAGTAGGAATGGAATAACATCTGTGGTATGCATTTATCAATTCCCACAAAGAAATTAGTAATTTAAAGCTAGGTTAAAGCTGTTTAGCTATTATCATAACTTTTTGTTCCTAAGAGTTTAAGTGGGTTAGGGCCTGATTTGATTAGACTACATCAAGGTAGAAGTTTTTCATTATAATTCCTCTTGATTTTTATTGGCAATATAAAATTCAGAAATGAGGATAAAACAGATAATTTGAAACTTATATGGATAGTCATTTTTCTATAAAAGTTCCATTATCATTACAGTTTAACTGTTAAACATTTAAGTATTAAGTAACAGTTCGTATTTTATTATTATTATTATTATCATTATAGATAGGTAGATAGCTGGAATAAAGATCCTACATCACCCAGATCCTGCCCCCATCCCCTAGAGAAGACAGTGCAAGGCGCTTGGTTGACATTTTTACTGAAACAGCTAAAACCCTTCATTGCCTAAAACCAACGCTTTCCTTACATCCATCCTGAAGATCAAACCTGAATCTCTTTTTATCAGTGCTAAGGAGGGGCCACTAAGAGCATAACTACCCAAAGTGGAGAGGTCCCAGTGGAGATTTATTTAAAACTTTCCCCAGAAGGCCCCACCTCTGGAAATGACCATTCAGAATAGTAACATTTGTTCTCTTTGGAGGAAGAGGAAGAGTTTGAGGATTGGTGAAGAGAAACTGTTAGTTCCTGTTGGAGGCCAGCATACTCTGAAGATATCATTATTTAGATATCTTGCCCATTTTTAATGCAGCAGAGTACTAGCAATTTTTTCTTTCTTATAGAATTACTTTTATCCAGGTCAGTCACTGTAGTTCCTGAAATGATGATTGGTGTATCTGGAAGATACTCAGGAGTGATTCATGGGATGATTTTATTTCCCTTTCATTCATTTAGCCATGACACACTGAGGTCATCTTAAAGTAGCAGATTGTTATCTTCATCTAGCAAAAACAGATAGATTTTAATTGTTATAAAATGTGAATTGCACATAAAGTAGATCTTCCTCAGATCCCTTCTAAAATATATATATATACTTACTAAAAAATGAAAAGAATGTCATTATTAGATGATTACTCCAAAGGTCTGTCCCATGGTGTAGGATTTAGAAATGGTGTTATACGAAGACCCCAAAATAAAATATTTGTCAAGGCTTGCATTTCATTGATACCAACTGATGAATTTTCTGCTGGAATAATAGTAATCACTGTAGAAATCCAAGTACCACTACTTCTAAAGTATTCTTAATATGAGAAAGAAATGCAGAATTCTTAATCGTTGCTATTTTTTTCTTTTCTGCTCTTCTTTAGGTATTCTAATCTGATTTTGAACTTGTTTTCCTTGATGGTTGATGCAAACATTCCAGATATTGCACTTGAACCAGATAAAACTGTGAAAAAGGTAATTTTTAAGTAACATAAATGAAGAGCTCTTCTGTATAATTTTTCCATATTCCAGAATACAACAACCTCTCAAGTCTCTGCAGCCAGTTTTATCCCCTTCCTTGTTCCTGCCCACAGTCACATGAATAGGTTCTCTCATCTGGAGAGACAGTTTGCTTGCTACTCCAGCCCTGCAGTCACAGGGAGGAGGAAGCAGCAGCCCAAAGCTTAAAGAACTGAGCAGAGTTTTCAGCTATTGTCCATCATAGGGAGGATTTATTTTAAAATTGAATTTAGCCAAGTTAACTGCCAGCTACAATGAATCTTCACAAGAACACAACAGAATTCATAGTCTCTCTAACATATCATTTGGAATGTCTATTATCTCTCTTTTTTTTAATAACTAGATGTGTGAATAAACAGAAAATGTGACACTAAGCCAATGAAAAAATAAAACAATCCGTAGAAACACCCTGAGATGACCCATGACCGCAGAAAAGGACTTTAAAGCAGCTGTTACAAATGTCCATGCACCTAAGGGAAAATAAATGCATAATTACTGAACAGATAGGACTATCAATAGAGACATTAAAACTAGGAAGGAAGAACAAAATGAAAATTATGGAACTGAAAGTACAGTAGCTAAAATGAAATATTAATTGGGTAGGCTTAACAGCAGATTGAGTTATGGCATTAGAAGTCAGTAAACTTAAAGATAAATCAATAGAAATTATTTAATTTACTTCCACAGCTTCACTGCCTGTGGAGGAACAGGAACGATGTCAATCATTGGCAAAATAAACTAAACTAGATCTTCTCATATGTCTCCATTCCTATAGAATTTCCCTGTATCCCTGTAAAGGACTACCTCAATAGATCTGTAGTTTCCAAAGATGGGGATTTTTTTTTAGTTCATATTTAAAGTTGTGGTTAATTTACAATAGCCTTAAGTATTAGAACAATTAGTGTATGTGTTAAGAATCTTAAGAACCTAGAGGACAGCCTAACATAAGTCAGTAAATCTGATACCAAATAACTATTTATATACAGTTAACCCTTTGGTATAAAAGAGAATATTTTCATATTTGGTAAATAACATTTTTATGCCAAGTGTATACCTTCTCTTTGTAATTCAGGCACTTATGTAAGTATGCAAGCTTTGATAAATTGGGCTAAAGTTTATTTTGATTCTCCTGCTCTGTAGATTTTTTATTTCCTTAAAAATAGTTCCAAAATTGTCAGATATTCTCTCTGTAAGTAGAAGTTAAGGAAATCAAAAGATCGAACTTAAGGAATATGTTTGTCATTATCTGGGATGCAGACATGAGAGAGCTAGTTCATTGAAGATACAGCCTTAGATGTTCCTCCACCAAATTGTTCTTGTCTTCACTTCTTACATTTACCTCTCTTTTACCTCCTGCTATCTTGTGGCTCAAGCACTCTCAGATCACCTGGTATACCTCCAGTACAGTGAAGAGACAAGGGCACTGAGCTGGGGCTATGGATTGTTGCACTGTTTGTCATTTCTTCTTTGTAGCTTTCTAGTAGTGAAACCCTATACTTCAAACACTAAATGGGGACCACACTTTATCCACTTGGAATCCCCATTTTCTCCTAGCCTGTCTTTGAGAAGTATATGTGGGTTATTTACAAGAGAAAGGAGTAGTCTGTAATGGTTGTGTGTGGTGGCGTAGGATTGTCTGGAAGCATGTGCCAGTTAAGGGTTCTTGAGCCGGCTTCGTGAATTCTCTGTGCCTCAATTTCTGCATATTATCGATGAGATATTATCTACTGTATGTTTGCGTATCAGTCGGATGAAATGTTGCATGTATAATATTTGGCATGGCATTTTGCACAAAGTAGTTCTTCAGTAACATTGACTTTTATATATATATAAAATATACGCACATAAATATACATACTAGTTTTTCTAGTACTTAATGCTACTGAAAATCAAGTGTAGCTTTAAATAAGACTAAAAAAATTATTTTATCTTTGGAAACGATAGACCTATTGATGTAGTTTTGTGTGGGGATGTAGGGAAATTCAATAGGAAAGGAAACCTTAGAAGATCACATTTAGTTTGTCAGTGATTGACATTGTTCCTGTTCTCATATAGACACTGAAGGTATGGGAGAATATTAATATAATCTCACCTTGCTTCATCCAATTCACAAGGAATAACAGGAATAAAGTGGATTATTAATAAACATTCCACAATTTAAATCATATATAGTAACTCTAGATTTTAGATTAAAAAAAAAGGCACACCTTTAGTTAAAAGAGCAGTTTTTCTGTTTTTGAGATGTAGGGCCCTAAGAAATATTTCTTCTTTTCTTTTTTCTTAAAAACTGTTTACAACCAACAAGAACAAGGTGATATACAGAGCATATAACAAAAACAGCAAACTTCCACACTCCAAAGAATGCCATTCAGAATTCTAATAAGTTACAGGTCATTTATTTGCCATAGGAATAGCTCATGTTACCTTATAATGTCTGCATCAGTTTGATTCTGCCTGTTCAAAATGTGCCCTATTTTTCTTCGTTGTAAAGACTAAGAGTGTTATCTTATAGGTTCAGGATAAATTCCGCTTAGACCTGTCGGATGAAGAGGCTGTGCATTACATGCAGAGTCTGATTGATGAGAGTGTCCATGCTCTTTTTGCTGCAGTGGTGGAACAGATTCACAAGTTTGCCCAGGTAAGTTCCCTGAGTGCAGTGCATTTTTCTCACCTTCTCCGTGTACTGCCCCAGAGTCCTTGGAGAGCCATGCATTTCTCCTGCCAGTTGACATCTTTTCTGTTTTTCTATCAAGTCGTTTTGACATCTCACCAGCCAGCTGAAGTGAATTGTGTTTCACACGTTACTAATTCCAAAACATCTGCTTTTCTTAGTAATGACTAACTTCTGGAGCACCAGCATAGGTATTTTTGTTCTTTGCAGTCAGTGGTGATTATACGTCCTCTTGAGAATGATTTTGGATCCAGCAGAGGCCTTAGCAATTGAAACTTGGACACTTGTTGGGTTTTGGTGAATGATGAAGTGCTGGGAAAGTTTAGAAGCTAAGAAAAGCAATCCACATCACACACCAGAAAGGTCTATCCATAGACTTACTATTAGCAGTATCCACAGATAAGTGAGGGATTACCCCTTTATGGTAAACTTCAGATTTAAAACCCATTTTAATTATGAATTGCATAATAAGGATGACTATGAAAATGGTTAGCAAACGGAAAAATTAGGCTGCTTTTTTCTTCTATGCCCTCACCTCTCCTGTGAACTCCTTCCTGGTGTTACACATTCACTTAATGATTTTCCTAATCATCCAAGCTTAAAGCTTGTCTGCTTTGAATTTTCCCTCAGCCAGTGACCAGTATCTCACCAAGCCGTGTTTGTTTCTTTAACCTTTTTAACCCAGTTTTTTTAAACTTTATGATACCTAGGTGTGTGCAGTTTCCTCATTGCCTAACAGCGAAGTCAAATCTCTGGCAACTTAAGGCCTTCTAGAATATTGTGTTCTATGCTGCTTTTCAAGCTGTTGTGTAATACTCTCTTTCTCTAAATATTTTGTTGTCTTTCATCATAGTGGACAACTTTGCTGCTGTCATTTCTTCAGCCCAGAAATCAATCTTCTTAATAATGTATCTTCTGTAAACTTCTACATGGCAAAATCCAACCTGTCCTCCAAGAGCTCTTAATGCTCTTTGATTGATCTTTCTCTAAATTTCTGTATGTTTTCTACCTTTATTACGACTTGCACTTATGTTTTGCTTTCTTTTTTTCCTTCCCCCCACCTCCCACTTTTCCCACATTAGCTGATGTTTTGCTTTTTATTATAGATATTTAGATTCCCGGGGCCAGGCGCGGTGGCTCACGCCTGTAATCCCAGCACTTTGGGAGGCCAAGGAGGGTGTATCACGAGATCAGGAGATCGAGACCATCCTGACTAACACAGTGAAACCCTGTCTCTACTAAAAATACAAAAAATTAGCCAGGTGTGATGGCGGGCGCCTGTAGTCCCAGCTACTCAGGAGGCTGAGGCAGGAGAATGGCATGAACCTGGGAGGCGGAGGTTGCGGTGAGCTGAGATTGTGCCACTGTACTCCAGCCTGGGCAACAGAGCGAGACTCCGTCTCAAAAAAAAAAAAAAAAAAAGAAATAGATATTTAGATTCCGTTATAACTCTTCAAATACAGACTTCCTGAAGGCTGGGCTTTGTCTATCAGTCACCTAGTAGTGCAATGCCTTATATACTTAAAAAATATTTAATGAACATAAAGGAATTCCTGCCTCTAGATGTTAGCTTATACTCTTTTTCTAGCTCAATAAAAAGGTGTTTTTCCCTGAACACCAGTCTTGATCATATTTTTATTACAAGGGCTGCCTCAGGGTCTGCTTCATGGGTCATTAATTGTAACCAATCATTTGTTGAGAATAAATTGTGATTCAAATAGTATGTGACTCATCAAAGTCAACCAGCTAGCTAAAGGTGGACCTTGCTCTACATATAGCAGAACAGAATATTTTAGAGGTATAGGGGGAAAAAGGCCAGAGAGATATCATGACCACTTGACATCTGTGACAAACAAGGGACAAAACCAAGACTTAAACCCAAATATTTTGACTCCCATATTTAGTATTTTTTAAACCAGATCTTTTCAGTGTCTTGCTCATCACTATACTACATTAGTGTCAATCAAACTTTTCCTGGCCACGGCCCATCTCTGTGTGTGTACACCTTATTTTTTTCTTTTTTTAAGCTCAACTAGTTAAAACATGCTTGAAGTCAGAAACTCTTAACTTCTGTGTCTTTGCATTTCTGTAGCAGGGGATTTACCCGTTGTAGTTGGTCATTTATATTTTATCTTACTCCATCTCTATCTACAAGTGTAGAAATATCTCTCCATCATGGGTTTTCCTTATTCCATACTTGTAGATTCTGGTTTTTCTCCTTTGTTTTCCTGGAGAATGATATAATGGAGCTAAAACTCCAAACTTGAAATTAGTGCTGCTGCCTAACACTGATTTCAGTAATCTATAGCTACACAAGCATCTCCAGACTTAGTAGCTGAAAAAGCAATAATGATTTGTTATTTCTTACTTAGGATGCTTCAGTCAGGAATTTAGCTAGAGCCCAGCTATGAGGTTTTTTTGTTTGCTGTAATGTTAGCTGGCTTCACTCCTTCAGCTGTATTCGACTGGTAGTTGGGTTTGTCTTGGAGGTCCAGCAAAGCTTCACTCAATAGGTCTGGCACTTAGGTGTTCTCTGCATGGACTATCTCTCTCCACTTCCTCTGTCATCATTTCAGACTCCTGCCCAAACTGCTGCTCTACAGCATGGTGACTGATTTCCCCAAGAGGATATGAAGGCAGACGTGGCAGTCCTCTTAAAATAAGTCCCAAGAGCAGCCCAGATTCACAGAGAGAAAAAATAGATTCTGCCTCTTGACAGGAGGAGAGAGTTGCATATGCAGAAAAGAGAGGAATTAAGTAGCATTTTTGAAGATTTCACTGCCACTCAGCTAATGTGCTCCAGCTTAAAGTTGAGCCTTCAAGTTCTGTAAAATGAATTAGTGGCATGCTTTATTTTAGTGGTCTAGTTTTGAAATTCTATTGTTAATTTGCATAAGATGCCCATTTTGCTTGCTGGATCTAAAAATAGAAGGGCCATTTTTCTTAATTCTCTTTATTAAAAATGGAGGAGAAAAAGAGGTTGATAAAAAGTAGTAGTTTTTAGGGGGCCATAGTATTATTTAGGGGAGCTAGTAATAGAAGGACTTTGGTTTACCAAAGTCTCTGGGCCTCAGTTTTCACACCTATAAAGTGATTGACATTGAGGTTAAAACATCTGTTTTTGATATAAATTTAATATAATGTCAAAGGTTAATTGCTTTATAAAGCTAATGTTGACTACTGCAAGGGTTGGTAAATGAAATCTGCCTCTCCCCTCTCCCCATCTTAGGGATGGTTACATTGTGAAAGTTGCTGAGAGCTCTTTGAGTTATTGGCGTGTACCTATTCTTCTATTCATAGAGAAAATAAAATATGAATGGCAAAACGAATTGGTAAAATTGCAGTGGGCATGCTCTTAAATTAGGGAGGGATCATTTTATACACATTAACAGATTATTATAATTCTTGAGAAGAAACATTAAGTCTGTTTCCTAGGTTCCTGTTTTCTAGTTCTTCATTACAATAGTAGATACGATGTAGAAATCCTGTAATTAACATTACTTTAGCCTTGGTTGTTACAGGCTCTTTTGGACTAGGATAGATTGTTGATAACCTTGATAATCAAAGTTACTGCCACATGAAAATAAGAGTTAAGAACAAATATTTGAATTATTCTAACAGTCTAAGGATCACCATCTTAGATTTGTAAAACTGGAGGTTTATTGCAGCATGAATATGTAGATGAACTTTTTAAATATCATTTCTTAGCTCTCCAGTTTACAGTGATGGACAGTGTTTGGGACAATAACAGCTTCAACATTTATTGGAATGTATTTCATACAATGCTTCCCATTTTTAATTAAATAACCATTACTGTGATAATACAAGTATGTTTTAGTGTTATCCCTATTTTATAGATGAGAAAACTGAACCACATAAAAAGTTGTTTTCAGCCTGGCTCAGTGGCTCATGCCTGTAATCCCAGCACTTTGCAAGGCCAAGGCAGGCGAATCACATGAGGTCAGGAGTTTGACACCAGCCTGACCAACATGGTGAAACCCTGTCTCTACTAAAAATACAAAAATTAGCCAGACGTGGTGGCGGGCACCTGTAATCCCAGCTAGTCGGGAGGCTGAGGCAGGAGAATCACTTGAACCCAGGAGGCAGAGGTTGCAGTGAGCCAAGATCACTCCACTGCCCTCCAGCCTGGGCAACAGAGTGAGATTCTGTCTCAAAAAAAAAAAAAAAATTAATAAAATAAAAGAAAACTTAGTTAGTTGTTCTAACTTATCAGACAGATTCAGTTCTTTTTTACCAGAATTTCATACTCTTTATCCTAAGGGATGAACTTAAAAATGTTTGTGATATTTCTTAGATTTCCTTAAATATATAATTTGTGCTCCAAAATAAGGGTTACCTATGGATGTTTAATTTTACTGGAACTTGTTTAGGCACTGAAGCATACATGGGATGCTAAATAAGGTCTTAGCTTCATACAAATCTTTTCAAATAACAATTATAAAAGCATAGTTGTTTCTTAATTGATCTCTGGAGTTTATTTTCTCTTTGAAACTCACTTGTCTACATATATTGTCTAAGTATTGATACTAATAAATCACATAGGCATTCAAATTCAGATGACTGGCATCTATTTTTTTGTCACTTGTAGTCATCTATTATAATGATGCAATATTGTTAATCGATTTATGGTAATTTTAGTACATTCCCATTAATCATTGTGGATAGTAGAACCAACTTTTTAAAAAATGGGAGTAGATTAATACATGCTTAAAGAATTACAGATATTTCAGCATAAAAGAAACAACATTCAAAAAGAAGACTAAGAGTTACTAGATACAACTATTATATCCAAATGCTACAAAAGCTTGTTTTCTTTCATCATGCAATTCCTTAGGAAGGGTAGAGATTAAACACTGCAATATTTGTTTCCTAGCAACACCCACATATTAGTGATACAAATTTTCCACTGGAAAACAATTTTATTTTGGTCATTGTCTTTGAAATTGCATCATTGTAACCCTTCTCTATGCCAAAATGATCTTTTTTGGCATCTTGTTCTGTCGCCCCCCACTGGAGTGCAGTGGTACAATAATGGTTCACTGCAGCCTTGACCTCCTGGGCTTGAGTGATCCTCCTGCCTCAGCCTCCCTGGTAGCTAGGAGTACAGGCATGCACCACCATACCCAGCTAATTTTTAATTTATTTTTTTGTAGAGATGAGGTCCGACTATGTTGCCCAAGCGGTTCTCAAACTCCTGGCCTCAAGCAATCCTCCTGCCTCGGCCTTTTGAGTGCTGGGATTACAAGCACGAGCCACCATGTCTGGCCTTGAAGTGATCTTTACAGTGCTTTCGAGGGTTGTATACGTGGGAAAGATAGAGGTCATATAGTTTGGGTCATGTACAGTTGCACAAGTAGGCCTTTCACTGGTGATCTCTTACACTGCAGTCCATTTCCTGTTTCTGCTTCTCCCTGTCATCCTTTCTTTTCATTTATGGTAGTAAAAATCTTGAGAAAGGGGTGTGTTTTCCAGTAATGTTAATACATACTAAATCTAATTAATTAAATCTTGGCAGATTAACTAGAGACAGAGGTTTTTGTTTTTCAGAATGACTGTAAAAAAATAAATAACCAATAGATTGGGTTCAGAAGGTTCAGAAGTTCCAGCTCAAGATACTAGGAACATAGCACTGCTGTCCATTTAAAGGGAATCCTTACTCATCACTTGCAGTGTTCAAGGAGGAAAAGCACACGTCTAGGCAGAGAGACACCTGATTCTATAGTCACTTATTCTTAAGTTAGAGACCAGTTGCCTTTAGCTTAAGGGAATTCAACTGTGATATATTTGGGTGGATTTCAAAACAAAAGAAACAAAAAAAATGGAAGGAGGAAAATGGTGTGGTTATTCTGCTTGAATTTCCCCTAAAGAATACCTGTCCTCTAAGGAATGTGACAGTGGCTCTCTCAAAAGTGTTTCAGTTATCAAGTGCCTCTCATGCATAACATGGCATCTTACTACGCTGAAGGTGATCCCAAAATTGAAAATTCTGAGTGTTTGGTATTTATATCACAGTTTCTAAGTGCAAACCAGTTGCTGCTTAACCAGAGAAACAGGGTTTTCTTGTGTCATTGCTGAGGGAAAAGCTTCTGATTTTGGACTTTTTAAGAGATACATGTCTCTTATGTGCTGCCTCCTCAAGGGCTTTTCTTGAGTAATTTTTTTTTTTTTAATTTGTATTCCTGTTTTTCCTTTCTATGTTGACTTTAGCACCTAAACCCAGTGTAGAGTGATTTCACTTTATTTGCTGTCCTCTTTCATCTTCTTTAAGAAGGCAACCTTCTAGGTCAGTGAGTGAGTCTCTTGGTTTTCAGAATTGGGAACTAAGACCATTCAAGCCCATTTCTCCTTGTATTTCTCTAGGTAAAGTACAAGCATTTTCTGTGTTCAGAGTATGTATAAAAACATTTACCTTAGGTTTATGTGTATATTCACAGCACCTTTGACAGTTAAGAGATCAGTACTTGTGCTGGTGTTAACTCTTCCATTTTTTAGTTACTTGAAAGTCGCTCTTTCCTGGGTCAGTGGAATTTTGTTTTTGTTTTTAAGCTTTTGAATAGTAAATGTAACAATAGTAAATGTTTAGATATACTTACAACCCTAGTCTGTTAGTCTTAAATATACCATAATGTGTTTTCATTTGATGAACTTTGTTTGAAATTTGATCTTACATGATACATTAGCAAAGCTAGTTCTGTTTTAGGACCATACATAGCTAATACTCTTTTTGGAAAAGGAGAACTATCACACACAGGAATTTTTGTTTATGTTTTTTTTCTTTAATTTATTTAAAGTCCTTACTCCCAGACTTGTAGTATAATTTTGGGTCTTGATTTCAGGTGAACAGATAAGTAGAAAATAAACTATATCTTAATTCTTTAATGAGAATGTACTCTCCTTTAACAAACATGTAATTGGCTTTAATAATAAAAATGTTGATAAAACTCTAATTCATGAATTTATTATTTCCTGCTGTAAATATTAAGTGGCATTTAGTATTTAGTTGTGAAACCGATACATAAGTATGTAGCTGCAAAACAAACTATTGCAGGTTTAAAGCATTACTAGTACTCGTATGTTAAATATAAGTACAGATCTTTTTATATGTGTGTTTTGTTTTTATAGCATTACTTTATTCATACTAACTTTCCATTTTTTTTCTTTTGGTGACCCACTTTTGCCTCATATTCTCTCTTTGTACTTTTTGAAACTTCCCTTTTTATGTAAATTGACCACTAACACTGAATTCCGTTTTGCAAATTGAAGCTCTTTACCCTTTCATGTTCCCTCATACGTGCCAGACTAGAGAACATGGGATGCTCTCTAGTTTTAAATTGTGTTTTACTTAAGTACCTACTCATACTTCCCATGAGGTTGAAAGCCGTGTAGCCTTGAGTACTCAAATAGCCATGTACAAAGGTAAAAAGTTCATATCACTCAGTATATGTAATTCATATAGTCTCCCTTTATATTTAGTTCTTCTTATTTTACCACTTTAAACAAGTGTGACTCTTTTTATAATAACTAAAATTTGTTTGGAACATCAGGTTTTATCCTACTTTATGGATGCAAAATTGTGACCTAAAAAGAAGAGAAAAATCATCATTTCTGAGTTTCCATTTTTAGGGACCTAATTTTATCATTAGGAATGAAGAATAGCAGTGTAAAATATTTCAGTGAACAAAACAAAAAGTATTGATTTGGGGGTCAAATAGAAATCCTTTTAATCTAAAACAAATTATTTTTAATTTAGTAATTAATTTTCTAAAGAATGAGATGATTCCCTTACCAGTGGCTTAAGTAAATAATGTAACACCAATATATCACACACAGCTTTTTTTCATTCTGTCTCCCAGATCTAATTTATTTGAATTTTTCTTGGCAGAAATAACAACAACAGGAAAAATCATTAATAGCAAAGTATTGAACATTTAAATGTGCCAGGAATTATGTAAAGTTCTTTCTCTGTATCAACTCTTAATTCTCACACCTGTGAAGTAAGTGTACTACAAGTTATGTATTTACAGATGAGAAAACTAAGGTTAATAGATGACAAAGCCCAGATTCAAACTCAAAATATTTTGAGTCCCAGATCTAGTCCTATATTTATAAGTAATAATATGTATATAAATACATAATATACATTTATATATATGTATTTTTATATAAATGTTTATATATAAGATATTTAGTAACTAGTGACTATTTCCAGTCACCAGCTGCATTAGCCCTTACCAAGAAAGTCAGCCTGTCCTTTGAAGCCAGACTTTGACTTCTCTGTAGCATGAAAGTCCTCTGTGGCATCTTATTCCATTAGAAAGCTGTTTCATCTGCACTGAAAATCTGTTCTCTAGTGTAGTCACCTTCATCAGTGATCTTAGCTAGATTGTAGATAACCCGTGTGCAGTTCTTCCATCAGTACTGAAAATCTGTTCTCTAGTGTAGTCACCTTCATCAGTGATCTTAGCTAGATGGTAGATAACCCGTGTGCAGTTTCTCCATCAGCACTGGCTGCTTTACCTTGCATATATATATATATATATATATATATATATATGCGCATATATATATATATATATGCGCATATATATATATATGCACATATATATATATGCACATATATATATGCACACATATATATATGCACATATATATATGCATATATATATTACATATTCATACACATACACACATACATACATATATCAAAGTCTTAATTTAGAGACCTGAATAGCTTTTGTTGTGAGTAGTGAGTTTTTAAAATTTTACTTGTAAATTTAAATTATCTTTTAACTTTTCTTAATCTTTCACCTACCCATCAAAGAAAAAAACGTTAGCTGTGTAAACAGACAAGTAAGTGTGATATATAAAGGAGTCGCCAGGAGCTGTTAATCCAAGATAAATAGGATAAATGTGGGATAACATTTATTTTGCACATTGGCCAAAACTAGTCTTGAATTTCATTGACCCACCTGTGCTCTCTTGTTCCACTGCAGTCAGCATTGCTGCACAACTACCCATTAAAACACATGATATTTAAAAAACAAAGAATACAGGCACTTGCTATATGACAAATGTTTGCAGCTTGTAAGATTAGTTAATTATTGTAATAGCAAGAGTCAGCAGAATGCCCCATAATTTTCAGCCCAAATGCCTTGCAGTTTATTTCTCATTCATACAAATTTAATTTTCTTATCTTCTCCAAAGAAGATTTTTAAACACTTGAATGTCATCCTTGATAGGGTTTGCCATGTTTGCTTCATTAACTGCTTTTAGTAAGGTTAGTTTTATACTGTTGTTTTCTTTCCCTCTGTGTTCTGTCAAAACCTTTTATAAAAATTCTTCAAATGTACAGTAGTTGAATATTTTGGGACTGTCTCTGCTATATGTTTTTTATTTTTATTTTTTTCCTAAAGACACAGACATTTCAAAGTATTTGGGAAAAAGAAGGCATACCTTAAAGATTTTTTGATCTGAAGTCCAGACCACTGCAATAAATGACTTTTTTGTTTTCCCAGTGCATATAAAAGTTATGTTTACATGATACTATGCAGTAGCATTATGTCTTTAAAAACTATGTGCCTATCTTAAAAATATTGCTAAAAAATGCTTAACAATCATCTGAGCTTTCAGTGAGTTGTAATCTTTTTGCTGGTGGAGGGTCTTGCCTTGATGTTGATAGCTGCTGATCAGGGTGGTGGTTGCTAAAGGTTGAGTAGTTGTAAATCTGTGAAGTTTGCCACATCAGTTGATTCTTCCTTTCACAAAAGATCTCTCTGTAGCATGTGATGCTGTTTGATAGCATTTTGCCCAGAGTAGAACTTTTTGCAGAATTGGAGTCAACCCTTTCAAAACTTGCTGTTGCTTTATCAACTAAATTTATGGAATATTCTAAATCCTTTGTTGTCATTTCAACAATGTTCAAAGCATCTTCACCATGAATTGATTCCATCTCAAGAAACCACTTTGCTTATCCAGAAGGAGGAACTCCTCATCTGCTCAAGTTTTATCATGAGACTGCAGCAATTCAGTCACATATTCAGGCTCCACTTCTAATTCTTGTTCTCTTGTAGTTTCCACCACATCTGCAATTACTTCCTCTACTGAACTCTTGAACCCCTCAAAGTCATCCATGAAGAATGGAATCAACTTCTTCCGAACTCCTATTAATGTTGATATTTTCACCTCCTCCTATGAATCTCAAATGTTCTCAATGGCATCTAGAATGGTGAATCCTTTCCAGTAGGTTTTCAATTTGTTTTGCTGAGATCCATCAGAGGAATTACTATCTGTGGCAGCTATAGCCTTACGAAATGTATTTCTTAAATAATAGGACTTGAAAGTAGAGTAACTCCATGATCCATGGGCTGTAGAATGGATGTTGAATTAGCAGGCATTAAAACAACATTAATCTTTTGGTATATTCCATCAGAGCTCTTGGATGACTGGGTACATTGTCAATGAACAATATTTTGAATCTTTTTTTCTGAGCAGTAGGCTTCAACAGTGGGCTTAAAATTTTCAGTAAACCGGCCGGGCGCGGTGGCTCACGCCTGTAATCCCAGCACTTTGGGAGGCCGAGGCGGGTGGATCATGAGGTCAGGAGATCGAGACCATCCTGGCTAACAAGGTGAAACCCCGTCTCTACTAAAAATACAAAAAATTAGCCGGGTGCGGTGGCGGGCGCCTGTAGTCCCAGCTACTCGGGAGGCTGAGGCAGGAGAATGGCGTGAACCCGGGAAGCGGAGCTTGCAGTGAGCCGAGATTGCGCCACTGCAGTCCGCAGTCCGGCCTGGGCAACAGAGCGAGACTCTGTCTCAAAAAAAAAAAAAAAAAAAAAAAAAATTTTCAGTAAACCATATTATAAACAAATATGATATCATCCAAGCTACTGTTTCATTTGTAGATCAAAGGCAGAGTAGATTTAACATAATTCTTAGGGGCCCTAGGATTTTCAGAGTGGTAAATGAACATTGACATCAACTAAGTCACCAGCTGCATTAGCCCCTACCAAGAAAGTCAGCCTGTTTTGAAGCTTTGAATCCAGACATTGACTTCCCTGTAGCGTGAAAGTCCTATGTGGCATCTTATTCATTAGAAGCCTGTTTCATCTGCATTGAAAACCTGTTACTTAGTCACCTTCATCAATGATCTTAGCTAAATGGTAGATAACTTGTGTGCAGTTTCTTTATCAGCACTGGCTGCTTTACCTTGCACTTCTATGTTATGGAGATAGCTTCTTTCTTTAAACCTCATCAACCAACCTCTGCTACCTTTAGACTTCTCTTCTGCAACTTCCTCATCTTTCTCAGCCTTTATAGAATTGAAGACAGTTAAGGCCTTGCTCTGCATTAGGCTTTGGCTTATGGGGATGTTGTAGCTGGTTTGGGCTTCTATCCAGACCACAAAAACTTCCTCCATATCAGCAATAAAGCTGTTTTGCTCTCATCATTCGTGTATTCACTAGAGTAGCATTTTAATTTCCTTCAAGAACATTTCTTTGCATTTAAAACTTGGCTCTTTGATGCGAGAGTCTTAACTTTTGGCCTATCTGAGCTTTTGATATGCCTTTCTCACTAGGCTTAATCATTTCTAGGTTTTAATATAAAGCCAGAGATATGCGACTCTTCCCTTTCACTTGATCACCTAGAGGCCCTGATAGCGTTCTTAATTGGCCTAATTTCCATATTGTTGTGTCTTAGGGAGGCTTAAAGAGAAGAAGAGAGATAGGGGAATGGCCAGTTGGTGGAGTAGTCAGAACACATGTAATATTTATCAATTAAGTTTGCCATCTTATGCAGACACGGTTCGTGGTGCCCCAAAACATTTACAATAGTGATAACGAAGATCGCTGATCATAGATCACCATAGCAGGTGGAATAGTAATGAAAAATTTTGAAATATTATGAGAATTACCAAACTATGACACAGAGACACAAAGTGAACATAAGCTGTTGGAAAAAATGGCTCTGATAGACTTGCGCAAGCAGAGTTGCCACAGGCTTTCAATTTGTTAAAAAAAAACAAAACAAAACAGTATCTGTGAGGTGCAGTAAAGCTAAGCACAATAAAACAAGGTATGCTGGTATATTAGAGACCTTTGGTTCAATAGCAACATTTTTGTCATACATAGACGCATACACGTGTACATATGCAGTTTTTCATTGCGTCCAAATTACTTCCAAGTTATTTAGACTCCCTCGTATGTTAGTGTAGACCCTTTGCAGTTTGGCTTTTACCTGCACTTTCAACCCTTATCATCTTCAAAAGCCTTCAAAAAGAACCTTCTTTGTAGCTCTGTTGATTCACCGCCGCTACCTCCAGGCAACACACCTCTTCTCTTTGCATGGAATGAGTTCCCTCTTATTTCCCCAACTTTTGAGTGTGTGTGTGTGTGTGTGTGTGTGTGTGTGTGTGTGTATGTAAGAGAGAGAGTGTGTGTGTGTGTGTGTGTGTGTGTGTGTATGATTCTGTCTATATTAATTTGGTCCTCGGGCATTTTGTCTTAATTTGAGATCTCCCACAGAATCTGAGACACTTCCTGGCACATAGTAGGCACCAAATAAACATATGTGGTTTTATATGAGTGCCGAGTACCATTTCTTTAGGAAGTTTATTTTCTCTGATAATTGCCTTTAGTAAAAATATTTAAATTGCTTCTTAAATTCTAAATTACATTATTTTTATTCACATGAAAAATAAATCTTGCCAATTTTTTTCTAGAGTGACACTTTAAAATGTGTCAGATTAAAAGCCATCAACATCTTGGCATTTTTCACATTTGTACATGTACACATGCATGTGCACACACACACAGACACACTTGTCAGCAAGGTGTTTTGCCTTCACTTTTTCTCTGAGTAATAATGAAGTGAAGGTCTTAGAAACAGAATTCATGTAAGCAGCATTCATAATTCCTCCAAGAGAATGCCAGTATATTTGTATCAAACAAAAAGGGCACGAGTTATGGATGACTCAGTGTATATTCAGCCAAACAAAGAAATCTTCGTTGATTTTATTCCTACTGGGGATATCTCAGTATTGAACACCATTAATAGTGTTGGCCCCAAAACAGCTCTTCACTAGGCCTCTCGACTTCTTCCTTTGATTTGATTTCCAGACCATTTCTGGAATGAAGTAGTTGCACTCTCTGGGATAAGCTACAGGTTTTCACAGCCTCTCAAAATGTGGCACCAAGAACCAAGCACACTACTCAAAATCACTTTATCTAAATCACTTTAGAATTCAGTGGAATTTTTGCCTTCCTAGTGCTGGATGAGATGATTTTTGCTTGTCTCGTGTTAATTACATTCATCTTGAGCTTACAGTCAGCAGACACCCTCTCCTTGAATTATTTTCTCATATAAACTGATTTTTAAGTGAAGCCTCAGGAATCCTATACAGTATAGTTAATTGCAATCCTCTTGGTAGCATTTAGCAAACTAATTAATGCACTTTTTATTTTATTAGTAGTCTTTTTTAAAACTATAGACTATTGTTTATCTTTGTGAATAATTAAGTAAATTATTTTCTGTTTATTTCTTTTTAATTTTTGTAGTACTGGAGAAAATGAAACTGGGATTGACCCATCAAGATGCTTGGCTCAATAAGAAAACCACGTTAGGAGCAACCTTTGTATATTGGAGACTTCAGAGTAACCAGCAAGGAAGAGAAATCTTAATCTTCAAGTTACCATATTTTCCAAATATTACATGGTACCTGAGTTCTGCTTCCTTGGATGTCATTGCTTAAATATAGTCTTGAAGGGCTTGTTTTGAAATATTGTATATATTTTTTCAAATGTATACATTGTTAATAAATTAAGAAATGAGAAACATTCTTATTTATGTACATGTTATGAGAGTTCTGGAGGAAGTAATATGTTGAAATAGTAAAACATTTTAGTTTTTGAGTTTAAAATGTTATTTTTTCCTCTTATATCTTCATATCAGGACAGCAGTAACCTGAATTTAGATTGTCACAGTTTACAAGTTTTTGTTTGTTCCTTCTTTCCTCTCTCTTCTCCCACTCACTTTTGTGTGTTGTTTGTTTTTGCCTAATTTACATGTTTAAAGTTCTACTTAAAATTTTTCTTCAAGTTTTACATGTGATGGCTCATTCTTCTGCAGTTCAAGAATTGCTTATATTTTTAGAAGATACTCATTTTCTCTTACAAATAATTAATTTTTTGTAAACTACAGTTAATAGTTCTTCTAGCTTGTAAGTGTGTAAAGTAGAATATGAAAATGTGGCTATTTAGATAACTGGCCAAAAGGTCATATGACCACCAGTTTTAGTATTGAGCATAAGATATTTTTACATATTCATGTAAGACAATGTAAATTGTCTTTCTGCAATAAATTTTTTGGATGCAAATTTAGATTTCAAAAGCTTTTTGATGTTATAAAGGAGTTGAGGAACAAAAAGCTCTTTGAAATAGCTCACCTAGACCTGTTAATGTAATATATTCTTTCTGAATTAAGCAAAATTTTTTTTGTCTTTTAAGACTAGAACTAATCCCTCTAGCTTTTTTACTGGAACTTTGGGGAAAAAGAACAAATACAAATATACAAATGATATGAACAATATGGTAATAATCTTTTGCAACTTAATATGTTACATAGTCATATGACTTGGTCTTGGAAGAAAAAGAATTGTTTTGGTGCTGAATAAATATTAGAAATCAAGTGACAGAGAAGATGAAGGTAAAATTGTGGCACAGTTTCAGAGAATGCCGTTAATGATAACGTGTTATTTGTCTCAAATTCTTAGCCCTGGGCTTGCCTCTTCAGAGTGGGGTTACCGGCGAGAGGGCAAGCATGTAATTAAGAGACACTCTAGAGGCATATGGAATATAGTTTGTATAAAACATACCTGCTGATTAGAAAAATGGTAAAAATGAAAATACCTTTGTACATCATCTTAAGAGAGCTTATATATAAACTAAATGGGCAGGCTCCATCGTCTACCTTTCTTTTTCTTTTCTTCACATGTTTATGTCTTTTTTGTTATTAGTCAGACATTTTTAGCCCTCTGTATGCTCATTCTTGTAGTTCTATTTCTATTGAAACTTCCTCCAAAACTTTTCTCTGAATTACCCTTGTTGAAACTGACCTTTCTTCCGTGTGAACTCCTACACTTGCATCTCCTATTTCAGGATTTGGCATACTTTTTCTTTAATGGGCTAAGAAAGTAAATATCTTCAGCTTTGGGGGGCATATGATCCCAATAGCATCAACTTAACTCTGCTAACTGGAAGGCAAAAGTGTATCATCTTACTCGTCTTTATAAACTCCACAGCACTCTGCATAGATATGACCATGTTTATAAGGAACTCAATAAATAATTTTGACACAAACATGAAATTCTAGAAGGGCAGACACTGACAACTAGTAAGGAAGTTGATCATGAGTAACTTTGTATTCAGTGCCACCTTAACAAGAATTGTAAAGAGGATAAACCTTTCTAGGAAGGTTGATGCGTGTTGGGTGAGGAAGGAGCATCTCTCAGGAGGGTAAACAGTAGCTGTGGTTTTGCTGAGAGATTTTGGCTGTGAGTGACAAGCCTATATCAAAAAGAAAAGTGGCTTATCAATCTCAGTTTTTATTGCTCAAAGCAATTCTTTACTCCTATTTTTTCCAAATTCCATTGTTTTTACTCTTTAGAGCTCTATCCTCAGAGTGTAGTCTGCATATTTCTTTATTATCATTGCCATGTGACTTCTTTGGTGACAAGTTCAGTGATATTTCAAGCATGATGTTTTGAGTTTGAGAAATGTATTTGTGAGGACACATCACTTTAATTAAAAAAGTGTGAGTACTATGGTCATTAAGTTATTCAGAGTGAGATTTCTGAGAGGAGAAGAGAGAATGTAGATGGCAGTTATTGAGAGTGGGGCTATAGGACAAAAAGAAGAAAAGTATGGTTAACATTGCCAAATAAAGGGTCATACAGCCTTGCTTTTTGCTGGAGTTAGCAAAAATCATTCTCCATATGATAGTTTTAGATGTTCCCCAGCTCATTTGTATTATTGAGTTTTCAGCTGGGTATATATTATAATAACAGTCAACATGATGTAGGGGCTCAGTATTACATGGCAGGGCTATACTAATTGCTTCATATGCCTTATCTCATTATTCTGTGAGATAGAATTGTCTCCTCATTTTTTAGTTGAAATAACTGAAGTTTAAAGCAATTGAATCATCTGCCCAAGGATAAGCTGCTGGTGAGAGCAGAGTTGGGATTTGAAGTCGAGTTAGACCCCAGTGATCACAGTCTTGACGATTAAATTCTTCCAGCTTTCATTTTTCACTGAGATAATGGTAGTGATAGTACTGACCTCTAATGTGTGCATTTGTGGGTATGTGGTCCATTCAGCTTTAATCCCCAGAAGACAAGGCTTATTCCTTTTCTTATTTTTGGTCATGTTTTATTTTTCCATTGCTTTTAACAGGATTACCAAAGGCACACTCAGTAGTCAGTAAACACATTTCTAGGAAAGGTGTTGTGTCATCATGCCACATATTCATACTTTCCTTGGGTTGGAAAATAGATCATTCAGTAAAAACATACAGGAAAAATGAATCTTGCCAATGCAATTGTTAACCTACAACCATAATATACCTTAAGTATATTTTTGCACATAAGTATAACATTGCGATTTAAAACAATAAACCAGATTGAGATTCTAAGGAGCATTTTGTAAGTAATTACTAATGTTTATTTTAGAGAGATCACACAACTTCAAATAAAAACTGACATAGATTGAACACCTTGAGAATAAACTTTAGTGCCAAATGGAAAATAATTTTTTACAAGTAAATTTGAAGAACAATGTGAACTTTCTATAATTATATACAGAAAATATACTGATTTGCCAAAATGAGTAATTTTGATATATTAATATTTCACTTATAAGAATGCATACCACCTGATCCAGGATGGGATCCAGGAACAGAAAAAGAACATTAGGTAAAAATGACAGAAATCTGAATATAGTATAGAGTAGCTAAAAACAAACCAAAAAAAAAAAAAAAAAAAAAGGAAAAACAGAATAAGCCTCAGAAGATAGTGAGCATCCCACCTGGGTGACCACTTAGAGAAGCTGAGGTGGGACCCCTGCATCCGATAAGTGGCTGCACTAGACCACAGGAACCAGACTCCACTGTAAGAACTAGAGTGGGAATGGACATGTCAAAACCTCCTGGGAACCTTATTAAATGTGCACATTCCCAATCCCCACTCCTGAGCAGCCAAATCAATCTGCAGGTGGGCCTTGTGAGTTTTCCCAGGGGATTCCGATGCCTGCTAGATTTAACCAGTAGATGAGATGTTAAGTTATCCTGTAGTCCAGAGATTCCACAGGCCAGTGTCAGGGAACAGGGGCCAGGGCTGGGAAGGCATAAGAACAGAAGATAAATTTGAGGCTCTGTTACGCTGGTCATCCAACCCAACCAGGTATCTCTTGTTATATGCTAACTTCATTTTCCCTTTCTTGTCCATAGTGGGAAAAAATAATTTTTAACTGGCTATGTAGTTAAAAAACCTAACAAAAAGCACTTTTCTATATAATGAGTGGTTTATATTAAGAATAGGTACAATGTAAATACTGGTAAGTGAAAGTTCATTTTGTTCAGTGCTATGGGCTGGTACATTGCATTTCAACACTAGTTTTTTACTTTTATCTACCCTGAGGGTAGATAACCCATATTCCAAAATACAGTATTATTTTCATTTGCTGTAACATTTTAAGAAATATGTAGTTTCTAAAACTTCATATACTTTATATGGAATATGAACAACTTTAATATGAATAAATAGTCTAGAAAAAAATTTAGGAAAAATTGCCATGAAATCATGAGCTAAGTCAATGGTTATTTTAAACCACTTAATTTTGAGACTAGTATTTCATACAGAAAAAGCTAATACTGATATCACACACTAATTGTGTATAAAACACTAGGAATGTCAAAATAGAACATAAGAAAATGAGTCTAGTGGACCCACTGCATAGTGTAACTTTGGGATGAATTTAAAAGAATATTTAAGTCACAGTCAATTTTCTGTTGGTCTAATTTTACCAAATAACCCCCTAAATAAGAAGTCTGATTTATCTAAAATAGAAGTTAACATAGCATCCCAGTATTGCCATTCTAAAACTCTGGCATGTAAATGGGAGAAATGGAAATAAGCTCAAAATGGGTAGAGTAACCCATTTCTGCATGAACCATAGAATTTAACTAGAATTTGGCTGGCTCATGCCTGTAATGCCAGCACTTTGGGAGGCCAAGGCAGGCAGATCACTTGAGCCCAGGAGTTTGAGACCAGCCCGGGCAACATGGTGAAACTCCATCTCTTCAAAAATATATATTTGTGTGTGTGTGTGTGTGTATGTGCGTGCACAAAAATTAGCTGAGTGTGGTGGTTCACACTTGTAATCACAGCTACCTGGGAGGCTGAGGCAGGAGGATTGCTTGAGCCTGGGAGGCAGAGGTTGCAGTGAGCTGAGATTGCACCATTGCACTGCAGCCTGGGTAATAGAGCGAGACAACTCTATCTCAAAAAAAAGAATTTCACTAGAATTTATATCTTCAGTGTTTGCATTAGATTGTCACCAGCACTATCTGCCTTGTGACTGTCAGGACTAATCCTTATATCATTTATCTTATGTCCTTTACCTCAGTTTATGTCTGTCACCACAAGAAACCCAGACCTCCCTAATCATACCATATGCCCTGGTCTTACCCACATACAGCTCGGTACAACTGCATTTCCCCAAACCTCAGAACTCCTTGGGCCATCACTGTCAGAGACATTTGAACTAGAGCAACTCCATCTTGAGTAGGGACTGGGTATAATGAAGCTGAGACCCACTGGGCTGCATTCCCAGGAAGTTAGGCATTCTTAGTCACAGGATGAGATAGGAGATTGGCTCAAGATAAGGTCACAAAGACCTTGCTGATAAAACAGTCTGTGGTAAAGAAGCCAGCCAAAACCCACCAAAACCAAGACGGGAATGAAAGTGACCTCCGGTCATCCTCACTGCTCATTATACGCTAGTTATAATGCATTGACATGCTAAGAGACACTCCCACCAGCACCATGACAGTTTACAAATGCCATAACAACATCAGGAAGTTACCCTATATGGTCTAAAAAGGGGAGGAACCCTCAGTTCTGAGAATTTCCTTGAAAATTCATGAATAATCCACCCCTTGTTTAGCATATGATCAAGAAATAATCATTAAAAAATAGCCAACCAGCAGCTCATGCTGCTGGTCTGCCTATGGAGTAGCCATCCTTTCTTTATTAACCTGCTTTCACTTTATGGACTCCCCTGAATTCTTCTGCAGGAGATCCAAGAACCCTCTCTTGGAGTCTTAACCAGGATCCCTTTCCAGTAACTTCAGCAGGATCTGTGAGTGCCAGTTTCCTTCTGTGGTGCAAAACTAGGTGCTAAGTACACTTTTTCCCCCCTTTCCTCTATTTTTAAAAGAACTTTCAGCCCTTTTGAAGTGGGTACATTGTCTGGAGTACATACCCTGGGGTTCATTGTTATAGGAGAATTTAGGACACAGACACACGAGGAGTTTAGGAGCAGAGGTTTAATAGGTAGAAGAGAAGGGAAAGAGAAACAGCTTCCTCTATAGATGTCTGCACTGACACCGTGGCTTTAAGGCATGGCCCATGATGTGTCTCCGAGTGGAAAAGACTGGTTGGTGGTGAATGCGCCAAATTTTATAGTCCGGTTTGAGGAGGTGGTTTCTGATTGGTTGCATCATGTATGACGTTTGCAAGGTGCATGTGGAAGGCTGGTCGCCCCACCCTAATCTTATGCAAATGGGCTTTCCAGTTGATTGGGTCCATCTTGTGTAACACGTGGCTGGCAGAGAAGGGAAGATGAAGCCACCATCTTGAAAATGTCTAGTCCTTAGTTTCTGCTGGCATTCACCCATGCAAGCTGCCAGCTTGTCTATGTCTGCAGCTCAACTTTACAGGCTGCTCTTTGTTAGCAAATGATTTGGAGCTTCTTTTCATTAAAGAAAAAAGCCTTACCGAGGACTCCCATACCCTTGCTTTCTGCTTAAGTGATTTCTTCTTAACTCCTATGTCAATTTTATACAGCATGAAATAATGATGTATCTATAAATGAGCCTTTGCAAGATTACCATTTATCAAAGAAAACCAGTGATGTTTAGTTAACTGTTTGTAAAAATAAATGGTTAGTAGAATGTCTAATTCAATAAATGTTTCATAAATGAGTAAATGAATGTTTTAATTTCAATAAGATTGATTCTTGATCAAACGTTCCCTTTTAAATCTAATTTTAAAAATCTGAGTTTGATTTTTTTAAAAAAGGTTAATATAACGTAGCATACAATACTGCAATTTCACTCCAGGTTATCTACCAAGAGAAATGAAAATATGCCCACATGAAGAGTTGCACACAAATGTTCTAAGCGTGATTCATAATAGCCAAAAAAAAGCGGAACAACTCCTGTGTCCATCAATTGGTGAAAGGCTAAAAATGATGTGATTTAGTCACACAATGGGATACTGTTCAGCATAAAAAGGGAACTCCACCTCCTCCCACTGCAACTGGAATAGCTGGTTCTGTGGAGGCTTCCACCCTGGCTGCAGCTTCCTCCTCACCTCCTCTTGGTCTTCACCTCAGATCCCCCTCGTCCACCTTCACCCATGCTGTGGTCACCAGCCCTGTGGCAACCTCCAAGCCTGGACATTTGCCTTCCCCTCTGGCACTGCTTTCCAGAGTCAGTTTTCCTCACATCTCTGCACTGACACCGTGCATACCTCCAGGCTTTAAGGCATGGCCCATGATGACCCTGAGGACCAGTACAGCCCAGGCTACTGCCCGGGAACACAAGTAGCCCAAAAAGCAATGGACTAGCCTGAGGCCCCGGGTGCTTGCTGGGCCACAGACACCCATAGACACTGAGTTCATCAACAGTTGGCCTGACTGCACCAGAACAAATCAAGTTTGCTAAGAAGACTCATGATCTTGAAAGAAACTGGGTGCCTTATTTAAGCCTCTGCAATGATTTGAGATGAAAATGACCAATTCAGAAAACTGTTGTGATAGTCTTATCGAGCAAAGGGGGCTTGCTGCCTGATGCATTAAAAGCAATACTGTGACACCAGGTTTTTGAGAAATGGAAAGCTTTATTTGAAGTCAACACCCAAGGAGACAGGAGTCAAGCTCAAATCTGTCTCCCTGTGCAGGCTTTAAGGTAGTAATTTTATTACAAAAGGTTTAGAGGATGGATACTGGCATTAGCAGGTGATTGGTGGTAGGGAAGAGGAGGCCTGCAAAGTCCTTGGGCATGTGCAGTTATCTCTTCATGGGTCCCATGTGCAAATTCAGGAAGAGTTAGTATAAACCATGTGGTGGAAATTTAGGCTGTGACATTAGCAAGCTTGTTCTGTACAAACTTTAGTTGGACATCCTGGTTCCAACTGATTTCAACCAGTTCTTTCGTCGCCTAAGCAAGGAAGTTTCTGTGTTTCAGCAAGTGGTTTCTTTTTCTATCTGCCATTCTACAAACTCAAAAATTTCTGTTAGTCATTGGTCTGTTTAACTCTTCGGGGTATTGTTTCAATTGACAAATAAAGCATGAGGCAAACATCAAGCAAGCAAAGTTTAAAGAAGAAAAAGGCTGGAGTAAAGGAAGATCCCAAAGAAATAACTGGGGCAAAGCTGAAGAAAAAGAGTTTAAAGGAATTTCTGATGAGGAGGCTAAAGAAAATATCAATACTAAAGGAATTTCTGGATTTTAATTCACTGTTTTAAAGAATATTGTTTTGGTTTTGTGATGAAGAAGCATTGATGAATTTGTTCTAAAACATTTGAAAGATGTTGAACTAAAATTCTCAGTTCCTGGCAAGCCCCTGAAGTTATACATTTGACTTTCACTTTAAGCCCAGTGAATATTTTAAAAACAACGCACTAACAAAGACATATAAAGTCTTGACTGGAATTTATAGCAAATGCTTACCTTTCTCAGGGAGTTGAAATTCAAAGCTGCATAGGATGTCAAGTAGATTGGAACAAAGGAAAAAAACTATCACAGTGAAAACCATTCAGGAGAAAAGCGGTGTAAATGGGAAAAAACAAAATTACTTAAGTAGTTGCAGTGACTCGTTCTTTAATTTGTTAGTCCTCCTGTAGTTCCTGAACAAGAATACCTGGATGAAAAAGAAGAAGTTATGCTTGCTTAGGACTTTAAAATAAATCAGATTATACATGATGATGTAATCACCAAATCAGTATCTTACCTTACAGGAAGAGTTTCTCATGTTTCTGAAGAGGATCCTGATAATATGACAGGACACTTGATGAGGATGAGGAGGATACATTTGCAAAAATTACTAAAAATATGAGGAATATCTGACTAGAAGTATGTGAACTGTAAACTATAACGTGTAACCTTGGTTATTATAACAATTTAAAGCCAACAGAATTTAGAGTCTTAATGTATATAATTTTCTTAGTGGAGATAGTTTTAGAGAATACGCCAAGGAAGTTTTTAAGTATGAATTAATTATCCTTGGCTTTTATTAGTATCAGTTTCTGCAAGATGTGGAGAATGAAGTAAATTCCATAAAGCAGATTAATTTGTTCTGACATATTTACTTTTGTGAAGTCTTTTTGACAAGTACTTCTTGGACTACAACTCCAAACGTTATTTGAACTATTAACAGATATATATTTACATATATATTTTGTTTTGGCTCAGTTGAAAGTTTATTCTGCTAGAGCTAGAGGTATTTTCTTTATTCTGCTGAAGCAATGCAGTGACTTATTAAACTATAAGGTAGTTTGCTTTTTAAATGTTCTAAATCAATTTCTAGTCCATATTTAAGAATTTCTATTAAAGTGACAGTTAATGTCAATTACTGCTTTATTATGGTTTTTTTTAATGACAGAAATCTATAATTATACTGTCATTGTGAGGTATTTACCATTATAGTGTTAATATAATGTTCTTAAATGTTTGTGTATTGGTATGTGAGGTGAATAAGCACATTTTTTTGGGGGCGGAGCGCATCTTATATTTCATTGAAATGTTCATTTTATATTTTTAAATACTATTCAGCAAGATTTGTTCACGTTCTTTTGTTACTTGGAAATGTCAAAAATAAAAAAAGAACAGAAGAAATAATATTTCTGTGAGAGAAGATACATTATAATAGTTAAATAGAGAACTTTTAGCTTGGCAAACTAGGGATATTAATAGCATGTGTAATTAAAATTTGAGAGATTTTTTACACTGCTGTTCCACAAACATTTTGCTTGAGTAGATATAACATTTTGCTTTCTTTTAGATGCCCAAATAATAGGGATATGATCAAAAAATAAGAACGTGGTAAGAACACACAAACTGAATAAACAGCTGAACATATTAATAAGAGAAAATGTTTGTTAGCTTCAGAAAAGAATTAATATGAAATAAGAGAAAGGTAACATAGTCTGTCTCTTTATCATCGTTTAGAGATTATACTTTCTGACAGGAAGTTGCTGCCAAGACAATATTAGAAATTATTATTGTTTTCATAAAAACAATTCAAAGATGAATTAGTAATAAATATGTCAATAATAAATGAGTAACTTATTAATAACTAATTTTGTTATGAATGAGGCTGGGGAACTATTAGATTAAAGCCAGCAAACTATACGATTGTATTCAGAATGGATAGAGAAGTTTGCATAAAGGCCTGAGATCCAATAATATTTGAGTCCTACAGTATTTTCAGGAACTATATACAAAGGGGACATTAGCATAATGGAAATGAAAATATCACTAGTGCCCTATATGCCAGTGTTTAACTCTGTTTTTAAAAGGGTGAAAGAGCTAAATTGTAAACACTAGGTTTGAGGACTAAAACCATTTTCCTCTTAGTTCTAAACCTCTGCATCTTGCCCTTCTTGCTGGCTATATGGAGGAAAGAACTGGAAGGGAGTTTGCTTGGAGTGGATGGATAAAGAAACATGAAGATAGAAGCTGTATCAGCCCTTGATTAGCTTATCCACCCATTTCATCCTTGGAGATGATGGTGTGGGAAAGAGTGTTGTCTGTACATTAGGTTCGTATGACTGCTGTAGAAATTTACCACCAATTTAGTGGTAAATGTACCACCAACTTATCTTACAGTCTGGAGGTCAGAAGTCCAAAATGGGTCTCACTGGACTAAAATCAAGATGTCAACAAGGCTGCATTCCTTTCCTTTCTTTTCTTTTTTTGTAAAATATTTATAGAGGTTTATTCTGAGCCAAATACGGGTGGGTGATCAAGGCCTGAGGTACAGTCACAAGAGGTCCTGAGAACATGTTCTCAAGGTGGTTGGGTTACAGTTTGATTATGTACATTTTAGAGGTACAGTCACAAGAGGTCCTGAGAACATGTTCTCAAGGTGGTTGGGTTACAGTTTGATTATGTACATTTTAGGGGGACAGAAGTTACAGGCAGACATTAATCAAAAATGTTAGGTGTATATTGGTTTAGTCCAGAAAGGTGGGACAACTCAAAGGCGAGATGCTTCCAGACCATAGGTGGACTCAAAAGAGTTTCTGATTGGAAATCAGTTGAAAGAGTTATATCTTAAGACCTGGAATCAATAGAAAGGAGTGTCTCATTTAAGATAAGTGTTTGTGGAAACCAAGCTTCTTTTTCTTTTTTCTTTTTTTTTGCAATAGCTTTTGGGATACAAGTGGTTTTTGGTTACATGGATAAATTGTATAGTGGTGAAGTATGAGATTTGAGGCTGTAGGGAAAAATCTGCTTTCATGCTTTTTTTCAGCTTTTAGAGGCTGCAGATCTTACTTCCATCTTCAAAGCCAGCAATGACTAGTCATGTCCTGATTCTTCTGCCTCTCTCTTTCCCATTGAAGGACCCTTGTGTTTACATTGTGACTACCTGGATAAAACAGGATAATCTATTTAAGATTAGCTGATTAGCAGCCTTAACTCCGTCTTGGCTTGTAACCTAGCAAATTCAGGGGACAAGGATTGGACATCTTGTTGGTTAGTGTGGGCAGGGAGCGCCATTCTCCCTGCATACAGTGTAAGACTCTTTAATGCAAGTGATTCTACCAAATAAGCTGACTGAACAGAGTTGCAACTTCTACCTAGGGTTGGAAACCAGGAAGGCCGTGGAAAGAGGTACCAGCTTTCTGGCACTAGGAGAGAACAGAAATGTGTCTGCCCTTAAATACTTATTTATGTTCTCTATTTTAACCCATGGACTCTGAAAAGGGCCTAAATAGTATACTTTTAAATAAACTTCAAGAATATAATATTTTAGCCCACATATTCATGCCCCTCATATTTTTCATTTATCAATACTCCAAGCACCTTCTCCAGAAAAAATCCTGAGGACTATGCAATAAGCACATGACAACACAATAGAAAGCCAAATGTATTAGGTAAGTGAGAGCCTCTTCTCATTAAGACATAACATGTCTGTTTTCCAAATAGCTGCTTCAACTGTGTGGAAATATTCCGTTCTCACTGGGTAGCAGACAGTTTCATTTCATAACTTTTTGGAACCTTCTAGTCTGATTTTGGCTTTAAAGACCAAAGCTTGTTTTTTTCAGTCTGTTTGCTTGTTTTATTGATCTCCTGTTTAACTTAATGTCTTCTCTCAATCCTAAATGCAACCTCATCTTGAAGCAAAAGATGTGTGTGTAGGATACCTCCAGTAGATGATTCCTTCTTTCTCTGCTCATCCTTCCAGGTCATCATTCCCAAATGCTCTTTTCTTTTCTGGTCACCATAATAAGCAGACACTTCCAAACTTTTGAGTAGTTCTCCTGGGGCCTTTCTCTCTTGGCTTGAGAAAGTTCCACCTTGTTCACCATGAGGAGGGAAAGAAGGTCCTCTCTGTGAACCTTGCACTCTTCTCAAAAAAGTGACCCTCTCTCTTTCAGTGCTTTCATATACTAGGTGCAGGTAGTAATAGTGCCAGTTCTGATAACTTTTTGCTTCTTAAATTAGGAGGGGAAAAATCCAAATTGGTATTCTGGGATTACTGTAACTCTATTTCTTGGTTCCGTATGAGGAATCAGTCTCTTATCTTAAAATATACTCTAGGAATGTGCAGGGGTTCTAGTCCATTTCATAGAATTACTGTTGTAGCAGCTGCCATCAGCAGCCAGGTGGAGGTTTTTGCTTATCTTTCCTTAGGAAAAAAAGTCACATATATGTGCTGCCACAGAACCAGCATCATTTCCCAGCCCTCAAACATCTGGTTGGCATGTGTACAGACACACAACTCAAATCTCAGCTCCCATGAACATCCCTCTGAATCCAAAATTGGCCCAGAACTTGTTTTTAACTATTGTCACACTTTCCTATGAGAGCATTAATATTCTATTCCACTACAACTAAATGACCTACCTCTATCATACCTACCCATAGTCCTGGCAGTTATCCAAGAATCTATTTCAATAGTGAGCCTCTTGGACACCAGTGCCATCCTGCATAGTCTATCACAGAATGAGAGCCCCAGAAAATGCAATTAACAACATCATGGCCAGATGCCCATTGAATATCCCAAATCTGAAAATCCAAAATCTGAAATGCTCAAAATTCAAAATGTTTTGAGTGCCGACATGATGTTCAAAGGAAAAGCTTACTGGAGTATTTTGCACTTCGGATTTTTGGATTTGGGATTCTCAACCAGTAATTATAATGCAAATATTCCAAAATCCAAAGAAGAAAAGAAAAAATCTGAACTCTAAAACATTTCTGGTCCCAACCATTTCAGATAAGGGATATTCAACCTGAATTTCTTCATATCATGTCCTCCTACCTCCATGGCTGCTCTTTCTCAGTCTCCTTTGTGAACTCTTTCTACTGTTCAGCCTCTAAGTTTTAGACCACCAGGGTTCTTGTTCCTGGGACTCTGTTTTCTCTCTGTACTCTCACAGTGATCTCATCCAATCCTGTGGCATTAGATGCCATTCATACACTAATGACCAGGACTAGCTTCATGGGCATGCTATCTGTGAAGCTGCACAAGACCTCACATTCTGATGGGCCCTGTGTTTAGTTTAATGCAATGATGTTGCTGTCTTAAAAGCTTTAATAATTAATTTGATCTTTGAATCGATATTGTGTAAGTGAAGACTGATGGGACAATGGAGCACGTGTACCAGCAGAGGATATGCCACCATGTATGTGTCTACCACCACTCTTTGACAATCCATTTGCCACATGAACACAGAATTCTGGTGGGCTTATATGCATGTGGTTCAATGAGAAAGAGAGAAAAAAAGGTACCGTTTACATCTACAATGGAATAAGTGGGGACACTGACATTCTCAAGAGGCCACATTTTCCATTTGAACAAGAACTTGTTTAGACATAGAACACAAAAAGTCAAGAAACCCTATGCACACCCTGAACTCAGCATGCTTATGTGTGAGCTGTGGGGGCAGAGGTGATAGTATGAAGGTTAAGGTCCATCCAGTGCATAGCAATGCCCTGATGAGGCTACCATCTGGCCACACTTTTAATTTCACATACCTCTGGGCTTAGTCATTTTCTCCTAGGACCAGCACCTACACCTGAAAGAGGTGACAACTTCAACTACCCACCTGGTATTGACCTTAGGTTATCATCCTAGACTTCTGATTCACTCAACAATATTTTATTTGGGGATCCTTGATGTCTTCCACATCACTGGGCTTTTGAGAGGCACCTACTCCTATACCATAAGACTCCTTTATCTCTGAATCTTAGAAAGAGTTGAAATAAATGGCTTTATAAAAAAACAAAAAGTTCTCTAGGATCCTCATGTAACTTGCTCCATCCTCTCCCCCAAGATCTGCATGCAGAGACAGGACCTAGAAGAGAATGCCAGCTTCCCTAAGTCAGACCAAAAGTCCCCACCCTCCTTTTCTACAGGAATTATTACTTTCTGGTATATATCGGTGTAGCCTAGTGTCATGAACATAGGTGTCAAACCCAGAGCACCTCAGTTCTAAATCTATGTTTGCTTATATCTTACCTGAGTAACACTGAGGAAGTTGCTTATCTTCCCTGCACCTCAATTTCCTCATACAAAAAAAAAAAAGCATATAATAATAGAATTTACCTTTTGAAGTTGTTGTATCTTTTAAATAAATAACTCAATTTACAGGGCTTGTAACAGTGTCTGGCCTACACAGCATTATGTAACTATTCTGCATTATTAATTTTTTGAAGATGGGTAAAAAAGTTATTTATTCAAGTAATAATTTATTGAATCTTTATTGTATGTTTAGCATTGGGGGTACAGTTGTGAAAGGAACAGACATGTTTCCTACCTGCATGGATTTTACAACCTAGTAAGGCAACAGTTGGAGAGACAGACAGGAAGCAATCATACAAGCAATTTAATAGTTATAAAATGTAGTAAGTGCTTTGAAAGAAGCAACTGTGTGTGGTTAAAGAGAATACAAGAGGAAAATCTAGTTTAGATATAATCACCAAAAAAAGTCATCTGAGGAGATAATACTTTAAGCCAAGAATAGATGATGAAAGGAACCATGCATGAAAGGTTGAGGGGTAAAGGGAGCAGGAGGGGCATTTTAATTACAGGGAGCAGCATGTGCAAAGGTCTTAAGCCATGAAAAAGCTTGCTTTGTGCAATAACCTGAAAGAAAGCTAGTATGTCTGGAACCTGGTAATAAAGGTGAAACATTAAAAAAGGAGCCTGGAGAGGTAGGTGGAATCAAATCATACATGGGCTTATAAACCATGGGAAAAGTTGGAATTTTATTTAAGTGCAAAGGAAATCAGTGAACCAAATGATTAGGTTTAACTTATTAAATTATCACTTTGTTTCTTTCATAGAAAATGGACCTTTGGGGAAAAATCAGGAAGACTAATTAGTAATCTAGGAGAAAATTCTGGTGGCTTGGATTAGGGTGGTAAAAGTAGATATAGGGAGAAAGGAAATGAATTTGAAGCATGATTTGGAGAAAAATTGGATAGGACTTGCTGATGGATTGACTATGGGAGAGAAGAAGAGGGAGGAATGAAGATTGACTCTCAGCATCCTGGTGTGAGCAATAGAGTGAATTTTGGGGGCACTTGCAGTGATTAGGAAGACAGAAGAAAAGTTGAATATTTTAGGGGGAGATATAGAGGTGAATTTTCAGTTAGCTTATACACTTTGAGATAGCTCTGAGATATTTTACCTGGGCTGCCAATTAAAAACATAGCTTCAATAAGAGTCACAGCTTCAGAAAAGAAATTTGAGAGGTATAATTTTGAGAGTTATCTGTTAGTAGATGGTATTTAGAACATAAAAAGTGAGAGATGCAAGTGATGAAGAATACCCAAAAGAATATTGAAAAAAAATTAGAGAATTCAAACTCCCTGATAAACTTACTACAAAGCTACAGTAGTCAAGATGGTGTGGCACTGGCTTAAGGATAGACACACAGATTAATAGAATAAATTTAAGAATCTACAAATAAACCATTAACTTATGGTCAATTGACTTTTGAAATGGGTGCTAAAACAATTCAACGAAGGAAACAATAGCCTTTTCAACAAATGGTACAGAAACAACTGGATAGTCACATGAAAACCAACGAAGTTGGAATTGTACTTCAAGAAAAAATTAAAATGGGTTTAAAAATTGATCCAAAATGCAACATAGAAATTATTGTGTAATTATAAATTATAATTACAAATTATATATATAAATTATAGGTGTAAACCTACTTAAAACATTTGGAGAAAAATATAGGCAAAATCTTTGTGACCTTAGATTTTTAGGTACGTTTTTTAGATGTGACAACAAATGCGCAAGCAGCAGCGGCAGCAGCAGTAACCAAATACATAAGTTCAACTTTGTCAAAGTTAAAAACATTCGTACTTGAAAATACACCATCAAGGAAGTCACATATCACCCACAGAATGGGAGAAAATATTTGCAAGTAATACATTTGATGTTGGTGATGGACTTGTTCCTAGAATATATAATAGAAAACTTACCATTCAACAATTTAAAAAATCCGATTGAAAAAATGGGTAGAAGATCTAAATAGACATTTATCTAAGAGGATATACAAATACCCAACAAGTACATAAAAGGTTGCTCAACGTAATTAATCATTAAAAAGATGCAAATTAAAGCTATTATGAGATACCACTTCATACACATTAGGATAGCGGTCATCAAAAAGACAACATGTTGATGAGGATGTAGAAAAATCAAAACCCTTATACGCTGCTGTTGGGATTGAAAGATGGTTCTGCTGCTTTGGAAAACAGGTTAGCAGTTTCTCAAAATGTTAAACATAGAGTTATCACATGGCCTAGCAATTCCACTCCTAGATATATCCAATAGAAATGAAAACATGTCCACACAAACACATGAACCCAAATATTTGTAGCAGCATTATTTATGATAACCAAAAAGTAGAAACAACCCAAATGTTTACCAGCTGATGAATGGATAAAGAATTGTCATATATAATACAATGAAAAGTATTTGTTAATAAAAGGGAATGAAGTTTCAATACATGCTAGAAATGGGAACATTGAAAACATGCTAAGTGAAAGAAGCTACCCACAAAAGGCCACATCTTCTATGATACCATTTATATGAGATGTCCAAGATAAACAAATCTATAGAGACAGAGAATAGATAAGGGATAGGAGCAATAGGAAATGGGGAGCGGGTGCTTGTGTATGAGATTTTTGGGGGAGGGTGATGAAAATATTTTAGAATTAAGTAGTAGTGTAAGTAGTAGTGATGGTTTCACAACTTTGTATTATATGTAAATAATATTTCAATAAAATTGTTATAAAAATTTGTAAGGTCATCTAGAGAGAAAGTTTAAAAAGGTAACAGATAACCATTAGATCTGGTGATGTAGCATTATCTTTATCTCTTATTAGACTGTAAGTTCCCTGAAGGCAGGTTGATAAGAGCATTAATATATGTGGAATGGAGCAGAGACAGAGCAGAGTGGGTGGGGGACACTCATCAATCATCTTGAAGGACTGGAGAGAATAATAATTGTGGACCTCTGCTTTCTGCCTGTTGAAGAAGCAGTTAAGTGACGGGACAGCTACTAGAGGACATTGGATAAAGGGAGCAGCTTTTTTAAACATAGAAGATACCGGAACCATAGGTGATGGTGATGATTCAGTAAATGCAAAGGGGGCTGTAAGTAAAGAAGTGAAATCCCCAAGAAAGTGAAAAGGCATGTCATCCCAGAGACTAGTGGAGGAATGTACTTCAGTTGGGAAGAGAGTGAATCTTCCATTACAATAGGAGTGGCATGGAGCAAGATTCCAAACTCTCCTCCTGGGATGTACAAGTGGCTTAGAACAAGGAGATACAGGTTTTTTCAGCTTGGTATGCAGGACCATCTGAAAGCTGCCTTCAATGATAAAAAAATTTTTCTTTCCTTTTTTTGGCAACCATTTTAAACCTTAATTCAGACCTCCCAGAGTTCAAATGTTCAACCAGAGTGGCTGGCCCTCTTCAGTATTTCAGCCAATCAGATAGCAGCTCTGCTCAAGGTCCCAGCCAATCTAATTTCTTGGCCCATATGTAATTGAGCTTAGCAATGAAATGACATGTTCTTCATTCCACTTCTCTAACGGCATCATTTTGCAACCCCACTCCTGCCCAGTCTGGTAAAGAGGAAAGGAGTTGTAAATGTGTTCACACACACATTGCTCTTGTTCCTATATACCAATTTTCCTTTGTACTTCAAAAATATATGCTCATATTATGCTTTATGAGGGCTTTTACAATGGAAACAACCATCTACACCCTCCTCTTTCTCTCATTATTTTCCTAAATTTAACATCACAGATTTCATACTACTACATATTTCTGCTTAGTTGAAAATACTCATGATTAAAAATGAGCGTTGCCATTGAAATGTATCATGTTACCAAAGTATTTCTTGCAAATTATATAAAATTTATTTTCACTTTATCAGTAGGATTTAAAATATTTTTAAAATCACAAACAGCTGGGATCTTGAAAATAATGTTTCAAAATGAGATTTCCATCATTTTCCATGGAATGCAGGTGGAATGTCTGTTGTTAGGGAAAATATTTTAAAGATACTATTTTCTTTCCATAAGATTTTATAAAATGGCAGTGGTTTGAACAAACAAACAAATCTTTATGATCCATAATTGCAATACTTGAAATAATGAAATGATTAGAAATTATGGACTCTAAACGCCTTATTTTATGGAAGAAACTGATACCAAGAAAGGGTGCATGAATGCTCTGTGTCACAGGGGATTTTTGTGGGGCTGAGACCGTGTGCTGACTTCTCAGCTCCTACAATGCCTCCTCGTGATGAGGAAACAGCAGGACCTTCCTTATTATGCTAGTTGGTTCACTGAAGATGGATGTGATTCCACTTTCTCATCTCTAAAATGAAAAGGTTGAATTATACGTCTAAGGTTCTGCCTGGCTAGAATAACTGTAGTCTCTGAATTTGGACAAAAAGAAATGCAAATTGCAGGAGAAGAATGTGCTAAATGCAGATACTCATCACGATCTCAAATTGTAGTCATTTTTTTTCTTCAAAATAACAATACAAAAATTCCTTGCACTTTTGTATCATTCCGTACAGTTCTAGGGGTCCTTACAGTTATGGTCCATAGCATCCTCAGCAACAGAGTTGGCTATATAACTCACACTTGCCCTAATCATGGTATCCAGGCACATTATATACATATAGAATTTTATGTGCAGTCACTGGGAGATAAAGGTAAAAATTATTTGCTTTGAGGTTACTAGCTGGGATGATATAAGCCTGGAACTATCTATTTATAGTTTCATCCCTCCATGTCTGCACCACAGCCTCTAACCCCCTCAACAAGGAGGAAAATGAGCAGAGGAGGAGGTGCAGGGGATGGGTGGTGTGGGGCCGAGATGACAGGAAAATGAGAAATAGAAAGACAGAGAATCACTCAGATTCCTGATTTATCTATGCCTGAAGTGTCTTCCTGGACTTCCAATTACATGAGGCAATAAATTACTCCTTTTTTGCTTAAGCTAATTTGAATTGCTTTTCTATCACCTTTATCTGCAAGACCCTTGACTAATGCAATTACCTTTTACCCCACAGGGAAATGGAAAGCAGTTCTCAAAATAAAAGGCCTCAAAATAAATCCCAAGGATAGTAGGTAATATTCCCCCAATTATTAGACATGATCCTCAGTTATTTTCACTTATTCATTCATTTGCTGAGCACTTTACATATGCAAAGTACCCTATCTTAATCCATTCTGGCTTCTACAGCAAAATACCATAGACTGGGGTGGCTTATAAACAACAGAAATTTATTTCTCACACTTCTGGTGACTGGGAATCCAAGATGAAGGCACTGGCAGATTCAGGGTCTGGTGAGGACACATTCTCTGGCTCATAGTGTCATTTCACTGTGTCTTCACATGGGGAAGGAGTGAGCTAGCTCACGTGGACTCCATGGACTTGGACTTTGAATATGTTAATGAGGGGTTAGCATGCTGTGGTGGGGAAAGATAGAATGACTCTGTCTAGTCCACAGGAAAAGGTCATAAGCTGAGACGGATGTTATCTCTTGGGTGGAGACCACTGACTTTGTCATCCTGTTCTTGACTTTGAGAAAAATACAAAACACTGACAATCTGAAACAAATCATTTAGAATGAGAGAGTGTGAAAAAACAGAAGCAACAAAGAAAGGGGAGGAGGAACTGCCAAGGACTCATTAGGACAACAGATATCAATTGCCACATCTCCAGGTACTTGAAAAATTAGTTGAGCTGCTGGTGAGGGAGCATTTCTTTTTGAATATGACTGATGGAAAAGATCAGAAAGCAAGAGTTAGCAGAGGTTTGTGAATCTAAATAAGCTGCTTAATGTTGCTGAATAGAAAAAAAATCTAGATAGATGTTTTAAGCTTGCTTCTTAGAAGGTTCAAATACAGAAAAAAGACAAATTAGTAGTGACAACTTTCTGTGGACTGAATCCAAACAAGGTAGCTCATCAGAAGAATTGAAATCTTAGCAATAAAGTTTTGTGTGAAACATTTTTTTAAAATGAAAACTAAAGCTTAAATATTGGATCTGCCTTTAAATTAATATCCTTTGGAACTGGTATGTATGTAAACCTTGTAAAAATCCATGAATTATCAATCCATGGCAGAGTCTCATAGAGTTTACTTTTGGGTTGCTGATCATGTGTTAGGAAGAACATAGGAGAGCTTAGTTGTAGGGGAAACAGAATGCGAGGGCTGGGCACAGTGGCGGACACCTGTAATCCCAGCACTTTGGGAGGCCAAGGCAGGCAGATCATGAGGTCAGGAGTTCGAGACCAGCCTGGCCAACACGGTGAAATCCCGTCTCTACTAAAAATACAGAAGTTAGCTGAGCATGGTGGCTGGCGCCTGTAATCCCAGCTATTTGGGAGGCTGAGGCAAGAGAATCACTTGAACCCAGGAGGCAGAGGTTGCAGTGAGCTGAGATCATGCCACTGCACTCTAGCCTGGGCAACAGAGCAAGACTCTGTCTCAAAAAAAAAAAAAAAAGAAAAGAAAAAAGAAAACAATGCAAGATTCAAAATGTTTAAGTAAGAGTCTATGATATCATAATACTAATTGCAAAAATATTGTAATGTTTGTTAGCAGTACATAATATAGTCAGGATGAAGCCTTGATAAGTTACTGAATGAATAGAGCTGGAGTCTACATAACTCTGATGGGACAGACCCTAGACCTCCCTTCCTTCAGCTGCTGCTCCAGCCCCTCATTTTCCATGATGTAGTAATAAGTTCAGGCCCTTGCACTTGTGTGCATGGTTGGGAGCCAATGTGCACCCAATTCATGTGCCCTCTTCAGTTGTTTTCATCAAAAAATGCCTGTAGTCCGGCCCCATTCAAAACAGTCCAGGAGGTAAAGTTCTCGACTGTCTTCCCAGGGACTCTGGCTTCTGAATTTTATTCCATCCTATGCCAAAGACCTCCACACTCTGACAAGAAAGCTCTTGCTCAAGTGTGCATTGTCACAGTGCTTAAAAAGTGGATGACATTCACATCACATGCAGTAAATAAGATCCTGTGAGAGTTTTCTAAGTAATCCATGGTTGGTGACATGTTTCCAGTTTCCTAAGCACAGTTGGGCATCATCCTGCTAGGGCCAGTGAAAGGAAGGTGACTCAGATTCTAACTAGAAGACCACGAGTGGCCTCTGGAGTGGCTCTGCCACCTCATTGCATTTAACTCGGGCCCTTCTTTTTGGGGCTTAAGTTTCTTCATCTTTGAAATGAGGGAGTAGAATGAATGGCCTACAGTTGTCCATCTTGTTCTAAATGTCACTGATTCAACAAAAACAGACTCTCCCAACTTTTCATTTTCTTAAATGAATAAAGGTTCAGCACTTGTTTTAATACCAGAAAAAGTGAAGTTGTTTTTGTGTCAGTAAAGGTATGACCAGAAAAACAGAAGAGGTAGGAAATATATTCAATTTATTGCAGGAAACTGGCTTATACCATTGTGAGATCTGGCGAGGCAAGAACAAAATCTGTAGGATAGGCCATCAAGAAGGGCAGATGGAGGCCGGGTGCGGTGGCTTACACCTGTAATCCCAGCACTTTGGGAGGCCGAGGCCCGTGGATCATGAGGTCAGGAGTTTGAGACCAGCCAGGCCAACATAGTGAAACCTCGTCTCTACTAAAAATACAAAAAAGTTATCTAGGCATGGTGGTGGGCGCCTGTAATCCCAGCTATTCAGGAGGTTGAGGCAGGAGAATCGCTTGAACCCGGGAGGCAGAGGTTCAATGAGCCAAGATCATGCCATTACACTCCAGCCTGGGCAACAGAGCAAGACTCCATCTCAAAAAAAGAAAGAAAAGAAAAGAAAAAAAAAAGAAAGGCAGACTGGAACTCTTGGACACAGGTTGATCCTGTAGTCTATCGGCAGAATTTCTTCTGGAAATCTCAGTTCTGCTCTTAAACCTTTTCAACTGGTTGAATTTGAACCGTCTGATTATCTAGGATAAACTCCTTTACTTAAAGTCATCTTATTATGAACATTAATCACACCTGCAAAATGCCTTCTTGGCAATGCCTAGAGCGTATTTGATGGAATAACTGGGGGTTAGAGCCTAGACAGGCTCACATAAGGTTGACCTCACAGTACGCATCACAGTAACAGCTCCCACTGGACATTTATTTCTGAGGGCAGAATTTCCTTGGTATGGAGTGGGCTCCTTTTGTCCTCATCTTAGTGAGCTTCACAGCGGCTTTCAAGACTGTTGGCCGATGTCTGTTTTTCCCACCCAGTCTCCTATTTTGATTTCCTTGGCATTGCTCCCACCTAGTTTTCCTCTTACATCTCTAACAGCTTCTCAGATCCTCCTCCTCCACTTAGCCTTTACTTCCGTCTGTACATTCCATCTTTGCCTAACTTCATCTCTTCTGCTGCTATTGAATACCATTATATGCTGGTGACTTTCTCAATTGCATCTCCAGCTCAGAACTTGCCTTTGAGCTTCAAATGCATAACCAACTGCTTATGTTCCTTATCACCACTCCCAGGAATCTCAAAGTCAAAACATCCCAAGTAGAACACACTGTCTGTCTCCCACCACCAACCCTACTCTTCCATTGCCTTTCCCATCATGGCTAATGGCACCATCACCCACCATTTTTCATGTCAGAACTCATCATTCTAGATTTGATTTCCTTCACTCATTACATCTAAACCAAGCCACAGTCCCATTTTTCACATCTGTCTGCTGTCTCCACACAATTGTTCCTGCCACTGTAGCAAAACTCTCTTACTTCTTGTCAGAACAATTACAATTGCCTTCTAACTCATCTGCCTTCTTTACTTCTTGCCTTCCTCCAATTCATTCTCCAGAGAACACTTTTAGTGGTTTTAAAAGATGTAAATCAGATCACATCACTGTGCTTAAAAGTATTTCCTGCTCTCTTGTTCTCACTCATAGGTGGGAATTGAACAATGAGAACACTTGGACACAGGAAGGGGAACATCACACACCGGGGCCTGTTGTGGGGTGGGGGGAGGGGGGAGGGATAGCATTAGGATATATACCTAATGTAAATGACGAGTTAATGGGTGTTACATATGTAAAAACCTGCACGTTGTGCACATGTACCCTAGAGCTTAAAGTATAATAAAATATATATATATATAAATGAATTTAATAAAAAGTATTTCCTGCTCTCACATATACACAGAGTACAGTGCTTCTTGCCAGGCCCCATTTCTTCTCTGTGTCTTGATCCATCTCAGTGCTGTTTCTTTTGTTTTATTTCTTTAGAGACAGGGTCTCACTCTGTTGCCCAGGCTGGGCTGAAACTCTGGGCTGAAGCAATCCGCCCACCTCAGACTCCTGAGTAGCTGGAATACAGGCAAGAGCAGCACACCTGGCCTCAGTGTCATTTCTACATACTGTTTCTTCTGTCTGGACTGCCCTTCCCTGGCTTTTTGCATAGCTGTATTCTCATCTTTCATGTATCTGCTTCAATGTCACCCCCTCAGAGACACCTCTTCTGGCAAACCTGTAATAATAAGTCTTCTTTATTATTCTGTATCTCAGCACTCCTTTGTCTTGTCTCACAGCACTTGTCAATTCAGTACTTATATGTGTGTCCATTAATTTTACTTGTTTGTATTGTTGTGCCTTCTCTTGCATTCAATTACCTTGCAGTGCTACGGTAGAAAATTAGAAATTCAACTCTGAAAATAGAGGATAAACACATATTACCAGTTAAGATATACATATGAAATAGTATTAGCATGAATTCTAGGAATTACAGCTTTCAGTAAATGCTGAGTTGATTTAATTCCTTCTCTAAGCGATGATTTTATTCTATAAACTTCTCTTCATCTAGTGTTTTTGCAGAAAAATGGAATCCATTTTATGTGCTTTCTTTAGTTCAACACATGAAGTTGGTCTGAATATTTCATAGGCACCTCCAGGTGGTTAGCTGTCTGGTCCCCTGCTTTGCTTTCTCTAAACCACAAAAATGAAACACATGGAACCAGAGAAGAGTTTTAGTCTTAATTCTGCTTCTTTGCTGTGTAATTAGGAACCTGTCAGCTCATTGTCTAAGTGACAGGCATTGAACAAGCTGCACGCATGGGGTGAAATCATAAAAGCAACTTTATTTGCCTCCCTCAATCCCTTTACACTTGCTCTGTTGGGAAACTCCTCTGCTGTTCTTGATGAAAATTTAACAGATCCTTTGGGTTTTCGTGTTTAGGTAGTAAAATTTCCTACAATCCCTTTAAATCACAGAACATGGTTTCAGTTTAACACTTAGTCCAAGGTAACAGCCAAAGCTTCCAACTTTACTCAGGGTTGTAGCTGTTCCCTTTCCTCTGGTGGGGTCTAATGGCAACAACCTTATAGCCAGGGAAAGAGATGGGAGGAGAGGTCATTATCCATCTTCTCTCCCCACCTCTCCTATCCCATCTTGCTAAGGTAGGTTTTTGACCATTCAAAGTAAGAAGGTAGAGGAGAGAAATGGGGTCTGGAAATTCATTACTTAAATGGTACTGCTCTGAGATCGCTTTGCGACTTGGGGGTCCAGTAGGCATTTGAGATGGTCTCTTTCTCTTGTCCATGCCTCAGTGGTCTTTCATAGGCTTCCATGAGGGACTGCCCTATCAATGACCTCCTCAAATTTGCTGCCTTGCCCTCAGGCCTGCTTCTTGGCAATTTACTTCACAGACCCTCTCTTTCTGGCAGTTTTCTTGCATGGGATTTAACATGGCCCCAGGACAGCTCTCTCCCATGTGGCCTGCATCTGGTCCTACATTAGAAACTTGTATGTATTCTCTGCTCTAACAGAGCAGTGATTCTTCTTCACTGTCTCTCCAAAGCCACACACGAGCATTCTCTTTTGTTCTCTGGGTTTCCTGGATTTGAGTCTCTCCTCAAGCACTCTCCTTACTGCATAGAGTTTTTTACTTGTGGGCTCTTCTCTTTTTTAAGAAATAAATTTTACTGTGTGTACTTAAAGTATGCAAGATGATGAAGCCTCTTCTTTTTAACACTTGGTTACAGGGTTGGACCTAGAAGAAGCTGGACCATAAGAGAAGCTAAATGAGAAACAGAAGCTGGGGTCAGAATCTCTTCTTCCTTTCAATCTTGAGAAAATATCTTTGAACTAAGTGTCTCTTCTCTTCCTCTTTTCCTTATATAGTTCCCTAAGGAGGCCACTCTGGAGACCTTCTAGACATGTAAAATGAGGATAATAATAGTTCCTACCTTATAAGGTTGTGTGAAGGTTAAATGAGTTAATGTGTGTAAAGCACTTACAACAGATCTTGGCACATAGTAACTGCCATGTAAGTATCAGCTATTATCATAATTGCAATGCCATGCAGATGAACCCTCTAGTTCATCGTTATAGTTCTATGGGCTTTAGGCAGAGAGGTGGCCATGGAGATGGGAGAAGCAAAGAGAATTAGCCTTGAACAGGAGACTTGGGACTGTACGTAGGGGACTTAAGTATCTGAGGTTTATTAACTTGACAGGAAGCAGCTAATTTAAAACAGTATTATTGAAATTTCTTTGAGCTATGCTTCATGAAAAAGAAATGTTGAGCAGACAGACAGTGAAATATTAAATGTATGCACTTGGCTGAAAGGAAAAAAAAATTAATGGGACATACTACCTCATTAAGTAAATGCAGCAATTAATTCTTTACTCAGTAAGCTAGATAAACTTCAAAAATCCCTATTTATACTTCAAACAGTGTCTAAATGATTTAGCTGATATTTCAAAGGGACACTGAAGCTCAATAGGAATTAAGATGCTAAATCGTTAGCCCAGGAGCAGTCAATACCTCTGTCAGCAGTTGGGTTATTGTTCATTTTAGGCATTGAGTTGCTATTGTGTTCTGTGTTCTTAGGCTAACAAAAGGCACAGAGTATGCATACCCAACACAGGTAGTGCCTTGTAGTGAGTGCTCAGTAAGCACGCATTGGATATAGAGCATTCACTGGCCTATAGTGTCACCTCCCTGACTGCATTCGCCCATTCCACAAAAGTCCCACCGTGTTTTAGGGGTCCTACATTCTCCAATTTTTATAAAATTAGTACATTGTTTACAATCAGAAAATAAGTCCCTTGGAACTTGGACCAGTGAGCACTGTAATCAGCGTTCACCTGCGTTGGTTTTTCTTTCTACATATTTGTGTGCCTGGGTTCTTAGGAGCTCCTGCTGCCCTCCCTGTCTGCCAGTTCCAGGAGGCTTGCTGACCAGCTTAGCCTTTCACGCTCTCTCAGATCCTGCTGGCCGTGTCTCCTCTCTCCCAAGAGCTACGTGTAAAACATGGTATGTTCTGCACGTTTTAATTTAGCCACATTGATTCCATTGATGCCTTGTCAGATACTCTGAAGCCTGAGGCTTCATCAGCCACACAGGACAGATCAGAGATGGGCCCTCTGACTTTTTGACCCTGATTATTCTTTCTTTTTATTCTGGTTTTCTCTTGGCATTATAGAATGATGTGGAGAAGGAGATCTGGGGAAAGGGAAAGGAAGAGAACAAGGAGGAGGGAGTAAGAGGTCAGAGCTCACACATACACAAGAACAAAAGGACTGCAAATTGGGATGTCTCTCCACAGCAACCTTCCCTTCTTCCCTTTGAAAAGTCGATGCTGAACCATCTGTCATCTCTCAGGGACTCCAGCTCCAGGCTGGCTTGGACCAAGTGAGAGCTGCCTAGCCAGTCACTCATCAGTCCGTCCTAGGGCTGCCTCTGTGCATTCATCCTGCTTTCCCCAGGTGGGACATTCCGCTGCCTTTGGGGCTTCACACCCCAATTATTTATTAAGGAGACAGAAAAGAATTGTTGATAAAGGCCGTGGCTGGAGAGCAGGAAGTAGCCATGGGCTGCTGCAGGGGTGGGCTCCTGCTTAGCAAATGTTAGACCAGGTTTGTCTTGCTGCTGTTTTTATTTTGTTTGGACACTTTTTACTGTTGTTATTTCACACATCCAAAGATGATATGTGCCCTAATTGCATTTCCACAGCACCTTTGACAATTCTGAGAATCTATTAATTTTTTAAATTCAAGCCTTGGCATTAGAGGTTCCTACAATATTTGAGTCTGGTTTGTATGTGAAGGTGGGTTGGGGTTGAGGAGTCTGTGAATAATATATGCAATTTATAACTATCTGTGAAACTGAAAATAAAATAGGTTGTATGTGCATGTCTGTGTGTGTGTGTGTGTGAGTGTGTATGAGAGAGAGAGAGAGTGAGTATGTTGGGGGAAAAGAGTGACTGTATTTACATCCTCTATTTGGAATTTAGAGTTTTAAGTGAAAGTTGGTCCCTTTATCTAACCTGTCAACATTATAGATGATGCTGTATATTTATAAAGATATTTGCATATCTTTTATCAGATGGATGCTCTTAGTTGATTTAGTATTCCAGCTTCTATTTGGAAAATAAATTAATATTGAAAATGAACATGAAAAGCTCAGGGAATTTGACTCACTGCCAATGCTGGGGTCCTCTTGCACTGGGATGTGTGACCTTTTGGGTTTAATGCTGGATGTAGTCAAATTAGTGAAATAGGGGCCTTCTCCATTCTTTTTCTTTTTTGTACCACCCACCTTCAGGTTTACTCTGTATCCAAATCCTCAAAGGTTTGTTCTGGTCTCTACTGTCTGCCAATCATCATTTAAGATGAAACCTTCCTTCTCTTGTGTTTTAAACGGACATTCTTGAAGACCTAATGCATACAAAATTAAAAAGAGTAGTGTCTTTAAGAATTTCCACACACAAAAAAGCAAAACGGTGTTGACAAAGTGCTTTTCAAAAATTGATACATATTAATTCTACATATTTTGGGGGTACATGTGATATTTTGATGCATGCATACCATGTGTAATGATCAGATCAGGGTAACTGGGATATCTATCATTTCAAACATATATCTTTTCTTTACGTTGAGAACATTCCAATTTTTCTCTTCTAGTTCTTTTGAACTGTACTTTGCATTATTATTAATTATAGTCACTGTACTATACTATTGAACACTATCTGAATGTAATTTTTTTTGGGGGGGACAGAGTCTCGCTCTGTCGCCCAGGCTGGAGTGCAGTGGTGCGATCTTGGCTCACTACAACCTCCGCCTCCTGGGTTCAAGTCATTCTCCTGCCTCTGCCTCCCGAGTAGCTGGGATTACAGGTGCCTGCCACCATGCCCAGATAATTTTTGTATGTTTAGTAGAGACAAGGTTTCACTATGTTGGCCTGGCTGGTCTCGAACTCCTGACCTTGTGATCTGCCTGCCTCGGCCTCCCAAAGTGCTGGGATTACAGGCCTGAGCCACCGTGCCCGTCCCTGACTGTAATTTTGTACAGATTAACCAAACTCTCTTTATCCCCCTCATCCTTCCTAGCCTTTGGTAACCATGAATCAGCTCTCTACCTCCAGGAGTTCCACTTTCTTAGCTCCCACATACGAGTGAAACCATGCAGTTTTTGTCTTTTTGTGCTTGGCTTACTTCACTTAAAATAGTGACCTCTAGTTTCATCCATGTTGCTGTAAATGACAGAATTTCATTCTTTTTATGGCTGAATAGTGCATATATTCCACATTTTCTGTATACTTAAGTGTATGGACACTTAGGTTGATTCCATATCTTGGCTATCATGAATAGGGCTGCAATAAACATGGGAGTGCTGATATTTCTTTGATATATGGATTTCCTTTCTTTTGAACATATACCCAGCAATGGAATTTCTGGATCATATGGTAGTTCTATGTTTAGTTTTTTGAGGAAACTCCATACTGTTTTATGGTGGCTGTACTAATTTACACTTCTTCCAACAGTGTATAAGTGTTCTGTTCTCCCTTCTCTACACCCTAACAAAGTGCTTTTGCATAAATTATCTCATTCTGATTTTTCTTTCTAAATTACAGAAGTCTTGTTCAACAGGAAGGGTAGATTTTATTGTATATATTTTAAAGATCATAAAGCTGATATTCAGAGAAATTATTTAAAGCCACCATGAGCTCCAGTTCTAACATATGAAAGCTCATTTTAACTCCCTTGAAGTGCTTTCTCCCTCTATGATATTGCAGTGCCTATCTTCTACTATGATGGAGTGTCAGACAATAGAATGGAAAAGGAAGTTAGACTTTTGGCTAGAAAAGTTTAGCCATAGTCTTGAGAATGGGCTTTTGTGCTACCTGTCTTAAAGATGAACATGGTAGACTAGAACCTACTTGGGGTCAGACAGAATTTGGTTCTTAATCCAACTCTGCAACTTGCTAGCTGTGTAATCTTTGCAAGTTACTTAATGCCTCTGATTCCCAGTTTCACCTACTATAAAATGGAAAAATTTTGAAGAATTGTGACAATTTGAGATGTGCATATAATTTTCTTGGTTTTGGTATTTCTGATTATTAACACCTCACACTTGCTCTCTCCATTTTCAGGACAAGGAAAGCTTAAATAAGAAGATAATTCAGGCTATACATACAAGTGTTTACACACAGTTTGGCTTGGGGTTAAAAAAACAAAACTGATATAATTCTGATAAGCAATAATTTTTATGTTAACAAACAGCTTATTGATTCAGTCAAATCTGGGTTTTCCAAATAGGGGTTTATATGAAGATAAAGTCTCATTTCATTGAGTTCTCACACCTGGCTGTCTAATACACTCATCTGGAAGGTTCATCTGGGGGACTAGAAAACAAATGAAGCAAGAAGTGGGATGTCAAGAAGTATGGAAGGTCTCATCAGAGTTTTACCCTAATTGCAAGGTGGCAAATTGTTCTACCACAATTTCATGGGCACTGGCAGAACACATGAGTCTCCTGAGTCAGAGACAAAGGATTTTATTGCTCACAGCAAAGCTAGCAGCATGAGCCTCATGTTCATGTCAGTTTCTCTTGGCCCTCAAGTTCAGAGGCAACATGGAGTAGCCTAGGTAGATGCTGCACACATAGTGAGTGTCACAGATGAGAAATCTTGAATTTAGGAAACCCCAATAGTTTATTAATGGACTGCAAGCAAACTTGCCCTTCCTTTTTGCAGAGAAAGTCATTATCTTTATTTACTAAGCTACAAACTGTTGCGGGAAGTCAGGGACTCCGAATGGAGGGACCTGCTAAAGCTGTGACAGAAGAACATAAATTGTGAAGATTTCATGGACATTTATCACTTCCCCAATCAATACCCTTATAATTTCCTATGCCTGTCTTTACTTTAATCTCTTAATCCTGTCATTGTAATCTGAGGATGTATGTCGCCTCAGGACCCTGTGATGATTGTGTTAACTGCACAAATTGTTCATAAAGCATGTGTGTTTGAACAATATGAAATCTGGGCACCTTAAGAACAGGATAACAGTGATTTTCAGGGAACAAGGGAGGTAATCTTAAAGTCTGGCTGCCTGTGGGCCGGGCAGGACAGAGCCATATTTCTCTTATTACCGAAAACAGGTAAGAGACATATTGAATTCTTTCCCCAACAAGGAATATTAATAATTAACAGCTGTGGGAAAAGAATGCATTCCCATGGGGGTCTCTAAAATGGCCACTCTGGGGGCGTCTGCCTTATGCAGTTGCAGATAAGGGATGAAACACACCCTGGCTGCATGCAGCACCCCCAGGCTTGCTAGGATTAGGAAATTCCAGCCTGGTGAATTCTAGTCATACCGGTTCTCTGCTCTTGAACCCTGTTAAGATGTTTATCAAGGGCAATGCGTGCACAGCAGGACATGGAAGTTCATGGGTGATTCTAGTTTTGCCCTGACCTTGTAATCTCGCCCTGACCTTCTGTCTGTGATCTTTTGTCGCCCTTGAAGCATGTGATCTCTGTGACCCACACCCTATTCGTACACTCCCTCCCCTTTGAAAATTGCTAATAAAAACTTGCTGATTTTACAGCTCAGGGGGCATTATGGAACCTGCCAACATGTGATGTCTCCCCAGGACACCCAGCTTTAAAATTTCTCTCTTTTGTACTCTTTCCCTTTATTTCTCAAACCGGCTGACACTTAGGGAAAGAGAAAAGAACCTACATTGAAATATTGGGGGCTGAATTTTCCCCGATAACAAATAAACCTGCCTTTGGCTCTGGAGGGAGTGATCTTCTAAGGCTGTTAGCTATACAAACATATTTAGGAAGACAGTCAAGAACAAAGGGAGTTGGGCCTCTGTTTCTAAGATATGCAGAAACAAGAAAGAGCCATAGAGAATTGTCTCACTGCAAATGACATACACATTCTTTGTTGATGAAATAATATCCGCTAAAAGCCTACTGTATATTAAGTGCTGTTTGTTTTACAACGGCTCAGTGACAAAAGTCAATACATTGCTGTATTAGTCCATTGTCATACTGCTATGAAGAAATACCCAAGACTGGGCAATTTATAAAGAAAAAGATATTTAATGGGCTCACAGTTCCACGTGGCTGGGGAGGCCTCACAATCATGGCAGAAGGCGAAGGAGAAGCAAAGGCATGCCTTATATGGTGGCAGGCAAGAGCACGTGTGCAGGGGAGCTGCCCTTTATAAAACCATTGGATTTCATAAGACTTATTCACTATCACGAGAACAGCATGGGAGAAACCCGCTGCCATTATTCAGTTACCTCCCACCGGGTTCCTCTGACGACATGTGGGGTTATGGGAGCTACAGTTCAAGATGAGATTTAGGTGGGGACACAGCCAAACCACATAGAATCAAGAGTTCTTTGGTAACATCCTCCAGAATTTCTCTCCTTTGAGAATACAGATGAACGTTTCTAGATTGAGCTCACTTTCTTTTACTGGTAAACTTGCCAGACTTAATGTTTTTAAGGTTTCTCCCTCCCCAACTTTTAAAAATATTTGCCATTGAGCACTTACTATGTGCTAGGCACACTGAAGCTTTTCATGACTTAGTGCCTGCCTATCTCTGTTTTACAGATAAAGAAACTTCTGCCCAAGTGTTAAGGCAGCTTAACCAGGGTTACATGGGTGTAGACTGTTGCCAATCTCAACTACGAAAAAAAGCAAAGTGTGTCTTTGATGCAATTTTGCCTTCTTGAAATATATTTACCTTCTTCAAATACTTGGAGGGGGAGGAATGAGTACAAATGGAATGGGGAAGTGAGAAGCAGAAACAGAAAAACTGAGAAAAAAAATTCTCTTCACATTTTTTAGTCACCATTTAAGCTGCTATATATACACAGTGTGCTTGGGGAAAGCTGTAAAATAATTAATAGTGCATGGGAGGAACATTTGTATTTCAATTGTCTACATTTAAGGAACGCTTTGCATATCTGTTCAAGGCTTCCAATCATGGCCTTTAACATGAATGAGGGAGGAGGAGACAAAGGAGGCCCAGAGGCTAGAGAAAGCCTCAGACAGGGCACATCAATCGCCATAGAATCCCAGACCTGACCTTGTTGCCAAGCCTCGAAGTCCAAGTCTGGTTATCTGTGTTTTTTCACTGAGAATGAAGTTCTGTTTGTGGCCTCTTCTGTGGTTTACCCATGATTGCATCAGAACGGTGCCCATAATTTTCCTTTATAATTGGCTTATGTGGGCCACATGCAATAAAGGTTATTGGACTCTAACCAGTCACTTCATAAACTTTCAGATGCACTAATTAGGTTTATATGTGCCACAATCCTAGAAGGAGAGAAAACCAATAACTTTCAGCCAAAACTTATCTGAATTCTCAGGGCCTAGAGAATTCTGCTTTGTTAGAGTAAAAATTAGCTTTCATCTTTCAAGTGCAGCTATGAACTAATAATAAAGACCCTGAGGGTTTTCAGTACTTCATATTTTTCACCCCTGTAGCTAAGAAAGTAGACAGAATAGGCACTATTATCTCCAATTTCATGCACGAGGCCGCTGATGGCAGTTTAAATGTCTTCCCAGAAGCCATTCAGCTAATTGTTGGTAAAACTGAAACCAGAAACAAAATCCTTCCACTAGATGGCGGTGCTCACTAAGCTAGAGGCTTGGGTGGTCCGGCCAACTGTCTAGGGCTTGTTTCTCAGCACAGAAGCCTGAAACGTTTTTTGTTTTTTTGTTTTTCCCCTGAAATAACTAAAAGAAGAAAGCTACATTATATGTTCTAAGATTTTCCATAACTTCTCTCCATTCCACTATAATTTAATGTGGTTAGTATCATAATGCGTATCTGAACAGGGTGTTTCTGGAATAAGCTGCTCTTTTTATAGAGGATGGTGTTTTGGAGGCAGTATTTATAAAGTAAATTTCTGAAGATTGGGTTGTATTTTATACTTTAATTTACATGATTAAAATGGATATGGGCATCAAGAAAAGAAATCCTACGTCTCATACAAAATATGGACTTACAGAAACAAAGATAAGGACTTAAAATAATACTGTTGAAAGAAAATCATACCATTTGGATACGGTCTAGATAACAAGAATCACTCAGAATAAATCCCAAGGAAAAATACTGTCTTGAAACTTCATTCCCCCTGATTTGCAGTTGTACGAGGAACAATGTAATAATATGTAAAATTCTAGTTTCTCTGTGTTCAGTTAATATGCTCATTCTATTCTAAATATTCTTTAAAAGCAACCCTGTTAAGTTTATAATATAAAAAATATCAGCCATGTGTTGGGTTTAATATATGTTACTGTGCTGCTACCTGTTTGTTGACAGTTTGCATATTAAGTATTTCTGTCCTGGTACTGTTGAGACTTGCTTTTCAAAATAACCTTGTGTTTTCTATTTAATAGACTTATTTTTTAGAGTAGTTTTAGGTTTACAAAAAAATTACACAGAAAGAGAGCTTTTTATCCTTCTCCCCCAAGTTTCCTCATTGTTAACATCTTACATTTGTGTTGTACATTTGTATTACTCAGTTCTCATGTTGCTAATAAAGACATACCCTAGACTGGGTAATTTATAAAGAAAAAGAGGTTTAATGGACTCACAGTTCCACATGGCTGCGGAGACCTCCTAATCATGGCAGAAGGCAAAAGAGAAGCAAAGACACATCTTACATGGTGGCGGCAAGAGAATGCATGCAGGGGAACTGACCTTTATAAAACCATCAGGTCTTGTGAGACTTATTCACTATCACAAGAACAGCACAGGAAAACCTGCCCCCAGGATTCAGTGACGTCCTGCTGGGTCTCCCCCACAACATGTGGGGATTATGGGAGCTGCAATTTGAGATGAGATTCAGTTGGGGCACAACCAAACTATATCAATATTTGTTAAAATTGATGAAGCAATATTGATGCACATTATTGTTAACTAAAGTTGATAGTTTAAGGTTTACTCTTTGTGTTATACAGTTCTATATTTTTGAAAATGTATAGTGTCATATATTCACCATTATAGCATCATACAGAATAGTTTCACTGTCCTAAATGTTCCCTGTGCTCCATCAATAGAACGCATTCCACCTTCTTGCAGCCCCCAGACCTTGGGAATCACTGGCCTTTTTACTGGCTCTATAGTTTTGCCTTTTCCTGAATGTTGTATTATTGGGATCACAGAGTAGTTATCCTCTTCAGACCGGCTTCTTTCACTCAGCAATATGTGTAAGATTCCTCCATGCCTTTCATGTCTGCTGGCTCTTATTTAAAAATTGCTGAATAATACTCCATTGCATGAATGTACCATAGTTTATCAATTCATTTGGTGAATTGCTATGAAGTTTGCTTCTAATTTTTCGCACCTATGAAGAAAGCTACTATAACTATTATATGGACACAAGTTTTCAACTCACTTTGATAAATATTTAGGAGCATGATTGCTGGATAGTGTAAGTAATAGGAAAGAGATATGCTGGGTAGGTAAGAGAATGTTTAGTTTTATAAGAAACTGCCAAACTGTCAAAGTGACTATGATTTTGCATTCCTAACAGCAATGAATGAGAGTTCCTGTTGTTCCATATCCTCACTAGCATTTGGTATTGACAGTGTTCTGGATTTTAGCCATTCTAATAGGTATGCAGAGGTATCTCGTTGTTGTTTTAATTTGTAATTCCCTAATGACATAAGATGTTGAATATGTTTGCAAATGCTCATTTGCCATCTGTATGTCTTCTTTGGTGAGGCGTCTGTACACATCTTCTGCCCATTTTTAAATTGGGTTATTTGTTTTCTTATTGTTGAGTTTTAAGAGTTCTTCGTATATTTGGAGTACATGTCCTTTAATAGATATATCTTTACAAATATTTTCTCCCAGTCTATGGCTTGTCTTTTAATTCTCTTTAAAGGACTTGTTTCTTAAGACCTATTTTAAAGCTAATGGGAACATTTGACTCATTTGACATAGAAAAAGATCTTTTCCTGTAACCTCTTCATTTGTAAGAAACCTCTGGATTTCAAGTCAGGCTCTGCTTCAAGATAAAGGAAGACAGTTTCCTCTCTCAGCGTCAATTTTCTTATGTGTAAATACAATAACTTGAGTTGGGTTATTTCTAAGATTGCTTGTAGCTTGAATATTGCATGATTCTATTTGATGACTACGGATTATGAGCAGACAAGGATTTTTTTTACAGCTCGTATTCTCTACAAGAACGTTATTACTGGGGATCTTTCTAATTCTCCACATATATTGATGTCAGAAATGGAGATTTCATTCTTCCTTGGATTGGATGCTATTTAATCCTATCTTAAAATGTTTATAATTTTGTGTAAAGGACTTATGCTGTCCTACAAAGCAAAATTTACAGACACACAAACAATGAAATAGAACCTGACTTGGTAAGGTTAGAGAAAGCAGAGTTAAGGGCAATTAGAAACTCTGGAGTATTCAAGAAGGCTGTTTTAGGAAGTGTGGTGGAAGTCAGCCTTGAAGATGATACTTAACATTTAGTTTTGGAAGGAAAAAAAATGAGGCATTTTTTTCTGCCCTTCACATCAAGATATTTGGGGTTAGGCTAACACTTTCAAGTACACATGGAATAAACAGAGACTTTGGACTTGGAAATCCAAAAATGAGAGACTGAGTCATGGAGAGAAGAACGATTCATCAGTGTATTCAGAGTATTTTTTTTTTTTTTGCGATGTCTCGCACTGTCGTCTGGGCTGGAGTGCAGTGGCACGATCTTGACTCACTGCAGCCTCTGCCTCCTGCGATTGAGAACCTCAAGCGATTCTCCTGCCTCAGCCTCCCCAGTAGCTGGGATTATAGGCACCTGCCACCACACCCAGCTAATTTTTTGTATTTTTAGTAGAGACGGGGTTTCACCATATTAGCCAGGCTGTCTCAAACTCCTGACCTCGTGATTCACCCACCTTGGCCTCCCAAAGTGCTGGGATTACAGGTGTGAGCCACCACACCCGGCCTCAAAGTGTTTTTTCTTAATTTTAGTTGGCTTTGAGTATCCTCTAGGGTTTGGAGTTAGCTTGACTTTGGAGCTTGCTTCCCATTTTTCCCTTTGCCGGAAAGTATCCCGTCCCCAGTCTTGCATCATCACCTGATCCCAGTGCCATCTCCTCCACCAAACCTTCCTAATACCATCTCAGTAAAAAGAGTTATTATTTCCCCAAGATCCTAATCTATTTTGCCTGTCCTTGCCTGTTTCTTTGAAATCTTTTCCTACACATTCCTCCTTGTACTAGGCTCTTGTCCACAATCAAGCTCACCCTTTTCTTAGGGTTTTTTCAGTAGCTCTTACAGACTTATAAAACTCTGCCTACAAAGTTCCTCAGGCCTGGCAATTTTTTGTCATTAAAATCTCAGCTGGCTGGGCATGGTGTCTCATGCCTGTAATCCTAGCACTTTGGGAGGCTGAGATGGGTGAATCACCTGAGGTCAGGAGTTCAAAACCAGCCTGGTCAACATGGTGAAACCCTGTCTCTACTAAAAATACAAAAAACTGGGTGTGGTGGCACGTTGTTGTAATCCCAGCTACCCGGGAGGCTGAGGCAGGAGAATCACTTGAACCCAGGAGGCAGAGGTTGCAGTGAGCCGAAATCACACCATTGCATTCCAGCCTGCAAAACTATGCCAAAAAACAAACAAACAAAAAAAAACAAAAAAAGCAAAAACAAAAACAAAAACCAAACAAACAAAAAAACTCCTCAACCAAAATCTATTCCTTCAATGAAACTTTCTCTGACTCCGAAAACTAATGTAGACTCTGTTAACCCATTTTTACTCCCACCATCCCACTCCACCTCCTTTTCCGACTTCTGTTAGAGTGACTGAGACTCTACAATTCCCTTTTTACTTCTACTGGTTTCAAAGTGATCCACGTGATTTTTATTCTTCTGGTGATTGTTGTTACATTTTAAATATGTATACTTAGTCTAAGAAGGGTTAAGATTTATTAATATCTTTCTCCTCTGAAACACCCTCCAAAATTTAGTTATCACCATCTTTTTCTTCTAAATCCTCAATACATATTTACACTTCTCAATGTATTTACTATCTTCTTTGCTTATTGCTTCCCGCAATCTTCCTCTTGGGCTTAATTTCCTTCTTGTGGAAGCATATCTCTTATACAGTTATTTCATTAAGGATTTGTAAGTTGTTGACACTTCCAGTTTTTATATTTCTGAAAACGTTTTTATTTGGCACTTTGGTTTTGAATTCAGTTTGAAGTTGGTTGCCTGTTGAAATCTCTTCCAACAGTTATTTCCATGCTACGTTGAAGAAGTTAGTCCTTTGTCTTCTGATATATATTGTTGCTTGTAAAAATATATATCATCGATCTAATTATCATTTCTTTAGGAAATTTCTTTCTGGTAGCAATTGGAATTTATCTCTTTTCTATTACATTCTGAAGCTTCACTGGGAAATAGCTATGATGGATTCATTTTTATTTGTCTTTCTTCAGATTCATTGTGCTTAAATATCAGAATTTATGTTTTTTACTGATTTTGGCATCAATCTTTATTATTTCTCTTCATCTGCTTACATTGTGGTTCATTTATCTTCTTATTCTAGTGTCTTAAAATGGAAGTTATAATCATTAATTTGAGAGCTTTTTGGTGCTATAAATTTTTTTCTAAGTACTATTCTAGTTACATCCCACAACATTCGATATGTTGCTTTCTCATTTTTATGTAATTCAAAATACTTTCTAACTTCCCTTGATTTCTCTTTTAATCCATGGGTTATTAAGAACTGTATTAGTTTGCAAATATTTGGGGGGAGTGTTCTAGATATCCTTCTCTTATTCATTTCTAATTTATTTCCATTATAGTTAGGGAAAATATTTTTATTTTATTACTGGTTTTTGAGAAATTTGATTGTGATGTGCCTTGGGTTAATTTTCCTCATGTTCTTGTGCTTTGGATTTGTTGAGCTTCTTGGATCTGTGGGTTTATAGTTTTTCATCAAGTTTGGAAAAGTTTCAGTTGTTATACCTTCGACTCTTTTTGTGCTCCTTTCCCCAAAGACTCCAGTTACACATGTATTAGGGTCCTTGGAATTGTCCCAGAGGTTACTGATGTTCTTATTATCATTTTAAAATTATTTTTCTCTGTGTTTTTCCTTTTAGATAGTTGCTATCTTTATGTCTTCAAGTTCACTAATCTTTTCAACTGCTATGTCTATTCTGCCACTAGATACATTCCATGTATTTTTTCTTCTCAGACATTCTAATTTTCAACTTTAGAAGTTTTGGAAGTCTTTTTTTGCATATCATTCCTATGTCTAATTACTTCTTCATGGATGTCTGGAATATGGGTTTTTGTTTAATGTTAGTGCTTAAGTCTTCTATTTTATTATTTGTTTTCTATTTGTTCATTCTGTTTTTTGTTACTCTCAGCATCTTTTCTTGATTTCTTTTGAGTTACTTGAACTTTGTTTTAGAATTCTATTTTCATTTATACCTAATATTTTACATATATTGTTATTTTTATTAGTTTTTTTAGAGACAAGATCTTGCTCTGTTAACCAGACCAGAGTGCAGTTGCATGATCATACCTCACTGCAACCTCGAACTCTTGGGCTCAAGCAATCCTCCTGCCTCAGTCTCCTGAGTAGCTGGGACTATAGGCACACACCACCATGCCTGGCTAATTTTTTAACTTTTTTTTTTTGTAGAAACAGGGCCTCATTATTTTGCCCAGATTGGTCTCTAACCCTTGGTCTCAAGCGATACTCCTGCCTTGGCTTCCCGAACTACTGGGATTATAGGCATGAGCCACTGTGCCCACACTTTTTTAATATATTATTGTGTAGGTTCTTTTTAGTGGTTGCTCCAGGTATTAAAATATATGTATGAAACATATCCCAGTCTACCTGTATCCTGTGTGCATTTTACTACTTTGAGTGATGTGTAAAAATCTTTATTTTAAAACATAAATGTTTTTATTATGTTTTGTATGCACATTGAGCACAACATTAGATGATGTTATAATTTTTGCTTCATTCATCAAATATAATCTAAAAAAACTCCTGAGGAAAAGGATAATCTCTTTACCCATATTTTTCCCATTCCATTTTTCTTTTTTCCTTAAGTTTGAGGCTCTTTCTATTACCATTTTCTATCTGTCTAGAGACCATTCTTTAGTAACTGTCTGTGGGTATTTTGTAGGCGAAAAATGCTGTTAGATTTTTTTCTCTTCTGCATATGACTTTATTTCCCCCTTCATTGCTGAGGGATATTTTCAGTAGCTATAGCTCAGTGTTGATAGTTCTTTTCTTTCAGCACTTAAAAAATGTTGTGGCACTTTTGTGCCACTTCCTTCTGGATCCCATGGTTTCAAGATGAGAAATCTGCTGGCATTCGAATAGTTTTTGTCCTCTATAGGTTAGACTAACTTCTTTAAGAAAAAAAAAAGTCTTTAGTTTTCAGAAGTATGTCTTGGTGTATATTTATTGACCATTATTCTGGTTGGGGTTCTCTCATCTTCTGAAATTAGGTTTATCCTTTCACCAGATTTGGGAAGTTTTTCAGCCATTATTTCTTTGAATATTTTTTCAGCTCCATATGTTTCCTCTTCTTTTGTAACTCAAACGTTATGTTAGATCTTTCGTTATTTTCCTACCGGTCTCTCAGGCTGCCTTCATTTTTTGTTTTGTTTTGTTTTTAAGTCTCTTTTCTCTCTGTTGTTTATGTTGGGTAATTTTTATTGATCTGTCTTTGAGTTCACTGATTTTTTCCTCTATTGCCTCCAATCTACTTTTTACCCTGTCCAGTGAGTTTTAAATTTTGGTTATTATATTTTTCATTTCTATATTTTGTATTTGGTTCTTAAAATATCTGCTCTTTCTTTGTTAAGAATTTTACTTTCCATTTGTATCAAGAATGTTGATAATTGCTATTAATGATTGAAGAATTTTTATGATGGATGCTTTAAAACCCTTGTCAGATAATTCCAATACTTGAGTCATCTCAGTATTGGCATCTATTGACTGTCTTTTCTAATGAAATTTGATAGTCCTAGTTCTTGGTATGAATGACTTTCAACTGTGTCCTGGGCATTTTTGGTACATTGTTATGAGACTCTGGATTTATTTACTCTTTTTTTGTCAGGAAGTCACCCTATTTAGATATAGTACATGGGTTCAGATTGGGATGAGAATGTTTAGTTCTCTCCTAGGCCATGCTGACATTACTCTGGCAAAAGGGAAATGCTTACTCACTTGCCTCATTGCAAATAAGTGGGTGGAAGTTAAGCTTCTTATTAGGCCCTACTGATAACTCCCTAGAGAAGGCAAATTAATAACTTGTACCTCCTTGTTACTGCTGCATGAAAATATAAGCCCAGTTCCCTACTCATCCATGCCAACACCACCCTGGCGGGAGAACTGGAGTGGCACCACCTTCTTCTACTGGGTGGGAGTTGGATGATCAGCTACCTGCTAGATAGGCCCTACTGAAGCCACAGTGGGGAGGCAATGCGAGTGTTTTTTCCCTTGGTGTTTAGCTGAAGTAGGGTGAGTATTATAAAAAAGTTTCTTTTCTGTTTTGTTAGGCTAACTTTTTTCTAGGCTTCTCTAGCACCCTCTCTGAGCTGTATGGAAGACAAAAAGAAAACCAAGGGAACACACTACCATGTTTTTTCTCAATTTCCTGTATCCTTTCCACCTTTCAGAATCTTCCTATCATTGCTTTTTGTACTGTGTCAGGGTTTTCTGTTTGCTGTAATGACCATATTAATGCTTTTCTTTACTGATTGTATTAACTGTGTTGATGAGTTATTTTCAATTGGTTTATTTTTCTTCCCATTAGGGGTTGTATTTTCTGGATTCTATGATTGGATGCCAGACATTGTGGATTTTAATTTTTGAGTGCTGAGGATTTTTGTATTCAGTTTTTTTCTTTTTAGAAAGACAATAACTACCTTTTAAAAAATTATTATTTTTAGTTCTTGGGTACATGTGCAGGATGTGCAGTTTTGTTATATAGATAAATGTATGCCATGGTGGTTTGCTGCACAGATCATCCCATCACCTAGGTATT